>NC_000001.11:186309587-186934587 GCF_000001405.40 Homo sapiens
TATTTCATATAATACTTTTGAAGAGTATCATCTTTAAGTAAAATGGAATTATCAAGTATATAACTATGCAAACAGGTCAAACTGTGTCCTTCAAGATCTTAGAAAAGGTAAACAGGAAATAGAACCATGTGGAAAGACTTGAAAAGAACATACAGACTTTTCTCATTCTGTTCTATATTTGTTTTGTTTTTGTTAATTTGTTTAGATGAGACCAATATATGCAATGGTAAGCCAGTAGATGGACTGACTACTTTGCGCAATGGGACATTAGTTGCATTCCGAGGTGAGCTATGTACACATTTATTTTTCTTCTCATCATTCTGTTTTGGCATTTATGAGAACCAAAGCCGTGGAAGAGTGCTAGTTTGGGTTGTTTTCTGGAGGGGAATCTGATTGATAAGCACACCTCACAGGAGAATCCGAGAGTAATAACAGAAATATTGGATTAAGAAAATTAGACAAAGTAACAAAACAAAACCAAGACCCTGAACTGATACTACTGAGGTTTTTTCCTACTGTTAAGATTTAAAAAGTAGTTCATTTTTTTTGGGGGGGGGGGGTAGTTAAAATTTAAAAAATAAAATAAAATTTTAATTTCATACCAAATGAAATGACACCAGCATGCATATTCACTGCTTTATTTGAAAATAACATCTCAATTGTGATGTGTTCAAGTGTTACACTCTCTGTCGGAGAGTAACAGAAGAAAAGTTATTTCATGTTAATTCTCTGCTGTACTCTGCTAGTCCAGTCTTGAAACATATTTAGATTAAATCTGAAAGCAATTCCTTTTCGTACAGTAGAGGCTAAAGAGATGTTAGTCATTAAATTATAATTCCTTAGTTCTAAGAGATAAAGAAATTGAGATCTAAAGAGATAGTGACTGTAAGTCACAAAGCCAAAAGGCTTTTTTGAGACCGGATCTCCCTCTGTCACCCAGGCTGGAGTAGAGTGGTGCAATTACGGCTCAATGCAGGCTCGATCTCCTGGGCCCAAGTGATCCTCCCATCTCAGCCACCTGAGTAGCTGGGACTACAGGTGTGCACCACCATGCCTGGCTAATTTTTGTATTTTTTTTTGTATTTTTTTTTTTTTGTAGAGACAGGGTTTTGTCATGGTGTCCACGCTGGTCTCAAACTCCTGGGCCCAAGCCATCTACCCGCCTTAACCTCCCAAAGTGCTGGATTACAGGTGTGAGCCACTGCACCTGGCCCAACCAATAGGCTCTTTCTAAAGAAACTAGAAAACTAAAGTATCTCAAAGGTTATGCTAAATTTCGGACTTGGGAAATACCTGCTCTCAGAAATGTTCAAATACTACCTTTTGTATCTGACTAAACTTCCAGTCATACAATGCATAAGAAAACTACATTTTTTTTCATTTTGGTTTCTTTTGTGATAGGTTTAGCATTCAGCTTGTAGGCTGATGTCTTTCCTTAAATTTTAGGTCATTATTTCTGGATGCTAAGTCCATTCAGTCCACCATCTCCAGCTCGCAGAATTACTGAAGTTTGGGGTATTCCTTCCCCCATTGATACTGTTTTTACTAGGTGCAACTGTGAAGGAAAAACTTTCTTCTTTAAGGTAACACAAATATCTTTGTGAGAGAAATTTAATAATAATTTGTAACTGCATTATTTATTACAACATATATTGCCTTAACCTCCAATATGTGTCCTTTTAAATACTCTGTCATCAAAATTTAATCATAATTCAACAGTTTGATAACAGTAATGGTCAAAATTCAACCGTTTAACCAAGTTAACACGTTCTCTCTATACTTAAATCTAGAAAGGAGTTCCAAATCTTTTTTCCCAAAGCTGATAACATAATTTTCTCTTTTAAATTATCAGGATTCTCAGTACTGGCGTTTTACCAATGATATAAAAGATGCAGGGTACCCCAAACCAATTTTCAAAGGATTTGGAGGACTAACTGGACAAATAGTGGCAGCGCTTTCAACAGCTAAATATAAGAACTGGCCTGAATCTGTGTATTTTTTCAAGAGAGGTATGTGTTACATAATTGACAAGATTACAAAACTTTTAAAGAATTACACTCAGCATTTTCATTTATTATTGACTTTACTGTCAAAAGATATCTTTAATGGCTGAAATCAAATATTTTCAGTGAAAAAAATCAATATTGAGGGTAGTATTCTTATTGCCCTCAATTTTTATTTTCATTTCTTCACAGGCAAGTCACAATTCATTTGAGTTTTCAGGTCACTGATAGAATGTCATTTACTTTCGCTTCACAAATGTGCATGTCATCCTTGCACAAGGGCCATGCTAATCTCTGTATCATTCCAGTTTTAGTATATGTGCTGCCAAACTGAGCACTTGTCACTTTCAATTGAAATTAAATATATAACTATGTAATTTGCTGCATCTATTCATTCAACAAGTATTTCAGTTTAATAATTATTTTTATAATACCCTTGACTAATAGCCATTATTAATATCAATATATTATATGAAAAATGAGAACAAAACTGTTTCCTATACATTGTAAAAGTTGTTTTCCACCTTTTCTGAGGGTATTAAAATTAATTTTCATTTTCCATGTGATATTCTAATACATAACAGGTGGCAGCATTCAGCAGTATATTTATAAACAGGAACCTGTACAGAAGTGCCCTGGAAGAAGGCCTGCTCTAAATTATCCAGTGTATGGAGAAACGACACAGGTTAGGAGACGTCGCTTTGAACGTGCTATAGGACCTTCTCAAACACACACCATCAGAATTCAATATTCACCTGCCAGACTGGCTTATCAAGACAAAGGTAACATTTTTATTGTGTTAAAAAAATCCTTAAACATAAGTAGATGTAATACAGTTTCTTATACAGTAAGGCTTATGAAATATGGATACTGATCAAACAGCCCTAATAATTTAAGCTTACTGATGAAAAACTCATCCACTTGCCTTAGTGAATAACCAAAGACCAATACTTTCTTTTTCCTTGTGGGTAAGTAAAGCAGTTTGTTCAGGTTTGTTAGTTATAACCAATACTATTTATCAAGTACTTCTTACCAAGAACATTATATACCAGTCTATAACCCTCAATAGTTCTACATCAGAGGGCTAAAACTGAGATTAAAACTCAGATGTCTGGCTCTTTCCAAGATAGTACATTGCCTTTTAATCTGGTATCTTTTATTAAACATGCCACTTACAGGTGTCCTTCATAATGAAGTTAAAGTGAGTATACTGTGGAGAGGACTTCCAAATGTGGTTACCTCAGCTATATCACTGCCCAACATCAGAAAACCTGACGGCTATGATTACTATGCCTTTTCTAAAGGTAAGGTATTAACTAACAGTTTCCCAAGGAGGTGATATCATTTGTGAAAACATGAAGATAAAGTAAAAATGCTGGCTGCAATGATGACTGAATGTGAGAAGTTACACTACGGTACTTATTCTAATTGCTGTGGAAAAGAGTTAAGACTTTTGCTTTAATTTCAATTAAAATGATGGCACTGCAATTCAATTCTGCTCTAACCTTCATGAGATTACGATAAAACATCCAGTTACTAGAGTAAACTTGCTACTGACAATAGTATTTTACTTCTATCATTTGTGGCATTTAACAGATACCTTGTTTGGCACAAGGTTATAATGATTTGCATCACTGCAGAGTCTGTAAGATCAGAAAGAAGTTCCTGAGAAACTAATTTTATTAATTAAATTATATTACTCAGGATGCTTTTCTTTGAAATGCCCAGAAATCTAAGTTATTCTGCCTGTAATTTCATAATATGAATGACATTGGCATGTATTTTTTAAAAGGAATAACCCCAAGTAAATTATTTTTCAAACTTGGTTACTCTTTAATGTTTACTTCATAAAGGAGAGCTGAACCTGATTTTACAAAAAGATGGTGAAATGTCAATCTTTTGAAACATCAAAAAAGCTGAAAAGTCTAGGCAATTGTTTTTCTTTTTGTTATAAAGTTCAAATTAATTAGTAAAAACATCTCTATTAAAATGATAAACATTGTCTTTGAGCATAATAGTCAACATAAGTTATTTTTTAGTTTGGGCATTGTTTTCTTTTTAACTAAAAAAATGTTTTCTCTTCCATTTAGATCAATACTATAACATTGATGTGCCTAGTAGAACAGCAAGAGCAATTACTACTCGTTCTGGGCAGACCTTATCCAAAGTCTGGTACAACTGTCCTTAGACTGATGAGCAAAGGAGGAGTCAACTAATGAAGAAATGAATAATAAATTTTGACACTGAAAAACATTTTATTAATAAAGAATATTGACATGAGTATACCAGTTTATATATAAAAATGTTTTTAAACTTGACAATCATTACACTAAAACAGATTTGATAATCTTATTCACAGTTGTTATTGTTTACAGACCATTTAATTAATATTTCCTCTGTTTATTCCTCCTCTCCCTCCCATTGCATGGCTCACACCTGTAAAAGAAAAAAGAATCAAATTGAATATATCTTTTAAGAATTCAAAACTAGTGTATTCACTTACCCTAGTTCATTATAAAAAATATCTAGGCATTGTGGATATAAAACTGTTGGGTATTCTACAACTTCAATGGAAATTATTACAAGCAGATTAATCCCTCTTTTTGTGACACAAGTACAATCTAAAAGTTATATTGGAAAACATGGAAATATTAAAATTTTACACTTTTACTAGCTAAAACATAATCACAAAGCTTTATCGTGTTGTATAAAAAAATTAACAATATAATGGCAATAGGTAGAGATACAACAAATGAATATAACACTATAACACTTCATATTTTCCAAATCTTAATTTGGATTTAAGGAAGAAATCAATAAATATAAAATATAAGCACATATTTATTATATATCTAAGGTATACAAATCTGTCTACATGAAGTTTACAGATTGGTAAATATCACCTGCTCAACATGTAATTATTTAATAAAACTTTGGAACATTAAAAAAATAAATTGGAGGCTTAAGGATTAGAAAACTTGTTCCATTTATTACTATTCCACATTCTATCATGTAATCCAGTTATGTCAGAAATTCACCTCTCTGTCTGTTAAACTGACGACCACGGACACCTTGTCTCAATGTTGTCTGAAGTCTTACTCGTCTGAAAGGCTTTGGTTGACTACTACTAGTATCTAAGAAAAACATTAAGATAAAAGAAAAGCAAGTGAAAAAATGAGAAAGCATTTATAATGATACAAACTAATTACTAAATGAATGAATGAATAAGATGTAGACTTGTTCATTTGATTTCAATTCTTTTTTTCAAACAATGAGGAACATTTAACAAACCGAAAAAGGGTAAATGGTTAAACAACAAAAAAAGCAGCACTTTGGGAGGCTAAGGTGGGAGGATCACTTGAGCTCAGGAGTTCGAGACCAGCCTGGGCAACACAGCGAGACCCTGTTTCTACAAAATTATAAAACAATTAGCTGGGCATGGTGGAACATGCCTACAGTCCCAGTTACTCAGGAGGCTGAGGCTAGAGGATCACTTGAGCCCGGGTGAGGTTGAGGCTGCAGTGAGCCATGATCAAGCTAACAGTACTCCAGGGAGACCGGTGAGATCCTGCCTTAAAAAACACCCAAAAAACCAGGCAGACCAAGGCCCTGTCTCAAAAAAAAAACAAACAAACAAACAAAAAAAAAACACCAAAAAAAAACCAGAAGTGCTTGACTTTTTTTCATTCATTCACTTATATTAATAAATATTTACTTGTTGACTACCCATGTATCAAACATACTGCCAGGTGCTGAGAAATACAACAGAAAACAAAATATCAAGTCCCTCAGCAAACAGCCTACAACAGAACACAAATTATATCTGATTCTTTTTCAGACACCCCAAATGCAATCATTAGCAAATCATGAATGCTCAAATTTAAATATATATCCCAAATCTGACAACTTCTCACAATCCTAACTCTACCATCTCACCTAAGCCATTACTATCTTTTCCTGACTTACTGCAGTAGCCTCCAAAGTTTCTCGTTTCTGTCCATTATTCATTTTTAATCTCTTCTGTATGCAGCAGCCAAACTGATCAGATCATGTCATGTCATTATTCTGTGTGAAGCCCTCCAATAGCTTCTGGTATCCATGACAGCCAAGGCAATTACAATGATCTACTCGATCTATCCTCTCCCGCCTCTTAACATATCTCCTGCTACTCTCTGTTCTCACTCACTGTGCTCCAGCCACAGTGGCCTCCTTGTTGACCCTGAACACAAGCAGACACACTGCTGCCTTATGGACTTGGCATCTATTAATATTCTCTTTGATCTAGTATGCTCTTCATTAAGTAACTGCACAGCTTTGATCCCTTTCTTCTTTCAGCTCTTAAATGTCACCTTCTCTTAGTGATGCTTCCTATGAAACTGCCTGCTACACTGTCAAATATTTGTTGACCAAATGAATACTCAGATGGGGGAAGTACAGTTTTACATTATCAAATAAATTTAAAGACATCGTAATTTCATATTATACTTTAAAGGAAACAACCATATTTTCTCATACAAGCTCTGATAAGATATAACAAGTGCTAATTCTATTGAGGAAAGCCAATTTTTATGGGACGTCAAAATATAACTGGGGGCACAAAACTTCAGTAATCATTAATATGATTGTTATACATTTTTTAAGCCTTACTGCGTATGAAATGGTTCTGTAATTTACATACATTATTTTAAATCCTGATTGCAAGATTAGTTATGAGTATCCATATTACATAATGTATAGAAATTTAAAGTTACCAGATATGAAACGGTAGATATTAGGGATATTAACCAATAGGCTGATGTGTCACATCAAAGCAGCTGAGAATCAGGGGAAGAGATTTTGGGATAGCAAAGTTCTGTGATTTAAAAAAGTAATAAATAACTGAGCAGGTCTGCCATAAAATCTGAAGGTTCCATGGCAGAGTTTGAGAATTACCACTGTAAACAATTAAAAATTAAAATAATCAGACTGAATGACCAAGTACTGTATATCCTTAATAGTAAAGGTAATTCTCTGTCTAAAAATTTGAGATAGATGAGCTAGTATAGTGTATTGTTCAAGAGTGGGGTCTCTGGAGCCAGACTTCTTCAGTGTAATCGTTGCTTGTCCGTTACTTATTAGCTATTTGACTTTGAAGAGGTTATTCACCCTTTCTGTGCCTCAGCTTCCATATCTATAAAATGTGGATGAATATCTACCGCACTGAGTTGCGAGAATCAAATAAGGAAATATAAGTAAAGGGCTCAGAATACTACATGATACACAGTTAAGTGTTCAGTAAATGCTAACTGTTATTCTAAAAAATAACTTCTATTACAGGAATAATACATATCTTTTTTTCAAAATAACTTCAAAAATTTGAAAAGCCAAACTCTGAAACTGTTTACATCAGTAAATTTCAAACAATTTTTTTAAGCAACTGAGCTCTTACCCCTTAACTCTCCACATCAAATCTCATGTAGAACCCCAATATGTAGAACACATAAAAATGGAGCTGCTGTGGTTCAAACAGAGGCAAGAGGCCTGGAGTGCCCTAGCACTCCTTAGCCTCCCTCCCAGTATACCCACCCACTACAACCCCTGTAGCACCTCTAAAAGACCCAAGAGCTCTACAAAACATATGTTGACAACCAATAGTCTAGATGAAACATGAGTGAGCTATTCTTTTGGGATGGATCCACCATGTCCATATTTCTTATTATTGATGCCAGAATATTCTTAGAATAATTATTTCAATATAAACCAAGTTCCTTTTAATAATAAAATTTCTCTTTTAAATAAAGCATTTTAAAATACAGGAAAAAAGGATTATTAATTTGTTACTAATAAAGCAGTGTTTTCACAAACAAGTTTGATGTATAAAAACTGTATTGCAGTCAAGGGCAGGGACTCACCTACAGATGAGCTAGAAGGAGGATCCTGGCTGGTGGAGGGGAGATCTGACTCATCAGATGCTTGAACCGGCTCTTCTTCCTGCTGGCTATCAATTTCTAGGCCTGCTTCTGAACTAATACTAAGGAAAAGAAAAATGAGAAAATACAAAACTGATCCTACAGTCAATCATAAATTATATCCACTCTTTTAAATCTATTTTATCACTTAAGTAATCCAGAGCTCCCTTAAACAAAAAATTATAGACTGATTTGGTTACCATATATATTTTTCAAAGGAGCAGGGGGGAAAAGAGCTCAAATTGTTTTTTCCTCATTCCTTTTCTCACTATGACATGTTCCAATTTTAGTTTATGATTTTCCTCTTCTTATGTTTCCTTTTGACAAGGATGTTCACATTCTTGACACTCATAAGAAATATATGGTCCAGATTTTGATAAATCTCAAAACAACATTTTAGGAAAGCACAGTACTATAAAAAGTTCACAACAGTCACACTACTAAATAGTATACCAGTAACCAAACCACGGGCTCTAGCCCAGATGAGATAGGCTATGGGTATGTAAAATTCCTGGCTCAGTGGCTACATCCATCTTTCTCTCTTCCATTCAAGACACAAATGAGGGAGACAGTACAAGAATAACATGAATCTGCTCCAGTTTAAGTCATGTGAAAATTTCAGTACAAAATGACTACAAAAATTAGCCAGGCATGGTGGCGGGTGCCTGTAATCCCAGCTACTTGGGAGGCTGAGGCAGAAAATTGCTTGAACCCAGGAGGCGGAGGCTGCACTGAGCCGAGATCACGCCACTGCACTCCAGCATGGGCGACAGAGCGAGACTCTGTCTCAAAAAAAAAAACAAAAAAAAACAAAACACAACTTTGCAGATTGTTTCTTGGCTAAAGGAAAACAAATGTACAAGTCTGTTGAGACTAAAGCAAGCAAAAACAACAAAATAAACTTTTACCCTTCAGATTCTGCCTCCACAAATACTTCATCTCCATCATCACCTGTTGCTGTTTCATTTGTTGTAGATAAAGTGCCAGTGGATGTAGTCACCATTGGAACAGATTGAGAGGCATGTTCCGAAGCATCAGAGGTGGTGCTCTCAGTAAATACAGTCACTTTAAAAAGACAACACAAGAAAAAGAACTTTAAAACTTTGTGGTTTATCACATTTTTAGCCAGAAGATACTTCATAGGTTTTCATTTTACCAATAAAACAGAACCTACTATCTGCCTTTGATCCCTACCTGGGGCTGCTACTTGTAGTGGAGTAGTGGGAACACTTCGGCCACCTGACTCTTCTTCATGAGCTAGGAACAGGGGTGTTTCATACATTCCTAAACCTAAAGACAATTCTGAATATTAATGAATGACTGAAAAAAACATAAAATTATCAACAAGTCAGGGATGTGAAAGAAAAATATTAATTATTGGAGATATACAACTTTACTAAAGTCCACGATTTAATTATTCCATCAAGCAAAAATCCATCTCTCAAACTTTTATTTTTTATTTTATTTTAGAGACAGGGTCTCGTTCTGTCACCCAAGTTAAGAGTGCAGTGACACCACCATAGCTCACTGTAGCCTCAAACTCCTGGGCTCAAGTGATCCTCCCACCTCAGCTTCCCAAGGAGCTAGGGCTACCAACACAGACCCAGCTAATTATTTTTCATTTTTGTAGAGACAGGGGTCAGTCTTGTTATGTTGTCAAGGCTGCACCTGAACTCCTGGCCTCAAGTGATCCTCCTGCCTTGGCCTCCCAAAGTTCTGGGATTACAAGTGTGAGCCACTGCACCTGGCCTCAAAATTTTAAATACAACTTAAAGACATCCTTTAAACTTTCTAATGCTACAGTACCCTTAAAACATTCGCTAAAATGCTCTTAAGAGTTTCATACAAGCTAATTTTATTGAGTATCCAACTATGGATGTTAATTACAAAGTAATTAACAAAGTAATTACCAAGGTTACTAAGCTTAAAATGTTGGCATTCCAATTTAAGCCTAGATGCCCAAGTCTAGGAAACTGTATTAACATACAAAGTCACAAAATCACATAACATTTTAAATTTACAAAGTCAACTTACAATTTCATATAAGAAGAGGCCTTCAGTGTTAGAACTAATATCCTAAACAAGCAGATGTTACATTACATGACTTTTATGATGGCTAAAGATTGAGCTTATTGTAATAGTAGTATGCATTCTCTATTCATTTACCAAGTGCCAGACAGCTTCCCAGAAATAAAGAGGGTAATATGAATTCCAACTGAGGATTAAAAGGTAATCAATTCCACAAACAGCATAATTCACATGTGGAAAACTAGCTAATTCTACTACTTAATGTAGTGGCCATTTTATTCCACATATTTTGATCTTTTATTTTTTGTTTTTTTAAGTAATGTTAATACAAAAAATATAACTAGCCTTATACATTTAATTAGAAATGTTACAAGTGTCAAGCTGTAAACAGAAAACATGCTGCATTCCTTCCAACAACTTTAAAATGGCTAGTAGTACCTATATTTATTGGTTCAACACATATTCCTGAATACTTAAACTACGTGTATGACATTACACCAGGAGCCAGAAGAGATACTAATGTAAAAGCTAATCCTTATGCTCAAAGAAATTAGAACTTTGTTGGAAAGATAAGATGTAAGGCAGTGCTTAATAAGTATACTACAGCATTTAAAAAAATAAATTAGCAAACAATATCAATTTTAAAAATATTCATATTTGCTCTTTTTCCCCCCTTAAATCACATCTTAATAGTTTATTACCAAATACATACAAATTCAGGGGATCTAAAGGTTTAACTATTTACCTCCTTGAGAAGCAAGCTGGCCAAGATCAGAGTGACTAGAACTTGTTTGTGGCATATCTTCAGGTGGCCCAAACCGGAATCTAGGGACACCAGCAACCTGCGGCGAACTAAATGGACAAAAACTAATTTAAGATGAAATTTAAAGTTAACCTATTTAAACCACAATGGTGAAAAAAATATAGGAAGAAGGAAGAATGAACATCAACAAACTGGGAAGGAAACAGATTGAAAATAAAGTCTATTTATTTTAAAGGGTTTCTTACTTATAAAAATCCTTTTATACTATCAGCTGTCAATGAATTTAGTAATAAGAATAACCTGTGATTTATATGTAATTAATTTTCAGCTCTCCTGAACTATGCCTCACATTTCTTGAATGTCTCAGATATCCTCACATAGATAAACTGAAAGCAACACAAACTCAACATAAAACATAACAAAAAGAGTTGTTAGAATGAAGTCATGAGACAAAGTTTTATCTTAGTTTTCATTTGGTCATAGAAAAATCAAGTCACCTGTCTAGCTTATTAAGAGTTCACTAGCTAGCTCCCAAGGTTTAGGAAAATTCTAATATTAGATAGCTAAAAACTTGCTTTCTTTGTTATCCTAATAACACTATCATTTATCTTTCTGCCTATAATTCAGGACATAAAACTTAGCATTATTTAACTCTGCCTATCTTTCCTTAGCTAGTGAGCTATTAATGTCTTTAGGAAACATGGAGTTCAGGAAGTGGTGACTTCTAGAGGCACAGGGGTAGTGACATTTATTTGAGTGAAAATGCTGTTGATTGCTGGTACTCAGAATTCTGCATGTTTATTGGAGTGAGTCTCTTCCTGAGTGCTGACTTTCAGAAGGAAGGAGCTGAAATTGATTGGCTGGTTTGTAAGAATGTGTTAGCCAAGGTAAATTGTGGCTAACTGAGCAAGTTTAAAACTGGTTCTAACCGCCACATGTTACATCTACAGAACAATCAACCTTTCCCCAAGTTTGTAGAAATTTTTAAATTCTGATCTTCAAATACATCCTGTTAAGCAACTAATACCTTAGCCACGAATAAATGTGTATACTTTCACACGGAGAGCCTTTCAACCGTTTAAGAGGAGTGGTATAGCACAACACTTAGCATAGCCTCTACAGCCAGACTAACTGGTTTGAAACTAAAAACTGCAACTTCCTTGCTGTCTGACCTCTGGCAAATTTGTTAACATGTCTGTGCTTCAGTATACTATAAGATGACAACATTAATAATGTCTACTCTCATAAGTTATGAGGTTAAATAAACTAATGCATGAAAATGCTCAATAAATGCTAGCTATTCTTTCCCAAGACTGAATTCAATATCATCCGCGTTAAATCATCTCATATTCTTTCTCATTAGTTGTTGAAATAAATTACTTCTTCATTTGTAGTAACAAAGCCTACTGCTTATTCCTCTATTATCCTTCTACATTGTTTACATTACAGTTAGTTGCTCATTTGCTTAGCTTTCACAAGAATACTATAAATTATGATCATTGTAATTACCAACACTTAATCAACAACTATAAAGCAATTTATCATGTGTCAGGTAACATCTTAAACATGTTAACACAAATTAACTGATTCACTTAATTCTTATAACTTATGCAACAGAAATTATTCTATTGTTATTCCCATTTTTAAAATGAAGGTGCTCATGAACAGAGAACCTAAGGAACTTGCTACCGCTAGTAAACAGTAGAGTTAGGTTTCAAACACAGGCATTCTAACTCTAGAGGCCATGTTCTTAAACATTCTTATATTGTCTTTAACTTCAAAATTCTTGGTAGAAGTAACTGTATGTCATTCACCTCTGTATAATTTTCCCCAACAATACATCCTCAACTGACCTACCCCAAGTACTTATTAGTACATAGTAGAGAGGGACTCAACAAACAATGAGTTAACCAAATGATAAACAAACTAACAGAGAAAGACTAAAAGTTTGATTAGTTATAAAGTATGTTTCTCTTTCATTAACTTACTGAATTGCTTCAGCAAATCCATCAGTACGATGTGGCACCACAAGAGTTGGAGTACTTGGAACTGTTCTGTCTTCATCATCAAAAAAATGCTGTTGCTAAAACAAAGAAAACAGAGTTAACAAACAAAACACCACACATATGGACTATATAAATATCTGCTCAAGAAATGAATTACTTTTACATAATGGGTAAGTACTTACCATGCCACCTATTCCTGGAGTCAACTGAAGGCCACGTCCTACAGACTGCCTTCGGGTCATCTGAATTCTCTGCGTGTCAAGATAAAGGAATTACATTTGCTTTAAGAAATGAGGCAATGAAACAAACACCAAATATCAACAGATACAGCTTATTACGCTGCCAACAAAATAGTTAGCAGACAGGTAATTAGGACATTTTCCCAGGAAAACCTGCCAAGAAATCACTTTTGTCAATGACAAATTTTTAATTATAGTCTATAATATTAACCAATAAAAATCATTCTATTAACCAACAGACCAATTATTAACCAATACTTAAAACAGATCTATGATACCATCTTGTATGTAAACAAATTTAATTCCTATTTCCTTAGTTGGAAGTGTTAGCAAGTATTCTTTTGGAGTTCAAACAGCAGTATTGTTTTTTAAACTGTTTTCCAGTTAAGATAATTCTAAATGGACAGATTGGATATATTTTTGTAGCCTCCATACAGGATCCTTTAAGACTTTATATTTTCCCATCATGAAGTTATTTTCACTAGTGGTATTTCAGTAGAATCTATATTTGACAGTGTTTACACATACTATTTTATAGGGAAAAACTTAAGCTAAATTAATAGAACTTTTGTACTTTTCCTACTCTTTTTCCAAGTGCTTCTGATTAAGAGATGCCCGACCCTACTACATGCTAAATATAAGGGGTCATACATACCTTCATTAAACTTAAAAGTTAAAATATGTGATTACCAAGAAATGAGAAAAAATATTCTTCTGTTAAGTACAACAGAAATTCCTTTATCTTTTATAAATACGTGCACTGTAGAGAAAGAAACCTTCAAATCAGATAATGGTGAGCTGCGAAAATGTACTTTAATTAAAACCCAAGAAAATCTTTTTCTTTTCTCACTTGAGAAATAACAATTTTATTTGCTATGACTATAACCATTTCAATGTATGCACAACTTTTAGTAACACTTGCCTTTCTAAACATCCCTCAGAGATTAGTTTTAGTTCAAAGAATTTTATAAAAATATGCCAAAATACCAAAAAGTTCATGGGATTGCTAATTTAAAAAAACCAAGAGAGAGAGAGAAATACATAATGGAAAGGGAGAAAAGCCAAGATTTTTTTCAAGTTCATTTTTCATAATGACCAGTACTTTTAATACCTGAACTGGTGGTCCCAACTCCTGAGGTGGGGCATGAATGGTCAGTCTTGGGGGAAGTGGATGTGGTGGGCGTCTCGGTGACTGAGGTGCTCGAGGGGCCTGTCTTTCAGATGCTGATGATGGCTGTTGTTCTCTAGAAACCTCCTGAGAAAAAGAAGATTCTGCAGCACCTGTATTTCCTTCACCTGTAGGAAAAGAGAAATTTACTTTTGAACTGCTAAATTTACCACAAAAAAACTTGGACAATCCCTAGAAGTATAAATCTTGCCAACAGGAATGTTCACCGTACGAATATTTTCAGAAGTAAAGTAGTGAGGTGTGATGGAAGCAAATGTGGGTTTTACACCCAGAGACAATGGGATGTGTACTTATTCGCTGTGTGGCTTTGGGCAAGTCCCTTAACCTCTTTGAGTCTATTTTTTGGTTGGTTAATAGAGCAAATGTAACCTCCAAGTCTGGTGTTTCTAAAATGGTTTTTCTAAAGATTTCAGATAATGAACATAAAGCTCTTAGCTCGACCTATGATAAACATTAAAAACACTAAAATTAAAGTAAACATTTAATAAAATAAAATAAAACTAAAATTAACATTTAATAAATCTGGATTAATTTTAATAAAGTAGACAAATTACCTAAAGGTTAGACCATTAGAGAATCAGTGTAACAATCAAAAAGGATAAAGACAGAGGAGAAGCCTTACAACTACATTTTAATCTTTTGGTTTTCCTGAATTTTGAATTTTAACAAATGTCTCTCAAATGTCTGGGTATTCTTCTACATACACTGTAGCAACAAAAGAAGCCATCTTCAACTATGAAAAGTTGAACAGGATGTCACAGAATTTCATAGTTTAAAAGTCTGAGGTCTAGATTCAGATCCTTGCTCTAATACTTAAGCTACTTAGCTACTTAGTAAGCTATGCGACACCTCAAGTCACTTTACTTCTGCGATTCAGATTCTTCATTGATACCTAAACCTTATTAAGTTTACTACAAGAATTAAACAATTCAATACAAGTGTAGTTGCTTGAAATGTACTCAAATCCATCCATTAATTTTGTTCAGGGCACTAGGCCTATTTTTGCTTGGTTGCAAAAATAAAAATAAAAATAAATAGGAAAAAGAAGGAAGGAAGGAAGGGAGGGAGGGAGGGAGACCTAGAGGAGCAAAAATTCCTCCCTCTATATTTCAACTACGTGATACACAAAAAATGTTTCTTAACCTACAAATTGTTTATAAATGTAAATTTTTGTTCAAAGTATATCAATTTCTCATCTCCCTTTAAAAGTAAGAATAGTATTACCTATTATATGGCTTAATATTCATTAATGTATTTTTCTCTTAAAAAATTTAAAAGTTTTGTCTGTTCTTTAGTTAAAATGAGAATATATCTTGCCCTTTTAAATACCCAGGCCTCTACAGAAACCCAGATACAGTATTTTCCCATTAGTCTAAACAGCTAAGGTTTTACTATGTCAACACTAATGATTTCAGCTTAGTATCAGTTGTTAGTTATCTATTACCAGATAATCACTAATTATTTAATACACATTTCAAAATAAAATTATTTTCTACGACTTCCATACTCTTTTAATGCCCACAACTTTTCAGTGGACCTCCAGGACTTATCCAAGATTTAACAAAATATATGCTATATTGATCCAAAAATCTTTTATTCATTGGAAAAGCAGACCATACTGCAAAGCTCCAATAGCCCCAAATCTTGAAGCATGCAGCTTGATTAGACTGACCTCCTCTGGTTGTGAACTGCTGTTACAAGTAGTCCCTAATTTAATTTTTCCTCTTAATGGCAGCATATAGCATTTATAATACCGTAAGGGTTACAAAATGTTTGCATCTTACAGCAGCCCAATGAGGCAGAAAAGAGTATAATGACAGCACCTAACAATCATAAATATAGTAGACTTTTTATGAGAGCACAACAGTCACAAAGCTAGAACAGGGGCCAATCTCTTTTTACCAATTCAATAAATAAATTTATATATTAGAATTAAGTGCAATTCTAGTTTAGAAAATACCAGAGATATTCAATTCAAAAAAGGCTAATAAAAATCTCACCACTGTTTTGAGAATCAGCAGCTCTGTGATTACCTTCACCTCCACCCATACTTTCTTCTGTTTCTGTACCTGGATCAGTCCCATCACCACCCTAAAAACAAAACGTGGTAACATAATGCTCAAATAAAATAAATATGTTAAAAAAACCGGACAGAATAATTAACCAAACCAAACCACAACAAAAACAAATAAGTAACCATAACAACAAAAAACAAAACAAATGAACAAAACAACCAAAGGTTTTAGTGAATTTCATAAGCCTTTCTATATCCTTGGAAAACAGCAAGTGAAAGAAAGCTCATAGAAAGAACTATGAATGGTTAAAATTCTAGCCAGTTACCTCAGCATCATCAGCTTCATAACCATCATTGCCATCGGCACTACCAGTTCCTTCATTACTATCTTCACCCTCATCTCCCATCCCTGTGTCATCTTCATCATCATCATCATCTTCCTCATCCTCTTCATAATCCTAGTAGAAAGTTCCCCAGGCATAAATAAAAGTTTAGAATATGGCCCACATGCTCTGCATGTCTAGATACCACACTTAGAAATTTAAGTGACTCATTAATCAGAAGATAGGAATTGTCCTGAGAGTTGTATGGGATTAGTACAGCAGCACCAAATACCACAACTGTGATACTTACTGGAATTAGTGCAATAATGATCAATTCTGAATTCTAACTGTTTGCATGAGATTGCTCAAAGATAATATAGACCTCAGGTGTCAGCAAAATATCAAGTGGTCCAGTTTAATTCTAAATTTAAACAGGTGGAGTTGAAGAAAATGATAAAATTACACTATATCAGGAGCTATTTAAAAAATGTTTATTAATCTAAAATAAGAAGCTGTCAATATAGGATTAAACCCCAAAATAAAACAAACAATTTGACCTTATATATATAAAATACACTTTATATATAAAAAAATGACAAAAATGAACTATGGGGCTCCAAGAGGAAACAAAAACAATTCTTGTTTCTTCTTTTTATCTCCGGAAACCATAGCACTTACATTTAAAGCCATACAGTCATTTATCAATAAGACTTAAAATTAGGTCTAATTGATAACAAATCCTAAAAGACTCATCAATTGTCAAAAAAACAAAATGAAACAAAATTTTAAAAATGGGCATTCCATCACTGGCTCTACACTAATTTTCATTATAAAATGTTGATTTCTGAACTAATTAAGATAGAAGAAAAACAATATATATAATCTATTTAATATATAATATATTAAATATATAATATATATATTATATATATAAATATATATAAATATATAACATATATATTATATATAAATATATATAAATATATAACATATATATTATATATATAAATATATATAAATATATAACATATATATTATATATATAAATATATATAAATATATAACATATATATTATATATATAAATATATATTATATATTTATATATATAATATATATAAATATATAATATATATTTATATATATAATATATATAAATATATAATATATATATTTATATATAATATATATAAATATATAATATATAATATATTAAATATATAATATATAATATAAATAAATATAATCTATTTAAGCTGACTGGGAACCAGAATTTACAGCCAATGCATTAGTATCCCAAGGATTTGAGCACTTTCATCCAATAGTTTAAAAACACTAGATGATTTCAAATCAAACTTACCTCATGTTCTCCATCATTTTCATCATCATCCTCTTCTTCATCATCACTGTCAATTACAATGACATCATCTCCTTTGCCTTGACCATCCTGGGATGAAGTTGTCGTCTGCTGATCTGATTGAAGTGGCCCAAGATCTATTTGTAGAGACTGAGAGGTTTCTTCACTGTCTTCCATAGGTGTATAATCTCCCTGGGTAACTCCCTTTAAAAATAAAAAAGTTAAAAAAGAATTAAGAGCCCTATAAACATACCTAAAACTATATGTGAGGTATTATTATAGGTCAAAGTAAAGAATAATGAGTACTTATGGACTAGCAGCATTTAATTTAATTTTTTTTTTTTGAGACAGTCTCGCTCTTGTCACCCTGGCTGGAGTGCAATGGTGCTATCTCAGCTCACTGAAACCTCCGCCCCACTGGGTTCAAGCGACTCTCCTGCCTCAGCCTCCTGAGTAGCTGGGACTATAGGCACCACCCCACGAAGTCTGGCTAATTTTTTGTATTTTTATTAGAGACAGGGTTTCACCATGTTGGCCAGGCTGGTCTCGAACTCCTGACTTCAAGTGATCTCCCACCTTGGCCTCTCAGAGTACTCAGATTACAGGTGTGAGCTACCTCAGCCAGCTACATTTAATTTTAAAAATGGCATTTCAAGTATTTTTGAAGAAAGAAGATGAACCTTTGAGTTTCCTTAATGTCTTCCTATAGAAGAATTATCATAAATCTTATTGGTTAATACTCCAATAAGAAAAAGAGAAAAAAATATAAACAAATATTTGTGCATTCAAAACTACTAGCGTGATATCGCGTATCAGTGCTGTGAGACAGGAATATGTCATGTAATTTTAAATTTGTTAGTAGCCACTTAAAAACAGGTGATTAATAATATACTTAACCAATATATCCAAAATATTATTTCAACATGTAATCAATGTAAAAATTATTAACCAGATATTTCACATTTTAAAATTTCTACTAAGTCTTCAAAAATCTGATGTATATTTTATATTTGTATCAATTTGGACAGCCATATTTCAGTTGCTCAATGGCCAGGGCGGTTAGTGCACAATACAGCTGCAGACCAAAGTCAGAAAAGAAAAAAAAAATACTCATGGGTCTGCAATGTTTAAACAGAAGGTTTTCCCAAACTAGAACTAATTTGGAAATGCAGTGAATAAATAAGCTATTACCACTGTCTTTTTACAAAGAAAAGCACTGAATACATAAGTTAGTATCATTGTCCTTTTACAAAGAACTTCTTCCCTCCTCAAAATTCCAATTATTCCAAGCCTTCAAACCAAAATAAATATATCAGATACTAAATAATTCCTTGCTCAATCTATTTCCACAATTCTATTTTGTTAACTACTGAAATAAACTATTATTTTAACTTCATTTATAATATTTACTATCAAAAGTTAAATGTCTTTTTGGCTTAAGCACTCACTAAAATCAATTTTTTATACAAGCTAGCAACAGTATCTTTTAAACTAAGACATTCATAAAAAATTACATATGCCGTAATGGAAAAAATGAGTAAGTCATGGTATAATTTAAAAAGTGCCTCAAAGTGACATGCTTATTTCAGAAAAAGCAACACTTGAAAAGAACGTCTGCTTCACTGTCAGAAAATCAGAAAAATGAACTGTTACACATTCAGTAGACAATGCTAGAGGGGTGGAATAAAAATCCAAATGGTATTTTGGAGTCACAGACAATTTTGCTAATTTCAAGAAAAAGCTTTTGCAGAAGATTTCAGTATAATTTAACCAAGTCTGACAAGAAGGCAGAAAATCTTATTATTTTCAAATTGTTATGTTCTTCAGAAACAATGCTCTCTGAAGGATAGATGAAAAAGATATCATTTATAGTACGCTCTGAATAAGTTATTTAAAATGCTTGGGTCCAGAAGTGTTTCAGATTTTGGATTTTTTAGAATTCTGGAATATTTGCATATCCATAATGAGACAGCTATAAGATGCAAGCATAAATGCAAAATTCACTTATGTTTCATATACAAAGGTGTATACACACAGCCTGAAGTTTATACACACAGCCTGAAGTTAATCTGACACAATATTTTTAATAGTTTTGTGTATAAAATGAAGTTCTAACTGTTTTGACTGTGGCCCATCACATGAGGTCAGGTGTGGAACATTACACACGTGGCTTGCAATGTTGGCACCTAAAAAGTTTTGAATTTTCAAATTAGGGATGTTCAACCTGTACTACATAATCATCTGAAGATTTAGTTTAGTGTTTTCAGTCAAAGAAAGCTGGTAAAATTAACTTACAAAATAAACGCAGCTAAGAAACTAAAATTTACTTGCGATATGGCTATTTATGGTTAGCTTGAGACAATTCCTTAATTTTACATGATAAAATAATTATAGCATAAGATGATCCAGAAAGTTTATACAGACAAAAGTACTGTTTCAAGCTTAGGACAGTTGAAAACTACACAGCCTGGGTTTGAATCTGAGCTCCAATGCTATGTGAACTTCGGTACACTACTTTATCTGGGTATCAGTTTCTGTAACTATGAGGTATAATGAAGATTAAATTAGTTAATAAATAAAAATTTCTTAGATCAACATTTGGCATATAGTAATGAGTTCTGTGTTAAATATTGATATTTAATTACTATCATACATTGTGATTTGAGAGACCAAAATAGATGCCATTTTCTCAACTAAGACAAACCCTAAGGTTAAGGAAACAAAAGTTACCCGTAGGTCAAGGGTTCAGGGCCTGTCTGGCATGGTAAATTTCTAAATTCATATGGTTACAATAAAAAAATATAAGCCTTTGCTAAACTCCTCTAACTGGAACTATCGGGCAAGTTATCAGACTCCTATCTCTGATTTACAATCCAGACCACTACAACTCTGACTGTAGAGAGCACTGGCAAGGAACTGCAGACACCTTAAGCTAGTTTCAACCTGCTTAAAGAGGCTGCGCACAAACTGTCTTTGTGTCCTGTAGTTCACCTTTTGTTCACTCTTCACGTAAAGAGCCAAATTCCAGCTCATTTTCATGCTAAAACGCTGCCCCAAAGTGAACATGGGATGTATATTATATATATTTACCTACTGTTTATATGCTCAGTTCCCCTCATAAATATGTATAGCGTTTCCCCAAAACCTGCTGAATATGCATGACTCTATTGTGTAATAAGGACCCTGTGAGGCATAAAACCACACCTGTCCCTGCCCTGTGTGAAGACAGAACACCTTTGGTCCACGCTGGAGACTATTTCTTCCTCATGAGCAAAATGATATCACTAATAAAGCTCTCCTTTCTATTAAACACTATTTAGCCACCCTGGGGGTCTTCTTGATGACAATATGAATTCTCATTTTGTGGGACAGAAGGAAGAAAGGAAAGTAATAATATTCTGAGTGCCTAATATGTGGCAGGTACTACTTTAGGTATTTTACAATCCTAAAAATTATATTTTTTGACAAGTGAGACAATGCAGGGAATTAATGATATGCTTACAGTCACAAAGCTTCCTAGTGGTGGAGCTAGGAATGACACCTCATGCTTTGTAACTTCAGGGTCTATATTCTCTCCGCTAGTAAAACTGCTAGGGGAACCTCAATGAGAGATCAAAAAATGAAGAGGTATATAAATGCATTTCCTTTTATGGATTACTTTAATTCTGTAAGGGAAATAATACAGGGGAGTAAGAGAGAACCAGCAAATGGGGCACTATAAATTAACTCAAGATGCAACCAGCACTCTTGTATTTCATGTAATTAAAATAGGGAAAAATCTTGGCTCACAACTCTAAAAAATCTGGAAATCTGTGCTATATATGAACAAAAACATTTCTTTAATATAAGTTTAGAAGGCAGTACACTATACTCATAGGAGTAAAAGAAAGCAGACTCTGCAATGATTAATTCTAGTAGTATTTCATTACATATAATAAGAACAAGCTAAAAAAAAAAAGACCAAATAATGTTTCAATTTGTCAAAGCTAATTTCATTCACGAAAAGCAACGGTGTGGTACTTTAGGTATGTTTTTACTTACTTCTCCAATGGAATCTTGAGAATCCTGGTTGTATACCTGAGTCTCTACCTCTCCATCAGTACTTTCTTCTGCCATAACTTCTTCCTGTATCATAATACACTAATATATTAACCATATCAGTGTAGTAGATGAAGGGTTACCTGTTTTTGTTAGTTCTCTCATTTGAAAAAACCCTTCAAATCTATATTTTATGAAACTATAGAAAAATAAAAAAATTTTATTTAAAAATTATAATCACATTCCTCCTCAGTATACACAAAGTAAGGTTTATGAACATTAATACATGCTAATACAATTAATTTAGTAGCCTTAATGTTTGATTTGAAACCTGCTTCATTACAATTTAATCTTAACCACAAAAAGGAATATAATTTTGGCTAATCTTAGAAAAAGATAGCAGGTAACAGTTTATGTCCATGAGACTTAGAAACTTCGAGATGAAATTCAACTTATGTTTTTATGACTGAGCTTTTTTATTGAAATAGAAACAAATGCAATTAAAGATATGCAAGAATATAAAACACTGTTGGTAATAATACCTGGGTTGTCAGTGGAATCTTTGTAGAAAGTTCAATAAAAGTGTTTTCCAGATAATATATTTTGGCCCCAAAAGGTTAATTTTCTTTAGGCTGTAGCTGAAAAGAGTACCTTAACTCTACTGGTAAAAGTTAAAATACACAGAAAGAACTTTACGCACCTCAGTTCCTACAGGTGTGACACTTTTCAACTTCTTTGGAAGAGGCATTTCCACTGTATCATCAGAGACTTGGTCTGATGCTTCTATGGTGCTATCCTCTTCCTCTTCACGTGTACGCTTTGGCAAAGAAGAACTGGGGGTAGCCGAAACTTTGAAATTATATAAATCTTGAATTAGAGCATGATAATAACTCAATTTAGATAAAGATAGTTTACCCAATATGGTCACTTAACTAAAGGAGAACACAGTAAACATTTAATTGTACAGATTACTAAAATACAATCAATCAACTCCTAGATCAATGTCCATCAACATAATTTGTTTCTGCTAAGCTATGGGTAAACAAAGAGCAACTTATGCTCTGAGTCAATGTTTTTATACCAACCCAAGCTTTGCTTAATAAAGCCAGCCAATTTTTACAATATATCTGGTTCACTGAGATTGTATTACTATGTTGTTATCTACAAAGTTTACATGGGACCTTCTATAAAACTCAGGACTCCTTGAATAAGAAAAAATGTACACTGTATGTAAATCAGTATATAGTCTTATCTTAGGTGTCTTTTAGTCCTCAGGACTTCCGTTAAATTATATACAATGTTTTGCATTAATATGTAAGACCAGTAAAAAAAATAACTGGAGGGGGAGAATCATCTTAATGACAAACAACTGATTTAAAATAGTCATATTCAGTAGTAAACATGAAATAAAATGTTAGTAATATATTCATTCATTCTAATTCCTGGTAGAAAGCATGTATGCACAAAGAATACTTGTGATACGTATTATATCCAAGATATTATAATTGCGTAGGTCTATTCTAACTTCATTTGTACAAAGAATACTCAAGATATATATACTCAAGATACACTCAAGATCTTATAAATGCATAGGTCTACTCTGACTTCATTTTAAAATTAATTTTACCTGTGCCAAATACTGCTGTGGAAGTAGAAGGCCGCTCAACTGGTGAACTCTGAACAACCTCTACTATGTTTGAAGATAACTCTTGATTGGCAGGCTCAATCTGAGGATGACTCTGTTGAGTGGGTTGCACAAAAGCTGTAGCCTGTGTTTGTTGCTGAACAGTTAAAATAGGTTGAGAGATAGAAGGCTGGACATTAGGACTAGTAGAACGAACGGATCCACTTGTGCTTCCAAAAACTGGAACATGTTCCACAGGCCCTTCTGACTGCATAGCTGAAAAATAATTATAATGCTGAATATAAGCCTTCTACTTTTATCAAAGCTGAAATTATCCTTCCTATTCTGTGGTACATGTCACCTTTCACACAGATTTGGCACTTGGTAGACAAATACATTGTAGGTAAAGGTAATGTATTATGCATTTTTATATTCCCTATGTAATTGATATGGTAGCATGCAATAAAATGTTGCCTGAATTAAATAAATATCTGTAACTGATTTTGCATCTATTCATTTAAATTACTGTTGAATAAAATTAATGAAATTAAGCTCAAAGTAAAATTAGAATTTTTCATTAAGCATCATTTAGTTTTTAATTGATATAACAGATAGTAAATTTGATTAGTAATATATTTAGTTTATTGGATGTAGCTGAAATAAAACATTCTCTACTTTCACAGCACAGAAATACTTGAATAATTTACTGAATTCTAACATTTGTCAAGATAAGAATCTAAGGAAATATGCAGGTAGCAAAGTTTTACTGAACACCTACTGTGGAGTTAGGTAAAGGGATTAAACAATAAGAAGCTGAGATTTTTGCCCTTGAGGAGCTCAATGTAGTGGAGTAAAAAGCATGTATACCACAGAATAAAATACAAAGTTGTAATTGCTGTAATGAATAACAAGAGTGTCATGGGAAAAAATTGAAGAAAGCAATGAAATGGTCAGTTTCAGTGAGAAAGCAATGTTGGATTGAGCCAGTAATTCAGTATGATTTTCCAAAGTGGATTTCATATATTCTTTGTCATTACAAGTGAAAATTTTGGTCCTAGAAGTATGTCCTTCAAATATTAAACACCCATTTTTACAATGACGTGACTTCAGCTGTAGTGGATGCTTCATTTGTCTTTGAAATTACTGTCATCTTCTCATAATAAATCTAAATAAGCAGTCTCATCAGATCTGTATTATTTTACTAACCTTCCTGTGATTCCACTTGTGTAGTGGGCATCACTGTAGCTGTTGGGGTAGTAGTGGGATTTGTAACAGTTGCAGGTGTAACCATTGGGCGGATACTAGCCCTGGGTGTTGACTTATTTCCAGCCATAGCTGCAGCTGTCACTTTACTTGGAGTAGACACAACAGGAGTTGGCTTGATATTGGCTGTTGGTGGGTCTGATGTGCTGGCACTTATAGAGGAGAAAATGGAAGAATAATTAATAACAAATTATTATGCAAATACTTTTAAAAACACAGTGAGTATAGGTCTCCATTTTTTTGTTCACTAAATATTTCAGAGCCTTATTAAAGCTGTTTTGAATTTAAGCATTAAAAACTACACAGGGAATGCTCCAGAGTGGTGCATCCTGACAATGTAAAATGTATCTAGCTGTTGAATTGCTGAACCCAAGTCTCAGCCCAGCATTTTCTATCTGTCATCATGTAACATCACGGGGAAAATCAGTAGCAGCCTAACTTAGAAACCAACTGTAAACTAAAAGATGAGAGACGTTTTCTCTGTCACAAAGCTTCATCTGATAGGACTGAAAGTATGGTGAAAACAAGCTGGCAAATACATGATACAGTTCTGCAGAGAAAACAACTCTTTAGTGTATGTTTTTACAATAGAATACACAGATTTCTTTTTCCTAAACAGAAAGATCACTAGATATTCCCTGAGCTTTAAAAGAAAAATAACAGACTATGAAATAACTAAAACTCACATTCCTCTTTCACCAGAAGCTGGAGTTGTTTTCAATGTGATCTGTCTCTGCTGTTCAGGGACCTATAAAGAGAAAGCTCTTGATTGTTGTTCCTAGCCCACAAGAGTCCACTAAAAATGCCACAAAAAAATTGTCATTATTGTTAATTCTCTCCGCATATATTGAATTTTAGCCAAAATTCACTGACAAAGGCTCCTATATCACCAAGCACTTTCAAGTAAAATGTACAAAGAAAAACAATTTGTTACTTAAGCAGAATTAGCTAATCACCTTATTAGAAGGTTCTTGAGGCTCATCTCTCTGCTCAAGGTGTCTCTCTTGATGCTCCCTGAGTTCTCTTTCCAAGCGACTAATTCGACCTTCATATTGGGACTTTAGCGCAGTAATGCGAACATCCAATTCATCTTTCTGCTGATCTAAGGCTCCATTCCTTTGTTTAAGCTCCTCATTTTCTTTAGTTAGCTGATCTTTTACACCTAAAGAAGTAACCAGGCGATTATATTAATATTATAATCAAACATTTAAAACAGCATTTATGCACTTAATTGGCACATGGTCACATCAGATTCTACTACTATAACATCTACATTAGTTATGATACATCATACATCTCAATGAGCAAAGTTCTAAGTACATTCATGCTTTAACTTATTACTAGAATATAAAATATACTTACTCCAACATAAAAATTTACTTTTTCCTAACTAAAATCTCAAAAAGCTAAAGATCCTAGTTAACAGAAGCCCGTTTATATTTCAATGTATCATGCAATTCATTACTATGAATTGCAAAATTTTTATTTCATATAATCTACAGCACTGTTTAAAAATAATTCAAGAACTTTTAAAATCAAGTAAGTTGTTAGGACACTGTCTTAGAGATCATTTTAAAAAAATGCCTGTAACAAAATCCAACTGATTTGACATTTTATTTAACTACTCAGCAGACTGATAGGCAAGGCTGAATAAAGCCCTGAGCCTTGAAGAACTAGGTTCTTCATAAATTTGACATGATACTCTCCCTGAAAAGCTAGAGGGGTCCTCCACCAAACGAGGCACAAAAAAATCCCTGGGCTGGTAAAGATCTTTATGCAGTCTACATAAGGTTTCTAGACAGCACGGTCTGGGCTCAAAGGATCTCTGTCACAAGATAGAATTGTTATCCATGAAAGCAGAAGGATAGCAGTATTCCATTATCTACTGCCAGCCAACAATTGAGAAAAATTTCATCATATCAAGGATATCCTCATCACTTGAAAATTAGGATTGCTCTTTGTGTCCAACTAATTATTCCTAATATTTAAAGCACACATACACACACAAACACCCTTCATAAGTAGATACCTTTTATTTCTATTCCATTTAGTTTTAGGCCTGCAACACATAATCAACTTTCACTACCAAGTTCAAACTTTAAACAGATATTTACCAGCTAAGTGTGCAATTTTTGACTTTGCTGCTACAATAGCCTTTCTGGTTTTTTCTTCCTTTTCAGTTATCTGTTGTCGGAGCTGCTCCTCCTGTGTGGTTCTATCTTGAAGATCCTGACGAAGTCGTGAAAGTTCAGACTGAAGTTGCACAGTCTGTTCCTGGAGATTTCTTGCTTCTGTCTCTTTTTCAGATAATGTCTTTAAAGGAAAACAAAGTATTCACCATGGAATTCAATCATTTCAATATAAACTGTATGTGGTAGCAACTTAAAGTATAACTTATTAATTTGCTTTTTAAAAGATTAAATGGAAGTATAAGTATAAAAATGGTGGTCAGACCAACTAAATGCACACTTGAAGATGATTGGGTACTACTTACATACATGAGCCATTCAAAGTAAAAAGAATAAAATGTATCCATTCCCACATGGTAAGACAAAGTGTCAGTAGTTAACACATATTTCTTTAGGTGTATAACAGGAAAGAATTAGGAACAGACTGTTCTCACACTCATACCTTCTGCAGATTCTCTACTTGACTTTCAAGTGATTTTGATTTTGTTTCAGCTTGGTTGAGCGTTTCTTTGAGTTCCTGCATTTCCTGGACTGAAACATGCTGCTCCTGATGGTCTCCAGAGGACTGAGCCGATGTCTCCATAACCTAAGACAACAAACAGTAATAATACACTCACATATTTATATTCAGTAATTCCATTTCTGCAAGTTTGTCTAAGAAAATAATCACAGCTTTGCAAAGAAATTTTATCCCTGAAGGTATTCAAAACAGAATTTTCTATGAAACAACTGTAATCTCCAAAAATGGGGAACTAGTTATGGTTTTCCACATAACTGAATACTAAACAGCTAATCAAAATGATGCATTATAGTTGAATTTTCAACACTTAACTGTATTTTCATGATAATGAATCAAGTGAAAAAAGTATACAAAAGAATATAAGCATATAATATTATTTCTTTGGAAAAACGTCGCTTACATGTATGAAAAGGGATACTAATGTACTAATAGTGGCTAAAACAAAGGGGTATTAATTGTGAATTTTTTTTCTTTATATTTATTTTCTAATCCAACATGAAATAAATACATAATTCTCAACATACAAATTCCTTACCTTCAGGAATTAAAAACAATATTTAGATTCAAAATATAAATATAACAAAGATTTCTGAATTTTTTTGATAGGTGGTTAACATAAACAATTTATTTAAAACTATACAAAACCAGATTAGTCATCATTTTTTAATATACACAATTCTAATTAGCAATGAGTTATAAGAACATAGCTTTGAAAATGGAGAGTATTTGAAAGGTGAAGACTGAACTATCTAGTATTTACCAAAATTTGTGAGTTTATAATGCATTTTCAGACATATTAAAGAACTAATCTTAAATAAAGATATCATATATGCTTACACGATTTCGGTATCTAAAAGCTAGTAATATTCAAAATTACAAAGAAATAAGATTTCATAACATTCATCCTAGTTTTTTTTTGTAAGATAAGTTTCTTCAAAATACCTTATCCTGTTGTGCTTTAAGTTCTTCATATTGAGTCTTGTACCTACGTCCAATTTTCTTAACTTGAGTAATAGTTTTGACTTTTTCTTGGATATCAATTATTTTGGCATCTAAGTCCTTCTGGATGGTTTCCTTTTCAGTTCTTACTTTATTTAGATCTTCCTTCAGACTCTGAATTAAGTTCTGGTTGTTAGTCAAAGATGCATTTGATCTTTAAAAAATGGAGGAAAGAAGAAAGATTAAATATATGAGACATTTTTCAAAGTTTGAAGTCCAATGTAACTTTATGTTATACTGCTTTAATAACTTTTTTTTTTGAAAATCCTAAAAAATACCCATATACTTCAAAGGTAAGACCTTACGAATTTACAGCCCTTCGGCAAGATCTTATTACATAGGTTTACATGCACATTTTAGAGATGAGAAAAACAGAGCTACCAATGGTCAAGTAACATGCGCAATTTTACAAACTAAAATCAAGTGATGGTACCCAGATTTTAATTCAGACTTGCTTTAAGAGCAAAACCTACCCTCTTCCTACTGCACTGAGTATTGTCAAATTTTTTCTGTAAAAGGGCCGGATAGAATGTTATGCTTTGCAAGCCACAAAGTCTTTGCTGTATTTTTCTTAAACAATGCTTTAAAAATATAAAAATCATTCTTAGCTTATAGGCTGTACAAAACCAAATCATGGGCCACATTTGGTCTATGGGCTACAGTTTGCCAACCCCTGTCCTATATCCTGAACTGAACTTGAAATCAGATGGCCTGAATTAAGAGTATGGGTTAATTCTGAACTGAACTTGAAATCAGATGGCCTGAATTAGGTAGTCAATCTTTTTGAATCTTAGGCTCCTCATTTTTAAGATTAAAATATAACTCTCCTACTTAACATGCTAGATGATTGCTATAAAGAGAATGTACGTATATATATCACAAAAATTTGTAAGTTGTAAAGCAATATATAAATGGGACCATGATATGGACAAATTACACTAAAGCTTACAAAAGGTAAACCAGAAACATTAATTTTAATGTTTAATTTCTTAATTTTAAAGGGGCAATACTTTGCTATTAGTTCATGTGAGAAAAAATTAGACTTACAAGCTTCCCTTGGCCAGGCATGATGGCTCATGCCTGTAATCCCAGCACTTAGGGAGGCAGAAGTGGGAGGACAGCTTGAGCCCAGGAGTTTGAGACCAGCCTGGGCAACAGAGGGAAACACTGTTCTCCACAAAAAGGAACACAAAAGCCAAAGTAATAAAACCCACTTCCCTTATAGAGTCACAAATATAAGCTAACCAAAAGAAAAAAAAAACCTCCTTGTAAGTTTTTGATAGCTGTAAATTTAGCTTTAGACTTCTGAGTAGCTCTTTAAAAAATAAAATATAGAGAAATAATTATGAGGATAGTCTCATATATATTTTATATACAAAGGCATAATATTAAATCACTGCTTGACTCTACAAAGTAGATGGAAGTCAGATATAGGTGCTCTAGCACTTTCCATTCTTTCTAAAACCAGGAGGCAGGCACTTGGGGAGTCATGTAAATAAGTAAAATAAACTTCTTTTATATTATATATGATTTAAGGCTTCTTTCCATATACCTTGCAATTTCAGCTTTAAGTCTACCAATTTCTTCTGTCAATTGTTGAATACGCTTAGTATGAACTTCCTTTTCAGAAAGGAGCTTCCGATATTCTTCTGTATCTGGATCTTTCTGTTGACTTACTAGATGCTAGAATAACAAAAATGCATACTTGATTTTTTTAGGTTTTATGAAACAAATGTGCTATAATAAAATGGCAGAATATCTGATTATGTTTATATTAGGTGTCCTGCATGTAAAGTAATCAAGCATGGAACTACAAGATACTAAGATCAAACTAAGCTTTGGCTTGTTTGGCTAAGAAGTCTACCCACAATACAAGAGGAAAAAAAAATAAAATGTCATTAAATGTTCATTATTTTTTCATATTTGTGAATAAACATTTCATATTAGTTACAATGAAGCCAAATAAAGGGATCTGAAGAATCAAAACTTTCAATATTAAGTACCTAATTTCATTGAAGTGACATTTACAAGAAAAAAAATATAGACAATGCATTACAAGTTAAACACACAAACCTTCTGTAGATGCCAGGTAATGTGCTTCACATTTGTTAAATTTTTATCACACGAAAGGTGATAAGGGAAAACTAAAGCTCCAAGAGGTTAAGAAACTCTCCCAAGTCATATAAATAATACATGCAAGGCAGATTTCTAACCTTTTGTTTGAATAAAGGGCTGGAGTTTCGAACCACAGTATGTTACATGGTTTCATCTCCCTAAAAACGTTCCAGTGAACAAGTCTTTTTAAAGTGCTTTAATAAATTCAATAAATTATACAGATTCCTATTTTGCTTTTTTTTTTTGAGACAGGGTCTCCCTCTCTCACCCAGGCTAGCATGCAGTGGCATGATCACAACTCACTGCAGCTTCGACCTCCTGGGCTCAAGTAATCCTCTGACCTCAGCCTCCCAAGTAGATGGGACTACAGGCATGTACCACCACGCCCAGCTAATTTTTAATTTTTTGTAGAGTTGGAGTCTCACTACATTGCCCAGGCTGGTCTCAAACTTCTGGGCTCAAGCAATCCTCCCATCTTGGCTTCCGAAAGTGCTGGGATTACAGGCATGAGCCACCGTGTCTGGCCTCAGATTTCTATTTTCATGTATAAAAATATTTTAGAGATAAAATGAAAGGCTAAAACTTTAAAATTATGGAAAATAACTGCTTTTTAGAAATATATATAATATAACCAAAATTTTTTATAAATTGGGTTATAAGTTTAACATCTGTCACGTATTTACATGTATTAATAACATAATAGACTTTCACTAATAAACACAGTAATTTTCACTAGTTCCTCAAATATTTTTATTCCCCTAAGTTTCCCCTATTATTAAAAACACGTGTTTCCATGTTTTGGAAGAGTTTTAACTGCATTTACCTGGTTACGTGCTTTCCAACGTTTGACATCCTCTTCTAAGAGCTTCTTCTCTGCCTGCAACATACCGCTTTTCTCACTCAGCTCAGCATTTGCTTCTTGTAAGGGTAAAATATCTAACTCCAGTTTCCTCACCTGAAAATCATGCCAATATTTAACAACAAATGTAAAAATTCATTTATTATTAAAAACAACATGCTTCCACTCTTGATAACTAAGCAACAAACCTTTGCTTGCATTTGCTGTAGATCCTGTTCTAGTCTCTCCTTCTCTTCTCTTAGCATTTTATTGGTCTCCATAACTACATTCATTGTTTCAGTTTTCTTCATCAGTTCTTCATGCTGAGCCATTGTTTTTGCAGTTACCTAAACATTTCAAATAAATATACATACCAACATCTAACAATAGTTGAAAGTCTACCTGTTCCTATGAGCTCAAATCCTCCCTATGACAAAATAAAGAGGATTTAAGTTTCAACTTTTAGAACTAAAATTTTTGAAAGTTCACGTTTACTTTTCTGTGAGGCATGCGAACTGCAGACTTTAAACAAATACAAGAATTACAAAGACAAAAGTGAAAAGATGCTACAAATCCCACCAACAAAGTATTAACATTAGGTAAAAACATTAATCCAAATCTCTATTTACCTTTCTGTATCTTTTTTTCCTTGCTGCACTAAATTTATTAGTTCTAAAATGTTATTCTAATCCTCAGTTTATTCCCTCTTGTTCAGAAATCTCTCATTTTGATCCATTGTTTCATCACTTTGGCCATGAGAAATTTTACTGAATTATCTGTGAAGAATTTTTTCCTTCTCATAGGTTATAATTATCCATCTTCTGCACTTGGTATTACTTTCTTCCCCCACTGTTTTTAAAGCTATAGCATATTTCATGGTTGCCATGCTACACTGTTCATGCTTAGACAGACATTACATTACTATTATAATTTTTTTTTTTTTTTGAGACGGAGTCTCGCTCTGTCGCCCAGACTGGAGTCCAGTGGTGTGATCTCGGCTCACTGCAAGCTCCGCCTCCCGGATTTACGCCGTTCTCCTGCCTCAGCCTCCCGAGTAGCTGGGACTACAGGTGCCTGCCACCACCATGCCCAGCTAATTTTTTTGTATTTTTAGTAGAGACGGGGTTTCACCGTGTTAGCCAGGATGGTCTCAATCTCCTAACCTCGTGATCCACCCGCCTCGGCCTCCCAAAGTGCTGGGATTACAGGCATGAGCCACCATGCCCGGCCCATTATATTATTTTTTATATAATCTATGTTACTTGTTGACTCTCTTCTTCCTGTATTTAAGGTTGGTTTCCCCCTATGAACTCATTCGTAGGCGGGCATTTTCTAGTATTTACTTTCTATAGCCCAAAGGAATAAAAAATGAAGCGGAAAAGACTGAAACAATATGCAGTCTTTGTTAGAGACTCTGATTCTGTCCCTTTTCCTCCAAGTATTAACTCTATTGAACTGGAGGCTCTATTATTTCCATGGTGAGATACATTTGAATTAAACAGGATATAATTCTGGAACCTTTAGCTTTTGCTGAACACATAAATCCCATAAAATTCATTATTTACTTTTCCCTGTCCAATGGTTTCTTCTTAACAGTCATTTTGACTACTCATCAGTTAAAAGAAGATAAATGTTTTAAGATCTTAATTTCCTTCCTTCTAGAGGTGGGGGTATATTACTGTAGCTCCTAAGAATGAAGTAACTCAACAATAAGCTTTGGGTGGTAGTGTGGGGTAAGGAGTCAAGCTTGTCTTATTATCATCCATTTCACTACCACAGCTTCTTTTCCTTTGGTTGTTAGTTTTTACTACTTTTTGCTCCTTGGGTGAGAAAGATATTCTGTAGCAGTTTAAATCACTTTATCCTAGAATGACTATCCACACGTATAATCCATAACTATAATAAATTAAGATAGCTGGAATTTATTAAGCACCCACTACATACCAGACATGCTTCTAAATGCTTCATGTGCACAAACTCAATTAAACCTCATTATTATCCAAATATTACAGATGAAGAAACTAAGAGCAGGGAAGTTAAACAATGTACCCAAGGCCACAGCTAATGGTATGAAGCTAGAATCTGAAACCAGGCAGTTTGGTTACAGAGCCTTTACTTTTAAGCACTATACTATATTAGTGTTTAACAAATGCTTAATGAATTTACAAGTTTAGAAGAATGCTTACTTCAAGTTAAATTTTACATTACGTTAAATGGTAGAGATATAAATGAGTGCTTCTCTTTTGATTTAACAAGTGCTTTCTTAAAGCTTAGTATACCTACCTGGACTTTCTCCCTTTCAGCATTTAGACTATCTTGCAGTTCCTGCAGCTCTCTTTCTAAAAGTTCAACCCTTTGTCGATAACGCAGACTCTCAACCTGAGCCACCTCAAACCTAGTTTCAGCAATTTCTTTTTCTCGTCGTATAAATCTACAAAAATACAGATATTAAAATTTTATGTGAATTTTAAAAAGCCAACATTACAAAACGTAGGTAATTTGGTAAGATGACAAAAATCATTGACTTTAATAACTATTACACGTTTTCATTAATAATAAATAATAATGGGAGATGTATTTCTATTTTCTTTTATAGACACTGGCTTTAGAATGTTTATCTCTAAAATGATCTGAAAGGCATTTAGTTTTTCAAGAGAAAACTGCTCTAGTTCTTACTATCAGATTCAACTTTAAAGTCACTTGTTTAATATGTGTAAATGTTAAAAGTTATGAGTTCTTTGACAAATAAAAGAATGAACTTTATATCAAAATCGTGTATAATCTCCTTCTCTAATTTATATATTTGTAGTTTCATTTCATAGTTGTTATACCACAGAAATGAAGCAGTAAGAACATGATTTACCTGAGAATTTCCAAAATTTGTTCTTGAGATTTTCCTTCTTCACTGAGAGATACATTCAGTGGACCTTGTACACCTTCCTTCACAGAGGCAACGACCTTGTCACTTAATTTTTCGATCTGATCATGAAGTAATCTGTTTTGTTTCTCCAGATCTTCACAGCGACATACACATTTGGAAACTTCATCCTGCAAGCCAAGAGTCTATCAGAATAACAGATTTTCCAATGCATATTTAAAAAAAACAACTTGGCCAGGCGCGGTGGCTAACGCCTGTAATCCCGACTACTTGGGAGGCTGAGGCAGGAGAATTGCTTGAACCCAGCAGGTGGAGATTGCAGTGACCCCAATATCACGCCATTGCACTCCAGCATGGGTGACAGAGCGAGGCTCCATCTCAAAACATTATAAAATAAAGAAAAAAACAACTCTTTCAATTCAACAGAACATTCTATTCAGATTTACAATAATACCTTTAACATTCTCTCTCTTTCCTCCCAAGATGCTTTACACTCCAACAACTGTGATTCTGCTTTCTGTGTTGTTTCTTCCAAATGCTGACGGACTGATGCCATTTTTGAAACCTGCTCCTTCGCAGCTTGTAGAGCTTCAACATCAGCAGCATGCAGCATCAATTCTCTCTCATACTTATTCTGAGCTTCCACAGCTATTTTAGCCTATAAGAAATTATTACCCAATTGATACCAAAGATTAAAAATCCATAAAACTAGTTAGCACTTGTCCAAAGATACACATTGGACTTTTTAAATAATAAAAGTAAAGACAATCTAAATGTAGCAAAATAAGAAAATAATTAAAAGTTAATGCTTTAGTTACTTAATATTATAAAACTGTCAGAAATGAAGCTTAGAAGACCAGCAATTTGGACAAACTTTTTGATATAAGAAGCTAAACATAACTCAGCTATATTAAGTACTAAATTATAGATCCATTGATTTTAATGAAATTTACTTTGAAGCATTTCTTCCCTGTATTACATTTTAAAATAGCAATATACACGTCACATATATATAGGCAATAAAGAATAGTAAGCAAATGAATAGCTATTAACATGACACCCAACTTAAAATAAGAACATTACCAATATGCTCAAATGTACTGCTATCCCATCCTACCATTTTAGTAACTCTGAATCCTGAATTGTTTTATCATTTCCTGTTCATAAAAAAATTATAAAAAGCTTCAATACTGTGTGCACATACATACATACACTCAAAATAATGATACTTTTTTAACATTTTATAAATAGTATATAGATATCTGCGCAAACTTGGTAATGCATTAACAATGTTATCAAGAGGTTCTTGTTTTGTTAGCAAAGGTTGCCTCTAATCAACTGTATCTGTAATTTTATAATCAGATCTAGTGAAGGACAATAGTAAAATAATTTTTGCAAATGAGAGCCAAGTACAAATTTTAGTCTCCTAGTCCTGTTTTTATTTTCCCATTGTCAAGATTGCTTTGTTAATGAATATTGCCCTATGTATTTATTTTTAGCCTTCCATCTATACTTTTCAATTTGTCTTGTCTAAGTTCCACAAAAGTGGAAATTATCTTGAATTTTTGTAAGGTCCACCAGTTCTTATAATGCATAAATATACTTCAAGAATCATTCTCTAGGATCGAAGCTCATTTCTCAATAATTGGCTATACTTACTTGTTCCTGACAGTCACGTCTGGCTTGCTGCTCATTACTTAAAGCTGTGCTTGCTCTCTGAAGAGCTTCTTGTACTTCATTCTGAACACTAGAAAGTGTTTTCTTCAATTCAGATAACTAAGCAGAAAGAACAAGATTAAAACCAAAATTAATTGCAAACTTACTTGGAAAATACTGTATTGTAGTGTTACTAAATTGAAGTCTCATTTTTTAAGATCCAATTAGCCCAAAAAACTGCTGCTAAATTTAAAATGTTTACACCCTGATATAATCAGTTTTGCAACTCCATATCCATTCCCTAACATTTGCATAAGTCAAGTCTCAGGTAGGGGCTTTTAAAAAGAACCAGTGATACCTATTTCTGTAAAGTAGTCTAAAAATTTCAACGGGAAATGTATATAGAGGTACAGAAAAGAGTAAAACATAAAACTAAAATTTTGCCTATGTGTTCAATAAATTTCTGTTGAGATGAACTAAATGGCAACTAATGACTTAGTTGAAAGAATTCAAATCCTTACAAGTTAAAAAAAAAATTAATACGGTTAACCTATTTACCTGTTGTTCCATGCTCTCTATGGCTCTTCTTTTATCATCCTGAAGTTCTTGTTTTTCCTTCTCTACTTCCATCAACTTCTTTTCCAACTGTGTCTGAAATTCAGCTGACTCTTTTAAACGAACTTCAATATTCTTACGCACTTCTTCTGTCACCTTTACCATATTACAAACAGTAGGATATAAAAATTACACACATTTAAAGTCATACAATTATTTTCTCCAAATCAAAACTAATTTGAGAAGTAATAAAATTAATGTTTGTTGTATATTAAAAAAAGAATCCATCAAAGGTGATTAGAAGATTCAACAACAAGCAAAAACACCATATAAATCTACAAGCATTTACCATTCATCTTGGCTACTGGCCATTTTTCTCTTTTGAAATGAAATTTCCAATCTCTCATTTCTCCCTCAATCCTCATATCCACTTGCCAAATCCATCTATTCTACAATCGAAAGGTATTTTCCTCACACATTTTGATTTATTTACAATGATGTCAACCACAAAAGGATCTTTTAAAATTGAAGCCCTAGACTATTGCTACAGCCTTCAAAATGAACACGGTATCTTCCAATCTACCACATTAATTTTCTAACCAGAAAAAAGAAAAAAAATCTGATTATGACATGTTAAAAAAATCAATGGCTCTTAATAAACCTACAGAATATAATTTAACATGATATTCAAAACCTTTCACATTTGATTATCAACTACATTTATAACTGTATCCCCTCACTACTCACTTTACAAATTGTCATCTTCTGAAGACTTTCTACCATGGCTGAGGGTTCCCATCACGTAAAATACCTTTCTACTCTATTTCCTATACAGATACCTTCATTCAAGGCTTTGCCTGCACAAATGCCATCTCTCTTGTGAAGGCATGCATACCCAGTAGACAAATAACAATCCCTACCTCTCAGTCTCCTCAACATTTTATCTGGACCATTCCTACAGCAAGGATAACCTCCTTGCTTCATGAATTTTGTGTGTTTTTGTTTTATCTGGCTTATGAGACTCAAGTACTTTCACAAGGTTAAAGGCAATGACCCTGGTCTAATTCATACGAGTGCCTTAAAAAAGCAGTCCTCTAGTTACTAAAAACAAAGTTAACAAATGTGTTGAGATTGAATTCTGAATTCAGAATTATACATACCTGTTTTTCCTTGTTCAGGGATTCTTCTAAACTAGTAACCATTGCTTGATATTGTTCCACATTGCTCGTACTTGTTTTGAGTCTCTCCTTTAAGTCATTCACCTGCTCTTCTGTCTGTCTTAGCTGACTCACAAGATCATCCACATCTTCTTTGTTGCTAGGCTGACCTAAAAGACATAACAGCTCTGTTAAAATTAACATTTTCAATAGTATTAGAGATGACTGTTATAAAGAGCTTATGAAATTAGCATTAAGGTTCAAATACAGATATATTTAGAAAGTATATTTCAATCCATGCCGAATACCAAAATAAAAGCAGGTACTTTGTTATGTTACTTCCTCAAAAACAAAAAAATTCAAATATTAATATTTTAAATCTGTTACAAAAATTAAGAAAAGGATATTCAAAAGAGAACAATCAAATATTTCCACTAAACTGAGTTAGCTATATGAAGAAATGACAGAATTCTTAATTTATTAAATGTTACGGGAAGTCAGGGACCCCGAATGGAGGGAGCAGCTGGAGCCGTGGCAGAGGAACATAAATTGTGACGATTTCATCTTAATATGGACATTTATCAGTTCTCAAATAATACTTTTATAATTTCTTATGCCTGTCTTTAATCTGTTAATCCTATTATCTTCCTAAGTTGAGGATGTATGTCACCTCAAGACCACTGTGATAACTGCTAACTGTACAAATTGGTTGTAAAACATGTGTATTTGAACAATATGAAATCAGTGCACCTTGAAAAAGAACAGAATAATAGCAATTTTTATGGAACAAGGGAAGACAACCATAAGGTCTGACTGTTTGTGGGGTTGGGCAAAAACAGCCATATTTTTCTTGTTGCAGAGGGCCTATAAACGGACGTGCAAGTAGGAGAGATATCGCTAAATTCTTTTCCTAGCAAGGAATATTAATACCCTGGGAAAAGAATGCGTCCCTGGGGGGAGGTCTATGAACAGCCGCTCTGGGAATGTCTGTCTTGTGCAGTTGAGATAAGGACTGAGATAAGCCCTGGTCTCCTGCAGAACCCTCAGGCTTACTAGGGTTGGGAAAACTCAGCCCTGGTAAATTTGTGGTCAGACCGGTTCTCTGCTCTGGAACCCTGTTTTCTGTTGTTTAAGATGTTTATCAAGACAATACATGCAGGGCTGAACACAGACCCTTATCAGTGGTTCTGCTTTTGCCCTTTGCCCTGTGATCTTTGTTAGATCCTTATCAGTGGTTCTGCTTTTGCTCTTTGAAGCATGTGATCTTTGCACCTACTCTCTGTTCTTACACTACCTCCCCTTTTAAAACCCTTAATAAAAACTTGCTGGTCTGAGACTCAGGCCAGCATCACGGTCCTAGATATGTGATGTCACCCCTGGCAGCCCAGCTGTAAAATTCCTCTCTTTGTACTGTCTATTTCTCAGCCAGCCGACACTCATAGAAAATAGAAAGAACCTACACTGAAAGATTGGGGGTGTGTTCTCCCAATAATTAAACATTATTTACTCTAAAACACTAAATCTTAAATCTAAAATTTAGCCCAATTTTTATTGTAAGTACATAAAATAGGCAGAAAACTGTAAATTGGAAAGAATGTTTTATCACATGATATCAATAGGAAAGTATATAATTATCTACTAGATAATTATACACCCATTATTTATATGGATCAGATATTTATGGGTCTGTATATATGGACAGATACAGAGAGATGCTTCTCTACTCCCAGTGGGGTCACATCCCGATAAACTCATCATAATTTGAAACTATCATGAGTTGAAAATGCATTTAATATACCTAACTCACTGAACACCATAGCTTAGCTTATAGCTTAGCCTAGACTACCTTAAATGTGCTCAGAACACTTACATTAGCCTACAGTTGGGAAAAATCATCTAACACAAAGCCTATTTTATAATGAAGTGTTGAGTATTGCATGTAATTTACTGAACAAATACTATACTGAAGTAGTTTCTACTGAATGTGTACTGCTTTTGCACCACAGGTTGAAAAACTGTGTAAATCAGAAAGTCTGCATACAATTATTAGTTATTTATTTCCCTTGTGTTAAGAAATAAAACTGGCTGGGCGCTGTGGCTTACGCCTGTAATCCCAGCACTTTGGGAGGCCGCGGCGGGCAGAGCACAAGGTCAGGAGATCGAGACCATCCTGGCTAACATGGAGAAACCCCATCTCTACTAAAAAAAAAAAATACAAAAAATGAGCTGTGCGTTGTGGCGGCCGCCTGTAGTCCCAGCTACTCGGGAGGCTGAGGCAGGAGAATGGTGTGAACCTGGAAGGCGGAGCTTGCAGTGAGCCGAGATCGCGCCACTGCACTCCAACCTGGGCAACAGTGCGAGACTCTCTCTCAAAAAAAAAAAAAAAAATAAATAAATAAATAAAACCATATAGAAAGATTATCAAGACACAAAGGCTTCGAACTTGAAAGATGTATTTAAAAAGGGAAGCAAAATCTATGAAACAAATCTTTTACCTGAGGCTACCAACGAGCAAATATTGGGAATACTGCTTTAAAGGAGATCACAAATCAACTCATTCTTTAAGAGAAACTTATTCTTGCAGATTTGGTAAGCAACCTTATTTCCAAGGGGCCCGGGTTAAAAAATCAAATAACCCTCTTCAGAAAGAATAATTTTTAAAGTATCAATAAATAGTTTCAAGAATTAGAAAGCTGGGTACATACCTTGATCAAATGCCAAGCTGAACTATTCTGAATCTTTTAAGACAGCAAATTTACTAGTTTAGGCCCAAAATTGAGTACCACTATATAAAGAAAAAGTTGGGTTTTTTTTTGTGTTTGTTTCATTTTACTAGCATTCACAAAGAATTAGGCTATTTACTGACAGGATATATTATAATCCCAAGAAGTACTTGTTTATTTACAATTATATTGGTCTACTTATTTTATTTACCTTTACCAGTTCTCTGTGAAGACTGAGAAGCAACTTGGACTTCCATATTACTGAGGTGCTGTTTCAATGTGGCAATTTCTTTTTGAGCATTTTTTAATAGTTCTTTTGTGTTAAGATGAAGATTTGTCTCTGTATCCAGTTGTCTCTTTGTATCTAAAAGTTGAACCTATAAAATACATTAATCTTATAACATTCTTTAGGTTCCTAAGTAACTAAAGGTTCAAACTATCTTTTTATAGACCTTTGGAGCTCGGCCAAGAGAGTAACAGAAAACAGATTTACCGTCACACCTGAAACAGCCAAAAAAAACCAGACAAAACACATGAAACAACCGAGATCCTGAGACAGAAAACCAAAGAGGTGAACCTTAGATTGCCTTAGTTTACTGATTTAAAAGTTTCCAGGCTATGACACAGGAAAGAGGAAATGAGGCAGAGCCCAGGAGACTCTCTGAATTGAGAACACAGATCTGAGAGTCCAGGGAGACCAAAGTAGCTCAAATTTGTAAGACAGAATATAAGACAGGAGAGTTGCACACACAGAGTACCCTGGAGCTCTACAGAGGGTCCTCCTTAAATATTCATCAGAGTAGCGATCGCTGCAAATATATAAGGAGCTTACCCCAGACAGGGGAAGAATTGTCCAAAGGAATTAAGAGTGAAGAATACCTGTTACTCAAAGAAAGTCAAGAATAATGCCTGTTCTGCAGCCAGACTAAAAAAACCCCACAATTGCAATGGACACTGGCACTAATACTCATGAAAGTATTGGCCTCAGTTCCAGAATGCACACTGCTCTGGGCCCACCTAATACATCATAAAAGGCAAAAGTCAAAAGAATCAAATCATTTTAAATTAACTTTACTGCATCTCAGAATAAAGCTCAAGAAGATTTAAAGGAATACAAAAATACTCAGCACCCAACATGGTAAAACTCACAATATATGGCACCCAATAAAAAAATTACTGGGTATAGAGTGAGGCAAGAAAAACTTAGTAACAAAGTTTTTCAAAATCATGCTTCATCTTGGATGGCAGACTGTCCACACACCAGATTAATTACTGAACATAAACACCCTACAGAAATTCAGAACTCTGATGGACTCACATCTAGATTTCTAGTAAGTGTATGCCTTTGTTCCACCTCATTTTCCAACTTCTTCTTTAGATGAGAGATCTCATGTTCCAGTTTTTCTATCTGGCTACTAAGCCTTTGTTTGGTTTCTGTTTCAGATCGCTCCAGTATTCCCTAAAGCAAAGAAAAGATTTTTGGTTATGCTTAAGAAAAAGGCAATACAAAAAAATAAAAATTGAAGGCAAGAAAGAATTACAATATTACAACCCATTTCTACATGAAGCAGCTAAAATCTACAGTATTTATCAAGAAAGTATTCTGGTATTTTTTATATTAAAACATCTATTATACAGGAAAGAGATGGAATGTATTATAATCGTCATTCAGATTTCCCAAAGTTTTAAAGAAAATAAAAACCAAAGAATTAATCTTATAAATAGTAAAACTGCACAGGACACTGTAAATATACCTGAGGACTTACCAATGTATGGTTTCAATCAATTCTCTTTCAATATTTTATTTAAAATATTTAAATGTCTTAATAAACTGCAAAATTCAATGATCATAATGGATGACAAAAGTGATGGATAAATTTTCTAATTAAGGAAATTGAGAGGATAAAAAAAATCTAAATTTAACTTTTATACATTTTTTCTACATAGGCTTTTTATTTGGTTACCTGAATTGTTTGCAGATTAGTTAGCAGTAAGTTTTGCCCCCTTTGTTCAGCTAACAAAGACTCTCTTTGCTGAGAAAGACGAACTTCAGACAATTTAAGCATTTCCTTTTCCTTCTTCAAATTTTCTGCTCTTACCTAAACATAAGTAGAAATGAAATAAAAAATGCTGAAAAACATGGTGTCAAGTGTATTAAGATTATAAAATTAAAATGATTCATACATCACTACTTTTTTTTAATGCTCTTAGGGACTATATCTCCTCATTGTATAAGGAAATACAAAACAGTTTCATGTGCTAAAATACGAAGCAAAAATTATTGGGGATCATCAATGAAAAAATCTTTCAATTACAAATACTTATGGTTCCTTGCTCTAACAATCCACAGTTTAAAAAATAACAGCAAGAAAAATTTAATATGTGAGAAGAAGAAAGCAGAATTGCATGACTGCTGTAATCATTCATACCTGACTACTATTAAATTATGTAACTTTTAGAATCCAAGCCGGTTTCAAAGTACCTGTTTAAAAGTGATGATTGATCTATTTAAAGTTTCTCCCTCCCCTCAACCCCAAGAGTCTGAGTCTCAAGGGGACCAGGGAGAGTGTTTTGAAAGCTCAAAGTACTCATATTTACACACAAGTACTCATATTTACACACAGATTCATATAAATGATCAATGATAAAATTCACTCTACCAGTTTGAAAAAGTGCTGCTGCCCACTCCTCACAATGGAGTTGGAGCAAGATAAAAATAAAGAATACAGCCTTATAAGAGCATTATAAGACATGGGTTCAAGTCCTAACCAACCCATCTCTCATGACTGTCCCAAAATAGGCAAATTATACATTAGCTCTTGAGTCTGTTTTACACAGGTAAAATGGGGGACAACTATACCTAGCTTACAAGTAATGATCAAAGACAGAAGAGATAACTGAATAACAAAGAAAACTATATAAAAAATTTATCATCACAAAACTAAGTATTTAGTTAAAAGTAATAATTTCAAATGGACATTTATATTCAAGTTAAAATTCAGAAATATAAATTCAATGCAATGTAATTTTTATATTGCTTTTTATTACAGATGAGCAAGAATGAATAACATATTCGTCTGGCCAGGCACTGTGGCTCATGCCTGTAATCCCAGCACTTTGGGAGGCTAAGGCGGGCAAATCACGAGGTCAGTAGATCGAGACCATCCTGGCTAACACAGTGAAACCCCATCTCTACTAAAAATACAAAACATTAGCCAGGTGTGGTGGCGGGCACCTGTAGTCCCAGCTACTCAGGAGGTTGAGGCAGGAGAATGGCGTAAACCCGGGAGGCGGAGCTTGCAGTGAGCCAAGATCGTGCCACTGCACTCCAGCCTGGGCGACAGAGTGAGACTCTGTCTCAAGAAAAAAAAAACCAAAAAAAAAAACGTCTTTGTTAGAACCAAACACTGACCTACAAATTTATTTTGAAATGCAAGACTTGCGAGTATATCTTAGCCCAGCAGAAAAACAAATTCCTTTCCCTCTTCTATCTTAATAGAAACAATCACCCCACTAACGCACACTGGCTATTTGCAAACTATGTATTAATTACTTGGTGTAACCTCCAAACTTCTTAAATACCTAAGTCCTATCAGTGAGTAAAATTCAAAGTAAAAACTAAAGAAATGTCAAATGCAACTTATAATGCAAGTTGGACAAGGGATATTGGACTCACTTCTGCGACAGCTAGCTTCTCATTTGCTCCTCTCAAATCTTGAGTCATCGTATTGATAATCTGTTCTTGCTTTTGAGTTGTGGCAGTGAGTTTCTGATTTCTCTCATGAAGTGATGTTATTTCTCGACGATATCCTTCAACATTATCTTGCAGCATTTCATAACTGGTATGAAAAAAGTAATTCTACAAGTAACTGAAATGATATCCTAGCTTAATCCCTTGAAGAAATTTCACAATAGCTTAACCCATTTCCCCAAATGCCCTGAGAATATTGTCTCTAATCCTAATGTAACATCATACATATTTCTGTTAAGTTGAATTCTGCTTAGAAATAACTCCAGGAACAGTTTTTATATTTTATTTTCACACTGAAAATCTGTCAGATTTGCCTCAACCTCAAACAGCATGCTTATGTAAAATTAAATGAGCGCTGGCAGCAAGCTGCACTTTTTTTTTTCTAAATGGGAAAGGGGTTAATTTTATGATTTATGAAGAAGTGGCTTGTGTAATAAGGTAAAACCTTCATTCTTTTTTCCCAATTCCAAATGTAGTGGTTCAAGTTCTAAGTAAGCAAAGTATTTCATGCTAAGTAACTTTTTAATCTTATTTTTAAAAAATCAATTATATTTAAAGTAATGACAATGCAATATTGATAACACCAGACACCCACTACAATGCAGTATACAAATTAAGTTATTATACAGGGTTAGTGATGGATTTTTGCTAATCCTTTTTTCTTCTATAATCCTCAGTTTTATTTTCTTATGTGCTTGAAAGCTGACATAATGGCTGGCTAGAGGTATCAACAGAGAAAAAAGAAGTGCTTTAATTGGGGTTGCTGAACTATTAGATGTATAGGGGTAACTGCCTGCAATATATCCTGCCTGCTATAAAACAGAAACAGTTTTATCATGTACTATATAAAAATAAATATTGTCCTAACAAACTAAACTAACAAGCATTCAATGAATTTAATAACAAATAATCATGAAATATTTATTATTTCTTTGGATGTGACCAAGAAAATTAATTCTCCTAAAACTACATAGCACTTGCTTCTCTTCTACCTAGAATAGAAAAGGTGGAATAAAATTTGCTCTCATTTCTCTCATCATCTGGTGCATTTTTAAAAGAATTAAGTCCTACCGAAACAAGTCCTTTAATCTTAGGAAGGTAAACTACCAACATTCCTCACATGAACTTCAACTTATTTTTATTTTATTTTATTTTTTTGAGACAGAATCTCACTCTCTTGCCCAGACTGGAGTGCAGTGGCCCCAATCTTGGCTCACCGCAACCACTGCCTCCTGGGCTCAAGTGATTCTCCTGCCTTAGCCTCCTGAGTAGCTGGGATTACAAGCATGCAACACTGCCGCTCAGCTAATTTTTGTATTTTTAGTAGAGATGGGGTTTCACCATGGTGGCCAGGCTGGTCTTGAATTCCTGCCCTCAAATGACCCACCTGCCTCGGCTTCCCAAAGTGCTGGGATTACAGGCGTGAGCTGCTGCGCCTGGCTTCAACTTATCAAACAAGCTAAACCCTTAGCACTGCCTAGAGAATCATTAATCAATATGAAAAAAATGAACTACCAGAGGTTCTCATTCTGGAACACAGTTCACAAAAAAAGCAACACTATTGCAAATTAGCTCTTGAATTTAAATGATTTGAATTGTAAAGTATAACATTTAGACTTAATTAATTTGAAACAAAAGAAAACTTACCGTTTAGAAGCAAAATCTAGCTGGGTAGAAATTTTGGTATTTTGTGATCGCAAATCTGTAACTTGTTCTTGAAGTTTCTCAAGCTGCTCATTTTGTATTTTTTCATTTTCTGCTTTTTCTTTTTTGTAGTTCTCAAAAATTTCCTGCAACTAAATATTGGAGATTATGAGAAGGTAACACTGTGTTCTCTAAAAACCTAACCCAGGACAAAGGTGTGATCTTTACCTGTTTAAGGGCAGCCTTAGCCTCTATAGCCTCTGTTGATTCAATAACAGGTACTGGAGCAGGAGTGGAAACAGTCTGTGATGTACTTGGACGTTTTGGAGTTGATGCAAGAGAAACATCATCTAAGCTTGAAGCTTCAGGAAAGTAAAGACTAATAAAATGCTTTGTTGGCTTTCATAAATCAGCTTTAATCTAATGCTTCTTTGCAAATACACTATTATCAAATAAACAAGCTAAACTTATTGAAATGAAACAATAAGATTATAGGAGTTTTTAAATAAGGAATCTACTAAACAATGTATTAAGATTTTTTGATGGTTATTAGAGATAATTCAGTATTTATGGGTTAAAACATAATCCATATTTATGTTTTATTAAAACATATCTGTTTTGGTCATTAAAACATAACCAAAATAAATACTGTAATTCATTGATTCTGAAATGCACCTTTTTCAACAATAGAAAGCATTTCTTTTTAGCAATACATAAAATAATGGTATGTTTTACAGTTGATGGGATGTTATAAGCAATTATATATGGTAGTCAAATTTGAAGCTACCATCATTAGAGTGGCTATTGCTTATGTTGCAAAATTAATCCCTTAATATACATTTCTAAATTATTCCTTAAAATAACTTTATAAAAACCTACCATGTAATGGAATGGCAACTCCTGTTGTTTGTGACAATAAAATACGGTACATATCACGCTGACGAACTATGGAATCAACAAGCTGCATTTGATGCTGTCGTGATTTGCGGAGTTGTTCTAGTTCAGTAAGGGCACTCTCAAGTTTGAGCTGAAGCTCAGTGATTCTGTAGAAAAAGTCGGCCTAATTCACAGGACTGAACTGAGAGTTAACTGATTGTAATTTCTACTGTAATTAACCAAGCATCTTTGCCTACCATTCATCATACCATTTTTGTCTCTCTCATTATTTTTTTTCATGCTGAGTATTTTATGAACTACTTTTTAAATCCCCACCACACAGGACTCAGGTACTTATACTTACCAATGCAATCTGAAAAATTTGTTTGTAAAAATTAAATCAGTTCCACTCACTCCAAACTCTAGTCTTCTTGCTTTCTTAGCCATTCTTCCTCTTCTAGAAGACATTATACATGTATTTTGAAAAAACCTCTGACTAATTCTTACATAGGTTCTCCAGGTTCTCCATGAAGCCGGTCTGCTCCCTGAAATCTAGGACAAGTCCTCTACCGCTATGATCCCACAGATAGGCACTAATCACAGTGAATGCAAATTGTCTACTTGCCTATTTTATTATCTATTTATTACATCTGTCTTACCCATAACCTGAGGTCTTGGAGTAGAAATTTTTTGTTTGGTATTGTTGCTCAATTCTTTCCTCCCTATATCACTATATCCCAAGTATCTAGCACTGTTAGGAACACATAGATTTTTTTTGCGGGCAACAGGGTCTTACCCTGTCGTCCCACTTAGAGTGTGGTGCATGATCATGCTTCACTGCAGCCTCAAACTCCTGGACTCAAGTGATCCTCCCACCTCAGCCTGTCTCCTGAGTAGCTGGGACTATAGACATGTGCCACCACACCCAGCTAATTTTTTACTTTTTTTTGAGACATGGTCTCACTATGTCGTCCAGGCTGGTCTCGACCTCCTGGGCTCAAATGATACCCCATTTAGGCCTCCCAAAACGTTGGGATTACAGGCATGAGACACTGAGCCTAGCTGAGGTTTTCATAAATGTTTGCTCAACAAGCTGAGGTATGTGACTACTTACTTGGATGAAGTTGTTTCTTGTTCTTCTCTTTCTCTGGTTTCCCCAAGCTCTCTAAGGGCCACTAAGAGACGTTGATTTTGTTGTTGAAGCTCTTCAATATTTCTGTAAGATACTAGATGCTGTGATATTACCTCAGATGAACTACTTATATCAGCAGAGCTTACTTCCTCATCACGAATTACGTGGTTACCCCTTGCTTCTTCAAGTTCCATCAAAAGCACTCTAATCTAAAAACAAAGTTTTAATATGTTATAAAATAGTATTAGTTACAATTCTGGACAAGTTTAGAATGAAAGTTTTCAAATTAAAACATTACTTATAAAACCTTCAACTTGTACTGCCTCAAATTATCTTTAAAAATAAAGCATCCTTGGATATTAAAATCTAAACAATCAAATTTTAATAGAATAAAATTACTTTTAAGTATGTATTGAAGGCTATTACTTATTACAAAGTAGCCAAATTACAATTCCCAAAACATGGCTCCAGTTTTGTAAAACAGTGATCAAATAAAACCCACAAATATCTATTTTTTTGTGTGTGCTTTTGTATATATGATAGGGCAGAGCATGAAAAATAGACATTTAAACAAAAAGCATATATATAATGCCATTCATGTGAAATTTTTACATTTGTGCATTGCGTGGATGTACACACACACAAATTAGGGTAAAATATATGAATGAGACATTAATTTATTGATTTGCTTGTTAAGTGTCAGAGTAATGCATACAGTCCAGTCTTACTTCAGTAAAATCAAATAATTCTTACATATGTTTATATATGCTCATGTATATACACATACAGAGAAGGATGTGAAAAAAATACACAACTGTCTGTTAACTTAGCTACACTTTGGGACTTCAGAGGGTAGAGGGGTAGAAATTGGAGAAAGCTTTTATTTATCTTTGAATTATTTCTTCATTTATTACAACCAACACGTATAATTTAAAAATTTATCAAACATTTGAAAAAAGGGAGGGGCTATGAAAAGAAACAATGGGGGTGCAACTCTGCTCGAGTACTATTCCTAATTAATTAGAATTTCATACATGGTAGTTCTATCTTAGGTACCTTCAAACAGATTCAAAGATTACTGGGCAGTCAGGTTTTTAAAAGTAGGAAAACAAACAAAAAAATTCTAACCTGTTGTGAAAGATCTTTTACTTGTATTTCCATTCTTCGATTATCTCTCTCAAGTACAGATGATTGCTTGTTGGCTTTATCAGTGTCCTCCTGCAATCGCTGAATCTCCTTTAAAATGTAAATTCAAGTGAAAATTTTGTACTTCCTTCTAGGATTTATACAAGTAATAAAGACATACAATACTCAAACACCACCAGTAATCAACTTATACACTAAATAAAATCCTACATAATATTGTAGCCACTAAAAAAGAAGTTTTGTATAAATTTGAATATGTTATTTCTCATTCAGACAATAACAAGCTTCAGGTAAAACCCTCACTTTCAACAGAGAGAAAAATTCAAGGAAGATCTAATTGGATCCAAGGGCTCTCTTGCAAACTACACTGCTGGTAAAAAAGTCAATATTCTCAGGCAGGCGGGACTGCTAGACTTCACTTGATGAAGAAGAAAAAAACCAGCTGATATAATAAAGTACTTGGATTTAAACTGACTTCTAAATTATAACAGCAACAGAGATTTAATTTTGAAATAGGGATATATTTATATTCTTTTCCAACAAAAGGGAAACAATTTATCAGTTTAGAAGAGTAGATATAAATTCATTTAACTGAATTTCCTCCATAAAACTTGTTCAAGAAATCTTGACAATTTCCCTCAGTAATGTTAATAGTTGTACCATAAGGCAAAACATTCAGAGTATAACCTCTTTTTCCATCAGTATCTCTTAAAAGGAAAAAATCTTTATGAATTTCATTAACACTTCTAATAAGCAAATGAGCAATAACAAAATAATGCATATAGAGACACGCCAAATTGTGAAATGGTATAAAAAAGGAGTTCTACCTATGGTCAAACAATATTATTATTTCTAGGCAGGCTATTACAACTGTCTGATAAAGAATGATTATGGCAAATAGGAGAGTTTTATTACACAGAGATTATTTTAATTTGAAGAGCAGTTTTAGGAGATTTGGCTATTATTCTCTAGTTGAGAATCCTAAGGAAAACATAGTAAATGCATTAAAAAAAGGTTAAAATGCTTTCACAATTTTATATAAAAATTGAAATACATAAAAATTGCTAAATAAAGGTATGACGTTTTGAGATCAGCAGTGTTTAATAAGTTTCAAAATGTGTTTATTGAAAATCGTATTTAGATTTTTCTGACTCAATCACCTTAAGAAAAAAAAATACCTAGTAAATCATTTCTCATTTGTATTGTTACCACGGCTAAATTTTAGGAATGGAACCAACCTTCATAGCTTGTTCAAGCTTAACAGATAAACTTGCTACAGCTTTCTGTGCACGTTCATATTCCTCACGCTGGCGTTTCAAAATTGGTGCTTTGGCTTCCACTTCTTTCACTATTTCATCTAGGTACTTATTAATTCTTTTGTTCTCTAGTTTCTCCAAAAGCAACTGATCCTGAGTTTCCACATAAGCATTATAGAGCTGAAAGTAGACAAAGGGTTGTTTCAAATCTAACCATAACAACGCAAATATTTAGTTGATCTAGTTTCATAATAAACATTCTTTAACACTAACACAAAATGGCAATGTTTACTATGTTAGTTACACAGCACTAGGAACCAAAGAAAGCCTTTCCTAGAATGATCCACTAATTATAAGATGATTTTAAAAATAAGTTTTGGGAGAATTAAATTTTGAAGAGATTTGTATACATTTGCTGAAGAAAAAGAATTTAACAACATTTAATACCATTCTTACCTCAGTTAGTTTCATCCCAGGTTTCACTATCTTAGCTACAGCTGCTGCAGTAGGAGACATGGCGGCAAGCTCTTCTTCAGACAATATGGCTCCTGTGCCAACAAATACACATCTAGTATAATTTGTAAAATTCCAAACTAAAAGCCATTAATAATTTTTCAAGGTAAGTGACATGTACTGTACATTATATAGTAATTCCTATAAAAATTTTAAATACATGACATCAAAAAGTCATGTAACACATCTAATTCTAAAAAATCATGCAATAACCTGGGAATTTACAAGACTGTGTGTGATCAAATGGTATTTATATGCCCGATTCTGTAAAGATACAGGTAAGAGTATTAATTTTAAAACAAATTCTATTAATATAACTCGATGGAGTTTCCTACATCACAGCATGACAGATAAATACTATTAGTGAAATTAAATGACTTTTATGTAGGAAAGCTGTAGTATTTCAACTCACTAACAAGCATCTATTAGCCATACCTTTACGTTTTGTGGCAGAAAGAAGGTCATTTGCATTCTCTAATTCCTTCTCCAATCTCCCTATTTTCTCAAGCATTTCTTTTTCCATTTGATCTTTGGATTGCTCCACCTCTAGAAGATGATCTTGTATTGCTTTGTTGGCTAAAAAACAATTTTAAAGACCAAATATTCAAACATACAGTTAAAATTTTAGTTTACAAAATGCAACAGATCAGTCACTTCTCCCCTCAGCAGATAATATTAAATTTCTAGAGAGGCTTCAGCTGACAGTATCTATTGAAAGTTCTTGCTCTACTTATAATTTTGGAATTGTCTTCGCCTGGTGTTTCTCCTTTTGATGTCTCTTACCCACAAAGAAAATAAGGAAACCCAAAGGGTAAAAAGTGGTTCTAGGTATATCTTTGATTTCGATTTTGATCTTTAATCCTAAGTAAAGGAAATTATTGGAAAAGACCATAAATATAATACATTGAAAAAAGCAAAAATTTGAGGAAATAAAAGACTTTACAAAATGCAAATAAAGAGGATGTCTTATTTATAAAGTAAGAGTATTCAAACATTATCAGAGTAAATGTTTCAAAAAAGAAAACTTTCTCATTAGAAATCAGCAAATTATACAAGATTATTAGATAAAAAACAAACAAAACCCCCTGCTGTCTGTATTTTCAAAAATATATAAACTTACATTTGCTTAAGATATAATTCTGAATTTCCTAATCCAAAGTTCTTTCTTCTGTACCTAATTCTGTCCCAAATAAAGTCTAACACCTAAATCCAATCATCTATACAAAACAAGGGTAAAAAAAAAAAAAGAGTACAATAACAAAAATAATGTTCCCATAACTGAAAACACTTACCTTCACCAGCTTCTTTCAAAAGTTTGTGTAGTTCCTCTACTGCCCGGGTTAGTTCATTGCTCTTTGCTTCTGAGTCATCAGCGGCACTCTAAAAGTTAATCTTAAAAAGTTACCTAACAGTCAACAATGCAACATTTAGATACTAACATGTGTGGTGGGATATTTACCTTGTACAAATTAGAAAGTTTTATGTGGGCATTTAATTCATTGTGGAATTTCTCTTCCATACTGGCCTGTTGTTCCTTGGCCTGAAAAAAATAGCCCAATTATAGCAGTCTACTTTGAACTAAATTTAGAATGCTTATCAAATGACAAGATGAAAAATTCCATTTTTGTAAAGTAAGAGCTAAATCTAAAACACTCAAATTCAAATCAGTCTTCATGACAAAGATAAATTAAGGATAAAATATTACTAATATTTTAAATTCAAAGTAAAATAATTAAACAATAAAATTAACCCATACTCATTTTTTAGATAGTATTTTCAATATAACATATAATTGCTATTTCTGATTCTATTTTAGCCTAGCTACAGCATATGGAAGGAGGACTCTCACTGTTTTATGGGGCCAAGGACAGATTAAAAAATGACATCATTTTGTGAAATAACAGCTTCGTAAGTGCTTTAGTATTTTGTAAAAAAGACATTTTAATGGTCATATATACCTCTTTTAATTTGGTCAACAGATCCTCCACATGCTTTTGAAGATGTTCATTTGATGTTTTTAAGCCATTCATTTGTTCTTCCAGTCTAGAAACCTAAAAACAAAAAATAGAGCAGGGGGAAAGGATGTCATATTAACTGAAATTACTCTGACATGAGGTTTATGCTGCTAAGGAAAAGCTAAGTAACTCCCCCTCCCCACCTGAAAAAGCAATTAAAATATGCATATTTAAGAAAACTAAGAGTAACTGCTCACAGAACAATGTTTAGATTTAGCTCACAAAAACTTACCACCACTTCTTAAACAAACACATATTTTAGGAAAGATATATCGTAAGACAGTAGATACTAACCAGATTTGACAAAGAATCTTAAATTCTTTATGTAAACGCAATTGGTTGATTTTTTACGCCAAATGTAATGCATTATTCACATTTAACCACTCATCTTACAACTAATCAGGTACACACTACTGAATACATATTTAATAAACTGACATACAAATGTAAGTTATACTCAACATGAAGAAAAACACAATTTTACTAACTTACCTCTTCTTTTTTATTTTCAAGATTACATTTAAGCTCTAGAATCTCATTCCCTTTTTCTCTTCCAAGAGCCAGAAGTTCATCAGTTTTGGTTTTCAACTCTGTATTCAGCCATGTATTCTGACTATGTAGCAATTCCTTTTCTTGCTCCAAGCGTTTTTCTCGATACTAAAGAAATCCAAGAAAATAACACGTACAGTTAAAGATGATATATGATTATTCAAAAGATTTTGTCTGTAGCTAAGGGACACAAGCAGAATTTTATTTCAAAACAGAAATTAAGTATTTGCATAGATTCTTAACTAGAAAACATTAAGAACTGTAACAAACTTAAATTTCAAACAAGCAAAACAGATGAACTAGAATTGTCCTAATGCTTAATTTTCTGACATTAAAAACAAAACAAAATGCAGCTTTTAATTACTTTATTGCCTATATTTGAAATTTAATTTAGGTGAGTTTTAATAAAAAGCTATAGTTTATGCATTAGGAATCATCTGGTACTTGCCTTAACAGAAACATCAGAAGCTTGAAGTTCATCCAATTTTAACTGAAGTTCACCCTTTGTTGTATTGCTTTCTTTAAGTTTTTCATTCAGACGTTTAACATCCTCTAGAATGGTGAAGAGAATTAAAAAATAATAACTAATTAACACTCAGGGGAACCAAATATCAAAAATATATTTCTAGGAATATAAACCTTTAATACAAAGTATGCACAGCTGGCCCTTGAATAACACAGATTGGAACCATGCAGATTCACTTCCACTCATATTTTCTTCAATAAATATATTGGAATTTTTTCCCAAAAACTTACAATTTGAAAAACTCAGAGACCACAGACCAATCCAGGCAGCCCAGAAATGGGAACAAACTAAGAAAAAGCTACTGTAAGTGCATAATATGTACTAATATGTAGATATTAGTGTATTTTATCATTTACTACCATTAAAATATGCACAAATCCATGATACAAACTTAAAAAATTTATCAAAACTTATGCACACAAACACTACACAACCCTATCTGCAATCAAGAGAAATATAAGCAAATATAAATATGCTTTATTAAACCATAACTGCATAAAATTAACTGTAATACATACTGTATTACTGGAATACTTTCATAGCCACCTCCTGATACTACTGCAGTAAGCTCAAGTGTTTTGAGTGTCTGTATAGAATGCTGTGTGACTCTATTGTGAGCAGTTTCTCTCTTCAGTAAATTGCATAATGCAGAAAATAGTAATCTTTTGAAGTTTTTGCATATTTGTCATTGTGTTTAGTGCAATACCATAAAACTTGAAATCTTTTGAAGTTTTTGCATATTTGTCATTGTGTTTAGTACAATACCATAAACCTTGAATAACAACATGGGATCCATAAGAACTGCCACTAGTGATGTTGGAAGTACTTCTTCTAAGAAGCAGGGAAATATCACGACAATATTTTAAAGAGTTGAATTGCTTGATATGTACCACAGATTGAGGACTGCAGCGATGGTTACCCACCATTTCAAGACAAATGAATCCAGTATATGGACCGTTGTTTAAAAAAAAAAAAAGAAATAAAAAGAAAATTCGTAAAGCCATCACTGCAGCTACGCCAGCAAGCATAAAAAAGTGCATTTCTGCAAAATACCTTCCTATCTCGCATTGAAAATGCAGCTTTTATGGGGTGCAGGATTGCTATCACATACCTATAGACTCTAATATGATACGAGGTAAAGCAAAGTTATTATATGACAACTAAAAGCAAAAGGAAGGTGACAGATCTAAAGCTGGAGAATTTAATGCCAGTAAAGGATGGTTTGATAATTTTAGAAAGGTTTGACTTATAAAAATGTCAACAAAACTGAAGAAGCAGGTTCTGTCAACCAAGAAACAGCAGATGCTGCTAAGAAAATCATTGAGAAAGGTTATATGCCTGCACCAGGTTTTTAATGCAGATAGAAGTGTACTATTCTGGAAAAAACAATGCCACAAAAGATATTTATTAGTAAGAAAGAGAAGGGAGCACCAGGATTAGGGCAGGAAGGGATAGGCTAACTCTACCGTACTGAGCAAATGCAGTCAGGTTTATGATAAGGACTGCCCTTATTTATAAAGCTTTTAACCCCAGGGCCCAAAGGAAAAAGATAAACACCAGCTGCCTGTCTTCTGGTTACACAAGAAGAAGACCTGGACAATGACAGACCCCCTTCTCTGAATTGGTTCCACTCATGCTTTGTCCCTAAAGTCAGAAAGTACCTTGCTAGTAAAGGGGCTGCCCTTTTTTTTTTTTGGAGACAGTCTCGCTCTATCCCCCTAGCTGGAGTGTAGTGGCATTATCTTGGCTCACTGCAACCTCTGCCTCCCTGGTTCATGTGATTCTCATGACTCAGCCTCCTGAGTAGCTGGGATTACAGGCGCCTACCACCACGCCCAGCTAATTTTTGTATTTTTAGTAGAGATGGGGTTCTGCCATGTTGACCAGGCTAGTCTCGAACTCCTGACCTCAGGTGATCTACCTGCCTCGGCCTCCCAAAGTGCTGGGATTATAGGCATGAGCCACCGTACCTGGCCAAGGGGCTGCCTTTAAAGTTCTTTTGACTTTAGACACTGTCCCTGGCCACCCAGAACCCAGGAGTTCAACATGGAAGGTGTCAAAGCAGTCTACTTGCTCCCAAACATGTTTCTAATTCAGCCTTTAGATCAGGAGTCATAAGGACCTTTACGGCTCAATAGAGATGATACTTTGTGAAAAGAAAATGTCAACACTGTGGAAGAGAACCCCAACAGAGAAAATATCATGAAAGTTTTAAAGGATAACACACTGAAGAGGCCATCCCTTCTTTTTCATTACAGAAAAAGTTATGAAAGCCATCAAGGCTGAAATAATAAATTCCTGTTGGAGGAAACTCTCCAGATGTTGTGCATGATGTCACAAAATTTGTAACAGAGCCAATCAAAGAAATCATGAAAGAGATTGTGGATATGGCAAAAAAAGTGGGATGAAGGGTTTCAAGATACGGACCTTGGAGAAATCCAAGAGCTAATAGCCACCATATCAGATAAATTAACAGAAGATGACTGGATGGAGATGAGTGCTTCCAAACCAGTGCCAGACGATGTGGAAAAAGAATGTAGAACTAGCAGTGTCAGAAAACATATTGGTAACAGACTATCTGGTGGAAGGGTTCTGATTACCCAAGACTGCTTTTGATTTCTTTTATGACATGGATCCTTCTCTTACATGGGCACTGAAACTATAGCAAACGGTGGAAGGAAGATTGGTAATGTATAGAAACATTTTTAGAGAAATGAAAAAGCAAGTCAGACAGAAATTAGGCTGTATTTCGTAAAGTTACATTGAGTGTGCCTCCCTCTTCTGCCTCCCCTTCTACCTCTGCAACCTGACCCAGCAAGACCAACCCCTTTTCTTCAGCCTAGGTAATGTAAAGACAAGGAGGATGAAGATGGTTGTGATGATCCACTTCCATTTAATGTACAGTAAACGTATTTTCTCTTCCTTATGATTTTCTTAACATTTTTTTCTCTAGCTTACTTTATTGAAGGAGCACAGTATATAATACAGATCACAGACAAAACGTATGACAATCTACTGTGTATGTTATTGGTAGGGCTTCTAGTTAACAGCAGTAGTTAAGTTTTTGGGGAGTCAAAAGTTACACATAAATTTTCAACTGTGGGGGGAATCAGCAACCCTAACCACTGTGTTGTTTAAGGGTCAACTGTAGTTCTCAACTCTCTTATTTTAACTTGTTTCTGCCATAGTTAATTACAAATTCAATTTCTACAAATATATGACAAAAAATTGAAATTTGTGTATCCAAACTTGTGAATTATCCAAATTTATTTTAAATACAGTGTGTTAAGCTAAATATTCAACGTTAACCTTAATTTTCCTGATATATATCCAAAGACCTATTAAAATTTTATAAATAATCATTAAGCTAAAAAGCACTAATATAAAAACCTACTCAATATGGAATACACATTTTTAAAAAACTATCTATTAAATATCTAGATTTTATGAATTCGTTTAGTTGTAACTACCACTTGTTGATCAACACACTCAAGTATTTTGAAGGAACTCTTGTGAGACTGGGAAAGTATACTTAACTAATGGAATATTATTGTATAATGATATAAATATCTGAAAATCCTTTCTTTTATAGAAATAAAAAAATTTCAAAAACCATTAAAAAAAAAAGAACCCAAAACACCTTTTTTTTTTTTTTTTTTTTTTTTGATACGGAGTCTAGCTCTGTCGCCCAGGCTGGAGTGCAGTGACGCAATCTTGGCTCACTACAACCTCCGGCTCCTGGGTTTAAGCAATTCTCTGCCTCAGCCTACAAAGTAGCTGGGATTACAGGTGCGTGCCACCATGACTGGCTAATTTCTGTTATTTTTAGTAGAGACGGGGTTTCACCATCTTGGCCAGGCTGCTCTTGGACTCCTGACCTCATGATCCACCCACCTCAGCCTCCCAAAGTGCTGGGATTACAGGCGTCAGCCACCGTGCCTGGGCACCAAAGGAAACTTCTTACCATTAACTGCTTCAGAGTCAAGTTCACCTGACTACATCAGCTGTATTATATACTACAGTCTATGTTTATGTATTTTATGTCTCTGCCTCCTTCAGTCTGTTTATAAATATAGGCTGAGTATATGTTCTTATATTGAATGCTTATTATATAGCAAGGATGTCCATATGAAATAAAGAACAGTAGTTCAGCCTTTGCAAATATTTAAAGTGCTTCCAATTTGACATTATGTACAGCATTGTAGTGAAAATCTTTGCATGTAAAATCTGGTCCAAATTACTACTTCTTTGAGATGTTCTTCACTTGTGCACTTTCTAGACACTTCTTTAAACACTTGACAATGATTTAAAGATAAATGAGTAGGAGAAATAATAGGATATGACAACTCTATACTCAACCATAACAAAAAAATATCAGCAACAGAAATGGGCTGAGCACTAACTCCTAGCACTAACAGAAGAAAAATAAAGGAATGGAGCTAAAAGCTACAAGCACTTCTTCATACCTGTTAAGTATTCAAGTTCTTGAGATAGTCTCTCATTGGTTCTAATTAAGTCTCTTTTCTCAGCTTCTAATTCTTCCTTTGTTCTTGTAAATTGGCTCTGTCATATAAAGAAGTAATAAGTAAGAAAATCAAGTAGAGCAATACAGGAAAGCGAACATAGAATTGTCACTTTAGTTAACATCAGCTGTAGTGTAAATGACTGGCTTTCTCTTATAACTTACACATCAAAGTTAAAAAATACCCGTAATTCCAATGTTTCTATTTAAATTTTGGATTTTTAAAACATTTTTACTAGGCTTATGAAAATTTTTCTCATATCTCTTTTAATCACATGGAAATGTCCTAATAACTTAGAATATCACTGTATTTACACCTTAGTTCAAATTATTTTTCAAGAAAGATTCCTAAAAATTGAATTACTTAAAACTTTTAATATATTTTGTCAGCCAGGTGCAGTGGCTCATGCCTGTAATCACAGCACTTTGGGAAATCAAGCTGGGCCGATCATTTGAGTCTAGGAGTTCAAGACCAGCTTGGGCAACACAGCGAAACCCAGTCTCTACAAGTAGAAAAAAACAGCCAGACATGGTGGCACATGCCTGCGGTCCCACCTACTCAGGAAGCTGAGGTGGGATGATCATTTGAGCCCGGGAGGCAGAGGTTGCAGTGAGCCAAGACTGCATCACTGCACTCTAGCCTGAGTGACAGAGTGAGACCCTGTCTCAAAAACAAAAAACTTGTCAAACTGCTTCCCAGCAAAACAATGGCAATCTACATGTTTTTGAGTTAGAAATATCTATCTCAAGCTACCTATGTCAGAACTGTAGGTTGCCTTTTAATATTCTTGTTTCCTGTGTAGAAGCTTTTTAGTTTGATGTAGTTCCGTTTATTTCTTTTTGCAGCTTGAACTACTGATGTGATCCAAACAATCATTACCAAGGCCAATGTCAAGAACCTTTCCCCTATGTTCACTTCTCTGAGTTTTATGGCTTCAGGTCTTACATTTAGATCTTTCATCCATCTTGGCTTGATTTCGGTATATGATGTAAGCAACACAAACATCCAACATTCATTTCTTCAAATGTGGAAATCCAGTCTTCTCAACACCATTAATGAGGAGACGATCACAACTCCATTGGGTCTTCTTGGCACCCTTGTTGAAATTAGTTGACCATATGTTTGGATTTATTTCTAGGCTCTCTATTCTATTCCATTGGTCACTTTTCTGTTTTTATGTCAGTACTGTACTATTTGGATTACTATAGTTTTATAACAGTTTTCTAAATCATGAAGTATGATGCCTCCAACTTTGTTTTTCTTGCTCAGTACTGCTTTGGTTATTATTCAGGATTTTTAAAACTGATTCCATCAGAATTTCAGAATTTTTTTTTTCTATTTCTGCGAAGAATGCCTTTGGAATTCTGACAGGATTGGCCTGAATCTTTTTACCACTTTATAGTGTGGACATTTTAGCAATATAATTCTTCTTATCTATGAGTATGGTATATCTTTCCCATTATTTGCATCTTCAATTTCTTTCGTCAATGTTATATTATTTTCAGTATATGAATCTTTCACCTCCCAGGTTAAATTTATTCCTAAGTTGTTTTTTGATGGTACTCTAATGAAATCTTTTCTTAATTTCTTTTTCAGCTAGGTCATTGTTTGTGTATAGAAATGCTACTAGATTTTTTAATATTGATTTTGTATCCTTCAATTGTATAAATTCACTTATTAGCTCTGACAGGTTTTTGTGGAATCTTTCAGGTTTTCTACATATAGGATCATATAATCTATAAGTAAAGATAATTTTATTTCTTCCTTTCCAATTTGGGTGCATTTTATTTCCTTTTCTTGTCTGATTGCTCTTGCTGGTACGTCCAGTACTATACTGAATACAAGTGGTGAGTGGGCATCCCAGCCTTGCATTGGATCTTAGTGAAAAAGCTTTCAGTTTCTTTCTTTCAGCCACCAAGCAGTTAAATAAATTCTATTACTTTTTAAGTCACTTCATAGTTTTTTTTTTCTGAAAAATTTTATGTGACTGTGTGCACACTATTTTCCTCGGTTACAGATCCATAGTTTTTACAAGATTTATAAAGATTTTGTGACAGCTCTGCTTCTTTCCAAAAGATTAAGAACCTCCGTATTGGGTTTTATTTCTGGACTGCCTTTTATTCTCTGTACTGATTTTTATATCAGCATTGTAATATTTTAATAACCATAGCTTTATAAAACTTGAATATGTGGCTATGCAAGTACTTAATTTAAATTGATACTTCCTTTTTTTAGAAGCATCCTAGCTATTACTATGTTTTTTTCCCCAATCATCTTTAGAACTACATTAACAAGTTTCTGGCTATCTGACTTGGACTTAAGAGTCAAAATGTATTACCAACACATTAATTTGGAAAACATTTCCATCCAGAAATTTGCAATATCTTCATTTATAAAGGTATATTCTCACAGTTTTCAGAGAAGTATTTGAGTTTTCTTGGGTATTGAGTCATTCTTCATATAAATACATTTCTTACAAAGCCTTTCTAGGTATACTACGAGGCTTTTTTGCGCCTATTCAGATTCTGGAAGTAAATTTTTTTTTCCCTTCAGAAATGTGAAGAAATTATCTTTTAACACCAAATAAAATGCAAATTTTAAAAAAGCAATGGCAAAAGTATAAAGTTGTATCTGGTTAAAAAATAATTGCATGCAACCACTTTAATTAACAAATTTGTCAGCAATCCCTGTGATCATATTCAAACTGTCATTCTTATAAAACTACCCTAAGGAAATGACTACCAATGTGGATTCACCCAAATTCCCAACTGTATCACATTTGATATAATACCTGGACTACAGTCAGCATTCAATAGATAATTTCTGTTGAATAAAAGAGATGTCCAATCTATCAATAAAACATAGATCCAATTAAGGAATTTATATTTACATATTTTTGTTGGTAGCTTCCCCTAATAGGACATCAGTTACATCTTCCCATTGACTAATAACTGATAAACAATCAGAATAGAATGTCCCTTCAAGTAAAATGTCTACAATGAGCTTATTCTAAGAAATATCTCTTACCTGAATGGCAATATTGCGATCCTGAGCAATTTCAAGTTCTTTGTTTTTCTCAGTTAGTGCCTTCAGTTGATTGTCTGGATAAAAGGAATTTTATGAATACATACACATTTGCTTAAAACTTGCAATGAGTGTTTTTATGCAACTGCCAACCTTACATATTTTAATAAATGAAAAAACAGAAGCCCAGAAAGACTGCATTGTACATCACATTCCAAATTCATGAATGCATTCAAAATTTACTGTGTTCTAGACCAAAATTTTAAATATGCTATCCTGTCTCCAAATCAAATGTATAATAATCCTAGCCAACATTTATGGGGAAAGTCACATGCAATTAGTAATTCCTTTATTTTTCAGTGCCATCTTCTAAGTCAACATATATCATAAGAAACAGTGAACTGTACTTAGCAGTAAGAAAATGGAGTTAAAAAGACAGGATCAAGAGAGAAAAAGCATTTAAACTATATAACATGTATATACAGCAAATCACAATAATGAATATTTGCAATTCCTATCATTTATCACTCTAAATAGAGCCTTTAAAGAAAAAACATTATGCTTGATAACGCACTTATCAATCTCTCAATTGCCACTCAAAATGGGCTCTTTTCCCTTACATGCAGTTTCTCTTCTAAACATAGGCTAACTAGAAAAAATATAATTTTTAAAATTTTTCCAAAAATATACATTTTGAAACTGTATTTCACTAAAATACATATGTTGGCAATTTAATAAGCAAATACATTTTAATTAATTCTAATCTTAACTTCTATTTAAAGAGGACCATTAAAGCAAAAAAATCCCCATTAAATGTGTCTAAATTTTCTATTTTGTTTTAATATTATTTACTGCTTTCCAGACTTACTGATCCAGAGTATATAAATACACACACACGCGCGCACACATTAACTGTATACCACAGGAAGGTATCTGATGTATCTGTAGGTTCATCCCTTTTTCTCTTCTCCCAGATCTCGTAAAAGCTGTATTCAGTCATTTTTCTCAAATTCCTCGGCACTACTACTAAACAGATCTTTTTATTATGGCTAGGCAAAACTACATAGATAATGAACCAGATCTAGCTATATATGCTCCATCACACATGTATGCATATACATTACGTTTTTAAAATGAGGTGTACCAAAAGTAGCTGAAAAAAGTTATAACCTAAATAGTTGATGGTCATGGACCCATTAAGAAGGAAAGCTGCAATTTTAATCATTTGATTATGAACTTCCTGTGTTCCTTCTCCATCAATCAAATTAAAATTGAACTATATTAAGTATCAATTAATTATACCAGCCAGACACAGTGGCAATCCCAGCACTTTGGGACGCCGAGGCGGGAGAATCGCTCGAGGCCAGGAGTTCAAGACCAGCCTGGCCAACATGGCGAACCACTGTATCTACTAAAAATACAAAAATTAGCTGGGCCTGGTGGTACATGCCTGTAATTCCAGCTACTCAGGAGGCTGAGGCGCAAGAATCGCTTGAACCCAAGAGGCAGAGGTTGCAGAGAGCCAAGATTGCACCACTGCATTCCAGCCTGGGCAACACAGTGAGACTCTGTCTCCAAAAAAAAAGGAAAAAAAAAATTAATTACACCTTTATAGAGATCTTTCCTAATGTTCTGATGTTTGCTTTCTTAAAGCAGAAGCAGTCTACAGCCAGACCACCCTGAAGGCACCCCATCTCGTCTGATCTCGGAAGCTAAGCAGGGTGGGGCCTGGTCAGAACTTGGATGGGAAAAGCAAAGCACAAGACATATCATCCTCCTAAGAAATGTCAGGATCTTTAACATCTTGTGAACTTTCTAAAACTTAATGATGTAAGAAAAGTAAGAAAGAGATTAGCTATCAATCTTTTATAGGAATTAGGCCTTAAAGGGGAAATATCCTGAGATTCATAGATATTTATAAAAATTATTAAAAAATGGAGTTAAAACATAAATATAATGAAATCAATAGGCTTCGATTCTTCAACATAAAAACAAGCCACTCTCTACTTCTTTAGTTGCATAATGCTTTCACCTTTTTAAAAAGATTTCAAGAACTCTTATCTCATTTGATTTACAAAGCTGTCTAGGTAGACAGACATGTGGGTCTAACCATTTTATAAACAATAATCAGATACTGTTAAGATTTACATGTGGCAAAAGCAATTTTAATAGCAAAATCAGAATAAGAATCCAGACCTCCTGACCATTAAATTCTGTGTTCTCACAAAATCTTTACCACTAAGTGAAAAATCAAAATATCACCATAATAAAAACCAATGATGCTTAATCAATATTTTCATGTTTAGTAAGCAAATGTTTCCAAAGTATATAAAGGAGTCTCTGAAGATTTCGATACTCCGAGAATACTTACAAAGATGAATTAAATACTTACTGAGTTTCTCTAGCTCAAGCCGCAAGCTTTGACACTCTCGGGTTTCATTCACAAGTCTCTCCTGACTGTGGGACAACCTCTTTTCTATTTCAAAATACTGTTGTTCTACAGCAGACAAGCAAAAAACAAAAAACAAAATCAAACACATGTACATACATTGTGAATACTGTTATTTATTTCTAATAACCTTGATTTTAAAACTTAAGATACAGTATTAGAATTGTGCTCCACATAAGAGAATCTGAGTAAAGATAAATAGACTGAGCACTGAAAAGGACTTAAAGCATTTCCAAACGACTTACATGACAAAAAATAAAAAATAAAAATAAGGCCTAAAAGGGGCTTTACAAATCAATGTCTTCAAGGCAGGTAACCTCATTTATCTTAGTATTTTCTCCAGACATCAGTAAACTGCTTAATAAATAAAGTATTTATTACACGAGAAAAAATTGTTTAGACAAAAAAAAACTCCTTTGTTTTAAAAGACTTCTTTTATAGTAGTCAAGATATTACCTGAAAGCATAAAACTACTAAATATATGTAAAAGTAAATGTGTAAACTTTCCAAGGGAAGGGATTGAATATCATGTTCAGCATAGTATCAGGAACATGTAAGACATTCAATATTTATGGTGCAAATTAATAAATAGAATGCAATGTACTATACTCAGCTCTGGGATCAGAGAACTAATTTTCAAGGTCAATTCTGCTTGACAGTTACACTTTTTTTGAAGTAAAAACTTGTTCAGAATTTCCAGTCAACTTAGCAAGAACAGTATGAACCTCCCCAAACAAATGGTAAACCAAAACACATTAACGGGAAGTTTGTATTTTACTAATGGTAATGACTATATTCTTCATATTTTTTTCAAGGATGTTCAAGCCATTATTGTCAGTAACTTTCTTACTTAAAGGCCTACTTTAGGTAATTACAAGAAAATTTTAATGTTTTCTATCAAACTCCAACTTTTTAAGAGAAATCAAGATATATTAAATTTATGTACTGCACATTCACTGTGTTTCCAGCGCTCTTATGCACCTAATATTCATTTTTGTAAACATCTGATTCGTTCTGGAGCCACGGGACGACGCACACACTAAGAACAAGTGCACAGAGTGGTCAATTTGGCAAAGGCCTAGAATGCAGGTGCCTAGAAAATAGGGCGGAGCCACTATCAGTTGAAGTGCAACAAAACATATAAGGTACTCTAGGCTTAGAGAGATGGGTTCGCAGACTCTATCAAGTCTGTTTCCCGTCTGCCGGACGAAGGAAAATAAGCGTCCCTGTATGAGCCTACCCTAACTACAAAGAAAATGCTACTGAACTTAGATTCAGATTTTTTTTTCAAAGGCTTCTTATCAAACTGTAAGGAGCAGGAAAGCGAAGGCTCAGGATATCCACAGAGCCCAGGAAGTGAGGTTAACAGAGCGGTACCCAGTGCCAACTTGATGGGGGAAGACCAGACCCAAAGGGCGGGAGTCGAGCCCAAAACCAAGGACGGAAAGAGCATCTCACTTACCGCTCTCCACCTTAAATTTCTCATGCCGCCCCTTCAGGCCATCGATCTCGGATTGCTGATCAGCAAGGAACTTTTCAAGTTTGTTCTGGACAGACTTGGGCAGCTTGTTCAGCTCCGTGCGCTCCAGGACTTGCTGCAACACCGCCGCCATGTCGGTGGGGCCAGGGACCCCAGTGGCAGCGGCCGACGGGGTAGAAGCGGAGAAGAAAGGCGAAGACCAGCAGGACCCAGACGCCTGGGCCGCCGCCTCTATCACCTCGCTCGGTGGCTCGCGCGCGCCCGCCCGCCGGAGACTCCCGCGGCGGGACCCTGGGAAATCGAGTCCACCCTCAGCGGCAGCGTTTCAGCAACAGCACCTCACCGCCCGCGACCGAAGTGCGCGCGCAGCCGTTGGAAGCTACGAACCCTGGGAACCCGAGCTCAGAGGCTATCCCTGATCCTCTTGCGCACCCAATTTTCCGGCTTCCAGCTCCACCCACTTCAGGCCTTGTAGGGCTCTGGGAAATGTAGTGTTTTTCTCATTCTTTTCCGGGAGCCCAATGCTGCACCGCCCTCTCAGCTTCCGTTTTTCTCCCCGCTCCCCTGGCTCTCCTATCTCGGCCCCGTAACCGCTGTCCGCACGGTGGCGCCACATACGTACTCGTCACCCCTTGGCCCTCCCTGAAGAGCTGGTGACCTTACCGTCAAAGCCCCGGGATGCCATGGATCGTCCTCGTTGGCGGCTTCTGGACACTGAGCCACTAGAGGGCATCGGTCCCGGTAGGGCCGGACGGCAGGCTCCGGGATACCGCCACGCTCTCTATGGCGCCCAGAAGGGGGCGGGGTGGCGACCGCAGTCGCTTTGGCTGAGGCTCTGCGGGGAAGGGAGGGGGGGCTTTTACGTCATCAATCTGCGCCACCTGACTCCCAAGTCCCTGGCTTTGGAGTGGGAAGTGAGGTGTGGGAAGTAGGTCGCTTTCTGATGAATTCAGTGGCAGTGAATTGAGACCGGAGGGAATCTGGCCCCTAGAGGCTGGTACTTGGGCCCGAAACCCCCATCTCCGGCGGAGAGACCGTCCGAGGTAATTGTCTGCCACGAGTGCACATTCTGAAAACAGGTAAGTCAGCCTAAGTGTAGTGTGTGTGTGTGTGTGTGTGTGTGTGTGCTCTCTTTTCAAGAGAAAAAGGAAGGGACAGTGTTGGAACCATATGGACAGTCACTCCGGCACACACTTCTGACGAACTTACCTTGTGTGAAACGGCGTACCTAAATGGTTTTTGGTGGTGGGGAGGTGGCACTGAGTGATTCAGTACCCGGGAATTTAAGGACCCGGGTTAATTCTTCAGGAGGAGAATTAAAAGAAACCGGTAGCACTTTGAGTGTAGCCTATGTTTTAAATTTTTCGTTGCAGAAACGGTTACCTAACATTATATTGTTTTTAAAATTGAAAACTGTTGTAACTGAAGTTTTTAAACACATTGTTAATTTCTACAGTAACAGAACTTGTATGGTTCCAGATCATAATTCTGTAGTTTTAAAGCTCAATCCGTAGATTGTTTCGTGTTTACTCTTATGAAAGAATTTGTTAAATTATTCATTGTAAATAATGCATTCCCAGTGTCGTCTCTCTGCAGTTCCCACAGTCGTGGGCCTTCTGTGAATTGGTGATTTAGTTCTTATATGAAATTTATTCTTTTTCTCTAGTTCTTACTTTTGAATCATGTTGTGAAGCCGTCTAAGAAATATAAATGGAAGCATTTTATGATATTTTGTAATAACTAAGGAAAAATAAATCAACAGCGGAGCTTAAGGTTGATTTTTCCCCAAAAATATTTTTTAGATAAGCATTGTAATTAAAGTTGCTGGTATATGAAGTATTATGCTATGTCCTAAGCCCACAGTATTATCATACTGTTGATCTGTCATTTGGGAAATGTAGATTTTTCTGTACTTAGATTCACAGAATCCTAAAATTAGATAGGTTTTCAGATCTGCTAGGATTCAAATGCTTTATTTTATAGATTAGGAAACCAGAGCCCAGAAAGGTTGAGTTGTGTCAGTCACAGTGCTTGGACCACAAAGGCTTTGGCTGATATACAACATTTCTGGAAAATTATGACCCTATAAGGCAAAATACAGTTGTCCCTTGGTATCCGTGGGGCATTGGTTCCAGGACCCTCTCACCTGCCCACCCCATGGATATGAAATCCATGGATGCTCCAGTTCCTTATATTAAATGGTGTAGCATTTGCATATCTTAAATCATCTCTAAGTTACTTATAATACCTAATACAATGTAAATGCTATAGTTGTTATATTATATTGTTTAGGGAATAGTGACAAGAAAAAACATCTTTAATGATACAGATGTAATCATGCTTTAAAAAAATAATTTTTCAATCTGTGGTTGGTTGAATACATGGAAGTGGAAACCACAGATGTGGAAAGCTGACTATATACATTTTTAGTACTGCCTTTTATAAAGTATGGTTGACTACATTTAAAAATTTTGAAAGAGCACTAAAGAAAAATTTATCTGACATTCAATCAGATTTCATAATTGAATAGATTTTCATCTCCCTATTACATTCAGTTTCTTACACATTAATATGGCTACTAGGTGACACCCTAGAAGAAATAAGGTTAAAAGGTTAAATATAACTTTAGAATTACTTGTATTTGTTGCAAGAATTAAGAATTATTAGACCAGAAGGAAAAGGAGTATAATATGATATAGAGGAAAGTAGATACATAGAATTGCATACCTTAAGGCATTACTAAAAGGTAAAAGCCCTTAACTTCACAGAGGCAACAGTGATATTTAGACAAGCATTCCTAGACTTAGTCTCTAAAAAATGATATGCAAATCTGATTCACGTCTATTGTTGTCAAAAAAGAGCTAGGAAGGCCAGGCATGGTGACTCACACCTGTAATCCCAGCACTTTGGGAGGCCAAGGCAGGCAGATCACACGGTCAGGAGATCGAGACTATCCTGGCTAACACGGTGAAACCCCGTCTCTACTAAAAATACAAAAAATTAGCCGAGTGTGGTGGCGGGTGCCTGTAGTCCCAGCTACTTGGGAGGCTGAGGCAGGAGAATGGCGTGAACCTGGGAGGTGGAGCTTGCATTGAGCCGAGATCGCGCCACTGCACTCCAGCCTGGGCAACAGAGCAAGACTCCATCTCAAAAAACAAAAAAAAAAAAGAGCCAGGAAGAAATTAATGTATTTTGAGACAAAACTGAACAAGCTCATTGAAACAATAAGGAAACAGCCTCCAGTAGGACATTTCAGACTTGAATCCATTCTCTGGGCTTTAGTTTTAAAATGCAAAACCGTTTTGTGACTGACAGTTTACTGGTATCAGATATACCACCCCAGCATATCTCTGGTAGCCTTAACTTTGTGGTACTGAATAAGATTCACATTTTTAACAGAATCCAAATGATGATGATTCCTAAATTGCAGTGTTCAAAATACTGTAACTGTGTTCCTGCAGTCTCTGTTTGTTTTATAGCTCTTTTGGATATCATCTCTTTTACATTTTCATCCTCACTGATTATGAACTCCTTGATTTAATCATTCATTATATTGCCTAGCTCTTTTATTCAATATCTTTGGTTTTAAGCTATAGAAATGCAAATCAAAGGAGCATAAGCCAATAGAGGGAATGAATATACTGACTTCCATCCACAGACCAGAGGGAAAACAGAGTAAGAGCTACCCGTAGTAATGATTTAATTGAAGGACTGGTTACGATTCCTCATTATGAGCGTGGTGTTGAAAAACATGGATTCTAGAGCCAGAGTGTCTGAATTTAAGTCCCTCCTTTGCCACTTACCCAGCTTTGTCACTTTGGCAAGTTATTTAATCAACTTTTCTCATTTCAGTTTCTTCATCTATAAAATGAGGATTATAATAATGGTACCCACTTCCTGGGGTTTTATGAATTATTAATGTTACATGGAAAGTACTTACAATAATGCGTTGTACAAAGTAGAAGCTATATGTTGTTATTGTATTGCTATTTATCTACTTAAATAACTCTTACTGTAGTATGTATTGCTCAAGGACAGAGATTGTGTTGCTCATCTTTGTGTTATCCCACTTAGCATAGTTTCTAAGCAAATAGTATAGTTCTTTCATATATGCTTATCAAGTAAATGAATTTGACTCTACCTCCTAATGAACTATTCAGAAATTCATGTTTACGATTTTAGCAATGAGAACACCAAGACTTAGCAATAGAGTATCAAAGATAATACAACTAGGGAGTAGATCTAAAATAAGAAATCTGGTGTGTTGGCTGGGCATGGTGGCTCACGCCTGTAATCCCAGCACTTTGGAGGCCGAGGCGGGCGGATCACCTGAGGTCAGGAGTTCGAGACCAGCCTGGCCAACATGGTGAAACCCCGTCTCTACTAAAAACACAAAAATTAGCCGGGCATGGTCGTGAGCCCCTGTAACCCCAGCTACTCAGGAGGCCGAGGCAGGAGAATCACTTGAACCTGGGAGGCAGAGGTTACAGTGTGCCGAGGTTGCGCCACTGCACTCCAGCCTGGGTGACAAGAGCAAAACTCCGTCTCAAAAAAAAAAAAAAAAAAAAGAAATCTGGTGTGTTGCTTACTAGTTTAGTATCCTCTCCCTTATCCCAGGTATGAGTAAAAGGTTTGATCTCTCATGTCAACTCTGGTTGATTTGTGGTTGTTTCCTGCTGCATTGTATTGAGAAGAACTCTGGAACTGCATCTGAACTTTGCAAGAAGGAATACACTATGTAATAAGTATTTGCTGCAAGGCATGAGATAGCCTCAGGATAGTATCACTTCTCTTGCTAAACTACTCCCATGATAAAGACATTGCAAATGATATTTTACCTAAATGCTGTATCTTTTCTTCTTGTGATATAGGAGATTTTAGTTCCTAAAAATGGGAAGAACCTACATTGTAGAAGAGACTGTTGGCCAGTATCTTTCAAACATAAATCTCCAAGGAAAGGCTTTTGTCTCTGGCCTTTTAATAGGACAGGTATGTATCTTTTACTCTGCATTTATAACTAAATAATTACTCTGTAATTTATTTTAAAAATTACTTGTTGATTTAAAGTTAAAAGATGCTATTTAATAATAAACTCAAGATTGGGGGATGGAAGAAGAAATGTGGAAGAAGTAACTTTAAAGTAGGTCTTTGAGGAAACATGGAGAAGTAGACAAACCTAGCCCAATTTTGCTCGTCAGGACACCTTCCCCTTTGACCATGTAAACGTAATTTATAATATGGAAACTTCAGAATTAGAATGTTTATTGACCAGATTTTTCACATTTTGTTGTCTTTCCAAAGTGTTTTGTATTCCCTTCTAATCTTTTTAATATCTGGTTGTCCAGTTCTTTACAAAAGAAGCTTTTGAAAATTTTATTCCTGTTCTAATTTGTGTTGTCTTATATCAGACTTATGGCAACAGTGGTCATATTTTTGTTGTAAGCTATAGTACCCATCTTACTGAATTTTTTGTTGTTGTTGTTGGATCAATAGGGAGGGAGAGGGATTGGGAAAAATTTGGAAATTAGACAAATTCTAATTTCCTCTTAGAGCTGAGTCTTAAAAACACAAAATGGAACAGAGATTCAGATACTTATTTTAAAACCCATGCCACTGATTTCTTATGAGTGAAGGAAGAACGTGTTAATCGGCAGGAGGGACCGGTCAGCAGTACAAAGCCAAAAAAAAAAAAAAAGGAGAGTCACACAGGCAAGCTGACTGTGTCCATCCAAACACAGGAGAGTGCACTTTGGCCCAAGGACTTGATTTTGAGGCCTACTAGCCAATAAAGCTCTTATTGGGACAATTTTCTTTCTAGATATCTTAGCCTGATGCCTTAGAATCTTCAAATTACATAATTAACTTTCCTTATTCTGATTCTACCCATATTCCCAAGCTACTTTCTTTTATAATTTGATGCCCCATGTTATCTACTTATAAAGAATACACTGTCCAGAGGACTCAAGTGTTCAGATGCCTTCATGACATTTTAGTTTTCTACATCATTCTGAATAAACTTAATCAATGTCAGTCTAGCCATGAAAGACAGGCTCATTTTCAGAATTTTTACAAATCAGATTTCTTAATTTGCAAGACAGAGGGCAGATCTACATGGTTCAACCAGGTAGCACCACTCTGTGAGGCCTCTCATTAGACAGCCAGACTGCCTCTCTTGAGAACAGTGTGAATTTCTTTTTAATTCAGTTGTAATGTGGGGCTCTTTTTGTTAGGAGTTTTCTATTTAAGTTTTTTTCTTTCTCTTTGTTTAAAACATTTAAGAGAAGAAGAGTCTTAGAGAAAGATGTGATCAGTAGAGATAAAAAGTCAGGGAGAAAGACCCTCTTCTAAATTTGTCTTAACTGGATAAAGGTTGTTTCTAAAGCTCAGGCAAACTGCCATCTTACAAATGAGTGTCTCATAATTTAAGGCCTTCCTTCTTTTTTTTTTTTTTGAGACGGAGTCTCGCTGTCGCCCAGGCTGGAGTGCAGTGGCGCAATCTCGGCTCACTGCAGGCTCCGCCCCCTGGGGTTCACGCCATTCTCCTGCCTCAGCCTCCCGAGTAGCTGGGACTACAGGCGCCCGCCACCTCGCCCGGCTAATTTTTTGTATTTTTAGTAGAGACGGGGTTTCACCGTGTTAGCCAGGATGGTCTCGATCTCCTGATCTCGTGATCCGCCTGCCTCGGCCTCCCAAAGTGCTGGGATTACAGGCGTGAGCCACCGCGCCCGGCCTAAGGCCTTCCTTCTATCTCTTTTTATGCTGTAGTATGTATTGCTCACGGACAGAGCAATTCATTCCTTTCAGTATTCTACGTGCTTTTTCTTCCAGAGTTCATTACTTTTTCCTCTCCTTCCTCTTAAGCTTGCCTGTTTCCTGGTCTCTGTCAGTTTCTTTTTCTTTTCAAAGTTATACATTTTATGAAGAAAAGAGGAGCCTTCTTAACTGAGACCTACTTTCTTTTCCTGTGTTTATTTGAATGTAACTTCCTGAAAATAACCTGTAGGAATAGTTACTCTTATTTTCTATCCCAAGATGATACTAATGATCAGAGTTTCAGGTCATGTGTGGGGAAGATACAATGCTAACTTGCATTAGCAGTGTTATTTTCACTCTTTTTTTATAGGAAACTTTCACTGTAGTGAAACTGAGCTATTGAATGTTCCCCTACATTTATTTTTAGATCTCCCAACTTTGGTTACTACTTAACTGATATTACAGCTGAAGAACAGATTGGGTGTGGTGGCTCATGCCTGTAATCCCAATGCTTTGGGAGGCCGAGGTGGGAGGATTGCTTGAAGGTCAGAGTTTGACCTAGCCTGGGCAACATAGCAAGACTCTGTCTCTACAAAAAAGTAAAAAAAAAAAAAAAAAAAAGCCAGGCATTATGGCTGATTGTTTGAGCCTGTAGTCCTAGCTACTTGGGAGACTACTTGGGGGGAGGATTGCTTGAGCCCAGGAGTGCAAGGTTGCAGTGAGCTATGATCACACCACTGCACTCCAGCCTGGGCATTAGAGCAAGACCCTGTCTCTAAATAAATAAATAAATACACACACACACAAAGAACAAAAAACAAAACAAAACAAAAAACTTGAGGAACATAGAATCTGTATCACTTTAAATTGTGTCCCAAATCCCCTTTGTTATTCTGTGGAAATGTATGTGGAAGTTCCCTACTGTCATCATTTCAATTAAAATAAGATACAAAAGGTCACTTGTTGTTTCATTTTACTAATATTTTCCGATCTGTTCATTTATAACTTATAAAACAAATATAACTAGAAAACTGAATAAGCATATTACTTTTTAGTTAATGTAATTCATTCACTCATCCAGTAAACCATTTTTAGGGACCACTCCATGATTTACATTTGAGTTGTCCAAATAAATAAGAAGCTGATATTAAATACATTAAAAGATAAACAACATGTGAGGGAAAGATTGTAAGGCCATCCTTGAAAATTAGCTTCCCTTTAGCTTCCATTATAATGTGGGTATTAATGATTTAACCTGTTACAAATATTACTCAGTTTTTGCATGTCATAAAAGCTAAGGAATTTAGGTATCACTCTAATTAGATTGAGGAATCAGATATCACTCTAACAAGCTTTTTAATTTGTTGTTGAAGTGTTCGTCACAAAAGGATTATGTGATTCTTGCCACTAGAACGCCACCCAAAGAGGAGCAAAGTGAGAACCTCAAACATCCCAAAGCTAAGTTGGATAACTTGGATGAAGAATGGGCCACAGAACATGCCTGCCAGGTTATCTTATTTTTTTGTTTATATGTTTAAGTTTTATTTCAAAAAAGAGCTAGAATCAAGAAGATTTAGTGAATGAGTAGAGAGAAGAGACATAGGGAGAAAGTAGCTAAAGATGACTGAGATTTTTAGTCTGGGTGTCTAGGAGGATACTGTTGGCATTACACGAGGAAGAAACAGATTTGGGATGGGTGAGTGGGAATAATGACTAAATTAATTCACTTACAAGTATTTATTGAATGAATTATATATCATCAAATAAATAATGTTAGAATAAGGTAAAAATAGAATTATTTCCTTTTCTGGGGTTGGGGGTGAGGGGAGGGAACTTAGAGGACAGGTCAATAGGTGCAGCAAGCCACCATGGCACACGTAAACCTATGTGACAGACTTGCACATTCTGCGTTTTTGTTTGTTTGTTTTAAGAAAAAGAATTTTCTTTAATAAATAAAAGATTTATTTCCTTTTCCAATCAACTTTAAATCTTTAAATCTTTTAAACTCAAACGTGTTTCTGTGTATGTAGATATATATATATATATATATGGACATATATTTGTGTCTGTGTATGTGTTTGATTATGGAGCAGTGTGTAGTTATATTTAAAAAAAAAATAAAATCTTGCCTGTAATCCCAGCACTTTGGGAGGCCAAGGTGGGTGGATCACCTGAGGTCAGGAGTTCAAGACCAGCCTGGCCAACATGGTGAAACCCCGTCTCTAGTAAAAATATGAAAAACTAGCCAGGTGTGGTGGCAGGTGCCTGTAATCCCAGCTACTTGGGAGGCTGAGGCAGGAGAATTGCTTGAACCTGGGAGGCGGAGGTTGCAATGAGCCAAGATCACACCATTGCACTCCAGACTGGGCGACAAAGCGAGACTCTGTCTCAACAAAACAAAACGAAGAAATCCAGTATTTAATTATTATTGTTTTAGTCTGTTTGGGTGGCTATTAAGGAATACCTAAGACTGAGTAATTTATAAAGAAAAAAAGGCCTGTTTGGCTCATGATTCTGCTGGCTGCAAGATTGAGCATCTGGTCAAAGCCTCAGGCTGCTTCTGTTCATGTCAGAAGGCAGATTGGAGCTGGTGTGTAAAGATCACTGGGCCAGAGAGGAAGCAAGGGGTTGGGAGGTGCTAGGCTTTTTTTTTTAACAACCAGCTCTCGTAGGAACAAATATAGCGAGAACTCATTCACTGCTCTGAGGATGGAACCAAGCCATTAATGAGGGATCTGCCCCATGACCCAAACACCTTCCATTAGGCCCCACTTGGGTTCACATTTCAACATGGTGTTTAAGGGGACAAACATGGCAACTATCTTCTAAAGAAAATATTAAGTAATGTAAAGTTAAATTCCCAATGGTTTGTAAATAACTTTCTACTCTAATTTTGCTTTTGGTCTCTCATAAAATTGTATATGACACACACACACACACACACACACACACACACAGAATATTAATGAATTTATATAGTAAATTAGCTTAACCTTTTACCTCTAGAAAGAAAAGGTTAATTTTACTTTTTCCCCTTTCTTGCTCTCACCTCCATCTCCTAAAAAATGGTTACTTTTTTGTGTTGGTGATTTTGAAAAGATATGCAGGCTCCTTATGCTAAATATGAAAACTTTATTTGTCAGAATTGTGCTACTATAGTAAATAGAATTTATTAAATCAGAGGAAAACACCGAAAGACATAGTGCAAGTAGATTAAGGATTAGAGCATGGTACCTAATTTTCTAAGACTGTACTCTGATTGATTGCTTGTACATTAAGTAATCAAAAGCTAACCAAAACACTCTAATCTCTGAGTGTAGATGATAGAAAAAAATCCATGTGGTATTAAGAACTAGCCACAATCATGTGAAGGGAAATACAGATATGGAGATATCATGGTAGTATGTATCAAAAACCTTAAAAATATGTATAACTTCTTAAACCAGTTATCCACCTCAAGGGATTTGTCCTAAACAAATAATTCTATGAATGCAGAAAGATGTACTAGGATTTTTAATCAATATTATTTTAAGGTAAAATTAGATATAGCAAAGATGCCCAGTATCAGTAAGTGGGCTTAAAAATTTGAGGTTAATCTATGCAATAGAAAATAATGGATTTTCAAGTCAGACTCCCTCTGTTCAAATTCCAGATCTAGTATGCTGCTAAAAATAGGGATACAGAGGTAGAATTACTTATTCCCTTAAGGAGCTCCCTGACCAACTAGTAGGGTTCACAGATAACTATGATATAAGACTATGTGATAAAATCCATGGGAAAACTACACCAAAGCCCTGTCGGAGTTCAGAGATGAAAAGATCAGAGAAGGCAGCTTCCTCAAGCTGCCTTTGAAGTATCCAGTAGGGTTGAGACATGCAGAAGTATAAGAAAAAGTCAGTTTCGGCCTAGGGAACACCCTGAGTAAAGACACATAGTTAGAAAGCCTAGGATGTGTATGGAAAACAGTTTATAGCCTCATTTGACACTACTTTTCAAGTAGTTTTTGACAAATATTTGAATTACTTGAGGAAAAGTAGTGTCAAATGAGGGTATAAACATCATTGACCAGATCCTAGAAAGTCTGAAATATCAATCTAAAATAAAACTTCATTTTATTTAGCTGATGGTGGGACGCCATTGAAAAAATATTTCAGTCTTTGATCTCCTGAGAAAAGGATTTATTTATTGATGTAGCTAAAGGATGTTGTTATCAGATAGTTTTATTTATAAAGTAGTTTTAAGGTGAAAAGCTAAGGACATGCTAAGCAGACAGTTTCTCAAACAGAAAGGATTGCATATAATGCCAATTTGTTAGCTAATAATATATTTCTATTTTTAGGTATCCAGAATGCTACCAGGGGGACTTTTAGTTCTTGGAGTATTTATTATTACTACTTTAGAACTGGCAAATGATTTTCAAAATGCCCTGCGTAGAGTAAGTTTGATATATCGAAAATTCTTAATGAAATCAGTTATATGTTATTTTTACTGATTATGAGTATGTGTAATGATTCTAGGCATATTTACATTTGTTTTCCATAATTCTTTTTGTTGGGGTTACATTGAAAAAGCTTTTGTCACTCAATTGCTTGGATATCTTGAGTGTAAAAAATGTTTATATTTTTAAAAACTACACATTTTATTTATTATTTTTTCCATGGGTAATTTTATTCTTTATTTAGTACACTACCCAAAACAGGGCTATCATCAGCCCATATGGCATTTCATACAAATTTGAAAAAGCTATTCTTTCCTCAAGTTAAAAAGTTAAATTATTTACTTCTCAATAATAACCATGACTAATGACAGTAATTCCATGTAAATTATGCAAACAAATAATTCATTGTAAAATATTGAAAAATTCAAATGATTAATTATAATATTAAGAACTCAAAGTCACTTGGATCTAATAATTTGTTGTAAAAAAGGCATCTTTGTGGAAGTAATTCTTTTTGACAGAAAAACTACATATTTTAAAATAATCTTTATTTTAGAGGTAATTTCTGACTATTAGGAAACAAATTATAATGCTTTAAACAGTTTTTCTTATGCAATAGCAGTATTCTGTCACACCTTCCATTTAGTACCTAGTGATTACTGTAACATGAAATTAATAGGTGCTGAAATTCTTTACCTTCTTCTCAATTCTCCGGAGATCCTGAGAGTAAAACATAAACAATCAGATTATTCCTGGACACAGTATCTATCAGAAATCTCCTGTGTTTTTTGCTTAATTGCTGCACCAGAGAATTGGGTAACATAGTGTAAAAGTAAATATGAAGGTCCACATGCTGTTTTCCCTTAAACCCAAACCTAAGGTAGATTCTGTGTAGCCAGCTCTTTTAGCATTCAGGATCCACATGAACTTTTTGAAGGGTATTTCATACCCCAAAAGAGGGGGAACCTTAAAATCTTGAGACATATAAAACCCAACCCCAACAGTATCCCAGAAAAACATTTTTTAGGTAAAAAATATACAGCTGAGAACTTCAGATGTTACAGATTTTTTCAGTCTTGTAACCTGTCCTGTCAGATGTCCCAGCCTCAAGCCTTTGATATTTGCACCTAAGGGAGTAAGGGAAGAAAATGGAGATATTCTCCTCCCTGCTAAATTGTTTAACCCTCTGCCAACTTTTCCATCTTAAATAAATTTACCTTGTTTACAATTGTTCATTCTCTTTGGCATTTTGAAATTTAACCGAAATCTATGCGTATTTAATATTAATAGCATTCATTGTGCAACCTTTTTTGGCTGGTGCTGAATTGAGGGGGTTGAATGTGGGCCCAGTGCTAGAGAGATACAGCCAGGCCCACTTTCCTTGCTTTTGTATCTTTTGTTCCTAAAAAGTATATAAAACTTTAGAAATGCTTTATCTCTGACATTACTGAGTTTCAATTATCTAATTGTTTCCACTGGCTACACTGACAAACACTACAAGAAACAGCCTTATAAAACTTGTCAGTGTCACCCATTATTGTTAAGGACTTTATTCATCATATTACATTAATATTGTGTTTCCGGAAGAATTTCTTTTTATATTATGAAGAAGGTTGTGCCTCCTCTGATGATTGTTTTTAGCTTACAGACCATGTGAATTAGGTTACAGATTAGATTTCTCTCTGCACATTATTGTTAGAAAGCTTAGACCGAAATGTATTACCACCCCTTACATCAAGTATGCATTTTTATAATTCTTATTTCTGACACAAATTTATCTCACTATTCTACTTTAACTTTCAATTTGTTATTACTATATTTTATATGTTGTTATATATTGCCTTAAGTCTTGTGTGACGTTTAAATAAGAAATGCTAAATGGGTGACATGCTTGATTTCTTTAGTTAAAATCACTTATCATTTCTCATTCTAATTAAAGTCTCTGTTCTATAGTTTATATAAATTCTAGTTGCCCCAAATTAATTTTTTGTGTCCAGTTAATCTCTAATGATAGTGAATTAAATTTTTTTATTTAAACCCAATTTTTCTGTAATTTCCTAAAAGGAATTCAAAAATGTTAGTAATTAGCTCCAGTCTTTAATTTGAAGAAAAGAAAAATTAATGGTGGCACACACCTGTAGTCCCAGTTACTTGGGAAGCTGAGGTGAGAGAATCACTTGAGCCCAGGTGTTCAAGGCCAGCTTGAGCAACATAGTGAGACCCCTTCTCCAATAAATAAAGAATCATGGAATTTTAAAGCTAAATGAGAGTTGGGGACATTATAATTGCCTATTTCAACACTCATCTTTTTTTTTCATTTTACATTCAATTAGTGTGTATTTTTCTCTCTTTCAGCTAATGTTTGCTGTGGAAAAGTCTATAAATAGAAAGAGATTGTGGAATTTCACAGAGGAGGAAGTCTCAGAACGAGTGACACTTCACATTTGTGCTTCTACAAAAAAGTATCTTTTGTTCAGTTTATGGTTTAAAAGTACAAAGTACCAAAATAATATTCTTGCAAGGTTTTTTTGCTATTTATTTAAATCATCATTTAAAAAATAGGCATAGTTTTGTAAGATTTTTCTGTAAATAACATGGAATTAGAGCCACCAATAATAATAATAGCAATAATGGTTGTTAATCATGTCCCAAGGTGATAAAAAGCTTGAGATCTGTAATATGAAAGACTCAGGATTCTGAATTTTTTACCAGCTATCTGCCCTGTACATCCAAGCACAGCAGATTCCCTACAGAGATAAATGCCTAACTGATGGCTTAGGCAAAGTAATGTTTTTATTATGTTAAAGTTTTCACCTCCAGTTTCTATAGATAAGGATGTACAATTCAAAGCACAGGTGCACAGAGCTGGATGGTATAGGACATCGGAGAAATTCTTATGTCTTTGGCTAAGATGAAATGACACTAAAAGCCAGTTACACGGCCTCTTACCAGGGCAAGAGTACCTCCCAAGCAAGGGTCATCCTCACCAAAGGAGTGACACGATCCATGGACTTCCAAAGACAGAATTTTAAAAGTGACCATTCCTGCAGAAGCAGGGCTTTTTTTTTTTTTAACAACAACAAAAAAAATCTTTAGTATTTAACTGCAAAGTTTCATATACAAGCCCTTTAATCCAATAAATAGTCTCAGGTTTGACCTCATATAAAACAGTGGTACTTTTTCTTATGGAGAGTGTATATTTGAGAAGAATCTCACGAGTGCTTTGATTCTATTTATTGCAATTAGCGGGATTCATAAAAGGTAGGAAATGATTTTCAAGCACCGCAAGTACTATAGTGATAGCAGTTTGTATGTATGATTATATATACACATATGTATATATATGCACACATGTACATATATGTACGCATATCTTTAAAGTGTTATGATTTTGTAAGAACTTTTGGATGCGTGCATTTTTTAGTTTATTTTTTGATAGTTTATATTCTTTTAGTTACCAATAATGCCTTTTTTGGTTATTTCTGTCCTTAATTAGTGAAGAATATTTTGTCGAACTTATGATATCCATGATCCAAAGGTAAGAAATTTACTCTTTAAAGATTTTTCTGTGTCACAAAGTATTTTCAATCAAAATTCAGCTTTTATTTAGTTTTAATAATTTCCATTGCCATCACTTCCTATTGATGCCTACAAACAACTGTAGTTTTTATTTTGAAATATGATTAATTTTATTACAGATAAGGAAAACTTTTTTGTGCGTGACAGGGTCTCACTCTCTTGCCCAAGCTAGAGTGCAGTGATGCAGTCATAGCTCACTGCAGCCTCCACCTCTTGGGCTCGAGGGATCCTCCCACCTCAGCCTCTTGAGTAGCTGAGACTATAGATGTGCACCACTGCACCTGGCTAATTATTTTTGTTTTTTGTTTTTTGTTTTTTTTGATAGAGATAGGGTTTCACCATGTTAGTTATGTTTGTCTTGAACTTCTGGGCTCAAGTGATCTGCCTGTCTTCGCCTCCCAAAGTGCTGAGATTACGGGCTTGAGCCACCACGGCCAGCCAACTTTTTAAAAAATTGTTAAAATATCTTTGTTAATCTCCTCCTACCTTGTTTGTGTATTTAGTTTTATATTTGAGAGGCTGGTAGTAAAAGTGACTGAGGACTTTTGGTAGCTGCACTGCCTATTAAACAAGCTATGTGTATTCAGCAAAACCCAGATTAGCACTTTGCTAATGCATCTAAAAGGGTTGTGAAAAAGTAACTTTGCAGTGTCATTAGCAAGGATGGGACAGAAAGGAGAATGCCTGCCACCTAGGAGTTGCTCAGTGATTATTTGCTTCAGATCAGAATCTTCAGTATTGATACTGTTGAAGCTAGAGGATCAAAGGACCTTTCAGAATTCTAAACATGGAAATTTCTGATTCTTTTTCTGCCTACCATTGGGAGGAGAAGTATTGCCAAGGATGTATTGAAGAGTACTGAACTTAACACATGCTTTATTTTGTGTTTAGTTCAACCTATAGTCTTTTGATCAAGGGTTTAGCCATATATGTTAGATATGAGTTTGTATGCGTTATTTAGGTTGTATATTTAATAATGTTTTGTTGATCCATGTATTTTATCTAGACTACATCATAGTTATTTTTCTCCCTTCTCCACTGCTAGAGTTCAGCAAGACCAGCAGATTGGAAGTATCAAAGTGGATTATCATCCTCATGGCTTTCTTTAGAGTGTACAGTTCACATTAATATTCACATCCCACTTTCTGCTACTTCTGTCAGCTATACTCTGGAGAAAAATACAAAGGTACCAGGGTAAAATGAATTTTCTTCAGTGATTGCTGAGTGAACAATCTGCTTTTATTCTGCTTACATGTGTCATTCATTTTACAATCCTCAAAAATTACATTCTGCTTACAATGTTGTTATGTGAGTAACTTATTACCGCAGCCAAATTAGAAATTTTTAGAAATTTTTAGAAGTGGAACAATGTCATAATACTAGTATATTCAGTTTAATAATAACTAATAATTTAGTTGTTAGACTAAATATACTAGTACTTATTATGTGCTGATTAAGTATTATTATGTGCTTTGTCATTAAACTAAATATAACAGTATTCATTAATTAACATGTAAAATGTAATTAATGTAAGAAGCTATACTGTTTGGACTTTTAGCTTTCTCTTAGTACTTAGGTTTTTTTGTCTTCCTTTTTCCAGTTCTTTTTTGTATTTCTATACCATTCTTTTATTTTTATCTTATTTTTCTTCATTTTTCCCATTGAAGATGTCAAATAGAGCTTTTTTTTTTTATTTTTTAGACTTATTTGATGCTTTTTTCTCACTTTTTTTTTTAAGGTAGTGGGCATTAAATTTTATTTAACTGATCATGTACTTAATAACCTCCTGAGTCTGTGACATAAATGTTATTCTGGGATAAAGATCAGAAAATAACTATTATTAAATATAATAAGGTATCAAGAATGGGGGTATACTTTTTTTTAATTTGTGAAACTAGATTTAAATGCTGCAGTAATGAGATTTAGGGATTTTAATATTTCAATTTATTAGGTGGAACAAAGTAGATTATAGGAAGTTTAATTGAGATGGCATTGTATCTGAAAGATTTCCATGTTGTGTTTCTGTTAAGAATGGACTTACACGCTGGGCCAAGGAAATAGAAAATGGTGTTTATTTGATTAATGGACAAGTTAAAGATGAAGATTGTGACCTATTAGAAGGACAGGTAAGTTAAGAGAAAATCATCTTATTAAATTGTTAGTGCTTAAGGAAAAATAAAACATGACTTATTTTTAGTCCTTGCCTACAAGAAAACTGATTTCATCTACCTCTCATTTCTGATTTCTGATTTAAAGTAAAAGGCAAATGTTTTTCTTAGAAAAACAACCTCATTAAAAAGTAGGCAGAGGATATGAACAGACACTTTTCAAAAGAAGACATACATGCAGCCAAGAATCGTATGAAAAAAAACTCAGCATTACTATCGGTAGAGAAACACAAATGAAAACCACAATGAGATACCATCTCACACCAGTCAGAATCGCTGTTATTAAAAAGTCAAAAAATAACAGATGCTGGCAAGGCTGCAGAGAAAAAGGAATGCTTATAAACCGTTGGTGGGAGTATAAATAAGTTCAACCATTGTGGAAGGCAGTGTGTTGATTCCTCAAAGACCTAAAAACAGAGATACCATTTGACCCAGCAATCCTATTACTGGCTATACCCTCAAAGGAATATAAATTGTTTTATTGTAAAGACACATGCATGCATTATGTTCATTGCAGCACTATTCACAATAGCAAAGACATGGAATCAACCTAAATGCCCATCAATGACAGACTAGATAATGAAAATGTGGTACATATACACCATGGAATACTGTGCAGCCATTAAAACAGAACGAGATCATGTCCTTTGCAGGAACATGGATGGAGCTGGAGGCCTTTATCCTTAGAAAACGAATGCAGGGGCCAGGCATGGTGGCTCATGTCTGTAATCCCAGCACTTTGGGGGGCCGAGGTGGGTGGGTCACTTGAGGTCAGGAGTTTGAGACCAGCCTGGTCAACATGGTGAAACCCTGTGTCTACTAAAAATACAAAAGTTAGCTGGGCATTGGTGGCAGGTGCCTGTAATTGCAGCTACTTGGGAGGCAGGGGCCAGGCGTGGTGGCTCATGCCTGTAATCCCAGCACTTTGAGGGGCCAAGGTGGGCAGATCACTTGAGGTCAGGAGTTCAAGACCAGCCTGGTCAGCATGGTGAAACCCTGTCTCTACTAAAAATAACAAAAATTAGCCGGGTGTGGTGGCAGGTGCCTGTAAGCACAAGCTACTCGGGGTGCTGAGGCAGAAGAATGGCTTGAACCTGGGAGGTGGAGGTTGCATTGAGCCGAGATCGTGCCACTGCACTCCAGCCTTTGGCTACAGAGTAAGACTCCATTTCAAAATAAAAGAAAAGGAAAAGAAGAAAACTAACAGAGGAACAGAAAACCAAATACCGTATGTTCTGACTTATAAGTGGGAGCCAAATGATGAAAACACATGGACACATAGAGGGGAAAAACACACACTAAAAGGAGGGAGAAGGAGAGGATCAGGAAAAATAAATAATGGGTACTAGGTTTAATACCTGGGTGATGAAATAATCCGTATATCAAACCCCCATGACTGAAGTTTATCTGTGTAACAAATCTGCACATGTACTCATGAACTTAAAAGTTAAAAAATAAGTCCAGGAAAAAAAAGAAAATGATGTAATTGGAATCCTGAAACTTTACAGGAGTGTCATCTGAATTTCATCTGATTTCCAAATTGTAAACTGCTGACCTGCAACCAAAGGCCACATGTTGTTCTGCCCTGATGACAGTTCAAAAGCTATGGCCATTTTATAAAAGAGGTTTATAGAGGCTTCTAAAATAGCTTTGACCTGAAGGAAGCGGAACTTTTGTGATCTCTCACTTTTTAAAGCAGGGATCAGCAAACTTTATGTGAAGAGAAAAATACTACATATTTAGATTTCACAGGCTGTATTTTTATCTCTACTGTGTAGCATGAAAGCAGCTACAGGAGATACATAAGTGAATGATCCTGGTTGCATACCGGTAAAACTTTATTTACAAAGATGAGTGGCAATGTGGGTATTTGCCCACAGGCAGTGGTTTGCCAGTTGTTGCTTTAGAGGAATGAAAGTATGGAATTAATTGTTTTAAAGAGTGTACATTGATACAGAATACATAAAGTAATATCTATATAAAAAGCTAAATTAAAATAATTAAAAGACTTGTTTTTTTCTAAGTTACTTAGTATATGTACAATAGTTTATAAGTTGTCTTTTATGTTTTACAGGCTTCACAGTTTGGCTTTTTAACTTTTGTGTTTTTTCAGAAAAAATCTTCTAGAGGAAATACTCAAGCAACTAGTCATTCTTTTGATGTCAGAGTGCTAACGCAGTTGGTAAATATTTTAAAATAACACTTAAAATATTTATTAGCATAACCATAATGAAACTGTTTCTGTTTTTATTTTTCTCATTAGAGAATAAAAGGATTTTAGAGCTGTAAGAGACTGTATGAAATGGCTGGTTATAGGAAGGTTATTCCCAAGAAACATCATTTTAATAAAACCTGTTTGGGTTTTTTGCCTCAAGGATATTAAAATTTTAACATCAATAGATAGCAGTTTAAAAAAATATGTACACATACATGCATACATATACATGTATGTATGTGTACATATTTTGGGTTGTAGCTTTTATAGTTAAAGTTGCAATTTTAACAACTTAAAAGATGTGTACACAGAGGTGCAAAGAGTTGTCATATGCTTATTTTGAAGTAGATTAATTAGATTTATACCCCCTGATTTGATAAAAATCACAAAGTATTAATTAGCAAGTTTTATATTTATGTATGGTTGCTTTAATTTACACGTCTTTTCGAAAATTTAAAAGTTGGATATCTTAAAGAATAAAAAGTTAAAGCCACTAATTATTCCTAAAAATACATACCTTTGATTTTAATCCTACTTGAAATTATCCTAAAGAACAGACAAGGGTATAAAATAGCAAACGCGTGTTTGTAGGAAACTTTATTTCAATATTATACTGGATTTTGAAACAGAAATACTCTCAGGACTTGTGTTTTTTTGAACTGAATAGAATAGAATTAAAAGCAATTTGGCATTTGAGGATGTTTTAGTTTCTTCTTTTTCTGTGTGTAGCAATAGCGCATTAGTAAATTGTCTTTGGGCCTATGCCACTCAATGTGAGTTCTCAATTTCATTTTTCAATACCTTAGAGGTATTTTAGTCTCTGATTTTCTACTTTGTCTTGATTTTAGAAGTGTCCTTTGTTTTGAGGCTGGCTATTCCACTACTTATGTGCTTTTCACTAGTTAGGCTTACTTCATGGTTTATTAAACAATTTGGTTAAGATTATTTTATTAGTAGTATAAAATTGTAGTTGGGAGATGTATAGAGTGTGGGAATATAGAGAGATGAGTGGAAGATAATCTCATGAGATAATTTATTGTAGTAGTAATATTATTGTTATTTTTGAGACGGAGTCTCGCTCTGTCTCCCAGGCTGGAGTGCAGTGGTGCGATCTCGGCTCACTGCAAGCTCTGCCTCCTGGGTTCACGCCATTCTCCTGCCTCAGCCTCCTGAGTAGCTGGGACTACAGGCGCCTGCCACCACACCTGGCTAATTTTTTGTATTTTTAGTAGAGACGGGTTTCACTGTGTTAGCCAGGGTGGTCTCAATCTCCTGACCATATGATCCGCCTGCCTCGGCCTCCCAAAGTGCTGGGATTACAGGCGTGAGCCACCGCGCCTGGCCAGGTGTAGTAATAATATTATATAGTATAATATATTTTTGGTAGTCACTCCACCGATCACCTAACTGGAAATTTTGAAGTGACTAATATACAGTAAGTAGTCAGTAAGTATTTATTGCCACTTTTCTCCCAGTTAAGTCTTATTGATTCCTTATTTGTAGTATTAAGCTTTTCTTTTATTTTCCATACAGTCCTGCTGTCATTAGCCTTACAACAGTATTATTTTACCTAAACTAGCACAAGTAGCCCTTAACTGGTCTCTCTTCATCTATACATTCTTGTCCAAAGTGATTGTTTCTCTAAATCCCTTCTACCTTTGTTAGTATATCTCTTGAAATACTTTCCATTTATCTACTCTATCCTGTTTATACACTCAGATGATCATTTCTGAATCATAGTTTATGTTCAGTTATTAATTTTTTTCAAGAAGTATTTATTGAGTTTGTACAACAGCCGGACACTGATTATGGTACTCCTTGCTCAAAATTTCTTAAGTGTTCTGTACTGACTAGTTAGAGAAGTCCAACTCAGGGTTCTTCATAGCCTCAGCATACCTTTTTGTTCTTATTTTCTACCTCTTATTTTCTAGATGTATGCTTGCCATACCTTTAAAGCTCTGTATTTCCTGAACTATGTATCATGTCTTTGCTCTTTTCTCTGTCACCCAAACTGTCAAAATCCTATCTGTACATTAAGATCTAGCCCAAATGCCACTACTTGTGTAAGATTTCATTTGGTTCCCATAGAAATGGGGATCTTCTCTTTTTCAAATGCCATGTCAGCATCATAGAAGTTCCCTCACCTATAGGCTGTTTGGCAGCCAGGTTATTCCTAAGTCCAAATAACCAAGAGGAGTTTACATTTGTAGACCCCAACTGGTCTACATTTCCACCTAAAAGGAATGAGTCAGACCTTACATTCTTTAAAACTTTTCCTGGCTGAGCATGGTAGCTCATGCCTGTAATCCCAGCACTTTGGGAGGCCTAGGCAGGGTGATCGCTTGAGCCTAGGAGTTCAAGATGAGTCTGAGCAACAAGTGAAACCCTGTCTCTACAAAAAAATACAAAAATTAGCTGGGGGTGATGGTGTGTGCCTGTAGTCCCAGCTACTTGGGAGGCGAAGGTGGGAGGATCGATTGAGCCTAGGAGCTTGAGGCTGCAGTGAGCTCTGATAGCATCACTGTACTCTAGGCTGGATGACAGAACAAGACCCTGCCTCAAACAAAACAAAATAAAACTAACCAACCAACCAAAAAAATACCTCTTTTCTTTAATATGTGTGTGTATAGTCTTTAATAGTCTAGTCTGTTTTGGATAACAATGCCATAATTATAGATAGATAGATAGATAGATAGATAGATAGATAGATATATGTATATACACACATACACATATATTTACATATACTAATATATAAATGTGTTATATGTTAAAAATATATAAATTATATGTTAAATATGTAAAATAGGACATTCTTTTTAGAGTAGTTTTGTCTACAATAAAAAGTTATGGAGTAGATAGGGGAAGCCTGTTACTCCTCCTCCAACCCCACCTTATTGATGTATCAATGAACTCTACATGTGTCATATGGAAGCTTATTCCAGACATTGTATCAGCATCGTCACACTGCTGCTTGGTTTGATGATAGCCATTTTTGAATGGACCCAGGACCTTTGGAGCTGTGTGGTCTGTGGCAAATTTTTTGTCAACAAGTCCTTGACCATCTTAAAGTTTAAATTGTTTAACAACACCTAGAAGATTTACATTGCCTTAGACATTGCTTGAATTACACTAGACATCAATAATGCTCTTTCAATAGCTATGCATGTCAGTATTCTCCTCTTCATTATTTTTCCGCATTTATTCCTGATTGCATAAGCACATAGGCACAAAGCACTTTTCACAAGTTGTATGATTTGACTTTTGTTCTTCAGAATTGATTTGGTTGTTGAATGACTTATACTCCAAGTGTTCTTAGAACATAAATTACTTCCTTACCATTTCCATTTTTTGGTTATTTTTTGTAAATCATTATTTTTTGTTTCCACTGTTATTATAGGCCTCTATTACAGGTTGAGTGTGCCTTATTTGAAATGCTTAGGACCAGAAGTGTTTTGGGTTTGGGATTTTTTTTAGATTTTGTAATATTTGCAGAATACATACCAGTTGAGCATCTCTAAGCCAAAAATCTAAAATCTTATATGCTCCAATTACCTTTTCCTTTGAACATCACATTGGTGCTCAATAAGTTTTGGATTTTGGAGCATTCAGGATTTTTAGATTAGGGATGCTCAACCTGTAGTACTTTAACTATTTTGATACTGTCCTTGTTTTTGGCACTTATTAAGATGATGGGGTTGAAAATATATGTGAAACACCTGAAAACCGAACAAGAGCACTGGCATTCCTTAGACTAAAGAGGATGGGACTAGTCTATGAAAGTTTTTGGTTGAAAGTGTGTAAATATATGTGTCTGTGCATTGCTTGTAGTTTTACCATAGTTATCACATCCCACTTTGTATTTGTTATTGTGAACTTATTTTGCATTGCACAACTTATATCTAGTACATCATATCTTCTTTGTATATCTTTTAATCATCACAGTACTGATGTGAATAATTTGCAAATAATATATTTTTAGGAGCATATCGAGTGAATATTGAACCATTTTAGATGGTTATGTTAGAAAAATTTAGATGTAGTTGTGTTTAATTTCATTATATCTTCAAAATGACTGGAAAATAATATATAACTTATAAAAACAAATATGAAGGCCTTTAAATAATTTGCAGAGAATAATTTCAAATGCTTGGCTCAGTCAAAACTTTGTTCTCTCTTCATAAAATCGCTAATATAATGTTTAAATATTTCCTGTAGTTAATCATTGTTGGTTATTAGAACTTAAACAGATTTTGTCTTTCAGCTCCTGAATTCAGACCACAGATCCACAGCCACAGTCCAGATATGTAGCGGTTCTGTAAACCTTAAGGGTGCTGTGAAATGCAGAGCTTATATCCACAGCAGTAAACCCAAAGTTAAAGATGCTGTGCAGGTACAAAAAGGAATAACGAGCATATGGAACCATGTTAACTATTAACAAAAACCTAAAATTTTACCATTTTTTAATCTTATATTTTGTAATTATTAATTCGATTTTAACTGATAATGGCCTATTGTGCAGTCCAAATGTACCATATAATTGGTGTGAAGATTTTCATATGTAGAGTATCTATTTTGTGCCTTTTTAAAAATGATGGCTATACAAGTTTAGTAAGTGTTCCACTGTTATACATATTAGTATCTAATTTGGAACACTGCAATTATTTTTTTAGATGTGAAATTTTATTCATTTATCTGTTTTTAACTATTTAGATAAATTTATCATTAAACTATAAATTTGTTAATAAGTGTGCTAAATAAGTGGAAATAAAACATTGAATGATGTATCAGTTATTTAGTGGGCATGATTGTACTGGAAAGCAAATTATTTTTTTTGTTAGTTAAATATTGTAAATCTAAAGTATTTTATTTCTTACTGTGTTTTTTGTGTGTTTTTCCCTGTAGGCAGTAAAGAGGGATATATTGAACACAGTTGCTGATCGTTGTGAAATGCTATTTGAGGATCTGCTTTTGAATGAAATTCCAGAAAAAAAAGTTATGAGTATAAAATAAGTACTTTTTTGCGTATCTTCAACTGATATAGTAATAAGATATCAAGATATAGCAGATACGTCATCTTTTATAGCTACCTATCTATATTTTCAAGCAGTATATCATCTTTTATTATTGGATGAAAATTTTTCAGTTGCTACTCAGATTTTTTTTTTTTTTTTTAGACAGAGTCTCACTGTGTTGCCCAGGCTGGGGTGCAGTGGCACAGTCATGGCTCACCTGCAGCCTCAGCCTCTTGGGCTCAAGCAGTCCTCCTACCTCAGCCTCCCTAGTAGGTGGGCCTGCAGGCACATGCCATGATGCCTTGCTAATTTTTGGTATTGTTTTTTTAGAGACAGGGTTTTGCCATGTTGCCCAGGCTAGTTTCAAACTCCTGAACTCAAGTGATCCACTGTCTTTGGCTTCCCGAAGTGCTGGGATTACAGGTGTGAGCCACCATGCTTGGCTCTAGAAAAACGTTTTAGAACACTATCAAATTTAGCAAATTTGTCAACAATTAAGAATTTCAGGGAGGATTTTTAAAAAAATTAATTCCAAGTGAACTTCTCCTGCCAGAATGAGTAAACTTTGTTAACATTTTAAAGTTAGTATTTTTTGTTGATATCTATGAGTATTTTAAATAATTTAGCCATAATCAAAATATTATTAGTGTTAAATACTATATAATAGCTCCTTTAGTAGGTACTATTTATATAAACTACACTAGTTTATATGCTTCTCAGCTATTACTCTAACAGACTTCATTACGTTTAAAAAAGGCTGAGTTACAGTATCTTACCCATTAATAACGATTGCAGCTTTTGGGAAACATAACAATTTATACCATCGCAGTAATCTGTATTAAAAAATTTTTTTAATCAAAAGCAAGTTAAAATATTGAGTACACTTTTTAAAGCTACATCATCATCTCCCCATTCTTTTTTTTTTTCTTTTTTTTTTTTTTTTTTTGAGACGGAGTTTCGCTCTGTCGCCCAGGCTGGAGTGCAGTGGCGCGATCTCGACTCACTGCAAGCTCCGCCTCCCGGGTTCACGCCATTCTCCTGCCTCAGCCTCCTGTGTAGCTGGGACTACAGGCACGCGCCACCATGCCCGGCTAATTTTTGTATTTTTAGTAGAGACGGGGTTTCACCGTGTTAGCCAGGATGGTCTCGATCTCCTGACCTCGTGATCCGCCCGTCTCGGCCTCCCAAAGTGCTGGGATTACAGGCATGAGCCACCGCGCCCGGCCTCCCCATTCTTATTATTCTGATGTTAGTGGATTTGCAATTCACATTTAGATATGTACATAATTGAAACATTCATATTAGCTTCGGGTTCCAGCAATTCTCCTGCCTCAGCCTCCCGAGTAGCTGAGATTACAGGTGCCCACCACCACGCCTGGCTAATTTTTGTATTTTTAGTAGAGACAGGGTTTCACCATGTTGGCCAGGCTGGGCTCGAACTCCTGACCTCAGATGATCCACCCACCTCGGCCTCCCAAAGTGCTGGGATTATAGGCATGAGCCACCATGCCCAGCCCACATTAGCTTTTGAAGGGAATATTTTTATGTTCATAGGAAAAAAAGCATAGCTCCTCTATATAACCAACTTCTTTTAGTACTACTGATAGCTAGTATGTTAAGTTTGATGGACTAATTATAATCTTTTTTTTATATTCCTAGTATGCTGGATTCTATGATTGGCAGATTTAACATTTATCCTTCTCGTAATTCACAACCCTAAAGTTCCATTTACTAATAATTTATAATTTTGCTGGAACATGAATTTGAATCTTACATGCAACAATTGGATTGAGAGTTTTGGGAGGGCAGTATGTGGGACCTGTTCACATAGTCCATCAGTCTAGCAGCCCCATCTCAGTGTGGCTTTGTTTTTGCAATTTGACTTTGAGTTTGTGGTAACTCCTGTGGTGTAAATCATTGCTTCAGGTTCTGAGCAACAGTGTATATTATAGCTGCATTGCAGGTTTCAGGATTTGCAGGGTATGGGGATGTATCCACCATTATTGTTAAAGATTTACCTTAGCAGACACATTAGTATACTCTTCTATTTAAAAATCCTTTATAAAAGTGGTATTATATGGCTATCCTGGTATTCTTTCATATTGTTAGTACTTTGAAATTTTTGCTGATGTTCAATTAGTAAAATTAATGGCCCCTAACAGCAGTTGTACTGTTTGTATGTTAAACTTGATACATTTAGAAGTTAATGTTAAAGCCTAATCCTAAATTTTTAAAAGGTGAAAAAGTTTTTACTGGCAATTGGGTGGCCTTGGGACCTGTGTGAAGAGCATAGACTGTAGTTTGGTGGAAAGAGCAAAGACTTTGAAGTTCTCGGATTCTGTGTGTATTCTGCTCCTAGCAGAGTGACCTCAGGCAAATGACTTTATAGGCATCGTCCGTCTTTCTGTCTGTCTTTCTTTCTCTCTTTCTTTCTTTCTCTCTCTCTCTCTCTCCTTCCTTCCTTCCTTCCTCTCTTTCTCTTTCTTTCTCCTTCCTTCTTCATCCCATCTCATCCCTTCCCTCCCCTTCCCTCCCTTCCTCCCTCTCTTTCTATGATCACATAGTTTTTGACATTCTTTTGGTGTGATGTATCACATTATTAATTTTTGTATGTTGGATCATCCTTGAATCTCTGGAGTAAACCCCACTTGATTATGATGTATTATCTTTTTGATGTACTGTTGCATTTGGTTTGCTAGTATTTTGTTGAGGATTTTTGTGTCTATGTTCATCAGGGATATTGTCATGTAGTTTTCTTTTTTTGTGTCTTTGGTTTTGGTATTAAGGTTATGCTGATCTCATAGAATGAGTTAAGAGTTCTCTGTGCTTCATTTTTTTGTAATAGTTTGAGAATAATTGGTATTATTTCTTTTTTAAAGGTTCAGTAGAATTCATTGGTAAAACCATCCAGTCTTGGAGTTTTCTTTGGAGATTTTTCATTACTGATTCAATCGTGATTTTTTATCAGTCTGTTCAGGTTTTCTATTTCTTCTTGTTTTCTGTCTTCTTTTCTCTCTCTCTCTTTTTCTTCTTCCTTTCTTTCTACGAAGACAAGTTCTCTGGTTCTGTGTCTATTCTGCTGCTAGCAGAGTAACCTCAGACAAATAACTTTATAGGCATCCTATTCTTTCTTTCTTTCTTTCTTTCTTTCTTTCTTTCTTTCTTTCTTTCCTTTCTTTCTTTCTCTTCTTTTCCCTCCCTCCTTCCCTTCCTTTCTTCCTTTGTTTCTTTCCTTCTCTCCTCTCCTCTTTTCTCCTCTCCTCTTCCTCTACTTCCTCTCCTTTCCTTTTCCTTTTCCTTTTCTCTCTCCTTCCTTCCTTCCTTTCTTCCTTTCTTCCTTCTTTTTTTTAATGAGAGACAGGGTCTCTCTCTGTCACCCAGCCTGGAATGCAATAATGCAGTTGTAGCTCACTGCAGCCTTGAACTCTTGGTCCTAAGTGATCCTCCTGCCTCAGCCTCCTGAGTAGCTGGGACTACAGGCAAGGGCCACCACGCCTGGCTAATTTTTTTTTTTTTTAACTTTTTTGTAGAGACAAGAGTCTTTGCTATGTTGTCCAGGCTGTAGTCCTGTGGCTGTGCACAGGTATGATCATAGCTAAATACAGCTTTGAACTCCTGGCTGTAAGGGATCTTCCTCCCTCAGCCTCCCAGGTAGCTGGGACTACAAGCGCACAGCAGTATGCCTGAGTAATCTTTTAATTTTTACCTTTTTGTAGAGATGGGGCTTTGTTATGTTGTCCAGGTTGTCTCAAACTTCTGGCCCCAAGCAGTCCTCCCAAAGCACTGGGAATTATAGGCATGAGCCACTATGAATGGCCCCATTTTCTTATATATAAAATAGGAATTATGGTACCTACTTTTTGAGGCTGCAAGATTAAATGAGATGATGTTTGTAAGGCCCCTAATAAAATTGGTGTAAGCCAAGCCCTCATCAAGTGGTATTGATACCATGTTGGAGATGATGGAGGAGAACAACTTATGTTAATTGTCTTTAAAATGCCTTAACTTCAATTTTTGGGAAATTTAGCATATTTCAAACAGAAATAAGATGTAAATATATATTCAACACTTTAGTAACAGGATAATTATTCCAACAACATATTAGTTGATCTTAGGTATCAAGATAAAAGAATACATTGTAAGTGTGATAATATAAATAAATGTAAATTCTTTAAAAAAATTTTTTTAATTTTTAACTTTTGTGGATACATAGTAGGTATATATATATATTTATGAGGTATATGAGATGTTTTGTTACAATCATGTGATATAAAATAATCATCATGGAGAATGAGTTATCCATCCCCTGAAGCATAAATAAATGTAAATTCTGATGTTGAATTTATACACCAAATTGTTAGATTTTAGATTTTATCCTCATTTTACTTTGCTTATTTTCTTATATACTGGTAAGATCTTATAGATGCTGTAATATAGTAAAATGTAGAATGTATGCCATAAAATTAACCTGAATTAGAGTATTTTTGCATGCATGAGGAAGTCTGTTAAGGACATAATAACTTTATATATCTGATCTCTAAACTAAACCTAGGCTTTTAATTTTGGCTATCCAGATAAAAGAACTTAGTATTTCATTGTCAGTTTAAAAAAAAAAAAAAACTCCAATTAATCCTTGCACTTGTTGTGATCTTCCTCTTTGATTCCTCTTAAGATACAGCCTAAGCCTTCTTCACTGTTATAAGTCTTCATTTGATCCTGCTCAACTTATTCTCATAGATGACCTACTCATTGTGAAAATGGAGGTCATCAGTTATGAAACCTCTTACCTTTGCCCATCCCCACATCAGTATCCTCTGTACCACTCCACTGTCTTCCCAGAACATTTGTAATCCTGTTTGTCTGTGCCTATGATTCCACTCTCTGAATGGCACTTCTCCTATCCCTTTATGCAGATGTCCTCTTATCCTTTAAGCTTCAACTGTGCTATCACCTATTCTAAAAAAAAATTCTATGAAAAATACATAAATAACTTAAAAGTTTCAGTACTACTCTGATACCAGCTAGGACATTTAACCAATAGAAACCCAATTCTTATTATATTGGCTTAATTTTAAAATTTTTTTATTTGTTTTGACTTTATTCAGATAATGTTGAACTAGATACTATGACATGAGGATATTCCTAAAGGATTCTGCTTTGGAGTGCTTTTTGAGATGTGTCTTTTCCAAAAGATTTCTCCTCCCATTTAAACCTCAGACCAACAGAAAACGAGTCTTACTTAGATACTAAATTGCTAATTTAACTTCTTAATTTGAAAGTTGTAGTGCTTTTTCTTTTTAATGAGTAATTTAAATTTATTGGAACCAGTTATTTAACGTTTGATTTTTTTAGCTTGTTATTTTTCAGATAGACCAAGAATTGATGTAGTTTGAAATGGTTTTAAAATTTTGCATGCCAATTGCACATGCACATTAGAGTCATTTTTGAGTTTTTACTTAATCTGTTTCAAGTAACTGTGGCTCAAAATAAAATAATATAGTCCTAATTTCAATGTGTGGACAATTTTCGTGCTACAGTACAAATTGCAGTAATATTCTTCTACAGCTAGGAGGCAGTCTGGTCAAAGAGTAAAATTTCTCTCCCAGTTCTCATGTGCAAACAAGATAATACACAGAATCTGGAAGGAACACGTAGTTTAAGCCATTGCATTTCCTGTGACACTTAAGGCATTGTTCGTCATCTTCTGTTTGTAATTATGTAAAGTTACCACTAGTTTCTTGACAACGAAGTCTAGGTTACTATTAAAATAAGCCCTAGTTTTCCACTTGATCTTTACATTAGTAACTTTTTAATCATATCTGTTGCTGAAAGAGGTCATTCTTTTCACAAAATTTCTATCTTTCTGATAGTTCATAAGGATCGTAGCATTTAACTAAAAAGTAATTATATATTTACATGCAACAGTGACTATGTTAGAAATTAGGGGAAATAATATATTCCAGTTTGTAAGTATTCACAGAAGAATGAGATATTTGTTATTTATTTAGATTTATTTTTTTCTAAAAATGATTTAAGGCTTTTTACAAAGAAGCATAAGTAAACAAGTGAAAATAAATATTAGTAATAAAGAGTCAAAGGGAAGGTAAAAAAAGAAAGCAAAATGGAGTTGGTAGTGAGATAGGTACACAAAACTGTATGTATGACTAGATGTCCTAAACATGCTTGATATATAGGAAGGGGGCTACATCTAGTAAGATGAAATTCATGGGGAGATTAATACAAAAATGTATTCTATCAGATCCTGTGCACTAGATGTAAGGTGGCCAGTAATTTGGCTCCAAACTTGGATGAAGAAGAGAAAAACCAACTATAAAATGTACAGTGCCTATGAGGCTAAAACAGACAAGAAGGACAATAGTTTCTGACATCAAGGACAAAATTGTCTCTTGAGTGTTCTTCATAGGACAGTGGGTCGTATAAGAATGTGTAATCAACAGCTTTACATTGAAGGCAATGATAAGTTTATTTTATTTTTATTTTTATTTTGAGATGGAGTCTCGCTCTGTTGCCCAGGCTGGAGTGCAGTGGTGCGATCTTGGCTCACCGCAACCTCCACCTCCCGGTTCAAGAAATCCTCCTGCCTCAGCCTCCTGAGTAGCTGGGATTACAGGCACCTGCCACCACGCCTGACTAATTTTTGTATTTTTAGTAGAAACGGGGTTTCACCATGTTGGCCACGTTGGTCTCCAACTCCTGACCTCAAGTGATCTGCCCACCTCAGCCTCCCAAAGTGCTGGGATTACAGGCATGAGCCACCGCGCCTGGAGATAAGTTTATTTTTCATAGGAGTATCATTTAGGTTCCTTGCAAAGACCAGGGGTTTTGAGGTAAAGCAGAATTTGGTAAGAGCAATTTTGTGCCAGATCAACCAGAAAATGAAAAAATATTGACCTTTTAAGCTTTATTTCTATTAGTTTTTGTATGTACTTCTAAAATATGTATCACTGATACCAGTGACAAACCTATCTAAATATTGATAATATTTCTTTTCCTTTTAGATTCTGAAAAAGAGTTCCACGTCCTCCCTTATCGAGTCTTTGTTCCCCTTCCTGGATCCACTGTAATGTTGTGTGATTATAAATTTGACGATGAGTCAGCTGAAGAAATCAGGGACCATTTTATGGAGATGTTGGATCACACAATTCAAATAGAAGATTTGGAAATTGCAGAGGAAACAAACACAGGTCATTATATGATGCTATTTAAGAACCTGGTTAGATTACAGCTAAGATTTTACCTATGAGATGTCTAGTTTAAATATCATGTCTTTAGATTTTTTTTAAAGCTAGTTCTGTTTGACACTTCGAAATATTAACTGAGACATTTTAAAATACATGTTTAATTTCTACATGTCTAGACATACAGTGAGTATTTCCTGGGAAATTGTACCAAAATTTAAGATACTAAGGTATTTTTCAAGCTTAGCAAGTAGATCTTAATAAAACAAGTTCAGGATTAAGTAGGTAAAATTACAAAGCTTTAAGGTATTTCTTTCAATATAAAAGTTTTCTCAAAACTCATTATCTTACTTGGTAAAGCATCATGTCAGAACAGAAGGTTTTAAAACACTAATTTATTAAACATTTTCTCCATATTATTTGCCTTTTTTTTTTCATATACCTTTCATGTAATTGGGATACTAAGCCAAAATGGGCAGTTCCAGAAATTAGATGACTTTTATAGAGCATAGATTTGCTTTACTATCCAGGTTTTGTAACACATTTTTTTTTCCCTAGCCATCACTTTCACATTTGACTTTATACTTTGGAAGACTGTTTGGGTTTTTTGCTTTCTTTTTGTTTCTAGTGAGTTCAGTGTATGAAAACATGTCTATAAATAAATATGTAAGTTCCTTTTCTGATTTCTTAGTTATTCTTTGCATAGTTAATTCTCCCTTCAGGAATAGGGTGTTTGATTCAGAGTGTGCTTGAGATTATAGTGAGTCAAGTAAGTATTTGATTGGGGAACTTCAAATCTATAGTAAACTGCCTCAAGTTAGTTGCAAACCACCCTTTAGTTTTTCAGCAATACCAGATCGTGATGTAGAGCAATAAGCTTGTTTCAGTGGGGAAAATAAAATTTCTAAATTGCCCAATGCCTGATGTTAAAATAAAGAAGAGCTACTTTCTAATCCCATGAAAACTAATATTTTTAAAGATACAACTCTAGCATAGTTCCATGAAAACTAATATTTCTAAAGATATAACTGTAGCAGATGGAAAGTATCTGCTTTTTGAAAGTAGACTGGTAAAAATGTTTACTGCTTTCCAAAATTTATTTTCCTTGGTTAGTGACTGCATTATCTCTGCCAACGAAACTTAGGATCATGAGGACAGGGATTTTTGTTTGTTTTGTTCACTTCTCTATCGTTAAGGCCTAGCAATAGTTCTTGAGCCATTCTGTTGTTGAATAGATCTTATAATGTTGGTAGGATCATTCAAATTGACCTAATTTAACCTCTTAATACTGAAAACTACATCCCTAGCAGATGGGGATTCAGATTCTATTCTTCTTTATTCTAAATACCAATCTGCCTCCCTGTAACCTATTCTTTCAGTAATATGCAGCAATAAAACATGAGTACCACTTCCTCACTGAGACCATGCTTTAAATTTGAGAGCAACTATTATGTTCTAAACATTTCAAAGCCATATATTCTCACCTACCTTAAGCTGTTCATTTTATTACAGTTTCCAGACCACATTTTTTTCTTACCACCTTGTTTGCTTTCCGGTAGATTAGGAATTTTTAACCTGTGGGGTTCAAAACCTCTGGTGTCAGAGCTGAACTTTTAGAAGATCCACAAACCACTTGAAAGTAATTGTATGATTTTTTTTCTGAAGAAAAGGTCTATCGCTTTCAAAGAGTTTAAAAATTACTTCTTAAATATACTCTGATTTGCCTTCCTTGAAATATGTTACCCTGACGAAGCTAATGCTCTAAAAATAATATAGCCATTATTTATATATCTGCCAGGCACAGTTTTAAGAGTCTTACAAATACTAAATTATCATTCCTTGTAACAACCCTGTGATGTAAATAACATTATTAATCCTATTTTCCAGATGAGAGAATTAAGGCTCAGAAAGGCCAGGTAACTTTTCAAAGTTACATTGCTCGTAATGGTGGAGCTGGAATTTAAACTTAGGCAGTTTGGTTTTAGGGTCTGTGCTTCTTTTCTAAAAATTTTATTTTACTGCCTTTGTGTAGGAGCTAAATAATGAAGTATAGTATGATTATTTTCCATGATATAGATACATATTTTAGCCTGGCGTTCTTCATTCCATCCCTTTAAACATTTTCAAGTGTAAATGGATGATGTTACATTATCTTGGTTTAATTTCATCTAGATTATGTCAATATAATTTCTCATTTGTTGGCTGGAATCTTGGATCTCATTATTTATGTTTATATAAACATATAAACAATATATAATGTTTATATATAATATAAACATATACATACATAAACATGTAATATAAACAATTTGTGTATGTATGTAAACAAAAATGTTTATATATGTGAACATGTTTATATGTTTATATGAATATGTTTATAAAATATATAATATAAACAATATACAAAAATGTATTGTTTTCTTATAAAAATATAAAATATATCATGTTTATATATAATTTTTTGAATTATTTGTCACATTCTTGTGCATCTCACATTCTTAAACTAAGAATGACTAAGGGTAGCACTGTATGCAAAACTTGCCCCATTCACAAGTTACTTTAAAAGTCAGATATAAAAGAATAGGAAGAGAGAGTCATTTCATCTAGGTTTTTTAAATAATTCTTAAAAATATTTCTGTCTTAAGTATTTTTAACTCATTTAATTTCATGTTGTATGTTAAACACAAGTATATAGACTAGTTTAAGACTGTTTTATTCAGTTCTTTTTAAGTTAATATTTTAACAAACAGTTAGTAACAGAGGTTTATATTCTTTCTTTACATTGCTAAGACATTAAAAAAAATTAACTTGGGCAACATGGTGAAACCCTGTCTCTACAATAAAAATACAAAAATTAGCTGTAGAAGTTTCAATGGGCCGTGTTTACACCACTGCCGTTCAGCCTGGGTGACAGAGTAGGACCCTGTCTCAAAAAAAAAAAAAAAAATTAAGTAGCTTCAACCACTGTAATGTATTCCTAAGAGGTAACTATGGCAACCTGGCATGACAGCCTCCCAAAACCAAAACTAAAACCCAATAAATTCAAATTCTCATGAAACCGTTACATGTGCATTTCAGCAAACATCTGTTGAAAGAGCAAAAAGGGCCTTTGCCTCTCTTGCTTACTGTTGTGTTTCTAGCACTTTACTAAGAGCTTAGCCTTAGCATGTCATAGGTATTCAGTAGATATTTGTTGACTGAATAAATTATTTATTTTGTCCTATGGATTAGAGTCCAAAGAACAACAAAATGCTGATTCTGTCTTCAAGGAGCTAAGTAGATTTTTGTTTGTTTGTTTTTTGAGACGGAGTCTCGCTCTGTCTCCCAAGCTGGATTGCAATGTTGCATTCTCAGCTCACTGCAACCTCTGCCTCCCGGGTTCAAGCGATTCTCCTGCCTCAGCCTCCTGAGTAGCTGGGATTACAGGTGCGTGCCACCAAGCCCAGCTAATTTTTGTATTGTTAATAGAGATGGGGTTTCAGCATGTTGGTCAGGCTGTTCTCTAACTCCTGACCTTGTGATCCGCCTGCCTCAGCCTCCCAAAGTGCTGGGATTACAGGTGTTAGTCACCAAGGCCAGCCAATAGAGTTTTTTAAAAAAATGTCTGTGTAGATACTATGTTTTTACTAACTTCAGACTTGTTCAGACTAGGTAAACTCCTTCACTAAACTTTCTTGTAGTTCCCTCTTCTATGCTGTTCTTCTATAATACTTTACATACTTGTAATTATTTAAATCATCAATTGCATATTTAATGTTGATCTTTCACATTAGACTATAAGATTTTTGAGAGTAAGTAGAGTATTTATCTGTACCTAAAACATGGTAGGTGTTCCTAATTATTTGTTACTGATTCATAAATACTGAATAAGTGATTCTTAGGAAACTACAGCACTTCTTGTTTTCACATTTATTTCATACTTGAGAAATTATTAGCTTATGCCTGTACAGACAAGGTTTTTAAGATTTGTGTAGTATAGTATATTGAACATGTTGAGGGTTTAAAAAGTCTATAATATTCATAGCTGTATGGCTCAGTAGTTCAGAACATTTTCAGGAGTTTTGAACATTTAAGACATGAAATTATGTCTTTTATATGAAAATATGTAGCACTAGTTGTTGCCCCAGAAATTTTAATCTAGTTTACAGCATTTAGTATGTCTCTTTATCAGATGTTTATTAAGCTTATGCTCTGTTCAAGACAATATAATAGATATGAATCAATAACTTGATTCCTTTCCTTTAGAAGCCTAGAGGAAAGATAGAATGTATATGCGTGATTAGTTATGCAGAGAATGTAGTAAGGTCCTAAGAGTACCTAAGAACTCCATCAAGATTAGTGATCAGAATTTTAGGGTCTCCAGTGATTTGGTTAATAATTTAATCAGAAAAAAGTCTCTATTATAGGCATTAGCAGTAATCTATAATATACAGTAACGAAGTTTTGGCATTCCTGTATTAAAATTTTAGTGGGCTGGGTGCGGTGGCTCACGCCTGTAGTCCCAGCACTTTGGGAGGCCAAGGCGGGTGGATCACCTGAGGTCGGGAGTTCAAGACCAGCCTGACCAACATGGAGAAACCCCGTCTCTACTAAAAATACAAAGTTAGCCAGGCGTGGTGAGGCATGCCTGTAAACCCAGCTACTCAGGAGGTGGAGGCAGGTGAATCACTTGAACCCGGAAGGCGGAGGTTGTGGTGAGCCAAGATCGTGCCATTGCACTCCAGCCTGGGCAACAAGAGCAAAACTCTGTCTCAAAAAAAAAAAAAGAGTTAGTAAATTATTTCCCTTTTTTTATTCTTTATTATAATGTTGAGTATCCCTAATCTGAAAATCTAAAATCTGAAATGCTCCAAAATTTGAACCTTTTTGAGCACCGATATGATGCTCAAAGGAAATGTTCATTAGAGCATTTCAGATTTTGGATTCTTGGGTTAGGAATGCTAAGCTGGTGTACTGCAAGTATTTCAGAATTTAAAAAAATCTGAAATCTGAAACACTTACGATCCCAAGCATTTTGGATGAGGAATACTCAACCTGTACTACTTCTATGTTTCACTTCAACTGAAAGGTCACTGAAAGCACACACCAGTTTTATAAATTGATGCTCTGTAATATACAGTGTATGATCCTACTTGTATTGAAAGTTTCATAGTTTTGAATGATGTTTGCTTTTGCAAATAAATAAAAGTTTTAATTTTAGCCTCAAAACAATATACTTTATCCATTATTGTCAGATATAAATGCTATTCTCTAATGAATTGTTTTTATTTATATATATAGTAAATATATTTTAATCCTCTTTCTTGGGTTCCCTCAGTAAGCTTTATCATTAGCATTATTTGTACCTTGTGAAATATTAGCATGAACCAGTAAATATGAAATACCTTAAAATAACGTAAAAATCTTAGATAATATATAAATATTAATACATATGTCTGATTTGTGGATTTTAACTTTCATAAACTTTTAATATTAAAACTTAGTTATATGTTTCACACTGTATTTAAAAATTATTTACTGTCTATATTTCTCTTTTTTATGCTGACAGTCTAGTATAGAGATGGATTAACAGTAGGAAGAGTTTAATATTACAAGAACAAAGGAAGCAAAACAGCAATTTGGAAAGTTTAGGTGTGTATACTTACATGTATGCCATATTAAACTCATGGTTTCTAGATGATATTACACATTTTTCTAATATTGTATAATGTATTGAAGATACTTCAGTATGGTAGGTATGATCCTTTCAGGACTCTGCCCTGTTTTTGAAACTTACATGGATCTCAAGTGAGTGACTGAGTGAGTGAGTGATGTCTGTTCTTGGCTGCCTATTATGTATTAGGATTCTACAGATAAAATATGTAGTCCTGACTCTCAAGAAGCCCACAGTGCAATGGGAAATACAAAGAAATGAGTTATTTCAAAACAAGGTGGCCCATGTGCTGTAATATGCTGATCCCTGGTTTTATTATTAATATCTAATTATTTGAAATTATTAATTGCTGAAACCACTAATAATTCTATAACAAGAATGAACAGAGAAGAGTCAGAACTCTTAGCAGAGGCACTGTCTCTGTAAGGGATTCAGGGAAAGCTTAGAGCAGGTGACATTTGAGTTCGTTTTGAAGGATGAATACAAATAAAAGTAGCTTTTTAGGAATTGAACACTGGTATGAGATGTATTACAACCAAGAATATGACTTACCTAGAAGTATAAGTTTCATCAAGCATTTGTTAAATTGGAAGGAATGATATAGTAATTCTGCATATTTATTATAAAGAACACATTCCCAAATAATAGAATAAAAACATACATTTTAATAGAAAAATTAAGTGCTTTTACATAAACATCCTATTTTTTTTAGAATTATATGCGCTTATTCACTCATTTACTCATTTATTCATTTACTCAAAGATAGTAGATGCCATAATTTTACAAAGATAATGTCCAGGAGTCCAGGCCTGCCACTTAAAACTAACCTTAAAGAAGTCCCCTCTGAGTCCTAGATTCTCTTGGGGTTGATGTGAGAATTTGGTAAAACTGTTAGGGAAAATGCTTTCTAAACAGAAAGAGATATATAAATGGAGGATGATATTAACACATTATTAGGCTTTTAAATACTGAACCTCTGACTTGTAATGAAAAATATTAATGTTAAAGTATGAAAATGTCTTATAATATGTATAAGTTTTCCTAAATATTTGAAATTAGAGTTTCCATATAAAATAAACCATAAGAAAGTGGAGCTCAAATGTTCAAATTCAAAAATTGGAATCAATTACTACGCATTTAGGAACATTAAATTTGCTATAAACATATTGCTTTGTCTTCTAAGTATTTAACATTAGAGGTTGAATATCCCTAATCTGAAAGTCTGAAATACAAAATGCTCCAAAATTAGAAACTTTTTGAGCACCAACATGATGCTCAAAGGAAATATACTCATTAGAACATTTTGGGTTTTGGATTTCAGATTAGGGATGCTCAACAAGTAAGTATAATGCAAATAATCCAAAATTTGAAAAAAAAAATCATTTCAGGTAAAGGATGCTCAACTTGTATGATTTACCTGATTATTACTTATTTCTGTTCTATAGTATAGTTGCCCAAGTAGTTGCTATGTTTAAAATACATATTTGCCAAGTAAGTATCTTAAAATAACATACTTTTAAATGACTTAAGAGATGAAGAACAATTTGTTTGTCAAAATGACTCGCTTGAGGTGAGGGATAACTATGGCTTTAAAATTTCTTAGCTGTGTTAGTCATCTCCTAGTAGATGTTAACTTGATAATTTCAATGTACTTTTATCAACAGTACCATCTAAAAAAATTTGAAGTCATACCTTTAAAATCTGGTGAACCTCATCTTTGCCAATATCAGAGCTGAGATTAATTTTTGTCATTTGGTTAAACATTGACAATTATAAAGGAAAAATGAGTAATACTGAAGATATAATTTTATGGCTACATCGCTGACTATAATGATACAGTAATTTAGGAATTAGGGATAGGAAGAACACAGGCTACTAAGGAGTTCAAGTCTTAACATTTCATTTTAAGCTTCTAAATAGTTCTGCCTACCTATCAGCAGCTTGGAATGAAATCTGAACACGTCTGCAACTTTTGCATGCATTCACAGCCCTTGTTTTCTCTCTCTTTTTGACAGCTGCTCAAGAATACTCTTAACATGATCAGTTTTCGATTTGTCTGAATTTGAAATGACTTGGTTTTAAGGAATGGTTGAGATCTAGTGTTCTATTGAATCACTGTGTTATTTGCATTTAAATTTCTTGTAATATATTAAAATATTGGTGAAATAACACAGTGCCTGAGATTTGGTTTAAAAATCCTACAAGCCCCCACCAAAAATAAACAGACAAATAAATTGCTGTGATAAGGCCTTATTCATTATTGAAAAACATTCTGCTTCGGTAAAATTATCTCAAATTTGTATCAAACCTCATGATTTTGTATGACAGATTTAAAAATGGAAATAGGGCAATGAAATGTCTTTTATGAAAGTAAATTATTTGCTCAGAGTACGATCTTCTAGAGCATGATCTTCATATGTAATAATTCAATATTAAATATATAAGTAATATATTATGACAACTAAAACAATTTTGTTTTTTTATATGCAAGTATTCAAGTAATAAATTTCCTATAGCAAACAGGTATAATTCATACCATCCATTATTTTTGTTTGTTATCTGATATAAGGATTTTATTGGCCCAAATATGGGGGAAAAAAACAAAAACCTTTTTTTTTTTTTTTGAGACAGTCTTGCTCTGTTGCCCAGGCTGGAGTGCACTGGCACTATCTTGGCTCACTGCAAGCTCTGCCTCCTGGGTTCACGCCATTCTCCTGCGTCAGCCTCCTGAGTAGCTGGGACTACAGGTGCCTGCCACCATACCTGGCTAATTTTTTTGTATTTTTAGTAGAGACGGGGTTTCACCATGTTAGCCAGGATGATCTCGATCTCCTGACCTCGTGACCTGCCCGCCTCGGCCTCCCAAAGTGCTGGGATTACAAGCGTGAGCCACTACGTCCGGCCAAAAAATACCTTTTTAACAGAGATATTTGCTCATAGAAGAGCCGAAGTTTGTTTTTGTTTTTATTTGATGTAAAATTGTATGAGCCATTCAATTTTTAGACCTATGGACTGAAGTTGGAAGAAATTTTAAATTACTGAGCTAATATAGTCTAGAACTGAAGTATTATAGCCCTTGAGAAAACTACAAACTGGAAATATAGAAGACTAGATATTCCTAGAGACAGTTCATAAGAATTTGTTTTTCTTTGTGACTGGTTTGATATGAGAATAGAAAAAAAAAGGGGGGAGGGTTTTTTTGTTTTTTGTTTTTAAAGTATTTTAGTTAAATGCTAGAAGAAGAAAAAGAAAAAAGAATAGTGGTGCCCTTATTTCTAATAAGATAGTTACTAGGAATTGTTTATGAAAATCATAAACTTTTCTTTGTGAGAAATTAATGAGAAGTAGGTAATTTTTTTTCTTTTTCATCCATTTTAGTATCATATATACCTATTTCAGTAAGTTTATATGTCATTCTTTTGAGCTTGTGCTCCCATATTGGGGTGCAAAGATGTCTATAAGAACATTGTAAATTCAACAATAGGCTATTTTACTTTAAATTTAAACAGTAATATTTACTATCTCTCTTGAGTTCTCTCTCTCTTTTTTGTGGGGGTGAGGGTAAATAAACAGATAAATCTAAAGTAGTTGCTTTCATAATCTAGTTCCCTGGAGTTCTATAGAGTAGCATTCTAATGTCACCTCTAGGATGGAAGAAAGAAGCTGGTCTGACTCCAGGAGTCCTCCCTCCCAGCTTCAGCCTGGGTAGCATACTTTCATCTTTTTTACACACTGGGAATTTCTGTCAGATTTTCTTTGTTTTCATAGGATTCTTCAGTCCTAGGGGAAAAAAACAGAAAACTATTAGCCTGTGTGGTCTCTGAGGATGCTATCAGTTCACACACTTTCATTCAGCATTAAATAAATTCGGATAGGCCAACCTGCATAAATTGCTGTCAGCATAATGAAGTAGAAAGAGAACTTGTGTCCAAATCATCAGTCAAATGCCTGTGATGGTCGAAATGCACTTTAACCTCCCAGGTTATGTTTTCCATTTGTAAAATGCGATGATGTCCTTGCCTTGCTTACCATTCTGAGTTGTTTCAAGGTCAAATTTTTGATCATAGTTTCAATTTCAAGTTGGATCCAGAGTCAGCAAACTTTTTTTTGTACAAATAAATATTTTAGGCTTTGTGAGCCGCATAAGGTCTTTTTCACATTTTTTTTTTACAGTCTTTTAAAAATATGAAAAACAGATTTTTAGTTTAAGAGCTTTTACAAAAATAGGTCATGAGCCAGAGGCCCATGTACTGCAACGTGCTGGTCAGTGGTTTTATTATTAATATCTAATTATTTGAAATTATTAATTGCTAAAACCACCAATAATGATATAAATTAGACTGGGCATGGTGGCTCACACCTGTAATCCCAGCACTTTGGGAGGCCGAGACAGGCAGATCACTTATAGTCAGGAGTCCGAGACCAGCCTGGCCAACATGGTGAAATCCCATCTCAACTAAAAATACAAAAATTAGGCCAGGTGTGATGGCTCATGGCTATAATCCCAGCACTTTGGGAGGCCAAGGTGGGCAGATTACCTGATGTCAGGAGTTGGGGACCAGCCTGGCCAACATGGCAAAACCCCATCTTTACTAAAAATACAAAAGTTAGTCGGGCATAGTGGTGCACCCCTGTAGTCCCAGCTACTCGGGAGGCTGAGGCAGGAGAATTGCTTGAACCTGGAAGGTGGAGGTTGCAGTGAGCTGAGACCACGCCATTGCACTCCAGCCTAGGCAACAGAGCAAGACTCTGTCTCAAATAAATAAATTAAATTAAATTTAAATGCAAAAATTAGCCAGGTGTGGTGGCAGGCGGCTGTAATCCCAGCTACTCAGGAGGTTGAGGCAGGAGAATCACTTGAACCTGGGAGGCAGAGGTTGCAGTGAGCTGAGATCATGCCACCGCACTCCAGCCTGGGTGACAGAGTAGGATTCTGTCTCAAAAAAAAAAAAAAAAAAAAAGTAAATTAATCTCAAGAGCGAAGTTTACTCTGCTATGAATTTTGGTATAAATTTATCTCTACTACTATATAGTAAACAAATTATTATTATTGTTACTTTTTTTTGAGACAGAGTCTCGCTCTTTCACCCAGGCTGGAGTGCAGTGGTGCAATCTCGGCTCACTGTAACCTCCGTCTCCCGGGTTCAAGCAGTTCTCCTGCCTCAGCCTCCCAAGTAGCTGGGACTACAGGTGCACACCACCATGCCCGTCTAATTTTTTGTATTTTAGTAGAGACGGGGTTTCACTGTGTTGCCCAGGCTGGTCTTGAACTCCTGAGCTCAGGCACTCTGCCTGCCTCAGCCTCCCAAAGTGCTGGGATTACAGGCGTCAGCCACCATGCCTGGCCAACAAATCACAATTTTTGAAAGTCATTCAGAACTGGCTGTGTGGCCCTCTGGTTTAGTTCAATGATAAAGCTACATTGTTTTGAAAACTGTTAATTTGACGTATATTCTATTAAATTTAATTCACCTACAATTGATAATGAACAAATTCAGTATGTTATATAAAAAACAAGTAGAAAGAAAATGGTGATGATCGTATAGTTTTTTATAATGTTCTTTAAAGCTCAGTTTCATGTGTTAATCCTTATTTTATGTGGAATTTATTATTATTATACCCTTTCAGCTTGTATGAGTTCTTCTATGAATAGTCAAGCTTCATTGGACAACACAGATGATGAACAACCAAAACAACCAATTAAAACTACAATGTTATTGAAAATTCAGCAAAACATAGGTATTTAATTTTACTTCTTTTATAACACTGAAAACATATTTAGATTTGAGTTTTCTTGTTACTTTAAGATCTTTGTATTTCATTTCTCTTTCTTAAGATTGCTAGACTTAACAGTATTTATTGGGTATTATGGAAAGTACCAGGCCCTAGAGATAGGAAGATTTATAATTCATACATTGTCATCTAAGTGCCCTCAAAGATGACACATCCTATTAATTTTTAAAACGTTCTTAAAAGAAAAAGCTGCAGAGTTTTGGGAATCAGTTAATATAGTAGGGCTAATGTTTTACAAACGGGTGTTCTTAGAATTACTATTGCAGGAGATTTTGATAGGTGTTCTATGACAAACAACGTTAAATTCAAGTCAGGAATTTTATAATGTATTTTTATATTTTAAAGGCTCTAAGAATTACTTTAACAGTTTTCAGAATTTTTGAACAAGGAACATGCAGACTATTGTTTAGTGGAGTAACAATTTGAGAAATACTAAGTTTTAAGACTTCTGACTGAGAGTTAGGAGCCAGAAGATTTAATTGTAGTTCTTGTCATTCATTAGATAAATTTAATTAATTTTTTTGTACATGTGTGTGTGTCTGTCTGTCTGTCTGGACTACTATGGTCATTTTCTTTCTTTCTTTTTTTTTTTTTTTTTTTGAGACGGAGTCTCGCTCTGTCGCCCAGGCTGGAGTGCAGTGGCGCAATCTCGGCTCACTGCAAGCTCCGCTTCCCGGGTTCACGCCATTCTCCTGCCTCAGCCTCCCGAGTAGCTGGGACTACAGGCGCCCGCCACCGCGCCCGGCTAATTTTTTGTATTTTTAGTAGAGATGGGGATTTTCTTTCTTTAGCTTACTATAATCAGGAAAAAATAAAAGTTACAACTTAGATGTACTAATTATTAGATTTTATAATGGTCGAACATGGACTTCTGCAGTTTTCAGTAGCTACACAAGTTACACAGGTGGCTTTATATTATAATGATTGAGAACTACTGCCTACTGGAGCTGCCGTTTTCTTTTAACCTACGTAGCATAAGACAGCTGGTATGCCAATATAAATATTTATATAAGCCCTTTAAAGTGTTTGTTATTTTTTCTCTTAGATACGTCTCAGTGCACATGTGTGCAAGAGAGATACTTTGTCCAACATTTGAAATCTAGTTTTTCAACTAATTGCTGTATTTTTCTCTAAGATGTTGCTGCCTTTTAGTATATACATATGTATGTCTATGTATGATTGTGTGTTTGTGTATTGTTTTTTAGGCCCATCAGTTACCCACATTTCAGAGCCTAGGATTAGTTTGGCCTTTCTTTTGCTCATTCCATTTTCATTTGTTCTGTGTTTGTTTTACTTTTAGGTGTGATTGCAGCATTTACAGTTGCAGTCCTTGCTGCGGGTATCTCCTTTCATTACTTCAGTGATTAGGGTGAGGCACAAAGAGTTTCTTGATCATCCAGAGAACATTGACAGACAATTATGAATAATAAAGATGTTAACAATCCATCTGTATTTAAAACACTAGCAGCCAGATCTGCTGCCATGATGCCTATTTGGTGTGTTTCTGATTAAAATGAAATCACAAGCTGCCTTGTTTAGCCTGCTTTACATTGTAGGTGGCCCGCATTTCCAGAAATAACGTTATGCATCTAGATGGAAGCTGCATGTAACAAATCATTATTATCTATTTTTAAAAGCTTCAAAATGATGGGATATGATCATAGATTTTAGTCTTACTAATCTGAATCACATATTAATCAGGACATTAAAAACTTTAACAGAGGCATGATGGCTCACACGTATAATCCTAATGCTTTGAGAGGCTGAGGTAGGAGCATCACCTGGGGCTGGGAGGGAGTTGGAGACCAGCCTGGATGACATAATGAGATTCTGTCTCTACTGGAAAAAAAAAAAATTAGCTGGACATGGTGGCAATCAGCTCTAGTCCCAACTACTTGGAGGCTGAAGCAGGAAGATCACGTGAGCCCAGGAGTTTGAGGCTGCAGCGAGCTATGATCACATCACTGTACTCCAGCCTGGGTGACAAAATGAGACATTGTCTCTAAAATACATAAGTAAATTTAAAAAAAAAAGAATAATAATTTGAACAGTGAATGTTGATGTAACATCTTAATAATAGAGCACCAGAAAAATTTCTACCAAATGAGACAACAACTTTAGGATAAGTTCATCCTCTAGGAGCTTTCTAATGTGCACTCAGTTCCTGTATACTGTGTGTTTTGTTCTGATCAAGGGGTAGGGAACCTTTCCAGAGAAGTCCCATTAGTAAGAAATGACATAAAATACGTGCTTTCTCAGGTTACTGTATAACTGTTATAATATATTTAATATATAAAATTAAGACTTTTGCTTCCAGCAAGTATGTTAGACTAGATATTATAAAACAACTAGATCCTGAATAAAATCTGCTTTTAATAGGTTCACTGGAAGTAGGAGAATTTTCAAGAACCATACTTCGACATTTCCTCTGCCACAAAAAATGAACGCATTTTAAGTTAGGAGTCATGAATACTGTATTGACCATACAAGTGGATTATGGTTGTCTGGATGGCAGATACCAATAGCAACATTGTCATATGCAGTTTGCCTCAAATCAGAAACAAGAAGACATCGGAATCTGAGATGCTGCCCTAGAGAGGACAGTTAAAGAAGGTTCAGTGGTCCTCAGTTTGCAGTGCTCTAGCTCCTGGCAGAAGCAAGAGGGAAACATTCCTAATTTAGTTCCAAGATTCCTACAGATTATTATCAAGTAGTAGTATTTTATGACTAGAGATCACAGGCACAAGTTGAAACAAACTAACATGACAAGAAAGCTATAGAAAAAATAAACATTGAACTCAGTTCTTCAAGGTTTCATCACCAACATAAGGAATGAAGTTGGAACCACAGGCAGATCTGAAAAAGAACCAAATAGAGCTCCTAAAAATGAGAAATATTTATTGAAATAAGAAAAAAGCCCTCAGACATGTTGAATATTTTATTAGACTCAGCTGAAGAGACAAGTGAACTAAACTATAAGCTGGATCTAAAGAAATTACCCAGTGAGCAGTGAGGAGAAACAAGGAGCTAGAAAACATTGGAAAGTTAAGAGAGTTCGAGGGAAGAATTATAAAGACTAGGAGTCCTAGAAAGAGAAAATTTAGAGAATAAAGGAGAGGCAGTACTTGAAAGATAACACAATTTTACAAATTTGTTGGAAAAACATGAATTCATAAATTCAGGAAGCACAATATATACCAAACATATATTTAAATAAAATCCAGGCCTAGACTCAAGGTATTGTAAATGACAAGATACCAAATACAAGATTTTAAAAGCAACCATGGGGAGAAAAAGATCAGTGAAAGCAAGACAGTCAAATACTTAGTAGGCTTCCTAACAGCAACAATGTACCCAAAAGAGGGTAGAATTCTGAGAAAAACTATTAGCTTAGAATTTGCAACAAGCGAAACTGAAACAAACAGATGCTCAGATGAAAAACAGATGTTATCCTCAGCACAAATTCAGTAAAGAGACTACAAAAGGATGATCTTCAAGAAGGGAAATGATTCTAAAAGGATTATCTGAAATTGAAAAACTAGTAAGCAAATAAATGATAAACATAAGTAAATTTAAACTGTTGTTTGTATAAAACAATTATAATGAAGTGTTTATAAGAAATTGTAAACAAATGTAAAACTAAATAAACATTGTTATGCAACATTAATAATGTGGAATTTTTAAATAAGGATATAATTGTAAAATTGGATAATAGCTGCTGGCTGGCAGAAGGGTGATTGGAATTAGAGTGGTCTGAGGTTCTTTTATTCAGAAAACTGGTTAAGATACTGTTTAACCTTAAAATTGACTATGTTATAATAAATATGTGTAGTCAAGAGTTCAAGGGTAACTGCCACAACAATAGATAGGGGATCGGCCAGGCACGGTGGCTCACACTTATAATCAGCACTTTTGGAGGCTGAGGCAGGCAGATCACTTGGGGTCAGGAGTTCCAGACCAGCCTGGCCAACATGGTGAAATCCCGTTCTACCAAAATACACAAAAATCAGCTGCGTGTGATGGCATGCGCCTGTAATCCTAGCTACTCTGGAGGCTGAGGTGGGAGAATCACTTGAACCAGGGAGGCGAAGGTTGCAGTGAGGAGATTGCACCACTGCACTCCAGCCTGGGTGACAGAGTGAGACTCTATCTCAAAAAAAAAAAAAAAAAAATGATGAATCATTCCAAAGGAAAAGAAATTTATTTAAAATACAGAATAGGTATGCAATAACCTAGTACAAATAAAGAAAGAAATTATGGAGGCGGGTGGGGGGTGAAGTTAGAAAGTAAGATAATAACAAGTCTAATATTAAAATGAATATGAATAGACAATTACCCAATTAAATGATAGCATTGGTCAGATTTTTTTAAAAACCCAACTAGGCTGTTTAAAATAAAACACCTAAAATATTAGACATGGGGAGGTTGAAAGTAAAAAAAAAATTTTTTTTAAATGAAGTAGGTAAATACTAAAAACTTGTGTAGCTTTAGTGATATTAAATCACAATAATTAGATTTATGATATTAAAGATTGAGAAGGCCATTAAAAATAAAGGATCAATTTACTAGGTCTATATAATAATTTTCAGTGTGCATTCACCATATGAAATGGCCCCAAAATGTATGAACTGAAGCAACAATAGGGCTGAAGCAACAAAATGAGCAATAATGGGAGATTTCAACAACTAATTAATGATAAAGAATTAGTGAAAGCATTTTAATGTAATTAATACTGATTCAATAAACATTTAGAATAATGTATTAAACAATTAAAGAATATTTTTCTTAAGCATTGTATATTAGCAAAACTGGACCCTGTATTTTAAGCATGAGGCAAGTCACAAAACATCAAATAATTGGTATTAAATGGATAATCAGAAGCAAGTAGAGGTCAGTAATAAAGGTTAATTTTTTTTAAATATTACATTTACATGTTTAGATCTTCACAGAGGAGAAAAAGAAATACTTAAAGCCTAGTTACAAGTAATATATATTTTTAAATTGGGTATTGTAGCTGAAACAGCACTTTGAGGGAAATGGCTTTAAATGCTTAAGGGAAAAGACTAAATGTGCAACTTAGAAAAACAATAGCGAAAGCAATGTAGAAGCAAGGAAATACAGGAAAGGGAATAAATCAATGAATTAGAAACTGATAAAGAATTATATGTTAAAGTTGTTATCATGACAAACAGTAAAACGCATAATTGAACAAGATGAAACGGGACACAAAGATTGAAAAAGGGGTCCAAATCCATTGATAAAGCAGGGATGAAAAGGTGACTACCAGGAACATCTTAATGCTAATGTATTTGAAAACTTAGACAAAATAGACCAAACTCTAGAAAACTGCAATTTACTTAAATTGGCTCAGGAAGAAATAGAAAAGCTGAATATACTTATTCATAGGTTGAATAGTAAACAATAATTAACTTTTTGACAAGACCTGGCACAGGTCTTTCAAGGGGGGTAAAATTCTAACATTTTATACAAGCTCTTTCAAAAATAGCTAATGAGGGAATACTTGCCAGCATATTGTGTGAGGTTGATATAACTTACTGATATTAAATCAGAGACATTCAGTAGGAGAAAAGAAAATTACAGGCTGATAGCACTTACTAACACTTGTAAAGTCAAAAGCACTATTAATAAACTTTGACAAAACAGTGCATCATGACTAAGTTGTATACTTTAAAAATCAGGAACACAAGGGTGGCTATTATCACCACTACTTGTGCTTTTTTTTTTTTTTTTTTTTTTTTTTTTTAAGATGGAGTCTCGCTCTGTCACCCAGGTTGGAGTGCAGTTGCGTGATCTCGGCTCACTGCGGTCTCCATCTCCCAGGTTCAAGCAATTCTCTTGCCTCAACCTCCCGAGTAGCTGGGATTACAGGTGCCCACCACCACGCCCGGCTAATTTTTATATTTTTAGTACAGACAGGGTTTCACCAAGATGTCCAGGCTGGTCTTAAACTCCTGACCTGAGGTGATCTGCCTGCCTCGGCCTCCTAAAGTGCTGGGATTACAGGTGTGAGCCACTGCACCCGGCCACCACTTCTATTTATCATTGTCCTGTAGAAAAATAAGCAAATGACAAACCAGGTATTTTCAGAGGATATGACTGAACACATGAAAAGAAGTTTTACCTTGTAAGTGATTGGCTAATTAAAACCATAATTAATAACATTTTACATTCAATAGATTGAAAAATTAAGGAATACAACAATACCAATAAAGATGATGTGCCTCAGTCTTTCACACTGCAGATAGGATTTTGAACTGATAGACTCTGAGCTCAGAAAGCAATTTGGCACTATCTCTTAGAGTTAAGAATTCACGTACACTAACCATTCTACCTCTACATAAATGCCTTAGAGAAATTCTTGGATATGTGTACCTCAAGAGTACACATGTGAGAATGCTTGTGGCAGCCCTGTTTTTAATTACTCAAATGTCCGTTGACAACAAAAAACAAATTACGGGTTTTGTAATTTTATTCAGCAGGGAGAATGACCTACATACAACAACCCAGAGTAATCTTAAAAATGATAAAGCAAGTCTCAGAAGTCTACATACAGTATGCTACAGTTTTTATAAAGCTATAAAAGAAACCTAAACTGTATTATGTAGGAATATGTATATTTGTGATAAAACTTTTTCTTTTAAAGGAGTCATAAAACTCAGGATAGTGGCAAGGTGTAACACATGAATACATAAAACAATATTAGTGATACTTTCGTTCTTGAGTAATGGGTTTCTTGATCTTCATTTCATTTACTTAATGGCACTAACATAAATTTTGGGTGGGGTTGTCTGTTACTAACAAACTACCCTCAAACTTAATTAGCTTAAAATAACAACCATTTCACTTGCCTCAATGCTGTGAGTTGATAGGAATCAGCTGGGTGGTTTTGCGCCACATGATGGTGACTTTAGCTGCAGTTATCTAGGGGCTGGATTGGGCTTGAAACATCTGAGATACTCATGCACATGATTGGCAGTTAATGGTGGCTATCAGCTGGGAATTCAGCTGCCACATCTCAGTTTATGTGGCTTCTCCATGGGACTTGGAGTTCTTCCAGTCGTGGTGGCTGGGCTTGCTATCATTTATGGCTGGGATCCAAGAAGCAGCATCCCAAGTATAAGCATTTCAAGAAGAGGAAAGTAGAAGCTAAGTCCTTTTGGGGCCTTAGCTTGGAAATCCCAGAACATTATTTTCACCACATTGTATTGGTCAAAGTAATCTACAGGGTCAGCCTAGATTAAAGAAAAAAAAAAAAAACCCCTTTTTGATGGGAAGGGGTCATGCATACACGAGCAAGAAAGAAATTGATGGCAGAAATCTTTGGTAGTTACAATGTACCCCCTGGTCATAGTAATTTGTGTTCCTGATGGAAAATTATTTCACTACCTCCTAGGAAACCTTAAAGTCTCATCTCAATATGACATCAAGTTCAAGCTCAAGACCCAGAATCTCATGATCTAAACCAGTTTCAGTAACATATGAGGCACCTTTACTACAGTTTCCCTCAATCCGAAGATGTGTGAAACTAAAGACAAGTTTTCTTTCCCATATTCACCCAGCCTACGATGGTGAGTCAGGCAATATACACTCTTGTTTAAAAAAGAGGAAAAATGAGAGGTACATAGCAGTGAATGGTTCATAGCAATTCTGAACTCCAATTGGGCACGTCTAATTCCTTATGATTCTGGGAGCACAGAATGTATGTCAATTAGGGCCTAATTCTACCTGAGAGTGGTTCTCAACTCTTGGCTCTTCCCTGTAAGATCTTGACTTTGCTCTGAGTCATTCTTTTCCATGACTTTTCCATTAGAAAATCCATACTCATCTCTTCAAGACAGGCCTGTCTCTAATTTGAACTCAGAGGATGTTGAGGAACAGCACCCTTAACTACCTTAGATACTCATTATCGAGCAAAGTAATCTACAAAATGTGCTCATAAGATTCTTAGAAGTCTTTTTGTCTAGCTAAGAGGTCTATGAGGCACTGGCTTAAATATTTCTGAAACCTTAAAGGATATTACAGATGCACCGTTGATCCTAAATTATCCTAATTCTATGGTTTACTAACAATTCTTGATTTGATCTTTGCCATAAGGTGATTTCTTCCTTGAGAACCTCTTGCTGGCTGGAAAAGATGTTCTACACACTTTAAATATTCTATAAATTTTGCTCCAAAACTGAACAGTTTCTTAGTTTATTTCTCTCTTCTCCTGTTTGATGATAGGCAGCTAGAAGTAGTCAGGTGGCATTTTCCATGTTTGCCTGGAAGTCTCCTTGGATAGATTCACAAATTTATTAGGTTATGTTTTCCCTTTAGCAATTGCCATGAGCTTATTAGTTCTACCTTTCACGTTACTGCAAATGAAAGTGTTGCCTTTCTGTTTTCTCATTGATCTTCTAGCCACCACTGTCTGTATTTCCTGTTTAATTCCAAAGTTGAGGCTACGTAAGTTTTGGGTTTGACCAAGTGGCACCCTATTTCTAGATACCAGTTTCTATTGCAGTTATCTTTTGCTCCACAACAAACAACCTCAAAACTTAGTGGCTTAAAGCAACCATTTTGTTAACTCATGACTCTTTGTATAGAAGGAACTTAGCTGACTCAGTTGGGTGGCCCTGCTCCACGTGATGCTGTGTGGGGTATTCAATTATCTAAAGGCTGTGATATCCAAGACAGTTCATCCACATGGTTGACAGTTTATCTGGTTTTCCTTCACGTGACTTTTCCAAAGAGTTTGGCTTCCCACAGCATGGTGATTGAATTCCAAAAGGGAGTGTTCCAAGATTCAGTGTTCAGAGATGAAAGATGTGGAAACTGTTCATCCTCTCAAGGCCTGGTCTTCTCAGAAGTTCCAGAATGTCACTCTTTGCATTCTACTGGTCAAAGCAAACACAGATCCAGTCCAGTTTCCACAGGAGAGGAAAAAGAAGCCCATATCTCATTGGGGAAGTGGCATATGCTTGTAGAGAGAGAAAGAATTGATGGCAGTCATTACTGGAGATTTGTAACTACACATTTTTAGTATATGTCAAAAAAAGAAGATTGAAAATATAATCATACCTCAGAGATATTGTGGGCTGGGTCCCAGACAACCAAAACTAAGCTAATATCATAATCAAGTCACAATTTTTTTTTGTTTTCCCAGTGCATATAAAATTATTTTTATACTGTAGTCTAGTAAGTGCACAATAGCAGTATGTCTAAATAACAATGTATATACCTTAATTTAAAAATACTTTGCTGCTAAAAATAAAAGTGGCAATCCTCTGACCTTTCAGCCATAATCTTTTTGACCTTCAGTCATAATCTTCATAACCTTCAGTCATAATCTTTTTGATGGTGGAAGGTTTTTGTCTTGATGTTGATGGCTGTTGACTGATTAGGGTGGTGGTTGCTGAAGGTTGGGGTGGCCATGGCAATTTCTTGAAAGACAATGACATTTGCCACATCAATTGACTCTTCTTTTCATGAAAGATTTTTCTGTAGCAGGTGATGCCATTTGATAGCATTTTACCCACAGTAAAACTTTCAGAATTGGAGTCAGTCCCCTCAAACCCTATGGCTTCTTTTTCAACTAAGTTTGTGTGACATTCTGAATCCTTTGTTGTCATTTCAACAGTGTTCACAGCATCTTTGCCAGGAGTAGGTTCTATCTCCAGAAGCCACTTTATTTGCTCATCCTTAAGAAACAACTCCTCATTCATTCAAGTTTTATCATGATATCGCACCAATTTAGTCACATCTTTAGGCTCCACTTCTAATTCTAGTTCTTTTGCTAATTCTATCACATCTGTAATTACTTCTTCCACTGAAGTCTTGAGCCCCCTCAGTCATTCATGAGGGTTGGAATAAAATTCTTCCAAACTCCTGTTAATGTTGATATTTTCACCTGCTTCCATGAGTCACAAATGTTCTTAATGACATGTAGAATGATTAAGCTTTTCCAAAGTATTTTCAATTTAGTTTGTCCAGATCCATCAGAGGAATCACTATCTTTGGCAGCTATCACCTTACAAAATGTATTTCTTAAATAATAAAAGTTGAAAGTCAGAACTACTTCTTGATCCATGGTCTGAAGAATAGATGTTGTATTTGTAGGTATGAAACAAACGTTAATCTCTGCATATCTCCATAAGAGCTCTTGGAATAATATTTTGAAAGGAATCGTTTTCTGAGCATTAAGTTTCAACAGTGGGCTTAAAATATTCAGTAAAACATGAGGAAAGTAGACGTGCTGTCATCCAAGCTTTACTTTTCATTGGTAGAGCATGGACAAAGTAGATTTTGCATAATCCTTAAGCGCCCTAGGATTTTTGGAATGGCAAAGGAGCTTTGGCTTCAACTTAAAGTCACCAGGTGCATTGGCCCCTAAAACAAGAGTCCGTCTGTCCTTTGAAGCTTTGAAGTCAGGCATTGACTTCTCCTCTCTAGCTATGAAAGTAGATGGGATCTTCTTCCAATAGAAGACTGTTTAATCTACATTGAAAATCTATTGTTTAGCCACCTTCATTGGTTATCTTACATAGATCTTCTGGATAACTTGCTGCAGCTTCTACATCAGTACTTGCTGTTTCACCTTGTACTTTTATGTTATTGAGATAGCTTCTCTCCTTAAACCCCATGAACCAACCTCTGCTAGCTTCAGACTTCTTCTGCTTCCTCACCTCTCTTAGTCTTCACAGAATTGAAGAGAGTTAGGGCCTTGCTCTGGACTAGGCTTTGTCTTAAGGGAATGTTGTGGCTGGTTTGATCTATCTAAACCACTCAGACTTTCTCCATATAAGCAATAAGGCTATTTCACTTATTCATATGTTCACTGGAGTAGCACTTTTAATTTCTTTCAAGAACTTTTCCTTTGCACTCACAACTTGGCTGTTTGTTGCAAGAGGCTTAGCTTTCAGCCCGTCTTGTCTTTCGACATGCCTTCCTCATTTAGCTTAATCATTTCTAGCTTTTGGTTTAAAGTGAGAGACATATACCTCTTTCTTTCACTTGGACACTTACAGGCCATTGTAGGGTTATCAACTGGCCTAATAATAATAATATTGTGTTTCAGAGAATAGGGATAGGGAGAAAGACAGGGAAATGACTGATTGGTTGAGTAATCAGAACACACACAATTTTATCAATTAAGTTTGCCATCTTATATGGGCATGGTTCATGGAACCCCAAAACAATTATAATAGTGACATCAAAGTCACTGATTACAGATCACTGTAACAGATATAATAAGGCTGGGCATGGTGGCTCATTCCTATAATCCGAGCACTTTGGCGAGTAAATCACTTGAGCCTGGGAGTTCAAGACCACTCTAGGCAACGTGATGAAATCTTGTCTCTACAAAAAGAAAAACAACAACACCAAACAAAAATTAACTGGTTGTGGTTGGCACATGCCTGTAGTCCCAGCTACTTGGGAGACTGAGGTGGGAAGACCACCTAAGCCTGGGAGGCCGAGGCTGCAGTGAGCCATGATTGTGCAACTGCATTCCAGCCTGAGTGCACACACTGAGCCTGGGTGACACACTGAGACTCTGTCTCAAGAAAAAAAAAAGACAATGAAAATGAAGAAGTTTGAAATATTACAAGAGTTACCAATATGTGATACATAGACAGAAAATGAGCATATACTGTTGGAAAAATTACGATAGACTTGCTTGATGCAGGGTTGTAAAAACTTTCTACTTGTAAAAAATGAGGTATATGTGAAATGCAATAAAGCCAACTACAATAAAATAAGATATGCATGTTTAGGAGAAAGAACAGACAAAAGAGTTCCCTAAAGAAATAGTTACTACAAAAAAAAATCCACATATGACCCTTAATCGCAGTCTGTCTTTTACTACAGTGCCTCTGTCTTCCTCTTTTTCACTGTGACAATTCTGGGGACAAATAAAATGTCTTTTCTTTTACCTACCCCTACAATCCTCAATAGTCAATAGGTTCATGACTATATCACCAACATAGCTAGGAATAATCAAGCCCTATTATAATATAATGTCATTATGTTTGCTGACTCTTACCTAAAAGATTTGTCTAAATATAAATTAACCAATGCATAATAAATACCTGGTAAGTTGTTCTTGATTTCTGATTTTAACCTAATAAATAATTATGTTGGAAATATCAAGTCTGTTAATGAATATTAATCAAAGGTGGTCAATGAGGTCTCATAAAATTTATAACATTTTATTAAAAGGTAAATTAATATGTTAATAGGTATTGATTTGTTAGTTGTTAAGAACAAAGGATGAAAGTAGAGTTAGAAGTTACAGTTGTTTGTTTTTGCCATTTTGAAAGTGTTTCAGTTTCATTATTTCATTGGATTTTTATAACAGTTTTGTATTGTATGTAGGGAAAAGATTTGTTAGATTCAAATTGTATTAATATAATAGAAATAGACTTTGATTATTATTCATAAGGACACATAGAGTAGATATTTGGGTAAATAACTATTATCTTTGTCTTAATAATCAGAAGTAGATTATTTCTTCTTTTTTCATCTTTGTAAAAATATAGGTATTTTATTTACTTAACACCATTAAATGAAGCTAGATTTTGTACTGTACTATGGAACTTCTGATCCCAGAAGAGCACTGTACAAAAATCCTTAATTAAAAAGGCTTGGTATTTTAGAAAACTATCCTTTATTCAACTTGCTCAATTTGTTGAGGAGATTTTTTGTTTACAGAATGGTGAAGAGGAACTTAATGATAGAGATGAAGGTAGTTTAATCAGGTCTTAGATTCTATTTTAGGCAAATCCAATTTAGTTGTAGAAACACCAGATGCCTACCCCCATGATTAAAATTCTGAATGTCAATAAGCTAAGATGTTAGACTGCAATTTCTGTGTTTAACAAAAATAACCAACATAATTTTAATATTTTTTTCTGTGCTTTCAAGTTAGCACTATTAAAATATTTTCTAGTTTTTAATTATAAGTAGTTAATAATTATGGAGAATTGAGTTATATTCCTAGATCTGCCAAAAGAAAAATAATAAAACCTTGTGAAGTCAGTTAATTCCTTTGATCTTTAAGTGGGAACAAATTCTAACATTACACTAACTCTCAATAAATAGTGCTTTACAGTTTACAAAGTATTTTCATTTCTATGTCACCCTCCCTCCCTTTTTTTTTTTTTGTTTTAATAATTCAGAAACAGGTTCAGGAAAGTCATTTTCTAAGCCTAAATATTACTGTGCATATACAGATTAAGGGGAAACATACTGATGAAAGGGAATAATTAAGCGTGTAGAAACAAGATAGATGACTGTACACAACTAAGAAAACATAAACATAAGATTTTTGGAATGTTGGAGAGGATACACTTTAAAGCACAGGTGGCTCTTGGCCTTTAGAGAAGGAACACCTCTTCTAGCATAATAGCTCAGAGGGGGAAGAAAATAGGTGTAAATATATACGGACTTGTAGGTGTGCTGGTGAAAAGTTGAAGATAATCTCATCTGATGCTTCAGATTTCTATAAAATTGTCAAGGTCATCTTCCAAGAGTGAAGGATGATGAAAATAAAGATTTGTAAGAAGTATTGCAAAGAATGGAATATCAAGTGGCCAAAGAAAAATCGTGGAATTGCCAGAGAGTGGTAAAAATCCTTCTGAGGTTAGTAATCACATGATTAAGTTGTGTATTTTTCCCCCAGCAATCTTTGTCTTCTCGGATTCAAGAATAGAAAAAAATGAAGAGCAATATTTGGGAGGCTTATCTAATAGACAGATGAGTTGAAATTAAAAAAGGTCATAGAAATTTAGTTTAATGATGGCCACAAAACTTAAGCAGAAAGGTAGAGTAATTAGAAGGTCAATATTTGTCAGTTGCAAGGATGGAAAAAAAGTGATACATACAAATAGCATGACCCTAAAAGATATGTAGTATTTTTATGGAAGCCAATGAGAAGAATAATCTGGGGTAAGGGATAGTGTCACTAATGATATTTGAATTCTGAAATAATACAAAATCACCATTTGCAAGCTTAAAGAGAAAGTGTACCCTCTTTGAAGAGGCAGATTTCAGTAATGGCAAAGATGTGGAAGGAATTCTTGGATAAAAGGTTGAAAATAGAGGGAAATTCTGATTTTAGAGAGCAAGGAAGTACAGACTTTCATGGGGATGGTGTAGTAGAGTATTAAGGCGAAGGGCAAGCTGGGAGTGGGCAGGAAGTAGGGAGTGGGAAAAGTTGGTAGGGGGCTTATGTTTTAGATACTGATTGTGATTAATGCAAGATTAAGAATCATGGTGGGTTCAGTTTCATAGTTTTTGAGGATGTTAGATTCTGGTTCTAATAAAGAATTTGTCTCATTCAGCCTAAGTGAGTAATTACCTCAGTGGGAACAAGTTTTGGTAGCTTCTCATATATGGCTTGGAGGTGGGAGGGGACCTAGGTATTGATGCCAGCAACTAAAGACATTAAGGCTACAGTAGGAACATAACCTATAGCTACAAACTGTGAGCTTTATATATCCAACCTTATATTCCAGGTAGAAATCCAACTTGATCATGTTTTATCTTTTACATACACTGTTGGATTTGACTTGCTAATATTTTATTTAAATTTTTTGTTTCCATACTTGTGGAAATATTAGCCTGTAATTTTCCCTTCTCATACTGCCCTTGTCCAGTTTTGGTACAAAGATTATATGAGTTTAATAAAATGAGTTGATAATTATTCTCCTTTTCTGTTCTCTGAAAAAGCCTGTGTAAAATAATGTTTCTTTTCAGATTGATAGAATTAACTTATAAATACATCTAGGCCCTGTGTTTTTTTGGGGGGTAATATTTTGTTAACTACTGTTCTGGTTTCTTTGCTGGTTACAGGGCTATTCAGACTTTCTATTTGTCTTAAATCAATTCTGGTAAATTATATTTTTCTAGAAATCTATTTTTTTTGTTTTCAAATTTGTTGGCATTAAGTTGCTCATAATATTTTATATCATTTTTATCTCAGCTCTATCTAAGCATGTGTTTTAAAAAATTTTTTTAATGTTGTTTATTTATGCTTTTCTCATAGCCACCACACCCCCTGCAGTGAATCTGGCAGATTTTTTTTTTTTTTTCTTGAGACGGAGTCTCACTCTGTCACCCAGGCTAGAGTGCAATGGTGTGGTCTCGGCTCACTGCAACCTCCACTTCCTGGGTTCAAGCAATTCTCCTGCCTCAGCCTCCTGAGTAGCTGGGACTACAGGCGCATGGCAACACACCAGGCTAATTTTTGTATTTTTAGTAGAGATGGGGTTTCACCATGTTGGTCAGGCTGGTCTCGAACTCCTGACCTCAAGATCCATCCGCCTCAGCCTCCCAAAGTGCTGGGATTACAGGTGTGAGCTACCGCACCCGGCCAGATATTTAAAAATCTTATTAGAGAACCAATTTTTGGCATGTGAATTCTATCTATAAAATTTATATTAATTTATGCATGTACTTATTTCCTTATGTTTGTACTTTGTGGGTTTGCTTTATTTTCTTAACTTAGTTGGAAACTCAGGCCATTTGTTTTAAGTCTTCTTTTGTAATTTATGTTTTTAATAGTAATATTTTCTTGATGTTCCAAAGTTTTGATATAAAATACTCTTATTTTTTTTTAAGTTTTAAGAATTTCAGATTTCCAGTATAATTTATTCCTTGAACACAGAAGTTATTTAGATGTATGTGTATTTATTATTAATAGCAAATACATATTTGTAATTAATTTCTACTTAATTGCATTGTGGTCCTAAAGAGTAATTTGTCTTACAGTATACTAGTTCATTATTAACTTTTGAAAATGTTCCTTGTGTGTTGGAGGTGGAAAAGTGGCTACTTTACTAATTATTAGTTACAATGCTTTATTTTTATTATTTTATTATTATTATTTTGAGACAGAGTCTCACTCTGTGGCGCAGACTGGAGTGCACTGGTGTGATCTCAGCTCACTGCAACCTCTGCCACTTGGGTTCAAGCGATTCTCTTGCCTCAGCCTTCCAAGTAGCTGGGATTACAGGTGCCTGCCACCACACCTGGCTAATTTTTGTATTTTCAGTAGAGACGGGTTTCGCCATGTTGCCAGGCTGGTCTTGAACTCCTGACCTCAGGTGATCCACCCACCTCGGCCTCCCAAAGTGCTGGGATTATAGGCATGAGCCACCGCGCCTGGCCAGTTGCAGTGTTTTTAATATGTCCTTTAGATCAAACTTGTTAATTCTGTGGTTAATATCTACATAGATACTAATTTTTTGTTACGCGATCTAGCAAAGGTTCAAAGAACTGCACTGAAATTTCTGATGGTGGATTGCCACTTTTTTCCTGTAGTCTGTCAGTTTTTACTATGTATATTCTGTGACATTTTATTAGCCATATATATGTTTAAAATTTTTAGATCATCCTAGTGGTACTGTACCATTTTATAGTTATGTAATAATGTAAGTAATATTATGTATATAAGATATATTTCTATATCTAATAATGCTTTTTCTCTTTAAATGTATTTGTCTGATATTAATTGATACTTGCTTAAAGAATTGTATTTGCTAGATATAGTTTTTCCATCATTTTACATCTTGCTTTTCTGTATCCTTATGTTTTGAATGTATCTCTTTTGAATAGCCAATACCTGGGTTTAAAAAATGTCTAATTAGACAATATATACCTCATAACTGTTAAATTGAAATCATTTATGGTTTTTGTTACTATTATTATGTTTGGAATGATTGCCTCTTTAAATTCTTACTCTGGAACTGGAAAGAATGGTAAAATAACTCTGGTTTCAAATAGAAACTCCTTGCTGCTCCTTCAGAGAAAGCCAAATGGAGGTTTAAAAGTCCTTTCCATTTCCCTACCAAAACAAAAGCAACAAAAAAGAAAATTAAAAATCCTCATTCTCTGGAAATGCTTGAAGAAGGGAAAAAATAAATTGGAGATACAATGATTGGCAAAAATGACATCTTTATTTATTTTTAATAAAAGATAAATGTAATGTAGAGCCATGGCCTTATTCTTCTAAACTTCTGTGGGACTTACACAGTTTATTATGTAAGTCTCTGTAATTCAAGTTACCCGGAAAGTTCAATTTCATGTGTGATTATTATTGCCTATTGAAAGTGCATCTGATTTGTTATAACAGGAACCCTGTAGGGGAAATAATTGTATGTTGTTAGCAATGAATATATGTAAACCTTTAAAAATGAATTAATGTTTTTGATATAGCATGTTTAATTCAAGCTAGTCTGTGTTCAATTATTGGAAGCAGGGAGTGAACGCTCTAAGAAATAAAATAACCTAGGGTGAAACACCTTATTTTATGAAAAACTAATTTTTAGGAGCATTTTCTTTTATACTATGTAAAAAAATCCCTGAAAGATGAACAGACTTTGACAGCTGTTATAGGTGAGAGCCTCAAGTAAAGATAAAATTAAATGTTTTCCTTAAATGCTATTGCCCAAATAATGAATATCCATAATTGAAAACTGAGATTACCTTATACTTTGCTTTGTTCTCTCTGCCAGAGTCCTACCCACTGTATTAGTTGTTAGAGTTGTGGAACTTAACCGAAGCTTTCTCTGGATTCCAGGTAACTTTGTTCTTTTGTTTTTGTTTTTTTCCTGCAGAATCGATATATGGGCCTGAAATATATTAAGGTAGATCTTCTAATCTTAGATAATCCTGAATTTTTTTGTTAATGCATTCTTTGCATTGATGATTGCCAGTATGAAGTATGCTGTGATATGAAAAGCACAGGAACCAGGGATGGGAGGCCCAAGGTTAAATTCAACCTCTATATCTTCCTGGTTGCATAACCTGGACTAGTCAGCTAACCACAAACACTTCAATTTTGTCATCCTTGAGGAGGACATATTGAAAACATTGTTCTACCTACCTCATAGAGCAATTGTGTCTCGTAGTTCTTCCAGTGAGATAATGTATGTGAAATAATTATGTAACATAACACATCATAAAAATGTTGGCTATCTTTGGTGCAACAAAGCTATTCCACAGCATGGATTATACTGTCTTTACATCAATTCTTTAGTAATTATGAACATACATAGTATTTGACTTTTATATATGTTTCAGGAATGCAATATCTAACTTATTCATGAGGTACTTTATTTTCATAGCAAGGCATATAAACAACTACCTATGACAAATGTATTTGTTCTTAAATGATTTTTCAAATTTTTGTTATTAAAAGCACAGGAGTTACTGCAGTAGCACCTATCTTGAAAAGTCAAGTTAAAATGATTATTGTTTGTGTATATAATATATGTGTGTGTGTGTGTGTATTGTGTGTGTAATTTTTTCAAATCCAATTGTTGTAAAAGATAACTGTTTTGTCATAGAGCCTGCATATTTTTATCTAAATATATGTTCGTACCATTTTAGTCATTATACTCTTTTCACGTTTTAAACTTCCAGTTAGAGACCAAACTTTTGAAAATTGACTAGAGAAATGCTGCTGTTGAGTTTACTTTCTTCTGAAAGAATATCTTTTCCTGTAATGGGAGGTACAATATTTCTGTACAGAGCTACTTCACTCCCACAAGTCATAGGTCATCAAGAAGAGCATCTACATCCCCAAATGTTTCAGAGTGTAAGTCAAAAACTCTTACAATTCCACTTCTTTTCATGTGTCTCGTAGATGTTTTAAGAATATTTTCAGCTGCATGGCTTGACAGCCTTGGGATTCCCTCACACATTCACAGTCTTTTTTGGATCAGTCTGATGTGAGCATGAAAACTGGGAGTTGTGGAGCCCACTTAGGAAATGATTGCAATTGTCCAGGAGACAGATGATGGTAATTAAGTTTCCATCAGCCTGGAACTCAGGACAGAAGATACATATTCTGTATGTAGAGGTAAGCAGTTCTTTCCTGGGGATGATTTTTACCTTCCAGAGGACAGTCGGCAATGTCTGAGGATAGTTTTAGTTGTTGCAACTGAGGGAGGGATGCTAATAGTATCTACTGGTTAGAGGCCAGGAATGCTGCTAAACATACTATAATGCACAAGACAACTCCCCACAGCAAATAATTATCTGGTCCAAAATGTAAACAGTGGTGATTTTCAGAAGCCTCGGTGTAGATGGTACCTGAAGTCGTCAGAGGGAATAACAGCATCTGAAGTGTGAGGGAGGAGACTAATCCAGAAAAACACCAATAGACAAGGAGCATGCATGCCCCCGGTCACAGAAGCAGAGAAGAATCTGTAGAGTGGTATTATGAAAACCAAAGTGAGGAAAGAATTTCAATTTGGGATTGGTAATCAGCATTCAATGTAGCCGAAAGTTAAGTAAGATGAGGACTGTTGAGTCTAACAGGCTTGGTGGTTAGGTGGTGTATTGGATATTCTCCATTTGCTTCTTAAAATTCACGTTCTATCTTTCTCCATCCTGTTTTATCCCTAGAGAAGGTTGACTTAACAGACTTCATCAACAGGGTTCTCTTGTCCTCTGGCTTTCAGCTGGATTCTGACAATGAAAGGTTCTGAAAAGAGATAGAAGAGCACGAGGAGAGAGTGCAAGTTGTTTTTCCCTGAAGCTCTGTCCCTCCTGGGCCACAGAGTGACAGGGGCAGTGTTTCTCTTCCAAAAGCAAAAGCTCCTGTTGGGCAGCTTTTTCCTATAGCTGCAGGTCTCACTGGTTTCTTGCCCCCTCCAGGCCTGTGGGTAGGAGTCACTTTCACCTGTTAATAGGTGGTGCTTCACTATCTTTTGTTAGTTTCCTGCCTAGACCCTTGTAAACAGTCTTTTTTTTTTATTATACTTTAAGTTTTAGGGTACATGTGCACAATCTGCACGTTAGTCACATATGTATACATGTGCCATGTTGGTGTGCTGCACCCATTAACTGGCCATTTAACATTAGGTATATCTCCTAATGCTATCCCTTCCCCCTCCCGCCACCCCACAACAGGCCCTGGTGTGTGATGTTCCCATTACTGTGTCCATGTGTTCTCATTGTTCAATTCCCACCTATGAGTGAGAATATGTGGTGTTTGGTTTTTTTGTCCTTGAGATAGTTTCCTGAGAATGATGGTTTCCAGCTTCATCCATGTCCCTACAAAGGACATGAACTCATCATTTTTTATGGTTGCATAGTATTCCATAGTGTATATGTGCCACATTTTCTTAATCCAGTCTATCATTGTTGGACATTTGGGTTGGTTCCAAGTCTTTGCTATTGTGAATAGTGCTGCAATAAACATACATGTGCAAATAGTCTTCTTTAAACTCCCTTCAATCATACCTTTTCTGTTTGTGTTGTTTCCTTCCAGGGACGTGCCTGACACAGAGGTCATTGCTGATCTGTATCAGAACCACTTTCAGTGGAATAGTTGAGGCAGATAGGTGGAAAAATAAATGGAAAGAAAGGAAGAAGATTAAATAAGAAAAATTGAATTTTTGTTTGTTTGTTTTTGCAAGGAGTTTTGGGAATGAAGAAGAGAAGGAAAATACTGGAGACAATAGGTAGTAATAATTTGGAAGAACCAAGACAAGTTTTTAAATAAGAGATAGAAAGTTGTTTTTAGGTTGTGAATAAAAAACATGGAGGGGATAGAACTGTAATATGAATAAAAAAGAAATTTGAATGTATTATAATCCAATTAAAAGCACAGATGACAATATTAGTCTCACATAGAAACACATCTTTGAGAACAATAAAATGGAAAATAGCTGAGTTAATAGATGTGGGGTAAGAAATTAGGGAAGTTCATGCCTGGTGGGCTCAGTGTCTACTGGGATGTTGAAAGAAGGTCGTTTAAGGATGTAGGAGAGGGAGACTGAGGAGAATAATGAAGGTTTGGAATAGCTGCTGTGGGAAACGGAAGAGGGATCTGTTTGCAGAACAAGCTATGGACCCCAGTTGAAGAGCACTGATTGGTTGATATATGTATGAAATTTTGAGGAAGATACAATTTTGTTGAGTAGGACTTACCAGCTAGTAGTTAGGAAAAGAGAGATCAGATGGTTGAAATGATTGGAAGTTTGGGGATTTAAACGATAAGTGCTTTGGAAGAATAAAGGGATAAAAATGGGGGAAGTGCCAGCAGGAAGGTGATTGATGACATCTGTCAAGTGTTTAGGCTGCACAGGAAGGATAGAAACAGGGAAAGTGGAGAAAGGCAGTGTCAAACAGGCAAGGCTGAGAAATTGCAGGTCTTAAACAACGTGTGGTTTGGTAGAAAAGAATTGAGAGGGCCGGGTGCGGTGGCTCAAGCTTGTTATCTCAGCACTTTGGGAGGCTGAGGCGGGTGGATCACTTGAGGTCAGGAGTTCGAGACCAGCCTGGCCAACATGGTGAAACTCCATCTCTACTAAAAAAGTTAGCCAGGCTTGGTGGCAGGCGCCTGTACCCCAGCTACTCGGGAGGCTGAGGCAGGAGAATCGCTTGAACTTGGGAGGCGGAGGTTGCAGTGAGCTGAGATCATACCATCATTGCACTCCAGCCCAGATGACAATGTGAGACTCCGTCTCAAAAAAAAAAAGAAAAAAGAAAAGAAAAAAATGAATTGAGAGAACTGGAAGGGTAGATGACTATCATCAGAGAATGGTATATTGAAATTGAAGGGAAGTTGGCAGTAAAAGTAAAAAGAAGAACTGCATGCCAGAATATGTTAGTTAATCAGAGGGGCATGAGTGGATGACAGTTTCTTCACGGAAATCCAGTATAAGCTGGGTTCCAGAATATAAGATCTCAACATTAATAAATAAGTAAAATTAAAATGTCACTATATCTTTTAATTTAAGAAATGTGTGCTCCCCTCTTAGACTGTAAATCTGTTGAAAAGAAAGAATGATTATATTATACATTTTCATCATCTCTTCTATTATTTAACATAATTCCTTGTATGTATTAGACACTCAGACATTTGTAGAATGTTTGAAAGGGAACAAAAATATATAAAATTTGTATCATGAGATAATGTATTAGATATATTTGAATAGATAAGTATACGATTAAATTTTATTCTATAATACATTCAGTATAAAACTTCAAAATGAATTTCTTATTTATGTGCTAAACTTTATTTTGTTTTCAGACTTAATTTAATTTGCTTATTGTGGTATCTACAGTCATTCTGAAATGGCAGTTTTTTGGGACTTCTCTCTTTCAATTCACATACATGAAAGTTTGAATAAGTTTCTAATACAGAGAAATGTGAGTGGTGTGTTTAGCATAGATTAATTGAATCCCAACTTCTTAATAAATTAACTTTTATTTACATAAGCAGATCCCTAAAATCGTATATCTGTGTACTGTATGCACCATTTTACTTCATGTATATCTATTAATAATAATGAAAACTAACATTTGAGTAATGTCAGTGTCAGGTACTGCTCTAGTTTACATAATTTACTCATTTTTCCCCTCACAACAACCCAATGAACATGTGCTATTATTTTTCTTATTTTACAGATGAGGAAACAGTAGAGAGGTTAACTAATTTGCCCAAAGTCATGAAATCAGTGAATGAATTAAAACTTAGGAGATCTGGTGTTCAAGATACTAACCACCATTACAGTATAGACACATGGATACAAATGCCGATGCGTTTATCTTTGATTGCTTGTTTGATGTTTGTTTTCTTTACCTTAAGATCTCTGAGATCAAGGACACTGGCTGTTAAATGGCATCTTATCAATAAGTATGTTGTGAACAAATAAATGAATGAGCTTCTGACTTTACAGGATAATTTTGCTATTTCCTCCAAAGTTTCCTATTAGTTTACAGCTAACACTCTTGGCTTTTCCTTCAAGTCCATTCCAGTTATTATTTGGGTGATTTGTTATGAGACATGTTATGACATTTTAAGCCTTTACATTTAAAACATCATCCTTTTGCTGAGACAATAATGATCTCTTCTTCTCCTCCTCCTCCTGCCAAAAGAATTGCAGATTAAGTGTTTACACGAGGGCAGTTTGTAATCCAGTATTTCTGCAGCAGCAGGCTTCAAATATTCTAGGCAAATCCTGCTTTTTGTTCAACTCTTCCTGATGAGTGTTGTGATTAAAGCTTCACCTTGGCATCCATTAGTCATCGAGTGCTTACTTTGAGAATGGTTGCTATCATCATTTACTCTATAAACAGGTGCCACCTAGTTACTTTTGTTTTGGCAATTATGGGTTAAATACATTCCTGAGCCTAGTCCTGCTTAAGCTTGCTAGTTCTCTATTTTAAATTAAGGCACGGTAGGTTATTTCTTTCAAGAGTAAAGGTTTCTTTAAGTAGGAATCTTTCAAATTACTCATTTTTACTCATTTTGATTCTTGTTTTCTGTAGATGAGTCTTTCACTGTTCAGCCTTGCTTTACTGTGCCTGGCTGACAAAACTGCATTACATCGCAGTTAACAATGGCTAATGATTAAAAATAACATATTTTATTCTTAAAATATTGCTCTCTTTTAAGATGCTTATTTGACTATTCTTCGTTACTGCCTTGCTACCATTCTTCTAAGTATTTACTTTCAGTCCATGGAATTAATGTCAATTTATAAAGAGTTGTTCCACTGAGGAGTTTTTGAATTATAAATATATTATGCAAGGATCCTGTTTTTTGCTACAGTTTTTTAGGTCCAGTAATTCCTTAGCAAAGAACTCTGTATGGGATTAATACATTTGTTAGCAATTACTTGATAGGAGAAAACATGTTGAACTATTACTTTAAAGCTACTTATTTTATATATAATTACCCTGAATGTCTCCTTTCTAGCACTTTTTCTCCATGTGATATGCCTGTTGTTCATCAAGTTAGAAATAGTCCATGGGGCAATTAAAATTACTTTCCCAGTTGATAAAGAAGAATAGAGGATGGAATTTTAGATTCATGAGCAAAAACACTCAGTACCTATTGAAGTGACCATATGTTAGGGAGTAGTCACAGTCAGGAGTTCTATCTCACCCACTTTTGTTTCACCAAAATCTAGTACAATCGCAGACCTTCTTCCCCTCCACTGCCACACCATTTGCTTCCTCCTTTCTTCCCTTCCTGCAATTGAGACATAGGATTTTAGAGTCTAGGACAGAGATAAAACTGGAGATGTGAATTTGAGAGTGGCCTTAATATAAATGGTAATTAAGATTATGAACTGGAGGACGTTACCTGGGGTGTTTAGAGGATAAATCAGCAAAGGAAACTTGGAAGGAATAGTCAGTGGAATAGAAAGCAAACAAGCAGTGAGTTTTCAAATCAGCCAAAGAAGTGACTTAAAAAGGGTAAGAGGCCAGGTGCCATGGCTCACGCCTGTAATCCCAGCACTTTGGGAGGCTGAGACAGGTGGATCACTTGAGGTCACGGGTTCGAAACCACCCTGGCCAACATGGTGAAACCCCGTCTCTACTAAAAATGCAAAAATTAGCCAGGGGTGGTAGCGCATGCCAATAGTCCCAGCTACTCCCAGGCAAATCACTCAAACCTGGGAGGCGGAGGTTGCAGTGAACCAAGATTGCACCATTGCACTCCAGCCTGGGCTACAGAGTGAGACTCCATCTCAAAAAAAAAAAAAAAAGAAAAAGAAAAAGAAAAAAAAAAAAAACAGGGTGGGTTGTGGTGTAGAAAATAGTCAACTATGACACGTGTTTTTAAGAGGGAGAAAAAAAATAAGGAATGAGAATTGGCTATTAAGTTTGACTCTAAGTACTTGGAACAAAGGCCTGCTTGGAGTGAGATGAAAAAAAAAATTGGAAGTGAGGAATAAAGATGGTGACTTTAGATATCTCTTTTGAGAGACACAATTGTAAAGGAAAGAGAAGTGAGTGATAGCTGGAAAATTTAAGTTATAGGTGGGCGTATTTTAAACAGTGGGCTATTTAAAAATTCACATGTAAGCCAATATAAATAATACAACATAGAGAAGGAAGAAAGAGATGATGCAGAGAGGGGAGTCATAATTGCAGGAGAAATAATTACTACGTGGATAAAAAGAGTAGGATTCACAGCACAGTTTGATCAGTTGGCATTAGATAGAATGGACACTTCTTCCATCATGACATCAGCAGAAACAGTGTTTACTTCAGCTGTCCACTTTAGATCTGGTGATGGAAAGATGAAGTAGGTCTCATCTGATATCTTTTGTTTTCTCAATGAAGTATGAGTAAGATGAAATGTTTGAAGTGGAGGAAAGTGATATAAAAGGCTTATGGAAAGGAGACAAGCTATAACAATAGTCATTTAGGAGAGTGAAAAGTAGACTTTGTGGCAAATGTCTGATTTCAACATTAGGCTGCCACAGGAAATTGTGCAAACCTGCTTTAAACAGATTTCTCACAGGGAGCCCCTTTTTGGGTACTTATCAAGTACCATATCTTTAATTGCAGGCCATATTATGTCAGCACCATTATTTCTCTACTGTGATTCAGACACCTAGGAATTTCTTTTATCTTGCTCTTCATCTCATTGTTCATTTAAAGACATTTAAACATATTTTATTTTTCACTTCCACGTTTTTGTGTTGGAGGAGAGACTTCCAAATGTTTTCAAGGGAAATAAAAGTAGAACTTACACTTCACTTCTCTGATTCTCTGTTTTACTATTTATAAAATGGGAGTAATACTATCTATGTACAGATTTGTGGTTAAGAATTAGAGATGATATGTATAAAATACTGGCCCATAATAGGCAATCAACAAATGAATATTGTAATTTTATTACCACTAAATATTATTCTTACACCCAGAGAATAAAAACATATTGCTTCCTTTTTTAAATACAACTTTAACTTGGCACAGTGTTTCTAAGTTTCTTATGCATTAATTTGGTTGGAATATAAGATATTTTACTGAATGATATTTTGTATTTTGGGCTTTATAATGTTTTTAGGGTCTTGGTAATGTAATGCTTGAGAAAGAATAGACTTCAAATAGAAAATTTATTTTCTCATGAGATTTCATTTTTATTACACAAAGAAAATTATAATGAATAATGTAATTTGAAAAGTCCAAATAATAACAGTGATGAGGGAAAATGGAGTAAAAAAGACAAAACATAACTTGAAAGGGATTTTTGAAAAATGTCATAATATTATCCACATCCTCTTTGTCTACTAATAATGTTGCTGAAGACAGCTCTGTTTTGTAGTCAAGCATTGTATCAATTTGAGTAACTAATACTAAGAAATGCTAATAACTCGATTGTTGCATCAGTCATTTTTGTCAAGTTAGCATAGCCGTGCCCATACTCTGTGTTCACTAAAGCAATATAGATACTACCAAAACCATCATCCAATACCTAAAGGATAAACATGAGATATTGACATAGTGAATCTTCATTCAACATCTTCTTCTTCTATTTTGGTATGCTCTAGGACATGTACCTCTCTTTCAGGTAGTAACCCATATTCATTTAGGAAAGACTCCACATCCCCAGCAAAAAATTCTTCAGCAAACTGTTCAGCAACACTAATAAAATTGCTTATGAGTTCCCCACCTTTATAGATGAGCAGTGTAGGAAGTACATCTAAGGAAAAGCGGTCCCCAGCACCTGTATTCGAAGCTTTTATTTTACAAAACTTAACTATAGGGTATTCTGCTGCAAGGCATGTTAAACTACTGTTTAGAGCATCACAACCCTTAATACCATCTTCATAAATGTGAACAACAATTGTGGTGATCTTCAGTTCCTTTTCAATTGTTTCTAGGAATTGCTTTCCAGTTTCCAGCTCATACACAAACCCATATCTAGGCCCAAAACTCAGCTTCTGGTGCATATCCTGCATACACTGTCTACGGTATTTACGAAGGCAGTTTTCATCCTCTTTCTCTTTATGGATTAGTTCATATTCTTGAATGCTCATCTGAGAATAAAGAAATGATAGAAATTATTAAGTCAGAAGTTTTATTCCTTAGATATACCAAGCCCATTCTCAACCGAAGGAGTGTACTTTTGCTCTTTTTTTTCTGCCTGGACCACCTACCTTTCACTCCTGATGTGCCTTTCTCTTTCACCTCATTGAAGCTTTTGTTTAAATGTCACCTTCCTTGATTACTTTACCTAAAAAGGTCCCCATCTCACACTCTCCATCTTTATGCTGGTTTATTTTCTTTATAGCAACAAACACTATTATATCTTATAACTTACTGATTTTTTTGAATATCCAAAAAATTCAAGTAAGACAGCTTTTCCTACTATTTGGAGTTCATCAGATCATCCAAGAGGTTAATTTTTGGACCAGCAGCATCAGCATCACTTGGGAACTTCTAGGAAATGCAAATATTTGGGCACCACCCTAGGTTTACTGAATTAGAACCTATAAGAGTGAGGCTAAGTAATCCATATTTTAACAAGCCCTCCAGGGTATTATTATTCACTAGTTTGGGCTGAAGTAAGAAAAGGCCCAAATTCCATTTTCTAAGATAGCTACTTTTCATTGCAGTTGGAATAAAAAGTCACCTGCAGGGCCTTCCATAATAGCTACTCCATTATTAATGTATTTAACAGAATATTAAGCACCTATTCCCCCAACCAAAAAAGAAAAAAAGGTATAAAGGAACAATGGGGCATAGTGTGATTAATAGATGTGGAGCAGCTCAGAACCATGGATTTTTAAAGTAGAGGAGAATTGAGAACACGTGAAACTAATGTTTATGAAAAACATACCAGGTGTTGGGTACTTCACGTAGATTATGTTATCTAATCCTTACAGATAACCTCTGAGGTAGGTACTATTAGTGTCATTTTACAGAAGACACTGAGATTTAAGTTAAGTAAAAGTTTATGATGCTTTCATTACTTCTTTCTTTTGCTTCTGTTTCTTATATTTGTTTCCCTAATGTCCTCATTCTTTTCCTTATCATATTTTTTTCTGTTTTAAGATTACTGTCCCGGGATGGGTATGGGAGCTCATGCCTGTAATCCCAGCACTTTGGCAGGCCAAGGAAGGTGGATTGTTTGAGCCCAGGAGAACAGACTGGGCAACATAGTGAAACTCCATCTCTACAAAAAATGGTGGCACATGCCTGTAGTCCCAGCTACTTGGGAGGCTGTGGCAGGAGAATCGCTTGAACCCAGGAGGTAGGGGTTGCAGTGAGCCAAGATTGCGCCACTGCACTCCAGCTGGGGTGACAGAATGAGACTCTGTCTCAAAATGATAATAGTAATAATAATAATAATATTGTCCCAATTTAGTTTTAATCCTAAAAATTTCCAATGTTTCATATAATTTTTAAGTTGTTGCTATAGTTCTGTTAATTTAACAGATCAAACCACACAAATTTGACTTGAAGATGTATTTGAGCATTTATATGAAAACTTGTTTCATTCACATATTCAGGCATATGGATATGTAGGCATTCAGATACATTTCCAAAGTTTAACCTTAGCATAAAATTTTTAATAGTGATTATGTGTTACATTTGTGTAGTATTTTACATGTTTCAAAATAGTTTTACATTTATTTTTTCTTTACATGTTTTCAAAACAAGTGGAGCAGGTTTGTTACAATTCCCCAGATGGAATTCTCTGTATGTTGCTTTCTCATATTGTGAAACTATCTCTAGGTCAGCTCATGTATTCGTAACGAATTCTTTTCATAACTGTACCTGTTCTTAGTATAGAATGCCACAATAGGTGTTCACTTCATTTCCATTTTTTTTTGCCAGCGTAAGCAATATTGTAATGAATATATTTTGTAATAGTCTAAAGTGATTCTCTAGATTGATTTAGATTAGAAAACACATTGTAAATTATTTATTACTGCTTTTTGTATTATCTTACCTTTCTGCTGACTCGTTCCTTTGAATCTTTGCCATTCCTACTCTGAGGAGAAGACATTTGCCTGAGAATCTCCTTCTTGCTAGGTGGAATTGAATCACTGTCTTGACTCTCTAATTTAAACTTTCTCCAATCATTTATTACTCCTTTGGGTCCTGGAATGAAATTAAAAATAAATTGTTTTCCTTTTTATTTTCAAAAGGACTGTTGGCATAATTGAAATTTGTGTAAGTATTGTCATGGAATAAACTTATTGTCTCCTGCATCAGAAACAAACATCTTGTTTGGACTAGAAATTTCTGACTGCCCTGCTCATAAAAATATGCTCCCACATTAATCTTGTTAAATGGGTTTTGGTAAAGGATATTTCGGAAACATTTGTACTAATGAAAATATAAATTATGCACTTTGAACTACTGGCAAAAGGTTGGGGTTAATATATTTAAAAATTAGAGTCCTGATAGGATACTAGAATTTTGGAAAAAATAGCACTTTTATTACCTAAGAAAAAAACTTCAGCAACAAACTAAAATTGGCATTACAGTATTAATAAAGGAAACTGGGAATGTTGGGGAAACAAAATAACAATAGTATATAAAAAACAACTGGTGAGCAGGGGGCCTGACCTCAACAAAACTAAAATGGCTTTAGGAAAATTATTACGAGAACATCCCATTCTTCTAAGATTCTAGGCATATTTTGCAAACATAGAAAGAATAGGATTGGCAGATTATTTTTTTTTTTGAGATGGAGCCTTGCTCTGTTGCCCAGGCTGAAGTGTAGGGGCGTGATTTTGGCTCACCGCAACCTCCACTTCCTGGGTTCAAGTGATTCTCCTGCCTCAGTCTCCCGAGTAGCTGGGACTACAGGCGCATACCACCACGCCTGGCTGATTTTTGTATTTTTAGTAGAGATGGGATTTCACTATGTTGGCCAGGCTGGTCTTGAACTGCTGACCTCAAGTAATCTGCCCACCTCAGCCTCCCAGAGTGCTGGGATTACAAGTGTGAGCCACTGTGCCCGGCCAGATTGGCAGATTTAAGTAAAACTAATTAAATGAAGGATGATTCAACTGGAATTCTGATATTCAGTTGACCTGATGACTAACAACGTTATTCATTTAAGAAAGTCTTAAATTCTTTAAAACAAGGAATATTAAACTGACTATCCTTCACTAAAGCTTAGCTATATCTACACCTTTAATGTCCATATTCTATATCATATTCTATATGTGGATGTATTCCTTCTTTCTCCTCTATATTGCCTAATAATTTTTGTTTTATATATGATATATATTTAATATAAATTTGTTATGAATGTGTTTATATTATATGCAGGCAATCAAAGCTTTTTGTTTTCACATACAGTGTTCATATCAATATTTTAGATATGTTTTATGCATATGCAAAATATACATGTGTGTATGTTTGTTTAAAAAAGAGAATCCATTTTGTTCGTGTTTTCTACAGATGGTGGTGTATTATCTGCATTTTTCCTTACCTTGTTTTTTCTGTTTCATACTATATCTTGGAGATTTTTTCAGTATACACACATGAAAAGGTTCTTCCTTATTTAGAAAATTGAGGCATGGTGTTCCATTGTGTAGATATACATAATTGACTTAAACTGTTTAATCGTGATCTACATTGTTGTTTCCAGTTTTTTCTATGACATATGATGCTGAGTGAAGAATCTTGTGCATACATTTTTAACACTCTGTGCAGGTATAGTTATGGTTATATAAGTAAAATTCCCTGGTCAAAGGGCATATACATTACTAATTTTGATATTGCTAGGTTGCCTGTACAGAGATTGTACCAATTTACACTGCTATCAGCAATGTATGAGGGTGCCAAAAATGTGTTATTAAACTTACTTGCTTTCACTATAGTTTTCTGTGTTACTTTTTTCTGTTTCTTTTTTTCCCCATGAATAGTCTGTCCTATCTTTTGCTCATTGTTCTATTTGGTAATTAGTTTCTTTTCTTATCGATTTGTAGAAGCTCTTAATATATATTAGGAAACTGACACTGTCAACTGAGTTGCAAATGTTTTTCCCCAATTTGTTAAATGCTTTTTGACTTTTGTTCCTGGTGACCTTTACCAGACAGCAGATATTTCCTTCCTTTTTTTCCCTGTCTCCTACTTTCCCTCCATCCCTTCATCCATCCATCCTTCCTTCCTTTTTATAAATGAATTTACCAACCTTTTCTTCAATGGTCTTTTTGTTGTTGTTTTTGTTTTTGTCATAATTAGGAAGGTATTCCTCACATTGCTATTATAAAATAAATCTCCACACATTTTGGCTGGTACTCTTGTGAATTCTTTCAAACTTCTGGCTAAATTTAATGGCTCAATCCAAATTAAAAGAGAGAGGAAATTACCATTCAAATAAGATTTAGTAGAGTTAAATGTGAATTTTTAAATTTAAGTTTTAAGCTCTTAGGAGTGGCATATAGATAGCCAAACATAATTTAACAGATTAAGAAAACAGACTCTGGATGAAATGAAGTGTTAAGTTTTCTGGAGGAATACTGAAATTTATTTATTCAAAAAAATAAAGGGAATATCTTATCATTCCCTTTATTAGATGAAAAAAATGAAATTAAAGGCCATTTATTAACCTTTTGGTCTAATCTTGTTTACAATGAAAGTTCATACTGAGGGTGGGGTACAATCAGGAGAGAGGAAAGTGGCTTAATTATAGTGTAGATAAGAGGTCTTGTGATAGCTGGGCAGCAAGAAATTACCAGTAATTGGTGTTTTTGTTTTTTTACTCTTTGACATCTAAATAAAACTGTTAGGAATTATTTGATTTCAAAAATTAATTTGCCCGCTCAAATATTTTTTAGATTAGCATAACAATTTATATAAAGATATTACTTAAAGTACATACTGAATAGTGTCAATAAGAACATTAGATATTGCCATATTTAATTTTAATTTAATAATTATTTTTTCTTCTAGCTTTGCTTGCCTGTATGTGTGGCCTGTCCTTCAAAGTCTTCCTCCAAACTTTGGCTTTTGGCTTCTTCCATTTTAGGGACTGGATTTGATATAATCTATAGGAGGAACAAAGAAATAATAATGACACAAGAATTCCAGGATGTACATACATATATATAGAGATAAATATATAGGTACATGCATATTTATAGTCTCCTGCTGCCAGATTCCATAAGTAGGCTAAGGATAATCACTCAGTGGTAAAGTAAGTGGTAAAGTATTTAGAATGTTTCTGTCCGCAATGTAAAAGGACATTAATTTAACATGTGTTATTAAAGATGTCTGGACTTAAGGATTTTATATAATTCATCATTTGTCTTTTCTTAACTCAAGCCTTCCAGTTAAGTCTATGTGGTTAGTGAACATTATTTATTACTGATTTTCCTAATTTCCTAATATTATGTGAAATTTGAATATATGACGTAATATATGTTACTTATTTCATATAATAAAAATTAAATTAATAATTATATACTTGCTATGAACACTATGTGTCAGGCATTGTTTAAATTATTTTATGTGTCAAAACTCATTTAATTCTCACATAGCTATATGTGGTAGGAACAATTGTTAATGACATGTTGTAACCGAGGAAGCTGAAGGGCAGAGAGTTTAAGTTACTTGCCCAAGATCATACAATAAGTGGTGGAGCAAAGATTTGAACCTACATTTTCTGACTTTGGAGCCAACTCTTAATCATTACACTATTATGGAAATTAACATTCTATAATAGAGTCATTTTTCTCAGTATGATTTGGCAAATCAAATCTTTGAATTGGCATTAAAAAATGATGGTCTAAGGAACACTATTCAATAGCATCTCTCCATACCATGGGACAAGTTTTCATGACAACAGTAGCCACCAAGCAAATGGAAATAGCCAGTAGGTAAGCCTATAGTATTTTTTTTTTTAAGTTTTTTGAGAGAGGGTCTAACTCTGTCTCCCAGGCTTCATTAAGTGCGATGGTGCTGTTTTATTTAGCTCACTGCAGCCTCAAACTTCTGGGCTCAAGTGACCTTACCACGTCAGTCTCCTGAGCGGCGGGGACTACAGGTGTGTGTTTGCGCCACCACGCCCTGCTAATGTTTTTTTTTATTTTTTGGTATGTTGCCCAGGCTAGTGTTGAACTTCTGGCCTCAAGTGATCCTCCCATCTTGGCCTCTCAAAATGCTGGGATTATAGGATTCAGCCACCACACCCTGCCGGTTTATAGTATTTTTGACAGGCTAAAATAGAAAATCACTAAAAGCACTTGGATTTTTATTCATACGAAACTCCTTGGTGCCCGCATGTAGAATCTATTCTTTCATTCTATCTGGTTCACACTCATATCAAATCTATTTCCTTTTTTAGCTTTGGACTATCCAGAAAACTCAATTATTATACATACTAACATATTCCCTCAGGGGTCCATATAGTTGTGATTTTCCTGAAGTTTTCAAGTCAGGGAGGATATACTAATCGTAGATAAACTATCTTATTTTTATACTTTATTCTTTCACTTTTTTTGCTTTGCCTCCTTCTTTCGAAGTCAGTTTTAGGCACTATATCGCACAGTTTATACTTTGAAACTCATCTTAGTTTTCTATTGATTTACACTTCAATCCTGCATTTGGTCTGTGTGGTGCTTTCCCAAGGCGCAGGGTGGTAACACAGAACTCTTTCTTGATTTCTCTTTTGCCTTTACCTTTGGTCTCAACACTTGGACTGGTCCTGTAATTTTGTTTCTCTTTTTGCAATCCCTATCCAGAATCACTGGAGGTCAAATGTCTTTGCCAATTTGAGTTTTTCCACTTGAACAAGAAAAGACTGTCAAGGGAAAGCCAATCAATTTCACAATGTTTAGGTAAGTATAAATGTAATAAAGAATATTACATTTGAATGGATTTAGTAATTAAAAAGCATAATGGAAAATGGAAAGTAAAAACTGCTGTACAGAAAAGCCATCTTATTACTTAGTGTAATTATTTATGAATAAATTTTGCATCTCAAAAGACATGAAAATTTTTACTTCGAAAGAAAACTACAAAACAAAGAAATGGAAATTTATTTGATAATTTCAATAGCTTTTCAGTTCCCAGAAAAATAGAGACTCAATCCAGTCTCTTTACTTTTTAAGACTGGATTGTTAATTTGGGGTAGCTACTATTCTCAGTAAATATACATAAGTTCAAGAAAATCTAAAAATAATTTTATTTCAGATGCTGAAGATACAGGGCACAGCTTCCTTCTTGAATTGCTTGTTGTTTACCTAGTTGACAATCTACTGGGAAAAAGAAATTCCTTTTCCAGAAAAGGTTTTCACCAATTTCAAGGAATCCTTTAATGAAAAGATAATCCAGTTACTTAGGACAAAATGTATTTGTTGATTGGATTAATATATGTTGAGAATAGACTATATGCTAGGCATTTTCCTGGGCTCTGAATTACATGAAGAACAAAACTCTTCCAGTATGGTGCTCACTAATACTAAGACTTAAATCAACTGGGTTGCCTGTTTAAGTAAAGGACAGAGTCCATCCTTATCTAATGCCTCCATTTGAGTTAGAGTACAAGGATTGGCAAAAATTGCTACTGTTTACTGCCAGGGAAGCAATGAACAGATTGAAAGAAAAATATTAAGACATGAGTGTGTTTGTTTGCACTGCTTAAAGCACCTAGAGGAAGACACAAGTAGAATATTATGAGCCATTAATAGATTTCATCTACCTTCCTATTAATTTATCCTGTCACCAACTCACTCTGGGGTTTTCTGATTATCCCAAAAATCTTATCTTTTTCAAAATGTACACATTAGCATCATACAATTAATTTTTTTTTGTCTTTTTTAGACAGAATCTCACTCTGTTGCCCAGGCTGGAGTGCAGTGGCATAATCTCCCCTCACTGCAACCTCTGCCTCCCAGGTTCAAGAATTCTTGTGCCTCAGCCTTCCAACTAGCTGGGATTACAGGCATGGGCCACCACACCTGGCTAATTTTTGTATTTTTAGTAGAGATGGGGTTTCACCATGTTGTCCAGGCTGGTCTCGATCGCCTGACCACAAGTGAACCGCCTGCCTTGGCCTCCCAAAAGTGCTGGGATTACAGGCATAAGGCACCGTGCCCAGCTGGTACAAGTAATTTAATTGAAATATTTGCAAGGTGCTTCAATTTCGGCACATAATAACTGCTCTATGAGTCTGTTAGATAAAATAAAAATACATCTTTTACATATGTGTATGCAATATATCAGTCATTTAAAAAATATAAACATTTCATTTACAATGCTATTATTTCATGGTTAAAAGATTTCATGTCTACTTTAGGCTGAAACATTTAAAATGACAATAGGATTATTACAGGTCTTTGGGTAAGCACATCTTTGTGTGATTGGAAATTGGTAATAAAGTAAGGCAAGAAGGCAGAAGGTAAAAATCTTGCCTTCACCAAGATTTACTTTGGTTCAAATGAATTATTTTCCACATCACATAATTATGAAAATCTGTGATTTTGTACTTTTTTATTTTAAATAGTTATAATACTGTTTCAATGAAAACCTGTGTTAAGTAAAAATTGTATATGGATCCTTTGACAGAATAATGTGCATTTAAAAGAATTTTATCACCCTCTTCGAAAGTAATAGTAAAAGCTAATATTGGTGAGAAATACAGCTTAAAATAGAATTTTACCAAGTTAGGGTTTTATTTTCCTCTTAATTTAGGTTTTTAATAATTTTAAATAGTACTTTATATAGGATAACACTTCTCAAATCTTGTCCTCAAAATTCTAACACCTCCCAACTATGGTTTAGTAATTACCAAGAAATAAAATGATTCAAATATAAATGGTCCTGCATGTTGTTCCTGTTTCATTTATGATAGCGATGATCTGGAATACAAAGGAAGTGAGTAAAATTTTTACGCATTAGTTTTAAAAGACTCTTTTAAAAAAACAAATCTACCCCTAAACATTTCATTATCGTCATTATCATTGGTCACATGACAATTGTTAGTCACTTCAAACCTGTTTAATCAGAATATCTAGTTTTAAATTAACTTGTATATTCTCAGTATTGCTTAAGAAGAGCTTAGCTTTCAAGACTAGCTATTGTAGTTTATTGGTAGATTTTCAAATAGTTGGGATTATCTAATCACTGTATGATATAGACTGACTTCTCTCCTAGCATCCACAACAACTTATAGCATTTATTTTTACATGTTTTGCTCCACTATTGTAAATTCTTTGAGGATGGAGGCAATTTTTTACTTCTTGTTGTACCTCTTATAATCGTTTCATACATTGTAAATACTTCATAAATGACAGTGGCAAATTTTAAAGAACCTACTATGTGCGGGGTACTCTAGATACTATTTTTAATCCACACAAAACTATTATCCTTGTTTTTCAGAGGTGAATTGTAGACTCTGAGAGATTGAGTGACTTGCCAGAGCTCACAAAGGTAGTATAGAGCCAGGTTTCAAATCTCTGACTCTCAAATCTCCAAAATTTCTATTTTTTCCATTACGCCATTCCACTTCAATAAAATGCTTAATGAATGAATGTGTTAACCAAAGAAGCCGACCTAATTTTTTTGTATATGCATTAAAACCAAGATGAGGAAATGGAAAGCAATAAATCACCATGTCTCTAAATTCCTTGAGACAGTACTTATTTGAATGATATATTTTCGCTTTGGATTAAACCTCATTAGTTTATACTGAATGTAATAGAAGAGTCTGTTTATTTCTTTCTTTTCTTTCTTTTTTTTTTTTTTTTTTTTTTTGAGACAGAGTCTTGCTCCGTAGCCCAGGCTGGAGTACAGTGGTGCGATCTTACTCACTGCTACTTCTGCCTCCCGGGTCCCTGTTCAAGCAATTCTCCTGCCTCAGCCTCCCAAGTAGCTGGGATTACAGGCACACGCCACTATGCCCAGCTAATTTTTGTATTTTTAGTAGACACGGGGTTTCACCATGTTGGCCAGGCTGGTCTTGAACTCCTGACCTTGCGATCCACCCTCAGCCTCCCAAAGTGGCTGGGATTACAGTCGTGAGCCACCGCACCTGGCCTATTTCATGTTAATGGAATTAATTTTAACTGACTAATAACGACTCTGGAAGGTCAGTATAAAAGACATACTGTTGGTTTTTGACAATCATATGAATTCACTGAGAACTTATCATCAGTCCTGCATCTCTAGGTCATTTGTAAAAGCAAGTGTAATATGCAGTATGCATCAATTATACATAAAAGTAAAGCTAGGAAATGTTCTTTATAGAACTACTCTTACATGTGGCCAAATTATGGAACCATTACACTGTGAGCTTTGTGTGGAGATTTATATTGTAAAGTGAGATATTTCACTCATGGATTCATATCAACCAATAAAAAAATTAATCCTATATTCCAAACAATAGTATTTGATTTTTAAAATGTATTTGAAGTTACAATTCTACAGATTCAGGGATTTTTAAGATCAATTTCTAAAATAAGTCTATTTGTTTCTTAAGCTTTTTATGATCTAGCCCAAGTTTTGTATAAAATCTCAGTGTGTGGCTTATGTTTGAAAACTAACACTTCATTCTCTCAAACTTTCTGCCACTCTTCTATTTGTCAGAAGTCATAAATAAACACAGTTGCTAGGTACCTTTGTCTGCTAGGGCTGCTATAACGAAATATAGACTGTGTGGCTTAAAAAACAGAAGTTAATTTTCTCATAGTTCCAGAGGCTAAAAGTCTCTAATCAAGATCTAGTAAGGCTGGTTTCTGGTGCCGGCCTTCTTCCTGGCTTGCAGATGGCTGCCTTCTCACTGTGACCTCACATGACAGAGAGTGGGTTAGCTCCCCGGTGTCTTTTCTTGTAATTCTATGGGATCAGAGCCATACCCTTTGACCTCATTTAACTTTAATTTCTTCTACAAAGCCCCTATTTCTAAATACTGTCATATTGGGGGTTAGGGGCTCAATGTATGAATTTTGAGGGAATATAATTCAGTTCATAGCTCCTGGTTCTGACTTTTGCAAAGAATGACTTTACACTGATGCTGTCCACTATTTCTCTATCTCCATAGCCTGCCTTTTCTTTAATTTCTAAAGCTTTGAGCCTCTGGATTTTTCAGGGTTCCCCACCTACCCTTTAAAATTGCAGTTAGGGAAATGAGGCATACCTAAAATTAACTCTTTCATTTTTTTTGACTATTCACTAGTTCTTTCCATGCCTGTGGACCCCCAATCCTGGGATGCCACAGAAGAGCCCACAAAAATATAGGCCAGTGGCCGGGCGCAGTGGCTCACTCCTGTAGTCCCAGCCCTTTGGGAGGCCGAGGCGGGCGGATCACGAGGTCAGGAGATCGAGACCGTCCTGGCTAACACGGTGAAACCCCGTCTCTACTAAAAAAAAAAAAAAAAAAAAAAAAATTAGCCGGGCGTGGTGGCGGGTGCCTGTAGTTCCAGCTACTCGGGAGGCTGAGGCAGGAGAATGGCGTAGACCTGGGAGGCGGAGTTTGCAGTGAGCCGAGATTGCGCCACTGCACTCCAGCCTGGGCAACAGAGCGCGACTCCGTCTCAAAAAAAAAAAAAAAAAAAAAAAATATATATATATATATATATATATATATATATGCATGCCAGTATTCCTCTGCATGTTAGGCAATACAAATGCCAGTTACTTATTTGGCCAGTTACTGGCTTGTTTTGATGTTAAGGAAAATAATAGTATTCTATACTAACTGCAGTAAAATTAAGGGTATTGCTCTAAAAAAGTAAATCAGAAAAGTGGTACACAGATTTAGTATACAGCATATATACTCACTTTAGTCCAGGTCAGATCAAGTAACTAGTAGAACATCTAAAAAATATATCACATGCAATGTTTTCCACACAGAGAAAAAATATTTTTAGCATTTCAATAACTGTTACTATCCCTAGCAAACTAAAAGGTTGATGCTCAGTAGAAACAATAGATTTTATTTAGAAGGGTTGAGGTTCAAGTAAATGTATCCTTATTCCTTTTTTCTTTTTGCAAATTATGATGAAAGGCTTTCGCAGTCTTATTCTCATACTGGTCTCCCCAAGTACAAAGTAAAGAAATTAAACAGCCAAACATTAAATTATCTATTTACCTATAGCATACCTGACATCTTTCCATGGATGTACAAAATGCAGAAAACATAGAGCATTGAAGTAGCTCCAGTGTAAAATTTTCAGAGTAAGATTGTTTTTTGTTTTGTTAAATTTAAAATAAACAATATTTTTTCTTTCGTTTACATGAGAGCATATATTCATATTCCCTTTTGGAAACACATAGAATAAGAAACTGTTTCAGAGAAGGTGCTGCACTAAAAAGGCATTGTAATGACTGAACATGATTAAACATGGGATAAAAATAGCAGACTGGAAATCAAGTACGGAAGTGAAATGCCTCTTAAATCAACTGAAGTGAAATTTAGTAAGTTATCTATCTTGAAGGCACTACCTGGCACATACTATGCTTTGAGATGGCTAAAACTAAGAAAAACTGCTAAGTGGGCAAAATTGACAGACATTCTACTTCATTCTATTGCTAGAAATCTACATTTGGTATCTTGATCTGTGCCCCACGGAGTGTCACACTGTGTTCTAGTCACCCTTGCAGGGCTTTACGTCCTACTTTTCTCTACCTCTAACCATACATCTCCTTAGGTCTCTGCTTTCCTGTTTTCTAAGGTGACTGTGAGCTAATCTGATCAACTAAGCTAAGCTAATATGCTCACCAATACAGACACATTAATATGAAGTGTTTTAACCCCTTCCAAGAATATCTTCCCCAATGTCATATTGGACTCTATAGAAAGCAGTTGTGCCTTTCCTTTCTTGTTAAAATAAATTATCAGTGGTGAGAATTTCATATCAGATAGGTTTGACAACACCATGTCAGATCATGAAAGTATTACTGGGCTTGTGGAGACTTTCAGTGTCTCCACAAGAGACACACAGGGGATTTTATGCCTCATAACAATTAATTTCTTGAATTAATTGGAATTGGAAAATGGGAATGATTATTTAATTTGAATGTAGCATACTTGTTTTCCAATGAATTGTCTTCCCTACCCATGATTTTGCGGATCATAAGTGATTTTCTGTTTGATTTTCCCTTTTGCATTTATGTTGTAATGCTTTATATATCTTTTCTGAATTTCAGTTCTCTAATGGAGTAAGACAATACTTAGGATTTTTGTTGCCACCTTCAGTTATGTTAGTTGTTAATTTTGGGATAGGTCAATTTTTACATTTGGTGGTATCATAATAAGAGTTTTCTTTAAAATTAAATTTTGGGACGCATGAGTGGAATACAGGACACATGGTCCTCAAAATGGCTATAACAAATTAGAAAATTGTTGGCAGTCAGCAAATGTTTGTTTTCTTTCTTTTAAATACAAAACATTCATCCTGATGCTGTTGAAAATTTTCCTTACTTTATGCCTGACTTCCCCCCACTCCCAGTATCTAGATAAAGTTCATAAGAACTTTGATAGAAAAACTATGATAGAAATTTTGATATAAGACACTATAGAACTGATGTAATATTTTCTGTTTCTACCCTACTCAAATAGTTTTGCTTTTTCAACAAATGGGACTGGGCAGGGGAGTTGTAGGGAGCCTTTTAAACAATTAGTATGTCAGGAATGCATAGCAAATATCAATTTCCTATCTGTTATCCTGTATCATCAGTAAAAAAAAATTTACTCTGGAAATATGAGCTTTAAAAGTCATAACTGAATTCTTGTTCCTAGTGAAAAGACATCCACCTATCCAAGTTTGCTATTATGACATACAGATATTCTTTTTTTTTTTTTTTTTTTTTTTTTAGAAAGAAGGTTGAGACAAGAGCACAACTTTTAATACAAAATAAAAAGAATTAAGTGGCATCTGGGACAAAAAATTAGGGAACTAAAATAATTCAAAGGAAAGAGAAAAAGTCTTGGTCATGTTTGCCAAGCTTTGAATATTAGACCTTGCTTTTTTCCCAGAGATTGTCAGTGCACGCTGGTTGTGCAATATCAACCAGGATTAGGCAGGTGTGGGAGCCACAGAAGCCACTCCACCACACTTTTAAGTCATTTCATTAGAGTCGCCTCAGAAGTCCTGGTGAGACAATCCTAGGAGTCCTCTTTGGCTGTCTTGCTTGATATTCTCAAGCAAGTCCATTCTGCTAGACGCCTGCATCTGGGTACTCCTCCCTTTTTAACTCCAGTCCCCACAGGGTCATTTAAGAAAATGTATGCATGTTTCTGATTCATAACTATATTATGATGATTATTCTTATAAACCCTTTTGACGTCTAAAAGCCTTAGAGCCACTCAACAGTCCTGTTTGGGCCAGTCTCCTGGAATATGAGAAAAGATGAAGAATGGGAGTGTTATGGAGGGCATACGCCCCTCTGATCATCACCACAAAGAGTGGAGCCCTTCATGGTCCCAGCTGAAAGCCTGGAGAGGCTGCGCGCGGTGGCTCACGCCTGTAATCCCAACGCTTTGAGAGGCCAAGGCAGGTGGATCACTTGAGCGCAGGAATTCAAGACCAGCCTGGGCAACATGGCAAAACCCCATCTCTACAAAAAGTACAAAAATTAACCGGGCGTGGTGGTGGGTGCCTGTAGTCCCAGATACTCCGGAGGCTGACGCAGGAGAATCGCTTGAACCTGGGAGGCGCAGGTTGCAGTGAGCCGACATCTCGCCACTGCACTCCAGCCTGGGGGACAGAATGAGACTCCAACTCAAAAAAAGAAAAAAAGAAAAAGAAAGCCTGGGGATATTTACCAGGACCCTTCCTCCTTTTCAGGCCCTAGATTCTAAGATCCTGCTTTGCAGATCTGAAGTGGGACCCAGGAATCTTTAACAAGCTCTAAGCCTGCCGAGTGCCTGCGATTGCAGGCACGCGCCGCCACGCCTGACTGGTTTTGGTGGAGACGGGGTTTCGCTGTGTTGGCCGGGTCTCCAGCCCCTAACCGCGAGTGATCCGCCAGCCTTGGCCTCCCGAGGTGCCGGGATTGCAGACATACAGATATTCTTTTACTTGTTCTGGAGAAAATAGAATTTTAGAAATTCATAACAGCCATCTTTTTTAAAGTATCTGTTTATCTTGTAAATATACATATTCCTGTACATATTGTTTGAATTCCATTACAGACATTATTATGAATGGTTCATATATATTTTGATAATGACTTATATAATATCAAATCCACTTATAAACATAGTATTTGGGCAGAAATTGTCATGATGAATTAGATGATCTCTAAAGTTTTTTCTAGCTTTAATATGAGGTGATTCTAAGTAGCAGGTACAATGGACAATATGTGTGTGTGTGTATATATATATATATATATATATATATATTTAAAATGGACTCTATAGTTAGAAGCTATTTTTGCAGTTAATAAAAATACTCCATTGCAAATCAATTACTGCACTCATTTTCATGATGCAAACTGTAAGGTTTATTAGTAATAATAATAACCTCCATGGAAACAAAATAGAAAAAAAAAAACCAATTGAAAGAAAATTTTCACTGAATTTAAGAAATATCAACAAACTCTGTGTTCTTTTCTTTTAAAAACATTATTTCTGTTTCATTAAATTTCTAAAGTAACCTTTCAAAACAAACATTATTTCTACTTTAAAAATTAAAAACCACCAACAAACCACCGCCACAACAACATACTACTAAGGAAAAGCCTCAAAACATGCCTTAGCGCCGGATGAATACAGCAGTCCTCACTTATCTGAGGTTTTTCTTTCTGTGATTACAGTTACCCTTGGTCAACCTTGGTCCAAAAATATTAGATGAAAAATTCCAGAGATAAACAATTTGCAAGTTTTAGATTTGCAGTGTACTGAGTAGCTTGATGAAATCTCACACTATCCTGCTCTCTCTGGCCTGGAACATGAAACATCTCTTTGTATACCATATCCACACCATATGCATTACTGTCTTGGTTATCAGATTGACTATTGCAGTGCTTGTGTTCAAGTAACCCTTATTTACTTAATAAGGTCCCAAAGCGCAAGTGTTGTGATGGTAGCATATTGTTATAAAGGTTCTATTTTATTATTAGTGATTATGGTTAACCTCTGACTGTGTCTAATTTATAAATTAAACTTTATCACAGGTATGTATGTTCAGGAAAACAACATAGTATACACACAAGGTTCAGTTTTATCTATGGTTTTAGGCATCCAGTGGGGGTCCTGGAACATATCCCCCTTGGATAAGGGGCAACTACCGCACTCCTTTTCCAACTTGGGAGCCAGATCTTCAAACATAAAGTGCAAGGACTCATCATTTATTCTCTTTAGTTCTCCCTTCACTCAAAGGAAATTTAAAATTGCAAAATGAGTTCTCCATTCATGGTCTTATTTTAACAGTCTAGAATATCAGGCTCAAAATTGCGTGTTTACTCTGAATCTGTATTAGTGAAGATGACTGGTGGAAATCACTGAAAGAGAGAAGGATACGCTGTATTTAATTGTCTTTATAGTAGATAATTCAAAACCTTATGTACTTTGAACTATTTTACATTAACACAATAATACATAAACAGTGAATCACCATTCTTTCCCCTAAGGTAAAATTTTTAAAATTATATTATCAAAAGGACTACTTGTGGACTCACAGTTTGGATCTCTGTGCCTGGTGTCCTTGTTGAGTGGGTGAGAATCCCTGTCTACTGAACTCGTCTTGAACTTCAATAGGTTTAAGCTCAGATTTAAAATCTCCAGATATTGATGACCCTTGCAGAAATAGCTCTGAACAAGTAATAGGATTGACAGAATTAGCAAGGCCAGTTCATTAATAATAAGGCAAAACCAAACAAAGAGTAGTCAGTTTATATTTTACAGAACACATTGAATAGATGAGAGACAGAGGTCATTATTAGTACTATTTATCGCAATAACATGAGTTGTATTCATTAGTCCCATAATCATCTACTGAGCACCTACTTTGTGTGAAACAAGCAGTAGCTAGGCACTAGGGTACAAAGACAAATAAACCCTATTTCCTATATCGTGAGGCTTGCAGTCTAGTGGGGGAGACAGGTAAGTAAAAAGATAATCACAATGAAGTGCTATGATTACTACAACATTGGGAGGAATAAGAGAGATACTATGATTTTCATCTTCTCTTACTACAGGCTTTTAATACAATTTTTTCAGATGGGCTGTCTTTACAGATCTACTTGCTTTCTGGATTCTAGTTTTATTGGCATTTTCTCCTTTTCACTTCTCCTTATTGTTTCTGGTTTTTACCATTAAAAATTCCTTTCCTGCTGTTTTTTAATGGAGTTTTGAGATGTAGGGGAAGTAGATGCATGTGTTTAATCTTCCATCTTTTCCTAACATCTTTCATCCTCACAGCCAAATTCTCATCTAACTTTGCCAAAGTAGGAGATTTAATTTACTCTAAGCTTAAAACTGGAAATTTTTAATTAGCAAGAGGACAAAATTTTTAATATTAATGGCAATTAAAATGAACACATTTAGATTTTTAAATTATAAGGTTTAGTCATATGTAGCTTCACCCAGAAACTTTAAGTGGATCTTAATGCAATTTAAACAGTGATAGTGTCTAAATAAATTTTAATAGTTATGTTTTATTATACTAAATTAATTTGTCATTTATTTACTCTTTGTTAGTAAGAGGGAAACCTGTCACATTTCAGAACTTTGTTTGCTTATATATTTTTTATTGTAGAATTTGATTTCAAGAATAGAGAAGAGTACATAAAATTTACAATATTTAAGAGAGTCACAACCATAAATATTTTCAAAGAGATTCTTCCAGAAATCAAAGTATTTTCTAAATTAACTTTCATTTTCATCCTTAAATCAAATTTTTACCTCCCATTTAGCAGGTTTCATGTTCCAGTTTGTGTGCTATACATATGCTTTTCAACAGAGTTTCTCAGGGCAATTCACTTTCAGTTTTTATGAACTGAGTGTTTTCTCTCTAGCTAAAGAATCTAGAATGTAGTCAGGTGCAATACAAATGTAACTTAAAAGATGCCTTCTGATGGCAAATGTGAAGAAATTTAATATTTCAGTTTGATGATAAAAAATGTCATAGTGGTTTTAACATTCAAAAAATATGTTTTAAGTTACTGTCAAATATAGCTTGGTACTCATATGTTCAAATATGTAATATAGGCACAAGCATAGAGACTTAACGGTAAAAAAAAAATTACTATAGCAATTCCTATCCTACCCCCACCTTCCCAACACAGATATTTCCATAATTTGCTTTTTATTTTGTGCTATCTCTGGCACCTGTTCACTGGAGGGATTTGGGGTCATTACGGACATCACACACTTGCCTACAATTTGGACAAGCATATCTGATCTAATTGCTTCAATTATGAATTGAGTAATTTTTGTAGATCATGAAAACTTGTCAAGAGTCAAAGCCCAAAAGGTCATTATTTCACACATATGATTCTTGATTGATGTAAAAACATTTAAAAGTATTAGAATTATATGTTGATATAGTGTTTAGATTTTTATATATGATTTTACATCCAATTTTAAGAATACTAAATACTTTACAAGGCACAAACATTATAAACCAGCTGAAAATAATCTTAGAAAACAGAAATAAAAATATTAATAATTAGGACACTTTCTGAGTGCTCATCATGCCAGGTCAGGTACTAATTGTTTACTTCGCATAATCTTTACAACAATCCCCTGAGGTAGGTCAAGTATAATTTTATAGATGAGGAGACAGGCTTGGATAAGTTTTATAACTTATCTAACTGATGCATTTATTCCCCAATATTAGTGGAATGCCTACTGTGTGAAAGCACTCTTCTGTGGACAAGGTACTTCTATATACAGCAGCAAGAAAACAGTTTTTATGTTTCAAATGTTGACATTATGTCCATGCAGACCCCAGCGTTCGAATTCAGGTATGACTTAATTCCATGGTCCACACTGTTAACCAGTAAAGTCTCCTGTTTAGGGCAGATTAAATTACCTGCTCTAAAAAGATGAAATTACAGAATTTTCTTTAAATCCTAAACAGCCTTCAGTGTAGATTCTTCTGGTTCCAAGGCTGTCATATATATCTACTTGCTCTTTTTTTTTTTCTTTTTGAGCGTGAGAAAGTTAATTGTAAGGACAGAATTGAAAGAAAACCATGAATTCCTTAGGAGTTCAAGGACAGCTATACACTCTAGTCCTAGGAGAATGGAATGTCAGCTCAAAATCTTGGAGGATACAATGCTGGAGTAAACACCTTAGCAGCTGGGAGGGGTCTGTTGATCTTCCCAGTAGGGCTCAAATACCAAGATTGCGGCTTTCCATCCCACTAACCGCATGCACTGCCTGCCCCCAACCCTGCTCCTCCCGCCGTGGCTGATCTTCTGTCACTAGTTAATACTCTTCCTAAGGCCTTCCATATCACCTTTACTTTACAGCCTGTGCTTCCTCAATATATATTTTCTTATTTGTTCTGTTTTCCATAACCCCCCTCATGGCCTTGACTCTACTCAAGACACCTATCTATAGAAGTTTTTTAAGCCTCCCATCTATTGATAACAGCTTGGCTATTTCCATGTTTCCAAATGAGTATTCTGGGAGAATATGATTTGTTTAGCCGAAACCATTTTGCTTCATTATGCCATTGGCATAATTTGGCCAAGGTCACACCCTTGGTCTAATCAGCTTTAGCCAGATGGCAAGGTTATGTGATCTACATAGGGCTCCCTTTCAGTAGGGGCTGGGGAACTTTTAGTAATAAAGGGTGTAAATGAAGCAGGCGCTGTGGCAGACATCGTTTTTACTAAAAATAAACCTTTCCTTACTTTGAACTTGAAAACATGTCCCTCAGTCTTCAAATAGCAGAATTAAATTTAGAGCTGGAAGGGCATGTTTGGAAACAAGACCATACTGCTGAAAAGACTTACCAGAATGAGATAGTCCTGTAATTTCTTCTGTTTAGGATTTTATTTCCCTTTTCCAATATGCGTTCTACTCTTTCTTGTCTGAATTTTATTCTTCTTGGTTGAGAAGAGGAAAGCAAGGTAAGAATTCCAGTTTCTCTTTCTCTTAGCAATTTATTACTCATGTAAAGAGGAGACATATCTTCCTTCATTGTCTTCTTACTATATGCATAATTTTAAATCTTTTCAAACATATTTTTGAAACCTATTTTACTTTGGATTATAGTATTCTTAATTTTATTTTATCATATTTGATTGCATACCCTTTTTTCTACCTTTTTATAGTATCCTTTAACAAATCATATGGGCATTCACTGAGATGTTACACCATCAGCCACTTTATCTTTCTCCTTTCCTAAAAATATGTGGAGATAGTTATTGTCAGAATTTTATTATCTCCTGATGTTATTTATTTTAGAGAGTCTTTGGCAAAAGAATATATAACTTTTTTTTTTAAGAGAAGGGGTCTCATTATGTTACCCAGGCTGGCCTTGAACTGCTGGGGTCAAGTAACTCTCCTGCCTCAGCCTCCCAAGTGGCTGGGATTACAGGCACCTGCCTTCTGTAATGCTTATTGCCTTCTATATATCTGTAGCACTTATTCTTCTGTAGTCAGCCTTCCTTTTCTTTTATTTTCGTAGCTTAAGTCCCTTAGTTGTTTCCTTTTGAAGGTTTACAACACATCCTTGTTACCGGCTGGTTATTTTTTTGCTGGACAGAATTAACTCTGGAGTAGCAATTTAATGTTTTATCCTCCATCTTTTGAAAAATATTGTCAAAAGATGGAGGATAGAACATTATCCTCCATCGTCAAGAAATTTTTATTTGTACTGAAGGAAGCTTCCATGATAGTCCATTTGGTTTCACTAGATACAAAGGAATACCTGAGGCTGGGCAATTTATAAAGAAAAGAGGTTTATTTGGCTCATGGTTCTGCAAACTGCACAAGAAGCATGGCATCAGTAACTGCTTCTGGTGAGGCCTCAGGAAGCTTTTATTAATGTCAGAAGGCAAAGGGGAGCTTGTGTGTCACATGGTGAAAGTGGGGCAAGAGAGACAGGAGGGAGGTCCCAGACTTTTTAACAACCAGATCTCATGTGAACTCCTTACTGCTGGGAGGGCACCAAGCCATTCAGGAGGGATCTGCTCCCATGACCTAAACACCTCCCAGTAAGGCCCCACCTCCAACTTTGGGGATCATATTTCTTTCTTTTTCTTTTCTTTTCTTTCTTTCTTTCTTTTTCTTTCTTTCTTTTTTTTTTTTTTTTTTTGACAGACTCTTGCTCTGTCATCTAGGGTGGAGTGCAGTGGTGCAATCCCAGCTCACTGCAAACTCTGCCTCCCAGATTCAAGCAATTCTTCTGCCTAAGCCTCCCAAGTAGCTGGGATTACAGACCTGCACCACCATGCCTGGCTAATTTTTGCATTTTTAGTAGAGATGAGGTTTCACCTTTTTGACCAGGCTGTTCTCAAACTCCTGACCTCAAGTAATCTTCCCACCTTGGCCTCCCAAAGTGCTGGGATTATAGGCATGAGCCATCGCACCTGGCCCACATATTCTTTTTAAAAAATCTGAGCATGTTTCAATTTTACTCCACATATTTTTCTATCTTCACAGGGAATGCATCCCAAATGCAACAAATAATATGCTTTTCACATTCCATTATGCATATTTTTGCAGAAAATGAATGTTATTCTCAGAAGAGAACTCAAAAAGGATTTCTATGAAGTCTCTGGCAGAAAACCGAGAAATTACAAATGCAAGTGGTATTTTCATTTTCCTCTTTTAAAGACCACGATGTAACATGAGAAAACAAAATACCAGAAGTGAAAGGCTGACTCCACTAAAGATGTTCAATAATGAGATTTGATTTTTTAAAAAACACATCTTTTATGGGCTTTCAGGGCATGGAAACAAGATCAAGAAAGGTGTTTTTCTGGAGACTTTCCAATCAAAGCAATGAAGATTTAAAGTGGAATAAAAGGTAAATGGAAAAAAATACAGTAAGATATGAAAAGATGATTCCTTGAAAGACATCAGAAACCAAGCCAGAAGAAGAGCAGTGGTAAAGATTCACGGGAATTAAGAAAGTTTGAAATAACTGGGAAGTGGTTTTAAATAAAGATATGAATGATTCAAAACTCAGGGAAAAACGGTAATAAAAGAATAAAACAGGCCGGGCGCGGTTGCTTACGCCTGTAATCCCAGCACTTTGAGAGGCTGAGGCGGGCAGATCACGAGGTCAGGAGATCGAGACCATCCTGGCTAACACGGTGAAAACCCGTCTCTACTAAAAATACAAAAAATTAGCCGGGTGCGGTGGCGGGCGCCTGTAGTCCCAGGTACTCGGGAAGCTGAAGCGGGAGAATTGCCTGAACCCGGGAGGCGGAGGTTGCAGTGAGCTGAGATTACGCCACTGCAGTCCAGCCCGGGTGACAGAGTGAGACTCCATCTCAAATAAAAAAATAAAAATAAAAAATAAAAAATAAAAAAAAAGGAGGGGTTGATTTTGCCAAATTTACCTTTTAATTTGTATGAGTTCAAACATCTAATCAGAGGTATAGACAACTTAGCGAAATTTTCTATGACGTGTATGGCACCAGATATTTAAAATCTCGTAACTATTATTTTGACTGGTATGCAGTACATCACATGACCATAAAATTGTCTAAGGAAATAATTAATGCTCCATTGCTTAACTATTGCTTAATTTGTTTCACTTACATTTTCTACTTTTTTTTTTTTTAAAGAAATAAAGAGATAGAGATAGGACATTATCTTAAGTGAAACAAGCCGGGTACAGAAAGACAAATATTGCATATTCTTACCCATAAATAGGAACTAAAAAAGTTTATCTCATGGCGGTAGAGAATGGAATGCTAGTTCACAGAGGCTGGGAAGGGGTAGGATATGAAGAGAAATTGGTTAATGAATTCAAAACTAGAGTTAGACAGAAGGAATAAGTTTTGATAGCACTGTGGGGTGACTACTGTTAATAATGATAGATTGTCTAGAAGAGATGTGAAATGTTCCCAACAGAAAGAAATGATAAATATTCAAGTAGATGCATATCCTAAATACCATGATTTGATCATTAAACATTGTATGCATGTATTGAAATATCACATGTACCTCATAAATATGTATAATTATTCTGTATCAATAAAAAATAAAAAACCCAACTGTTAGAGCTAACAAATATATTTAATGGTATTGCAGGATAAAAATCAACATACAAAAATAAGTTGTGTCTCTATACACTAACAGTGAACTATGTGAAAGGGAATTAGAGAAAACAATCTCATTTACAATTGCATCAAAAAGAATAAAATACTTAACAACTAAATAGATAAAAGACTCAGATCCTGAAAACTACAAGACATTGCTGAAAATAAATTGTAAAGACATCCCATTTTCCTAGAGTGGAAGATTTAATAATGTTAAAATTTTAATACCACCTAAACCAATCTACAGGTTGTATTTAATCCTTATCAATAATCCAATTTTTTATATAAATAGGAAAAACAATCCTAAAATTCACAAAGGACCCCAAATACCCTAAACTGTCTTTAGAAAGAACAAAACTGTAGGCATAACACTTCCTGATTTCAAAGTTGATTGCAAAGCTACAGTAATTAACGTAGTATGGTACCCACATAAAGACAGACACATATAGCAATGCAACAGAATAAAGTGTCCAGAAATAATCCCACACATATATGGTCAACTGATTTATAACAAGGGTGCCAAGAACACATGATGGGGAAAGAACAGTTTTTTTCAACAAAATGGTGTTGGGAAAGTGGATTCCACATGTAAAAGAATGAAATGAGACCTTTATCTTACACCGTATACAAAATCAACTCAAAATGGATTAAAGACTTAAATATAAAACCTGAAACTGTAAAAATCCTAGAAGAAAACAGGGGAAAACTTTGTAACATTAGTCTTGGCAATGATTTCTTGGATATGTCACCAAAAGCACAGGCAACAAAAGTGAAAATAGACAAATGATACTACATCAAACTAAAAAGTTTCTGCAAGCAAAGGAAACATTTAACGTAATGAAAAGCCAACCCATGAAGTGGAAGAAAATATTTGCAGGCCACTTATCTAATTAGGGGTCAATATCTAAAATATATAAGGAACTCCTTCAACTCAATAGCAAAAAGCACATAACCTTATTAAAAAGTTGAAACCTTTGCAGAGCAGTAGTAAATTGAAAAAATAAAAAATAAAAACTGGACAAAGGATTTGAACAGACATTTCTTCAAAGAAGACATACAAATGGCCAATAAGTATATGAAAAGATGCTGAACATTATCTGGGAAGTGCAAATCAAAACCACTTTAAGATATCACCTTATATCTGTTAGGATGGCCATTATAAAAAAAAAAACCAATGTCTCTTGTAAATACCATACAGGTGTGTACTGTCTATTCTATACAAATTGCTAATGTCTCTCTTTTAATTGGATAATTTAGTCCATGTACATTTGTTTTGATGTCTGATAGATTTAACACCTATCATTTTATTTTGTTTTAATTTTTTAATGACATTTATATGATTGAATTTTTGCCTTCCTCTCTTATTACCAAACTTCCTTTTGATTGATTATATTTTCTTTAATCCCTTTACATTCCTTCTTCTATTTGGAAGACATTCATTATTAAAAAATATCTTTCAATGAAATATATTCAAAAAGTGCACATATCATAAGCTCATTGAATTTTCATATTTCACTGCCAGTCACCATTTGTCTTTGAGAGTAATCATTATTCTAACTTCTAACACCATATAGTCTATAATATGTATATTATATATAAAACATATCTACATACATAGATACTTCTTAAACATAAGGAAATATGTTCAGTTTTACTCATAATATGAGAAATGAGAATATGAGAAAGTAAAATTATACTGATACTATTCCTGGCTTATCAGATAAGCAAAAATTCAAAAATCTTGACAACATATTCTGCTGGCAAGATGTGAGATAGCACTTTCGTACACTCCTGGTAGGAATAAAAATTGGTATAAAACTTATAGAGGAAAATTTGACATTATCTAACAAAATTACATATGTTATTACCTTTTGACCTAACAATTCCACTTCTGAGTATTTACCCTGAAAATATATCTCTAACTATATGAAAATGTATATGCACATATTTATTTATTGAAGCATTGTTTATAATTTTACAATATTGGGAACAACCTAAATGTCCATCCATAGGAGGTTGGTTAAATTAACTATGGTACATCCATAGAATGAAGTACTATGGAAGTTTAAAAGAAAAAGATCTCTAAGGCTGATATGAAGTGATTTGCAGAATATGTTGTTAAGTTGGAAAAGCAAAGTTAAATTGTATGAAGTATATATAGCATGCTATCTTTTGGGTAAGAGAGAGAAGGAGATACAAGAAAATATACATATATCTGTTTATTTTTGCAAAAAGAAAAGCAGGAATGAAAAACCCAGAAACCAATAAGATTGGTTACCTACTAGAAGTGAGTGAGAATCAAGAGTTGAGAATGAGGTAGTGATGCCTCCCCAGGTATAATTTTTCATAGAGTTTTAACTTTTGTAATCTTGCTAATATTTTACATACTCAAACTAAACCCACAAAATAAATCTAATAAAAATCAGAGGAATCTAAAATGGAATACAAACAGAAACAAGTGAAACTATTTCAAACAAAAATACAACCACATTGAAGATGGGAGCAATGGACCCAGGTTATTTTTTGATATAGTATTTTGGAAACTTAACCTACGAATAAAGACCAAAAGAACTATACACAAGTACTGAACTTTAATAAGTAGCACTGTTGTTTTTGATGTTGTAAGTTAGTAATATGTTACTGCTTTACATGTTTTTAAGGATTGGGCAACAAATAAATCGAGTGTAAAAGAAGTCTGATTCCTCATTGCTGACAGGAAGACAGCCATGGATTGGGAAAAGATTAGAGTGAATCCTGTGATGTTGGATTGGGATTGAAGATACCGGTATGAATTCACAGCTTGTTCTATCTACCTGCCTGTCAGCTATCTGACTATCTCTCTGTTTATCTATCATCTATCTGTCTATCTATCATCTATTGAACCTATCTATCCACCCACCTATCTATCCCTGTCATCTACCTATGTATGTGTGTACATTTCCCAGCTCTGTGCACTAAGAGGGCCCAAAACAATGATACTCCAGTAGTAGTGAATATACTTAGAAATCTTGATTTCTAAACAATGTCTTCACTAAAATAAATCAAGCCATGTTGGGAAAGAAACTAGCTAGGGCTGGAACAGAAAAGTACAAAATGAGCCTAAGATACAATCTTATGCCAAAAATTAAAGCATGCTAAAAAAAACATGGAGATGTATCAGAAGGATACAGGAACCAGCTTGAAATGGCTCCACTGGTCAAATCTGGAAAAATTTGAGCATCAAAATTATAATAATAATGGATTTAATCTATAGAATAAAGTAAGGACTTATGAGTATATACTGATATAAATAAATGGGGGAAAAGGAAAATCCTATCTTTATAGTAAAATGCCAACCAAGATGTAGAAGGAATAAAGAGTTAAAAGATGACTATTAGGTAACCATCATGGTAATATTTCATTCAGGTAAGAATTATTAATGGATGCTAAACCTATTGTGTGGCAGTTTGATGAGGAGCAGGATATTTATATAGCCTCAAGTTATTTCCCCACAAATTATGTATAAATTACAAAGGGAAAAAAATCAAATTTACAGTGGAAAAACCTGATAGAAACCATCTAATGACATGATCAGTTAAAAATCACCAACAATGAGATGAACTGACATCATGTGCATTCTGATTCTGAAAAAGGCACAGCACAGCTTCTGTGATATTCTTACCAAAAATATGTAGTCTGAATTTAATCATGAGGAAATATCAGACAAAAACAAAATTGAGGGGCATTCTACAAAGTAACTGGCCTTCTATGGGGAAGGTTGTGAAAGACAGAAAAAGAACTATTTCAGATTAAGGAGATTAAAGAGACATGGCAGCTAAATGCAATATATGATCCTGGATTACAGGATTCTGGATTACAATAGTTCTTGGGTTTTAAGGACATTATTAAGACAATTAGTGAATGTTCTTACTCTTAGGAAATACACACTAAAGTATTTAGAGATAATGGGGCACCACATCTACAAATTTACTCTCTAATGATTCTGGCTAAGGAAAAAAATGTGTAAAAATACACATTTAAATTTTTTTGTGACTTTTAAATTAGAAATAATTTTAAACGTACCAAAAAGTTACAAGGATAATACATGGAACTCCATAATATTCTTCTCTCAGATCCTTCAATTGTTAACATTTTATCACATTTGTTTAAAATTCTCTCTTTTGTAGTATTCTTACCTCTAGGTGTGCTTGAAATTATTTCAAAGTAGAAAACCACACAAAATTACAAGAGTCATTTTTTCCTATTTATTTTTGCTTGCTAAGTAGGTTAGCACATGACAGTGGTTAAGAACATTATTTTTAGAGTAAGAAATGCCCACGCTCAAGTCCCAGTTCTTTTGCTCATTGTTGTAGTGATATCCTTCTCTGGGCCTCTGATTCCTAATCTATAAAATGATAAGAATATTGACTTTATTTCATGGATGTGAGAATCTAATAAATGTAAATTACTTAATATAATAACTAGCATATAGTGAGCAGCTAATAATTTTATTATCAGTATTTTTATTTTTGCTTCCTCTGCTTCCCTCATTTCTATGTATCTTTTCATGTGTCTTAATTCAAATAATTTTAGTGCCTACTTTAAAAACCTCATCCTTTTCTTTAACTCTGGGATGTTCAGGACTCATTTCTTTTATGGGAGACTACAGTTTAGCATGCTCAAACATCTGTATATCTTGCCTTTGAATATTAGAAATACATACCTTTATAATGAACGTATTTGTATTATTTCTCTTTGGGGTTTTTTTTTATCTGATTTTTTGCTTTGCATTTTGAGTCTATAGTTTGGAACCTATTATTAAAATTTTTTATTAGTATAGGACCTGAACATTTATAAAACTTGTCAAGTATTGAAAAATAAATAGAAAGTATACTATTTATTTTATTGGGTTGGATTATATTTCCTTTAGTTATTTGTTTATGCTTTTTCTGTCTTAAATTTTGGCTAATATAAAAATAACATTGAAGAGTTACTTTATTGAATTAAGTGAATATTTATTTCTTACTACCATTGCAATACATTGTTGGCTTACCAGGGTTTACAGTTTCTTAAACTTCAAATTGCTGCTGAGAAAACTTTTGTCAGAAAAGGGCTAGTCAGTGCTATTACAGATATTGTATTACGTGAAATCCTTCACTCAGAAAAAGTGAATTCTATGTATTAGTAAAAATATTACTCATGAAGTTGAAAGTATTTTGTGGCTCAACTCTCTGGAACTGAGCAGATGCTGAGTCTATAATTCAGTCAGTTTTACCATAGTTATTCATTCATTCAACTTATAATAGTAAAACCATTAATAGTCCTTGGATTAAATTGTTCAGTGGTTTTTCTCCTTTACAATCCCTGTCACCCAGGCTGGAGTGCAGTGGCATGATCTCAGCTCACTGTAGCCTCGACCTCCCAGAGTTCAGGTGATCTTCCCACCTCAGCCTCCCAAGTAGCCCGGACTACAGGTGCATGCCCCCATGCCTGGTTAATTTTAGTATTTTTTGTAGAGATGAAGTTTTACCACGTTGCCCAGGCTGCTCTCAAACCACTGGGCTCAAGCGATCATCTTGCCTCTACCTCCTAAAGTGCTTGGATTACAGGTCTGAGCCACCAGGCCTGGCCCTTCTTTTAAGCTATATTATGTAACAGTTGGTTAATTGAAACAACCACCTGGTGGTGAGCAGTTGGTAAAGAAAACGTTAAATAAGGAAATAGACATTTATTTTTGACCCCAGCCAAGAGTGACCAAACTTAGGAAAACAAATACATTTGATGTTTAAAAATATCTAAACTCAGTGAATTAAGAAAGCATTTGCTTGGAAATGATTTATCTGACCATCTCTTTGTTATACTTACTCATGGCATTTCTTTGGTGGATTGTTAGCTCCTCAATGGCCAACTCTACTGCAGTGGTGTCATGTACGTAGAAGGTTCTTTATTTGTATTGGATAAATCAGTACATTTTAAAGAATGCAATATCAATTAAATCTCACTATAATGGGGAACTTAGAATTGATGATTAGGTATTATTTTATATTTTATAAGTCTAAATAATGATAATTGTTTGAAATGATACTTCAAACTGGTACCTCAAAAAATAGCCAGCTTACATGGAAAGGATTTACCTATTCAAGGAAGAAAAGCACTGTGGTGCCTTCTCAGAGTGCACTGGAGGACAGGGTTTAGGCAAATTGCTTAACATTTCTGTGTCTGTAAAATATCCCTAAATCCTGTGTCTCACAATTAACAGTTGTATTAATCCATGTAAATGAGTTAATCCATGTAAACAAATTTACAAATGGTAAGTGCCTATGACCTCATTTCTATGGCAGATTAAAGAAGAATTGATGTTTTCAGTTTGTTGAGTTTTTAAAAACTTGTTAGGACACCGGAGCAACTTTTAAACTCCTTACATACTGAACTGGAAACCAGAAGTTCTCTCGCTTCATTACTGAACTTTGAGAATGCTGGTTTTGAAAGATTAGTAAATTGACTTTAACATATTTGGCAACAATTCTCCTATTTATAAAATGCAGCCATATATGTAAAATGTTATCTCAGTTTTCTATTGGTGCTGTAATAAATTACCCCAAATGTACTGGCTTTTAATTTCTATTGTCTTAACAATAGAAATTTATTCTCTTACACATCTGGGGGCATGAATTCCAAGATGAGTCTTACTGGACTAAAGTCAGTGTTGTCAGAGGGCTAGTTCCGTCTGGAGTTTCCAGGTGAAAGTGCATTCCTGGCCTCTTCTGGTTTCTAGAGGCTGCTGGCATTCCTCATCTCTTGGTCACATCACTCCAATCTTTACGTCAGTGTTAAGATGGCCTTCTTCCTTTCTCTAGTTAGGGCTCTGTCTTTCTTCATACTTAAAATGACATTTAGGGATACCCAGATTGTCTAGGAGAATCTCTCCATCTCAAAATTCTTAATTTAATTAAATCAGCAAAGTCTCTTTTTGCCAAATAAAGCAATATTCACAGGCTACAGGGATTAGGATCTGAATCTCTCTGACGGTCATTATTCAGCCTACCATGAATGTGTTTTGGAAAGGTATTATCTCCTGTTTCTATTATTAAATGTAGTTTGAGCAGTTTTTATGAATTGATGGCACTGGATTTCATTTCAAGACAGAGTAAGTCTGTTTCAAAATGTGCAATAATTACACATTGGAGAATTGTGCAAGAATAACTTTAGAAGGGCCACATAGTGGGTGGGAGGAAATACATCGCTATACCTTCCTGACTGACCAAAATGATGGTTTAAATTAAACTAAAGGCTTGATTCTAACAACAAGAAAATATAGCAGGACCTCAAATAACTTCATTCCATTCAATGTCATTTCGTAACAATATTGATGAGATAAAAAAGTAATAATCCCCAGCCAGGGTCACTGTCTGTGTGGAGCTTGCATGTTCTCCATCTGCGTGGGTTTTCTCCAATTACTCCTGTTTCCTTCCACATCACAAAGATGTGCAAGTTAAGTGAATTAACCTGTCTACAAGGTCCCAGTCTGAGTGTGTGTGTGTGTAAGTGTGCCCTGCCATGGGATAGTGTCCTGTCCAGGGATGGTTCCCGCCTTGTGCCCTGAACTGCTGGGAGAGGCTCCAGCCAGCAGCCACCCTGAACAGGAATAATTAGGTAAATAATTATCTTGTTTTTATTAATCTTCTTAAATGCATATATACCTCACACTTATTTAAATATTTAATATGGGAAGTATTTTGGTCTTTTTTTAGAGGTTGGTGATGTTTTTGTGACCAGAAATATGCCATATAACTCATGTTTATATCAATTAGCCTATGGTAAAATCAGTTTTGTTATACATTGTTTTGTTTTGCTTTAAGTCCCAGTTTCCGAAAACCTATCAATGATGTTAAGTGAGGACTTAGTGTAAATTGACACACACAGATTTTGATGGTTGGTTAAGTTTGTATTTCTTCAGCTGGTTAAAAAAAATTAGTGGGGAACTCCTATTTATACACTTAGAGTTCAACATATCCTATTTTTTTCTCTTCCACATACACTCTTCTGAACAGGTTTGTCATTTTGCAACTTTTCAATTTAAATGTTAAATATTTCATCCAAATAAAATATTTTAGGACAGAATATGTAAAAATACCTTGTAGAGTGATTTGCTGAGGATCTTAATTCTCTTTTAGAATAGCTTTAGACTTTAATTATGCTAGGACTGGCCAAAAAATCAGAAATACAAAGCTAAAAAAGATGAAAGAGTAGTGACACAAAAACCTAACAGTTCAAAGCATGTAAGGAGAAAAGCATTTTTTAATGGGTATCTCTGGAGTTTCAAGATAATCACTGAGAAACAGCATTTGAGGTGTCTGACTAAATAATAAAAATAACTTTATGAATAGTTGAAATTTAGGTTTAAATAAAAACTTTGACTCAACTTCAAAAATACTAAATTTGGCAAGAGATGCCTATAATTACTATCATCAGGTGCTGGAGCCCCCAAACCACAATCATGTTAAATTAAACCTCTGAATTCTGTGTTCATATTTCTGCTTCTTTATGTGGTGGAGGAAAGGGATGTCACAGCTAGTTATGGTAAAGCCTAAGTACTTGCTTTCATTGTACACATTTTTATTTCATTGCACAGATCCAACATAAATATTTAAAACTTAAATTATCCTATAGAGGATGAAATTATCAAGTGAACAATTATTTACAGGGACTTTTTTTTTTAAAGTAAGGACCCGACTATATAGGAGACAGTGGTGTCAAATTAGACAAAGAGAATTCCCCAGGAAATGACAGTGCAAATATGTAGATGTAAAGACTGGACGATGTGGCTGACTTGGGAAAAGCTGAAGTTTTAAAATATTTATTGTGTTACCCGTATGACCTTTATTAAAAAACAAGATAATAACATACGCAGAACACATCACCATACAGTCATATGGTATGAAGTTAGTCTACCCCCCAATGATGTCATTGTTGGTTTTCAGACAATTCTAGGAAAAGACTGTGGATTGATAAATGTACACTGTGCCTTCTGGTTTTATGGTAGTGAAATTCAGACTACATAAATTGTAATTTGTCTATGTCTGCTGTTTTAGTTAAATTAAAAGAAGTTGGATTGCCTAGACAATGAGTGTTTTGCTTGAATGAAATTTTTTAAAAGAAGCTAGTATTTATAATGTAATGAATCACAAAAAATGTCCCTTTGTAAAAGAAAATTCCAAAACAACAGTAGATTACAGACTGAGCAAAAACAGCCTGAGTGGTAAAGAGGTCAGACTCCAGAGTCAGACAGATGTGTACTTGAATCCTGGCTATGCTACTCACAGCAGTACAATTTGGAGCAAATTACCTAACCTCCACACCCTGGTTTCCTCATTTGAGAAATAATAATAATAACAACAATAACAGCGCCAACCTAATAGGTGATTTGTGAGAAGTAAATGTGTTGAAACATATGAACAGCATTGCCCAGTGTCTAGCACATTGCTCAAGGAATGATTATTGCTATTGGATCAATTTCATGGTCCAGGTGTCACATAGTCCAGTGCTCTATTTCCAGCAGAGAAGGAGAGGAATGTATTGTGGGATATGATGTTTTTTCCTGCCATCGGCCTTAAAAGCTAAGAAGTCTTGATCTAAAAGGCCATCATTCATAACTTCGTCCAAACAGTTATTAATCCATTCATTTTTTCTATCTATATCAGATATGCTGAAATGTTTTATAAATTTATTAAATTTATGTGTAAATTTAAAACAACACTTCCTTTTGTCTGACACTCAGGCCACTATGCATTGAAAGCACATCTCCTTGCCCTGGGATTTTGTGATATAGGAAATAAGTCTGGGTATAATTTCTATACTATTCACAACTGAGAAAATAATATGAACATGTTACTTTTAATGTCAAAAACTGCAATTACTTTTGCACCAACCTAATATTTCAGCTCCTACTGTGTTTCAGGTACTGTGCTAGGCCTTTTACATGCTGCATTTCACTTATTCTCCAAAATAGTCTTATGAGGTAGGAAATAGTATTCTTTAAACAGAGTTTACATTTATGAATTCTAGCCATAATACCTTTAGGCACCAATGCTCTAGAGTAAAGCTTCTCTATGTTTTCAGTCAGTGTTCATATATAGCCTTTTAATCCACTATAGTTTTTTTGTATTTGACTACCCAGAGATAGACGTTTAAGGCTACGTAATGAATTGGTTGAGGGCAGAAGGTATTAATTATGAAAGACCTTGATTCCTGTCCTGACACCAGACTAGTGTTGGCCTTGGGTAAGTTGCTTAACTTCGTAGGGCATTTGCTACTTTACATGTAAAATTTAGCTACTTCATAGATTTATTTTGGGGATTAAATGACTCAATTAACATAGTGTAAAAGGTGGGAGATAGAGTCTGATATTTAATAAGCACTCATTTAAGGGTAGTCGTTATTTTTAGTGAACATGCAATGAGCTACTTATGGATAAAACACACATACACACACACACACACCCAAAAATCATAGGGGATACCAAGCTAAAAATGACATGCTTACAGTGTTTGGACTTACAATTTAGTAAGAAAACAATATGCATGTGTGAGAAGGGTCCTCTTTTAGGGATATAAACAGGGCTTTGTAAGAGTGTAGGAAGCAGTGATGAATTTTTAGTTTGGGGTGCAGCTTGAATGAAAAGAGGTGGAGAAAATAGTACCTGAACTGGATTTTTAAAAATAAATGCATGCTAGTATTTAGAGAAGGGAGTGAGGATTTTCTAGATGCAGGGAATGATATAACTAAAAGCCCAGAACTATGAAGTACAGTATTCAGGGAAGGGTGACTATTATAGTGTGTGGTGGAACTAGGGAATAGAATTTGTGGAGACATCAATTTAGAAATAAGACTAAAAGATATACCCTAGTTTGTTAACTACCTTGCTAAAGAGTTTTAATCTTACTGCCTTATTGTTTAGAAGATTTCTATGTCAGGAATGTGGAAAGTACATTTGGAAAGGTGAAAGAGTCAGTGAAAACAGTTAAGACATTGTACAGATAGTTTAGTTGAAATATGATGAATCCCTGGACAAGGGTAGTGGCAAAAGCAATGGAACAGAGGAATGAATGAATACAAAAGACACTTCAGAGATAGAAGCCAAAGGGATGAATTAATTAATGACAGTGGTGGGAGAGGGGTGAGGAAGGAGTCAAAGATGATGATATTAGTCACTGAGCATCACTGAGTGATACTATTCACTGAGATCAAACCCTCATGAGGGAGGTTCGGGAACAAAGAGGATTCTGAACATAATGATATGAAGTACATTTGGGTAGCCCAGGGAGAGATGCCCTAAATACAAATGGAAATTTGGGCCTGAAGCATAAATGAAGAATCTAATATTGTATGTAAAAGAATATTATTATAATTGACAAATATAATTTACATCGAGATACCCTTGAAAACCTCAGATTGCCTTTTGAATTCTTAGTATTAGCAATTTTCAAAATCTAGGTATATAGAACACATATATTCTCTGTATAACCCACAGAGCATTTTAGGTGGAATCTATCCTTTAATACCAGGCTCTTATTTTTTCTTCTAACCTAAATCTGTCTATTTAATATCAGCTCTTATTTTTTGTTCTTTTTTTTTTTTAAATAAAGAATACGGTATGGGAGGGTCAGTGATTGTGGAATTCACTTTTGCAAGTGCTTTGCCAGAACCTGTTTTATCAGCTCACATAAACCCCACCTGCTGGGGCTTCGTCTTAATTGGCAGTCTTGTAATCCTCTTGTGAGATTTAACTGGGCAGCTTTATCTATAAATAACATTAATTTTCAAGGATGAAGTGCAAAGCTGCAGTCATGGTGATGAGAGATTGTTGAGCCCACCTGCCTTTTTAATCCAGTGTTAGTCCCTAAACCATTTGTCAAGTTTTACATTGTTATCACACATCTAGTACCTTAAAGAATAGTTCATAAAGAAAACTTTTCTTAGAGGGAATCTGAAACTGTCTTAGGATTTAGCTTAATAATATTATTGTTATTTTAATGCTTAATTAGGTAATATTTGGATTACTTTTAATAATTTACAAAATACTTTCACTGACATGATTTCATTGTGATTGTCACAATAAACTGATTGGAGGGAGCATTATTATTATAATTTAATTGATGAAGAAACAGATTAAGAGAGGTTGAGTAACTTGCTCAAGATCCCAGAGCCAATAAAAGTTGGGACCAAGATGTGGACATTAATTTGATTCCACATGGGTTTTTATTCCTATTACTTATATATAGCTATTTTTCTAGTAATATTGCTACATCTGAGATATAGTATTCCTCCTTACATATGGACTATATATTTTCTTGTTTTCCACCTTAAAATTCTTAATATCTTTCAATATGTTAAATGTGCAATTCAAATGTGATCAGCACCTCAGGAAATTTGTATGTTAACTCACCATGTTGATGGTGTCAAGCTTGTAAGATTCTTGTTTGATTTTCTTTTTAAAATATTCTATGTAGCTACATGACTATGTGAAGCTTAAACTAAATTATGTTCTTTGCCATAGTTATAAACAACACATATTTTGGCTTTATTTAAAAAATATTGGGATTACTTTAAGTTATGGTATTTAAATTTTACTAAAATAGAAAACTAAGAAGAATGAAAAATGACACTGAAATGGAGCTAGAGGTAGAGGAAACAATATGGTAAGTAAATACTGTTGCTTATATCCTGAATCTGTTCTGAAGACAGAGCACCATGTTGCCCTATTTTTTTTAAGAAAATATTTTGAATATCATCCTTAGGGATTGAAAACTAAAAATTGATCCTTCACCTAAAGTATGTTGTCTTCTGAGTGGGAAAAAAAGGTCAAAGACTAAAAGAGAACCCAGTTTAGGACTCTGCACTGGCCTTTACTGGAAGGAGCAGCTCCACCAGCTGTGGCTGCTTTCTTTACCCTGGTTCAGACACTAGAGCCGTTTAAGGAATCGAATACCATTTCCCTCCATGTCTAAATTTGTATTCCTGCTGTTCCTTGAGGTCTTTCCTCGTTACAAAAAGAGAAAAATTTACTTAAATTTTTAAATTCTACCTACTTAGGAGGTATTCAAAGGGATCTCAGAATGTTTGTTTTATATGTTTGTAATCACTGACAGAAACAAGTGATTCCACAGGAGATTTGAGTGTAGATACTGAAAGATGTCTCCTGTGGAAAGAAGAGCTATTACATTACAAATAAGCATGAACCTGAAAAAGAGTTCACCAGAAAAGAACCAACTAACAATTGCTTTCTCAGAGATAAGGAAAAAAAATTTATATGATCACTTACTTGGTAAACTTTCTAATGTTTGTTTTTACAGTTTGGGAAGGTTGGACTTAGATTTTTGAGAGTTGTAAAAATCTCTTCCTTATCTGGGAGCACATTATTTTGGTTATGTTTCTTGCTTTTACATTTATTTAGTGTATTCTAAACATTTCAAGACACACAATCAGTAAGATCATTAGAAACAGAATATGGCCCTTTCCTCATCCTGGCCACAAAGAGATAGAGCACTCTATTTAATATTTAGCAGACGCATTAGTATTTTAATACTATTTGATATTTCTATGTGCAGAATTTTTTATTTAAAAAAGTGAGAGTTTTTGTGGTAAAGTCATAAATGTTAAAGTCCTTTGAAAACAAACTTGGTCATTCTGATATTTGCTTTATTTAATCTATAAAGTCTGATAAAATGTTTCCTCTTTATTGGATATTTTTTATATTTTAGTTTCAGTTAAAGAGCCAGTCTTACATGCAGTTCTTCAGCAGCCCAAGTTTATCTTCAACTTCTTTCCACTTTCCCTGTCCATGTTTGGCTTCTCTTGCTAAATGATCTTTTCTTGCCCAGGCTGGGAACTCTTCTCAGCAGTGCTGTATCCTTTGGACCACACCTCTATCCTCCTGTCCATAAATTACTACCTGTAGCTTGACCTCAAGGTCTTATTTACTGCTTTCCTTTTGACATTAAGTATCCTGATTAATTAATCTGTGCTAAGGAACTTGTGATTTATAGTGTCTTATCTCTCCAGATAATGCTGTATTTTGATATTTCAAAATCAAACTACCAGAGACGACATACTGTAAGTAGGAAAAAATGTATTAATGGCAGGAATCCTAGGCTCTAGGGCAAGCGAGTTTGAAAGATCATTTGGAGCCACTGAGAGGTCTTTTGGTGGCTTTGGATCACATATTCTAGGCAATTTCCTACATCATCTAGGGTGGAATTTTGATGCTCTGTTTTTAGTTTTTAACTCCATAGTCAATGAAACTATCATAAAAATTTATGGTCAAAGGAGAATTTTAGCCATTCCCATTTCTTTTGTGAGCCAAAGAACTGTTTATCAAGGAGAGAAGGACCATACTAGAGATTCGCCTGGATTTTTGTTGTATGACACATTTTATCTTACCAAAACAGGCTGTATTCACATTAATAATTATTTTTATTTTTATTTTATTTATCTTCTTCTTCTTTTTTTTTTTTGATACGGAGTTTCACTCTTGTTGCCCAGGCTGGAGTGCAATGGCATGATCTCGGCTCACCTCAACCTTCACCTCTCGGGTTCAAGCAATTCTCCTGCCTCAGCCTCCCAAGTAGCTGGGATAACAGGCTTGCGCCACCATGCCCGGCTAATTTTGTGTTTTTAGTAGAGACGGGGTTTCTCCATGTTGGTCAGGCTGGTCTCAAACTCCCGACCTCAGGTGATCTGCCTGCCTCGGCCTCCCAGAGTGCTGGATTACAGGCATGAGCCACCGCGCCCAGCCACATTCATAATTATTAATAGAGGTCTTTAAATTTAGTCTTAAATGCCATGTTTCTAGAAGGATTTAAAAATGGTAGCACTTGTCAGGTTGTATGACCAAATAGGTAAATTATATATGCCACTGGAGAAATTTCAAGACCTTTTTGGTTATTTGTAAATATTATTATATGCCACCATTCTCTATTAGCATATTAAGTTCCAGAGGAAATAGAACATTTCTGATACTGCCTACTACTAAATTGTAAATGCATGTAAGACCTGTAAATACACAGTATTGTAGATACCTGTACTCATTGAATAGAAGTAAGCTAAGGACATGTGAAAATCACATTGATGTTTTGAGGTCACAGGTAAAAGTTGATTTGAAAATGGTCAGTGAACAGTTGGGGGAGTAGCTAGTCTCGGCTCCTCTGAGTTTTCGGGCTTGGTGGTCTTTGCTAGGATCCCACTCTACTTGCAGTTCACAACGTCTGTCACGTGAGGGCAGCATAATCACATACAGGCCAGCTGTCTGGTTTGACCTTAAGTCAGAAGAACTGATTCCAAAGGAAATCACATAGTAACATGTAAATGCAGTCATTTTTTTCCTTTTATACACATTGCTCAACTGATTAAAATACAATATGAAATATTAGGGAGAAAAATACTTTTAAACATTTTCTGTGATTGAATATCCTTATCAAAAGGATATGTGTGATTTGCATTAGAAAAATAATTTGCAATTATGACTTTTAAAAATTGTGTTTTAAAAGGAACACAGACACAAACACACCCAGAGAGTGAGAGACTCTCTTTCCTGTTTTTTGTGGATGGAACAATACATAGCATTTGAACACTGTTGTTAGGCTTTTTATGCTTCACTCACCATGATATTTTGGGCAAGTTAACATTTCTATGCCTTAGTTTCCTCAACTACATGGGAGTAATCATAGTTTGCATTCATAGGATTGTTAAGGATTAAATGAGATAATGCAGGTAGACCAATTTAAATATACTCTACACATAAGTGCACTATAAATAGTTTGTATTATATTGTCATACACTGCATAATGATGGTTCAGTCAACAACGGATTGCAAATATAACAATAGTCCCCTAAGATTGTAATGGAGGTGAAAACTCCTATCACACAGTAGCATTGTAGCCACCATAACATCTTAGTGTAACACATTACCTTTTCTATATTTAGATATGTTTAGATACACACCTACTTTCTATTGTGTTACAGTTGCCTACAGTATTCAGTAGGGTAATATGCTGTACAGGTTTGTTGCCTAGAGGCAGTAGGCTATACCATATAGCATAGGTGTGTAGTAGGCTAGTACCCGCACAGTATGTACATCTAGGTTTGTGGTAAATCCACCGTTTGATGTTGGCACAGTGACAAAATTGCCTAATGACACATTTCCCAGAACATATCTTCATTGTTAAGGGACACATGAATATTCAAATACTGAATTTTTAAAGTATAGATTTTGAAAAACACCTTCTTCCATGTGGAACTAGGAAACTATCAGAGACCAATGCACAAGACAGAATTGAGTAAGATTCTTAGACTGTATTTTCTGGTATTTTGTCACAAATATTCTGGAAAAAAACATGTTTGAAGGAGCTACTGAAGAGATGAGGAGGGGGAAGTACAAATAGAAAGCTTAAGATTTAGTGCAAATTACAGTAGAGATTTCACATATGCTTTTTGTTTGTTTGTTTGTTTGTTTTTTTGAGACGGAGTCTCACTCTGTCACTGAGGCTGGAGTGCAGTGGCACCGTGTCGGCTCACTGCAACTCCCATCTCCTGGGTTCAAGCAATTCTCCTGCCTCAGCCTCCCAAGTAGCTGGGATTACAGGCGCCCACCACCATGCCCAACTAGTTTTTATATTTTTAGTAGAGATAGTGTTTCACCATGTTGGCCAGGCTGGTCTTGAACTCCTGACCTCAGGTGATCCACCCACCTCGGCCTCCCAAAATGCTGGGATTACAGGTGTGAGCTGCTGCACCTGGCCTCACATGTGCTTTTATGAAAGAATTTTTTCTTCTTAAAGACTTGAACCTTTACTTTTTAGTTGGTAATGGGTTGATGATTCTTTCCTACTTAGGAATTTAATTATTATTCAGGAAAGCAATATCATGGTAAATAAGACCCTGAAGAGATATTTTTAAAAGGAGAAAATTCAGGTTTAGGAAAATCATCTGTTTTCAGTTTGTTCAGGTTTTTACTTGTTAGGACAGAGTGATGACTTCAGGTTTTTCACATGCCAGACCTGCAACTGGAAGTTGGACTCAGCCTTGTTCAGCTTTTAATTCATATGCAGTAAAGCAGTTAGAAAGAACCTAGAGTGCTTAAAAGAGCTTAAACTTTCTGGAGCTAGAAGACCTGCACCCAGGAAGGTGAAACTATCAAGTGCCAAAGTGAACGGGATACAGTTTAGAGGAGGAAGAAGGAAAGGCAAGGTAGAATGATTAGGAGGTATAATTCAAAGTAGGATTTAAATATGCCCTTCAATATTGATTAGGATTTGGAGAGAAGTTGGAGGAAGAAGAATACTTAGGTGAGACAGGCTGGAGTTCATGGCTAAGAATTCCATGTTGATGCTGGAGCTAAGAGAATGAGTGGAATCTATGGGAGAGTTTTAAAAAGTGCAAAAGATCAAACAAGATTGCTGAAGGACTTCTAAGAACAGGGTTGCCTGCTATATAATTTTACAATGATGCCTACTATATAATTTTAAGTCATTTTCATTCCTACAATGTAAGTTTCCTCTGTTGCCCCCAAACTACAGTAAATTTGATACAAACACAAATGCCTTGTGTGATTGGTTTTGGGAAAATCTAGAACAGGGATTGTGTTTAATATTTGAGTTAGTACTAAAGACAGAAGAAAAAAGAGAACATCTGCAGAAAGTGAGAATCAAATCAGATGAAATATTCTGGGAAAACACAGGTTCTGAGCTTGGGGGAACCAGGAGAAAAGTGAGGTCTCAACTCTTCTCATCCAAGAATCCCTGAAGACAACTGGGGGCATGCTCCAACTTTTGGGGATTGGAGTTTAAGTCAAATTGTATTTAAATCTCCAAAGATAGACTGCTCACTCTTCAGTTACACTCAAGTGTCAGAATTATATCGTTTTCTCATCTTTGGTTAGGCTAGATATTTCATGTATCTTAAAATGAGTTCAAAGGGAAGACTGAGGGAGAATAGGGCAGCTGTCTTCAGTATGTGAAGGGATTTTCTGTGGAAGACAGATTGGACTTGGTTTGTGTTGCTTCAGATGAGAGCAGTGTGGAAGTTACAGGAAGGCAGGTTTCAGTTTGGCATGGGAACTAACATCTTCTAGTTGACCTCTGCCAGTGACTTTTCCACCACCTCATCACGCCCTTCAATCTTAGGCAGAATTCAGAATTTTCCATAATGGCCCTTTCTTTTTTGGAAATGTACAACCAAGTAAACCTGCCTAGCTGGATTTTTTTTTAATTGGGTAGGTCGTATGGAAATAGCTCTCATAAGCCTTCATATCATTTTGTATAACAATTCATTTCTTGACAAACTTCCATATGTACTTGTAGACTCTATGTTTGTGTATAACCAATATATTGAAGGACTCTCAAGAATCTGAAACACAATCAAAGAATATGACAGTGACTTATTAAAAGACTTTTCTTATTCAAGAAAACCACTTGTTTCATAAGAGTGTTGCTAATGAACTCTATTCAACTATTGAGTTTAATTCGGAGCTTAAATTTTTTTTTTCATGCCTCTCATTCCCACCACTACTGGCTTAATGGCATGTGAATTCCTGGCATTAAAAGTAACAGGCTGAATCTTTAAACTTTAAATAAAAGGAGAATTACATAATTGATCAGAGGCCAAAAATCATAGCCTTTTTGTTTGTTTTTATTCTTAGTAGAATGGCCAAACAATGGAGATTGGCAATGTGAATTACTAGAAATATTGCCCAAACATTTTAGCTGGAAAAATAGTAGAGTAGTTTGTTATTCTTTCCCACTTCAAAACTTATTTTCTATGAAACCAGTGTTATAGTAGATAAGATTCTAGAGAAGTTAAAGAAATTTAGAAAGAGAAAGTAATATACATAGTTTCTGAATATAAAGTTATCTAATAGTTTTATCATAGAACACAAATTACAAAAAGGGAAGACAGAAGTGTCAGCAGTGAATATGAATATGAACATTTGATTCTTCAACACATCTCTAAGATGAGTTACCATCAAATCTAAATTATACATAAAAAGTCCAACTTGTGAAGATGCCATCATTGGTTGATCTGAGAAAAACCTCATGAAAAAGATCATAGCCTTAGTTGGACCTCAGAAGATGGATATGATTCCCTGAAAGCTGCATTTAGTCTATGATTTAGCACAGGGTTTTCAATCTTGGCACTATTGACATTTTGGATAGGATAATGTTTGTTGTGGGTTCTTTCCTGTGCATTGTGAGATGTTTAGCAGCATCCCTGGCCTTTATCAACTAGATGCCAGTAGCAAACCCCCTCCCCACCCCCAGTTGTGACAACCAAACTTGTCTCTAGACATTGTCTAAGTCCCCTAGGGGCAAAATTGTCCCTGGTTGAGTAACACTGATTTAGCACAAAGGGATAGTAATGTATAGTTAGAGAAACTGTCATTATTTCAATATCTTCACAAGCAAGCAAAGGAATAGTAGTTCAGTTTTGGCATGGTTAAAAAAAATTGCCAAGTTCTTTGAAGGAGTTGACTTGGCTCACACTCCAGGTGGTGTTGATAAATCCTAGAAGAATAACACTAGGTAATGCTGATGGTGGGGGACTTTGGCTCTCATAGAACAGATATCAGAATGTTACGTCCATATTCCTGAGGGCTCAGTGATGACTACTTTTCCTGAGATTCCCTGAATGATATATACAGACGCAATAATTTCTGATGATTCATTAAAATTACAGCTTAGTAATATGAAGCACATAAAATATATTTTAAAGCCTACTCATGTTTTACTTTCCCACCTCAAATACCAAGTGAATTTATACATTTTCCATTTTCATTGATTTCAATAAACTTGTTAGGCATAGGTTTAGTCATATGGCCAGCTGAACAGCAGGGGGTATGACTGTCTTCATTGACTAGGCAGCTTTGCATAGCTTTTAAAGTTTATATTCAAAGAATTATGAGGTGATGAATGGAAACTTCAACAAAAGAAAATACTTACCTTGGGAGAAATAAAATAACAAAATGGAAGGTGGATCAGGACATCATAAATACTTGTGGATATGCATGAAATGATAAGATATGTCCCTACCTTTGTCACTGATTTCACAGATGCTATCAGAATTTAATACAGGAAATCATTTTTTTCTGGCTTAATTTCTTTAAATTATAACATGAACTCGGGATGAATTTTGCATTTTAGCTAGAATAACATATATCGAAACAGGAACTCTGGACTTTATGAATTCATTTAACAAACACCTCTTAAGTACCTACTTAAGTAATTACTGTGAGTCAGACACTGTGATAGATGCTAGAAACTAATGAGAATAGAGAGTAGTCAAACCTTATAAGCCAAATAGAGGAAGAGCTATATACAAAGAATATAAGTACAACTAAATGTTGTAAATAGTATACAGTGGGGCCACAGAGAAAGAGGGGATTAGTTACACAAGGTAGATACTAGGAAAAATGTGGAATTATGTCATACTTCTATCAGCAGTGTGTGCTGTCTCACTGTACCCTGGCCAGCATGAAGTGTTACCATTTAAAATAAAATTGGTATCTAGTTTTAGTTTGCATTTATGAGCTAGAGATGTCAATTTTAAAATACATATTTATTTTACATTTGTATTTCCTTCTTTCTGAATTGTGTTTATGCCCTTTAGCCTCATCATTTTAATATGTAATGCCCTCACCCCCTACCTTTCCATCCCTGTATGAGTGTGCGCCCTCGCCTCCTACCTTCTCATCCCATTTAATGCCTTCAGCCCCTATCTTCCCATCTTATGTATGAGTGTGTACATACATCTATGTGCACACTCACATAGACACACACGTTTGCTCTGGTAAATGTATCCAAAAGAACCTGACTGCTAAATTTAATGAATTAGTTTCATATCTCACTTAATTAGGCATCTTCTAGTACTATCAGTCTGCTCCCTTGTTTAAAAATTCTCAATCCAGTGCTTCCTCACCAGCTCTGTTTTGGTTCTTATTTTATGTCTCTGACCATTTCTTCTCAGCCTTCATTTGTGGGTTCTCTTGCTATGTATATCCCTTAACTAATGGTGTTTTTGAGGGCCTTGTCCTTTTTCTGATTCTAGATCATATTCCTGTTTCCTTTTTCATGGTTACTTTTACCAACTTCATCCATTCTGGCTTAAACTGTCCACCTATGTGTTGGAGGCTCTCGAATCCTCATTTCATCTTGGAACTCTTTCTTGATTTCTACACTCATGTGTTTCACTGATTACTGAACAATTCCACAAGAATGTCTCACATGCATGACACTTAGGTGTGAAATCAAAGCAATTCTTATTCATATTTTAAGATTCAGCTAAAGTACCCCAAACCTAAGAAGAAAATGGACTGCCCTCATTTCTGTCTCTGTAGTACCTTGTATACTCTCAGACTATTCAGCATACTTTTTCTCTTATTTACCTTTTCTATTTTCTTTTCTAGACTGTACGATCCTTAAGGCAGCATCAATGTCTTTGTGTACTCAGTGCTTGGCACAGAGTAAATGCTCAATAAATATGTGCATCCTTGGTTGTATAAAAAGCATTCAAATGACAGTGATCATCCTATTGTATTAGAACACATGTGGAATAGTATGCTTAGTTAGCTGCTCCAATATCTGTATATTTAAAAGGATATTAACGAACAGGAGTATAGGAGAGGGACCATGATGGTAGATATCAGACCATGTGCAATACCATCTGTAATGCCCCCAAACAGAAAGCACCACTGCGTACATTTTGAGGAATTTTCTTCCAGTATTTCCAGTTTCTTTTCTGTGCATTCATTTTTTTTCATAGAAACTATGGTTTTATGTCCTTATTTTTACTTGACATTATATCATTACTATTTCACCATTTATTCTTTGAAAATATGATTTTTAATGACATGTTCTATTACGTGGATTATTTAGGATCCACTTTTTATTTCTTAGAACTTACTAACAATTTATTGTGTGTACTTTTAAAATTTTCTGGAGTTTTCATGCACAGGAACATGTATACACATATATATCTATGTATGTATATATACATATATGCATAAATGTATATATACATAAATATCAAAAACATTGTTGAATATTTTTGAATACAAATATTGCTAAAATATATGTTTATATACATATACACATACATACATATAAAATATATGTTTATATACATATACATATATAAACATAAAATATATACGTATATACGTTTATATATGTATATATATTTATATATGTATATAAACATAAAATATATGGTTACATGCATATATGTATATGCATATACATATATGTGTATGCATATATTTACACACATATACATATTATTTATACACATATATATGTACATGTGTGTAAATATATGCATATACATATATATGCATATACATAAATTTACACACATGTACATATATACATATGTATATATATTTGTATAGGCATATACACATATATGTACCCATATATGTATATAGGTACATAGATACAAACATCTGTATATGTGTCTATATATGCACATGTACATATATCTATAGGTATGTATATAATGGTTAATATGTACTGGAGGCTTTATATACAGTAGATATGATGCTAAATGCATTACAGTTATTATTTCCTTTAGTCTCCGTAAAACCCTGGAAAGTAGATATCATCCATTCCCATGTACAAAGGAAGAAACTGAGGCTTAGAAAGATTATGTAAATTATTCAGGGTGATTCAGAGTGGTCTTACAAACAAGGACGTTCTGCAGCTAGGGTTTGCACTTTGTCTGTCATGCTCTACTCCACCACCTTACTAACTCTGTCCCTGTATCAGTTCTGTGGTTATCTGAAGAGTTAAATCAAGGTTCATAACTAAAGACACACACTACTTGTTTACTTACAACATATTGTAACACATTATTCTTAAAACATATACTCTTTGCAGAACGTTTTACTTCTCTGTTCTCTCTAAAATGGGGTTCTAATAATATTCTAGGAAAAATTATTTTCTCTTCTGAACTTGTTTAGGGCCACAAAGCAAAACTTCTTTTCTAAAATAAGCAAAACTCACCAAGCCAAGTAAAATATAAAATCTATAAATTTTAAGAGGTTCTTAACTTAAGACAAAATGTGTTGTCATGAATTGAAGTAACCTTTTCAAATATTCCTGATAGGAGTTTTTGTAACCTTCTAATGTTAACATTTTCTTTATGTTCAGTTGGTACCCAAGGGGAATTATAAAAATGAAATTACATTTTCTTCCGTTTTAAACTTTTTAAAAAATTAAATGGAGACGAGGGGTCTCACTATGCTGCTTAGGCTGGTCTCGAACTCCTGGGCTCAAGCAATCCTCCTGCCTTGGCCTCCCAAAGTGCTGAGATTACAGGCCTGAGCCACCACCTGGCTGAGAGTATTTTGTTACTCTTATCCCAATTAAAACAATGCCCTTAGAATATAACTGAGGCAGGCATGAAAGATAACTAATCTACGTGGTGATTTGACTATTCAAATCCAAACAACAGATAAATAGTAAAGTTCAAAATCCCTTGATTTGGAATTTTTTATAATTCAGGCAGGATTTGGACCTGGTCTATTTATAGAATAAATTGCAAAAACTTAATTGAGTAATATTAATTATTTTTCTTTGCTTTTTTGCTATTAAAAAGGTTATATATGCTCATAACCATCATTTCACATTTGAAATTTGGTATCCTATATATTATTGAAAATATTTAAGATTTTTTTATTTTAAATTGTTATGGGTAGATAATAGATGTATATATATTTATGGAGTACATGTGATGTTTTAATACAGACATACAGTGTATAATGATTACATTGGAGTAATTGGTATATCTATCATTTCAAATATTTATCATTTTTTTGTGTGTGTTAGAAACATTCCAATTCCAGGGCCAGGGGCAGTGAAATTCCATTTCAATTCCTTATGTCTGTAATCCTAGCACTTTGGGAGCCCAAGACAGGGAGATCATTTGAGGTCAGGAGTTCCAGACCAGCCTGGGCAACATAGTGAAACCCAGTCTTTACTAAAAATACAAAAAAATTAGCTGGGTGTGGAATCCCAGCTACTTGAGAGGCTGAGGCAGGAGAATCGCTTGAGCCCAGGAGATGGAAGTTGCACTGAGCAAAGATTGCACCACTGCGCCACTGCACTCTAGCCTGGGCAAGAGTGAGACTCCATCTCAAAAAAAAAACCACAAAAAACAACAAAAAAAATTGAAATATTTTGATTCCACTTTTATAGTTATTTTAAAATATAAAATAAATTATTGCTGACTGTAGTCACCCTGTTGTGCTACCAAATGCTACCACATACTAGATCTTATTCATTCTAACTAATGGTTCATTCCAGTAACCATTCCACTTCATGCCACCATTCCTGCTACCCTTCCCAGTCTTTGGTAACCATCATTCTACTCTCTATCTCAATAAGTTCAATTGTTTTAATTTTTAGTTCTCACATATGAGTGAGAACATGCAAAATTTGTTTTGTGTGTGTGTGCCTGGCTTATTTTACTTAACATAGTGTCCTCCACTTCTATCCATGTTGTTGCAAATGAGAGGATTTTATTCTTTTTTATGGCTGAATAATATTCCGTTGTGTATATGCACCACATTTTCTTTATCCGTTCATCCATTAATGTACTTGTAAATTAATCCCAAATCTTGGTTCTTGTGAATAGTGCAGCAATAAATGTGGGAGTGCAGATATTTCACAGAAAATAATGTTTTTTAAAGCCTTATTAACCATCCATTCTTTTTATAAAATTTGAACTACCTTTCCCTGAATTAGCACAATTTGGCCAGAGTTTTACTATTAATTAATTCTGTATTTTTAATATGCTACAATTAAATCCTTTTCCTGATCTTTTAAAGAACACTGTGATGGAAGAAATGGAAGGTGAGATTTTTAAATCTTCAAATTTGCTTATGTGATTTTACACCATAGGACAAATGACAGAGTAGTTATCGGTTGCTATACAACCAAATAGTTACTATTTTTACAGTAAAATTCAGATGATTCCCTTGGATTTCTTAACTTGCGCTCTGTGGTTTAGGTTGCCAATGTGATCCGAATACTGTGTTCTTTTTAAATATCAAATAGAAACTAAAGCAGCTAAAGTACTCATAGATTCATATCTTAAGCAAACATTGCTGATAAGTGAGGCTTTGTTCACTTGATGTTCTTTGGTGAGACAAAGGATTTGGGAAAGATTATTTTTAGTAATTGGAATGCTCATGAAAACAAAAAATTGTCTGTTGCAATGAAAAGGTGAAAGAAGATTTTACGTGCTGCAAGTTTATTCTCCAAACGTGGTCGGATGCTTAAATAGTGTGTGAAACGCTTGTGAGCTTAACTCACTCCTTAAGGAACAAATAACTATATAAGAGCAATCATAACTCCAAGTAATCCTTACTGGTCTATCTTTTCAGTAGGAATGTCAAGGATTAGAGCAATGGCTCACAAATTGCAGTGAGTACATCAGTCACTTGGAAAGCTTGTTAAATATGCAGATTTCTGGGCTCACCCATAAAGATTCTTTTTTTTGGTAGTTCTGAGGTGTGGTCCAGGAATCTGAGAGTTTAGTAAACATTGCAGAGCTTGTGAGGTGGATGCCTCCAGAGCCAAACTTTGCAAAATACCAAGCAAGTGAATGAAGCCCTGGCTATGGTCTTGGGAAGGACAAAGTTCATTGCTGGAAGAAAGTGAAAATTTTACCTCTACTGAAGACGCTGCATAAATATGGAAAGCTTTCCCCGAAAGTAATTGAACCATGGGGTCGAAGTTAGAAGGGTCCTTAAAAATCCACTTGACCCTTCTAAATTGTTGGCTAGTTTATTTTTGAACATTTCTAGTAATGGAAGTTGATTCTGCCCTATGGCCGGCCAACCTCACTTTGCACTGTTCTAACCATTACAATGTTCATCCATAGAGTAAGATCAAATTTGTGTCTCACAATCATCTATTTTTTCTAAAGCATAAAACATAACTGTTTCTAGATTTCTAAAGTATTAAGAAGGAAGGAAGAGGAGTGAAATATTACTTTTAAGTCAAAAGGGAAACTCCAAACATTTTTCTCAAATTAAGGTTGTGCCAATGCTATAAGTTTAAGTGACATTTATGCGAGTTTAGACTTACATGTTGACAATATTGATTTCATTTAAAATCTAGCTTTCATAATCCAGACTACTACAGAAATTTTTTTTCCGTATCTGTATGATACCTATTTTCCTTCTCTATCAAATCATAATAAAATGTAGGTAAATAAATACCCTTTCCCAGAATTTATTATATTATTATGGAACTGCTATATTGTTAAGAATGTAAAAATTAAGGTGACCTAAAACTTAATAAATGCTATTTCCATGCCTTCTTGCACATCCCATGTTCTCTATCGTGAATGTACTTCCCTTCCTTCAGGAAGGCTTCTTATATTCATTTCATAGAATTTTGGCCATTCTTTTGCCTTCTTTCCCATAGGACTTTTTATTCAACACGATGTTATTATTTTTTGGTCCTCTAATTTTCCTTGAGTTGTTATTTATGTGTGTGTGTGTGTGTGTGTGTGTGTGTATGTGTATGAAACAAATATCTATGAAATATATATTTGTATTTATATGTATATAAATATGCATATAAATGTATATAAATACACACACATGCATATATTCTCCCTTATATGTAGTGCTACCAAGGATAAAAGCCAAATCTTTGGTTTCATTTGTTCTATTTATTCAGGGGATAAAAACATAGTTTCGCTGATAAGAGAAGCAAGCCATCTCTATTTCTTTACATCCAGTGTCAAATTTTCTTTTTCTTCTTTTTTCTTTTTTTTTTTTTTTGAGACAGGGTCTCACTCTTTCACCCAGGTTGGAGCGCAATGGTGTGATCTCAGCTCACTGCAACCTCCACCTCCCTGGCTCAAGCAATCCTCCCACCTCAGCCTCCCAAGTAGCTGGCACCACAGGTACATGCCGCCATCCCCAGCTAATTTTTTGTATTTTTTGTAGAGATGGGGTCTCGACATGTTGCCCAGGCTGGTCTCAAACTCCCCAGCTCAGGTGATCCACCCACCTTGGCCTCCCAAACTGCTGGGATTACAAGCATGAACTGGAGTGCCTAGCCTCCAGTGTTAAATTTCCAACAATGCATGCCCATTAGAATAGAATGGCGTGCTGTGTTAGAAATCTGTGAAATGAGAGGGGAAAAGAATCTACTGGACAACTCATCATGTTCTGAAACCGGTAGTAGTAGTAGTAGTAGAATCAAGTACGGCTAGTGTAGTTATGCCAAAGGGGACTGATTTCTGGGGAGGCAGTGTTGGGCTGAGTGATCTCAGGATCCTGATCTAGGATCCTGATCTAGGATCCAGGGTCATGATGACCACAGGAACCCCCACAAGTTGGGGGTTGAAATGCATGCTTGTTGAGACAAACTAGTTCAGAGAACACTCATTTCTGTCCTCCCTGAACTTAAGGTGGTTGTTTTTTCCAATATTTGTGAAACCTAAGTAAGGGCCCACAAGGTTTCTTTGATGGGTACTTCCTCCTTACTTTTGTAGGTGTGTTCATGTTTCTAGCATAGGTATTTTTAAAGCAGTCTCAAAAGCCATGAGTTAAGTATGTTGGAATGTCTAGCTTTGGTGGAACTTTGTGAACCAAGGTTTTATAGGGCTGCTACCAAAATTGGAGTTTCTACTTCCCAGAAAACATTTTAACTCCTTAAAGCTTTACTCTCTTATACTAATTTTCTTTCTCTGATAGTAGTTGGCATTTAGTAGATGCTAAATACTTGTTGAAATAAATATAAATTTGCCTCTTTTGAATTTATTATACCTTGAATTAATTCAAAATTATTTTTGTAAAATATTCTCTAATAACATGAATTGAAAATGAGGTGATGAAAGCTGTCATCGGACTCATTTCCTGGGCATTGTAGTCCAACAGCAGGATTATGCGTTTTTCTTTGTACTGCTTCCAAAACATTGTAGAATTATCCAGATCAAGGATTTTTTCTTGGACTTTGGTCATCCTTTACTTTCCCAAATCTAATCTTTAGGTATGTGAATGATACCTGCAAAGCTTAACAGATCTTTGTGAAGTAGAAGCCTAGATAATAAGTGCTTTGGGGAAACATGATGGGTTTTTTTCTTTCAAAAATTTTTTTTTATCTTCTACTATCATAAAACAGATGTGGCATTTAAGAATTCCTTAGATTCAAGCTTTTAGGCTTTGTAAATTAATTATTATTTTATCCACTTGATTAATATAACAACTTACATAGTAAGCCTCCTTATTTAACTGAGAAAAACTAAAAGCAAAGCTAGACAAGCAAAACAGTTAAATTGGTTCCATGAACTATGGGAAACCAGTGCATCACTTTTTAGAATAAGTCATAGGTCAATGGAGAACATCCAAAAATCATTAATTGACTGGATCAGGAGCAACAGGGCAGCCAGAACCTCCCTTATGTGAGGTTTTACCTGCTCCCATATTTCTTGAAAGGGAGATAGGAAAAGAAGGAGTGAAGAACTGGCAAGGAGAAGGTGAAAGGAGGAAAATGGACTTGGTTCAGACTTCATGCTATTTCCTATTCGGAAGAAAGAAACTAAATTCTGCAACTGCCTTTTGTGTCCTTAGGAGACCTTAGGATATCATGTAGACCTCCAGGAATGAGGTAATGAGGCATAAGATTTCTCTTCTTTAGAATCTTGTTCACATTATGACTGGAAAATTTTACTTCACACACACCTACACACATACACATCTATGCACATAAATATACATACTCCTATATCTATATGTACAAATGCACACACATTTACACCTACATATACATACACAAACATATGTTATTCTCCCCCAATCCCTAATCCCCAAGCCCACAAAGAGTCTTGTTCTTGCCATGCCAAACCATCTTCCCTGCTTATAAGAGAAAGGAGAGCAGTTCTTTCTATTGTAGAAATGTGTCTGATACACATTACATTCTGCATCAGCATCATATTTAGTTGTTCTACTAGCTCTAGTAGATTTCAAGGCCATGATTTTATATTATTGAATTGTCAGCATTTAAAATATTTAATTCTGCTTCCCTTTCACAATTATCGACTATATTCCCTTGGACTTGGAATGATGATATAACTTACAGGACAGGATTTGCCTGTTTGCTTCATCTTGACTCTTAACCCTTTTCTTTTTTTTTTTTTTTTTTTTTGAGACAGGGTCTTACTCTTACCAGGTTAGAGTGCAGTGGTGCAATCTCGGCTCACTGCAACCTGCGCCTGCAAAGTTCAAGTGATTTTTGTGCCTCAGCCTCCCGAGTAGCTGAGATTACAGGTGTGTGCCACCATGCCCAGCTAATTTTTGTATTTTCAGTAGAGACAGGGTTTTGCCATGTTGGCCAGGCTGGTCTCTAACTCCTGGGCTCAAGTGATCTGCCTGCTTCAGCCTCCCAAAGTGCTGGGATTATAGGAGTGAGCCACTGTGCCGGCGTTGACTCTTTTTATTTATTTATTTATTTATTTATTTATTTATTTATTTATTTATTTTTTGAGAGAGTTTCACTCTATCTCCCAGGCTGGAATGCAGTGGCAGGATCTCAGCTCACTGCAACCTCCGCCTCCAGGTTTCAAGTGATTCTCATGCCTCAGGCTCCCGAGTAGCTGGGATGACAGGCGCCTGCCACCACACTGGCTAATTTTTGTATTTTTATTAGAGACGGGGTTTTGCCACATTGGCCGGGCTGGTCTTGAACTCCTGACCTCAGGGGATCCGCTTGCTTAGGCCTCCCAAAGTGCTGGGATTACAGGTACGAGCCATGGCACCTGGCCTCTTATTCTTATATTAAACAGAAGCATAAGAAATTGCCATTTTCATAAGTTAAAACTGGTAAAAAAAAAAATAGCAATTTCATATGGTTAAATTCAAATATTACATTAATTTTCATTTAGTGGTATTATTTTGATCACTTATATTATTAAATTTCTTAGATATTTTGTTTCTTTGCCTTAATCATTTCCCCCCGATAAAAGCTTGGGTTTTTTTTTTTCTAAATATCATCTGTTGTTGATGAAGCCACTAGGTACAGATAAAAGAGGAGGAGATTTATTTCTTAATCTCTGTCTTTTTGGACAAGGTCTGGATAATCTTTTCCTTCTTGGCCTGTAGCTGCTTCTTAAAGCACTAGTGGCCTCAGCATAGTCATTTTATGAGACCATTTTCTGTGGTTTATAACAGACCTGAAACTGGGTAATTTATAAAGAAAAGAAATGTATTTCTGACAGTTATGAAACCTGAGAAGTCCAAGGTTGAGAGAGTGCATCTGTTGAGCGCCTTCTTTCTGGTGGGTACCATGAAGAATCCCGAGCATCACATGGCAATAGGGAGGCATGTGCTAATGCGCTTGCTGTGATCTCTCTTCCTTTTCTTTGAAAGCCTCCAGCTCCTCCCCCATGATAACTCACTAATTCATTAATCCATGAATGCATTAATCTATTCATGAGGAAAGAGCCCTCATGATCCAGTAACCTCTTACAGGTCGTACCTTTCAACACTGTCACATTGCGGATTAAGTTTCCAACACATGAAATTTGGGAGACACAGTCCAACTACAGCGGTCATCCAGGAGCCTCTTGTGAACCCTACCTGCTTTTTCAGCCTGGGGAACGTGTTTCATGAGAATCTTGTTTGTAAATATTTGTTCATCTCTTGGTATGTGCCATGTTACCTAAAGCCATTTGTTTTCTTCAGTCACAAGCTTGCAGATAATGAGCTCATTTTTTTTTTAAATCAGGTTAAAAATTTGCTGATAGAAGTTGGTGTTGGTGATATTACCATTTTCTTTGGAGTCTAGCCATACCTTTTTCTTGCTATAGCAAAGGACTCCTTGAGAGTGAGCCTTTTCTAAAACTTGAGTACTTGACCTCTGGGAACTGCTATTTCATATCTCACGCCTGCCACCCCTATCACTACAATAGGTCCAGTCTCAGGCACCTTTTTCCCAACTAGTTTTAACAGAATATGAAGTGCTTTGCTGAATCCAGAAAAAGACAGACTATTTTGTGGAATAATAACATCTCTTAGGGTGAGATGGCTTATTTTATATGTCAACTTGCTGTGCCACAGTACTCAGATATGTAGTCACAAATTATTCTGGATATTTCTATAAGGGTGTTTTGGGATGAGATTAATGTTTAAGTTTGTGAACTTTGAGTAAAGCAGATTGCCCTCCATGATAAAGGTGGCCCATATCTAATCAGTTGTTGGCGTGAATAGAACATATGACTCACCTCCCCTGAGCAAGATGGAATTCTGCAAGTAGCTACTTTTATATTTGAACTACAATACTGGCTCCCTCCTAAGTCTTTAGCTTGATGGCCTTTGGACTTGAATTGTAGCACTGGCCCTTCTCTGGGTCTCTACTGGCCCGCCCTGTAGATTTTGGGCTTTTAGCCTCTATTCTCAGTGAGCCAATTCCTTAAAAATAAATCTCTTTATATATAAAATAAATCTATCTATCTGTCTATCTATCTATCTATGGTACACACCACACACACACACACACACACACACATTCTATTAGTTCTGTTCCTCTGACAAACCCTGACTAATAATACACAGGGGATGAAAACTAATGTTTATTTAGTGCAGGATACGTGTCAGGCATTCTATACATATTAACTCAGAATCCCCTAGACAACTCTCGGGGTAACAGATGCAAAAAGGTTAAGGAACTTGCCCCAAAGCATCCACTTAATGACAGACCCTGGTTTGAATTAAGGTTTGTATTATTCTAAAGTGTCTTCAACTACATGACCCTGCATGAAAGAAATGCATTTGATAAGTGAATACTTCCTGTGTTCTTATAATAACCTAATAACATAAGGAAGCTATAAAACTCTCTTTTGTTAAGGACCATATTACTCTCTCCTTTTCTCACTTTCTAGCAAACAACTATCTTTTTTTGGTGGTGGTGTTGATTAGCATCTATTCTTCTTTCTAGTAGAACTGATTTAGTTGAGGATTTACCTTTCTCCCATTGTGTATAATTGTGTTAGGAGGGAATTTCAGGCCCACCTCTGCCTGTAACTTTAATGGGTCAGAACAATTCTTTCCCACTTCTTTGAAATGCTAGTTGGTAAGCTTGTGATTTAAGCTCCACTAATTGGAAAGTTTTCCCCAAGGCTTTGAGGTCTGAGCAAGTGATACAAGGACAGAGAGAACAGCCAAAAGTCTTTCATGAAAGCAACCGCTATTGCAGCTCTAAGATAGTTATTATCTCCTGCTTCTTTTTCCCTTGTCTTCCAGAGTTCCCTTGGTTTCTTTCCCATATCAATTCTGGTCCCCTAACTTCCTGTCTTCTCTGAGAGGCCCATATCCTTCTAATAGACTCTCTTTTGTTTACAGTAAAGTCAGTTTCTGCTGCTTTTAAGCAAGGGACATCGTGATGAGGAATCTCAGGACAAAGATCCTGAGGGAAGGGTGAGATATCAAATATGATGCCCTGTGATAATGAGGCTAGGCGAGTTATCACCTACAGTCACTTGGGAAAAAATATCTAAAAGATAAAGTTTGAAGGCTTAGACTAGTTCTACCATGAAATAACATAATGGTTGTGAGGAATTCAAAAACAGCAGTGTAAGGAGGCTCCTTCTGATGGCATTGGAAGAATAAAAGCAAAAAAAATGATAAGCCCAAGATATTAAAATATCATTTTAAAAAATGGATGTAAACGTAGGGACTTTATGTAAAGTTGTTGAAAATATCTCCTATATCTTGTACATACTGAACTGAGAGAGCCAAGATTTAAACTCAGTGTTTAATCACCAGTTGAATTCACAGTCATATCAGTCAGGATGAGCTGGGTTACACTGTAGTAACAAAATAACTCCATGATGTCAGTGGCTTAAAACTTAAGAATTTATTTCTCACTTGTACTGCGTATCCATTGCAGGTTGGTTGGCAGTTCTGCTCTGCATCATCCTTACTGCAGGACCCAGCCTGGTGCAGCAGTGACTATCTGGGGCATTGCTGGTCATTGTGGCAAAGGGAAAGAAAGGAAGTGTGAGGAATTGTGCACTGGCTCTTAAGGCATCTAAAGGAAGTGAGAGAGGTCACATTTGCTCATATATCTTTGGCTAAAGCAAGTCATATGTACTTTAGTAATTTCAAGGGGGCAAGAATGTACAATTCCATCCGGTATAAGAATTGAAAATTTTTGGTGCACAGCAAAAATGACTACTATCAGAATTTGCTATATTTCTTACATGAAAGTTAGTGCATCAATTAGGAAAAAGTAAACCCGAGGCATCAGAGTAATTCAAACCCCCAAACCCCTCTAAGTCCCCACTGAGCCTTTCTTGACAGAAAATGACACTTCTTTGTTATTCAGAAAGCTAGTTTGTTTTCATGCTGGTACATGCCCATGTAGCTTCATCTGAGGGAGTTCACATTGAGAAAAAAGTCAACAGTCTTGCTCATGCCCCACATATTTTCATCCATAAATCATTAATTAGAATTATACCCTGACATGCCCCAGAGTCCAAAATCAATCTTGGAAAATGAAATTTTGCACAACAAAAGAATGGCAAGCAGGAAAATGCCAATGTTTGTTAATCCTAAAGTGGAAAATATATGTGGGAATAGATTTTATGGACGCTTGGCCAAGGAGAGTGCAGCATGATTTTAGTTTTACTGAATTTGTCAATGTGGTTAATGTACCAGAGATTCTGTATAAAATAGACTAGCTAAGTTGATTGTAACAGTTATTTTTGTCTTAGTTAACACACACACACAAATTGAAACATGCAAATGCATTCAGGTGTCAAAGAAAGTTGACATGTTAGAATAATAGAAATGTTTAACTTTAGAAATTATAGACATAGTCAAATCTAAAGGGTCTAGAGGATAGCCTATTCAGCAAACACCTGAAATACATATTGAAGAAAACACAAGTATCTTTAAAACAACTGTTTGAATACATCTGTTTAAAATACTGTTCTCTCTAGTCCAGAAATTCTGTTATGAAATACTTAATTTACAGTGAGCAGTACCATGGGAGTGGGACAGAGCAGGCAAGACCTTCACATCACAGGCAGTGGTTTGGCATGATCATCAGACTGGCCTGCCTGGAAAAACTATCTGCCTCCTTCTAATTGATTGTGGATGAGTTCCCTAGGAAAAAATTGGGAGTAGAGCAACCACATAACATAAAAGAAACAAAAACTCCAGGTCTAACAAACAAGCCTTAAGCCATGAAAAGAAAAAAGTCGTGATCAGATCCCTTAGCCAATTCCTAAAATTACTTGTTTACAGGATCAGATTCCCTTGAATGAAAGGAAGGCCAGACAACCTTGATACTAGATTCTGCTGTAACACTAAGAGAACATCTGGAAGATGTCAAGGTATCCCCACCAAAGGGAAAAACAATTTACAATACTTTGGGCCTTGTACCACTGAGAAAGAGTCCCAACACTTGATATGCCTTGGAATGAGCATATACCCACCTGTGTATCCTGCTTTTGCCATTTGCCAGGTGACTGGAAAGACTTCTGGTTTTGATTGAGGCCCATGGCAAGAAAAGATGCCCTAGCCAAAAAAAAGCATAACATGGTACTGAGCTATTAGTAACATATGCTCATGGCTAGAACAGAGCTAAGAGTGAAAAGAGGAAATGAGTGGGTTATAAACAGTGTAAGACAGTATGAACAATTACATGTGCATATAATTTTTTTTTCTGGAAACACTGGCAGAAATCTCCCCATATTAGAAGATTGGAAGCACATGTTCTCTAAATTGGGAGTTCATAAGAATAATGACCTTAATTCCTGAATTTTTTTCTGATGAATGGAGAATTAGAGCCATTTGTCTACTCTGAAATAGAAAAGTCCATTAAAAGGAGAGGCTGAATATAGTGGTTTGAACTTTTCAATAGTCCCACAATTCCATGTAACTTTCATACAAGTTTTAGCTTATCATCTTGTCTGTTTCCAGCTAGTAAATTCTGTTACTAAGTGTGAATGTTCAGGTATAAAAATTCCTTTATCTTGGGATATTACGTTCTCAATATAGATCACTAGTGTGGTGCACATAGAAATGCCTTTAGCTTAATGTTTCACAATTCTTAACTGTTCAGTTTAGTTATTGTTTTAGCTATATTTGAGATTTTACTGAGTTTATTTGTATTTTTCTGATGTATCATTGTTAATTTAGGGTTTTTCTAGTTACTTTTTGAGCCATAGGATATACTTTTGGCTCATTAGGCATTCATGTCCATTCTCTTTTTTGGTCACAATGTTTTTTTTTTTTTTTTGCATTGAATTATTCCCTTTAACATTTAAAAAAGTTACATGGGTTATCCTGTTATTTAGGGTATGTAAGATATGTAAGTAGCATATATAATTTTTCTTATTAAACATTAATGACATTTTAATTAAAATAGAAGTAACAAAGATTTTTGTCTCAATGTATAGCAGTGATATTTTATTCATATTTACAATGAAAAGTAATGTCGAATTTATCAGACTCTATGACAGAAATATTTCTGGGAAAACAATGGTAGGATTTCTGAGACATTATTTTAAGGACAGTTAACCTGGACTTTTTGTTTTTGTTTGTTTTGCTTTTAAGAGACAATGATCATGTGTATCGGAGGGAGTAATAGTATGTTGTTGATGTGTGGGTGTTTTATGATCATGCTTCACTTGAATTCTCTTCCCTGTTTCATTCCACTTCTTGGAATTCTTCTATTTACTTATGAGAAGAGTGAGTTTCTAAGAGCTATTTTGAGAAGGGCGATGAATGAGTGTGGAATGAATCAAGGGTAATTGACATGCTTGGCATATAAGTTTGTAGAGACAAAACTTTCATTCCAGACAAATGACCAGGTTTGCCATATGAAGTGGACAGCAGATAGTATACTGTCATTAGCAAAGGTTTACTTTCAATACATAAGATGCCATGGAAGGCACAAGAGAGAAGGATTTATATAATTTTAAAAAGGAAAAATATATCTAGATGGACTATGTAAACAATGACTATAAGCAAAGCACAGGGATTTGAATCCTCAGGATGAAAGGGGGAGGAACAGAAGCCTTCAGTATGAACTGGCTTCACGTCAGAGCATCTAAGACAATCAACGATTTCTCACTGAAGATTAACCTCGTTAGCATTTCTCATGCCATTTTATTCAGAAAAGTTTGTCTACTCAAATTTGACTCACATCGTAAATTCTCTGCCTTTTAACTCACCTAAGCTTCAGTATTTGCAGGGTCTGAGAATGGGGAAAGGGAACTAGGTAGGCAAAACTAGAAACTTTACCCATCAGGTAACCATTCATTCATTCATTCAATATTTATTGAGCATTCCCCTCATTTCCAGTGTTGTGCTCATTGCTGGACAGCCAGAAGTGAACAAGCCACACTCATCTCTGCCCTCCTGGAAGTCAGACAAATAGTACTTTACAATAATTTAATTATAAGTCAGATTAATGTTCAAAAATACAGATGTTGGGTTGCTTGGAAACAGTGGAATCTATCCTAGAAGTTCAGGGCCATCTGCAGGGAGTAAAATATATATTAAGAGCTGAATGGGGAGTTAGACTTAGGCAGGTAAAGAGTAGAAGGGGAGGGGTAGTCAAGGGCAGTGGAGGGAGGAGGGCCAATGAGTTTTAAGGAGAGGAAACATATGTAAGACATAAGACTAGAAAGCACAATGAGTGTAAAGAAAGAATGAAGATCCATATTACTGGCACATCACATTTGAGGGAACTAGTGGTAGGAGCTGAGTCTGGATAGGAAGGCAAGGTCCAGATCAAGGAGGGCTTTATAAGCCAAGTCAAAGAATTTGCACCTTATTTAAAGGCTGTGAAAGACCATTGAAGGGTACACGTTAGGTAGTGGGGCAGAAGGATACTAGATTGAGGTCAGAAAGAAGGCTCTGGCTACAATATGTAGAACAGGCTTGGAGAACATTTAGACTGACCAAACTTAAATCCACTTAATTTCAAGGCAAAGCTCACCTGGGAAAGGTTGGAATCCCTTGCAGAGCCCTATAAATTTCTCCAAGTTCAGAGTGGCAGAATTGAGGGTGAGGATGGGTCATGAGGAACTGGGAGGCAGCAAAACGCAGTGCTTCAGATAGGATCTCCCTATATGTTGTTTGCTTATTTTCTCTTGCTGCTTTCAGGATCCTCCCTTTGTCTTTGACCTTTGTGAGTCTGATTATAATATACCTTCATTTATTCTTATTTGGGTTGATTCTGATTGATTGACCTTCCTGTGCTTAAATATTTATATCTTTCTGTTATTATTATTATGACTATTATTTTTTAGTTAGGAAGTACATTTGGTGAGACCCACAAGAGCAGAAGACTTCAGTGCTTCCCCTTCAGTTGCTCTAGGCCAGCAGTTCTCAATCTTGGATGCACATTAGAATTCCTTCTGAATCTTTATGAAAATATTGATTCCTGTAACTTATTTCTGGACTGATGAATCATAATCATGAAAAACTCATGAAATTTTAATGAAAGAAGGATTAAAAACTACCATGAGACTAGTGAAGAGAGGACACAAGCAAAACAGGAGGAAAGGAAGTAGAAATTCAGTGGCTTTTTCATTGGGGGCACTGAGAAAGGGGAAGAAAGTCTGAAAATATTGGGACTATTACATAGACTTGCAGAAGAAAGAGGCCATTTATCTCAAGTTTAAGTTCCATTGTTACTCTTATTGTCTATCCCTACCAATATTTCTTATATTATAAACCTGTTTTATATTTTATCAATATGACTCAGTTTTCTTGTGATTAGCATTTGCCTAGTACATCTTCATCTGTTTACTTTTACAAACTAATGACAATAAAAATTCCTTTACACAACAACTCCCTTCTCCCCTCACATTTTGAATTTTTGATGTCATAATTTACATTTTATATTGCCAATCTCTTAACAAATCATTGTAGTCATTAGTATTTTTAACAGTTTTATCTTTTGGTCTTCTTAGTAAAAATATTAGTGGTTTACACATCATGATTACAATATCAGTGTAACAATCATGGTAGCATCCTTTTATTTTGGTTTGAAGAATTCCCTTTATTGTTTATTTTAGAACAAGTCTGGTAGTAATAAATTCCCTTAGCTTTTTTTGAGAAAGTCCTTATCTCACTTTTATTCCGGATGGATAGTTTTGTTGGCTACAGTATTCTTGGTTTGCAGGGTTTTTTGTTTGTTTGTTTGTTTTCCTTCAGCACTCTGAATATATTGTCCCACCCACTCCTGGCTTCTCAGGTTTTGCTGAATAGTCTGCTGTCAGGTGTATTGGATCTCCCTATATGTTAACTTGCTTATTTTTTCTTGCTGCTTTCAGAATCCTCTTTGTCTCTGATGTGTGAGTTTGAGTACAATATACCTTTGGGTATTCTTATTTGGGTATTCTCATTGGGTATTCTGATTGATGACCTTTGACCTTCCTGTACTTAAATATTTATATCTTTTTCTAGGTTTGGAAAGTTACTATTATTATTACTATTATTTTTAGACACAGGATTGTGCTCTGTCATCCAGGCTAGAATTCAACAGTGTGATCACAACTCACTGCAGCCTTGAACTCCTGGGCTCAAGTGATCCTTCCATCTCACCCTTTTTCTTTTCTTTTTTTTTTTTGAGACAGGATCTCACTCTGTTGCCCAGGCTGGAGTGCAGTGACAAGATATCAGGTCACTGCAACCTCTGCCTCCTGGGTTCAAGTGATTCCCATGCCTCAACATCCCAAGTAACTGAGATTACAGGTATGAGGCACCATTGGTGGCTACTTTTTGTATTTTTTTATTATAATTATACTTTAAGTTCTGGGGTACATGTGCAGAACATGCAGGTTTCATACATAGGTATATATGTGCCATGGTGTTTTGCTGCACCCATCAATCCATCATCTACATTAGGTATGTCTCCTAATGCTATCCCTCCCCTAGCCCCCCACCCCCCAACATGCCCCACTGTGTGACGTTCCACTCCCTGTGTCCATGTGTTCTCATTGTTCACCTCCCACTTATGAGTGAGAAAATGCAGTGTTTGTTTTTCTGATCCTGTGTTAGTTTGCTGAGAGTGATGGTTTCCAGCTTCATCCATTTTCCTGCAAAGGACATAACTCATCCTTTTTTATGGCTACATAATATTCCATGCCACATTTGGTTTATCCAGCCTATCATTGGTGGGCATTTGGGTTGGTTTCAAGTCTTTGCTATTGTGAACAGTGCCACAATAAACATACATGTGCATGTGTCTTTATAGTAGAATGATTTATAATCCTTTGGGTATATACCCAGTAATGGGATCACTGGGTCAAATGGTATTTCTAGTTCTAGATCTTTGAGGAATTGCCACACTGTCTTCCACAATGGTTGAACTAATTTACACTCCCACCTACAGTGTAAAAACTTTCCTATCTCTCCACATCCTCTCCAGCATCTGTTGTTTCCTGACTTTTTAATGATCACCATTCTAACTGGCATGAGATGGTATCTCACTGTGGTTTTGATTTGCATTTCTCTAATGACCAGTGATGATGAGCTTTTTTTCATACGTTTGTTGGCTGCATAATTTCTTCTTTTGAGAAGTGTCTGTTCATATCCTTTACCTACTTTTTGATGAGGTTGGTTTTTTTTCTTGTAAATTTAAGTTCTTTGTAGATTCTGGATATTAGCCCTTTGTCAGATTGATTGCAAAAATGTTCTCCCATTCTGTAGGTTGCCTGTTCACTCTGATGATAGTTTCTTTTGCTGTGCAGAAGCTCTTTAGTTTAATTAGATCCCATTTGTCTATTTTGGTTTTTGTTGCCATTGCTTTTGGTGTTTTAGTCATGAAGTCTTTGCCCATGCCTATGTCCTGAATGGTATTGCCTAGGTTTTCTTATAGGGTTTTTATGGTTTTAGGTCTTACATTTAAGTCTTTAATCCATCTTGAATTAATTTTTGTATAAGGTGTAGGAAGGGCTCCAGTTTCAGCTTTCTGCATATGGCTAGCCTGTTTTCCCAGCACCATTTATTAAATAGGGAATCCTTTCCTCATTTCTTGTTTTTGTCAGGTTTGTCAAAGATCAGATGGTTGTAGATGTGTGGTTTTATTTGTGAGGCCTCTGTTCTGTTCCATTGGTCTCTCTCTGTTTTGGTACCAGTACCATGCTGTTTTGGTTACTGTAGCCTTGTAGTATACTTTGAAGTCAGGTAGCATGATGCCTCCAGCTTTATTCTTTTTGCTTAGGATTGTCTTGGCTATGCAGGCTCTTTTTTTGTTCCATATGAAATTTAAAGTAGTTTTTCCTAATTCTGTGAAGAAAGTTAATGGTAGCTTGATGGGGATAGCATTGAATCTATAAATTACTTTGGGCAGTATGACCATTTCACGATATTGATTCTTCCTATCCATGAGCATGGAATGTTCTTCCATTTGTTTGTGTTCTCTCTGATTTCATTGAGCAGTGGTTTGTAGCTCTTCTTGAAGAGGTCCTTCACATCCCTTTAAAGTTGTATTCCTTGGTATTTAATTGTCTTTGTAGCAATTGTGAATGGGAGTTCACTCATGATTTGGCTCTCTGTTTGTCTATTTTTGGTGTATAGGAATGCTTGTGATTTTTGCACATTGATTTTGTATCCTGAGACTGTGCTAAAGTTGCTTATCAGCTTAAGGAGATTTTGGGCTGAGACGATGGGGTTTTCTAAATATACAATCATGTCATCTGCAGAGACAATTTGACTTCCTTTCTTTTTATTTGAATACCCTTTATTTCTTTCTCTTGCCTGACTGCCCTAGCCAGAACTTCCAACACTATATTGAATAGGAGTAGTGAGAGAGGGCATCCTTGTCTTGTGCTGGTTTTCAAAGGGAATGCTTCCAGTTTTTGCCCATTCACTATGATATTGGCTGTGGGTTTCTCATAAATAGCTTTTATTATTTTGAGATACGTCCCATCAGTTTATTGAGAGTTTTTAGCATGAAGGGGTTTATTGAGAGTTTTTAGCATGAAGGGGTGCTGAACTTTATTGGAGGCCTTCTCCGCATCTATGGAGATAATATGTGGTTTTGGTCATTGGTTATGTTTATGTGATGGATTACCTTTATTGATTTGTATATGTTGAACCAGCCTTGCATCTCAGGGATGAAGCTGACTTGATCATGGTGGATAAGCTTTTTGATGTGCTGTTGCATGGGGTTTGCCAGTATTTTATTGAGGATTTTTGCATCATTGTTCATCAGGGATATTGGCCTGAAATTTTTTTCGTGTGTGTGTTTCTGCTAGGTTTTCATATCATGATGATACTGGCCTCATAAAATGAATTATGGGGGATTCCCTCTTTTTCTATTGTTTGGAATAGTTTCAGAAGGAATGGTACCAGCTTCTCTTTGTACCTCTGGTAGAATTCAACTGTGAATCTGTCTGGTCCTGGACTTTCTTTGGTCAGTAGGCTATTAATTAGTGCCTCAATTTCAGAACTTGTTATTGGCGTATTGAGGGATTTGACTTCTTCCTGGTTTAGACTTGAGAGGGTGTATGTGTCCAGGAATTTATCCATTTCTTCTACATTTTCAGGTTTTATTTGCATAGAGGTGTTTATATTATTCTCTGATGGTAGTTTGTATTTCTGTGGGATCAGTGGTGATGTCCCCTTTATCATTTTTTATTGCATCTATTTGATTCTTTTCTCCTTCTTCTTTTTTAGTCTGTCTAGTGGTCTATTTTGTGGATCTTTTCAAAGAACCAGCTCCTGGATTTCTTGATTTTTGAAGGGTTTTTTGTGTCTTTATCTCCTTCAGTTCTGCTCTGATCTTAGTTATTTCTTGTCTTTTGCTAACCTTTGAATTTGTGTGCTCTTGCTTCTCTAGTTCTTTTAATTGTGATGTTAGGGTGTTGACTTTAGATCTTTTTTGCTTTCTCTTGTGGGTATTTAGTGCTAGAAATTTCCCTCTAAACACTGCTTTAGCTGTGTCTCAGAGATTCTGGTATGTTGTGTCTTTGTCTTTATTGGTTTCAAAGAACTTACTTATTTCTGCCTTAATTTAGTTATTTACCCAGTAGTCATTCAGGGGCAGGTTGTTCAGTTTCCATGTAATTGTGCAGTTTTGAGAGAGTTTCTTAATCTTGAGTCCTAATTTGATTGCACTGTGGTCTGAGAGACTGTTTGTTATGATTTCTGTTCTTTTGCATTTGCTGAGGAGTTTTTTACTTCCAATTATGTGGTCAATTTTAGAAGTAGTGTGATGTGGTGCTGAGAAGAATGTATATTATATTGATTTTGGGCAGAGGGTTCTGTTGATATCTCTTAGGTCTGCTTGGTCCAGAGCTGGGCTCAAGTCCTGAATAGCCTTGTTTATATTCTGTCTCATTGATTGTCTAATATGGACAGTGGGGTGTTAATATCTCCCACTATTATCGTGTGGGAGTTTAAGTCTCTTTGTAAGTCTCTAAGAACTTGCTTTATGAATCTGGGTTCTCCTGTATTGGGTGAATATATAATTAGGATAGTTAGCTCTTCTTGTTGCATTGATCCCTTTACCATTATGTAATGCCCTTCTTTGTCTCTTTTGATCTGTGTTGGTTTAATGTCTTTTTTATCATAGACTAGGATTGCAACCCATGCTTTTTTTTTTTTTTTTTTTGCTTTCCATTTGCTTGGTAAATATTCCTCCATCCCTTTATTTTGAGCCTATGTGTGTTTTTGCATGTGAGATGGGTCTCCTGAATACAGCACACTGATGGGACTTGGCTCCTTATCCAATTTGCCAGTCTGTGTCTTTTAATTGGGGCATTTAGCCCATTTACATTTAAGGTTAATATTGTTATGTGTGACTTTGATCCTGTCTTTATGATGCTAGCTGGTTATTTTGTCTGTTAGTTGATGCAGTTTCTCCATAGTGTCTATGGTCTTTACAGTTTGGTATGTTTTTGCAGTTGCTGGTACCAGTTGTTCCTTTCAATATTTTGTGCTTCCTTCAGGAGCTCTTGTAAGGAGCTCTGTAAGGCAGGCTTGGTGGTGACAAAATCTCTCAGCATTTGCTTGTCTGTAAAGGATTTTATTTCTCCTTCACTTAGGAAGCTTAGTTTGTCTGGATATGAAATTCTGGGTTGAAAATTCTTTTCTTTCAGAATGTTGAATATTGGCACCACTCTCTTCTGTTTTATAGGGTTTCTTCAGTGAGATCCATTGTTAGTCTGATGGGTTTCCCTTTGTGGGTAACCTGAACTTTCTCTCTGGCTGCCCTTAACATTTTTTCCTTCATTTCAACCTTGGTGAATCTGATGATTATGTGTCTTGGGGTTGCTCTTCTCGAGGAGTATCTTTGTGGTGTTCGCTATTTCCTGAATTTGAGTATTGGTCTGTCTTGCTAGGTCAGAGAAGTTCTCCTGGAAAATATCCTGAAGAGTGTTTTCCAACTTGGTTCTATTCTCCCCATCACTTTCAGGTGCACCAATCAAATGTAGGTTTGGTCTTTTCACATAGTCCCATATCTCTTGGAGGCTTCGTTTGTTCCTTTTCATTCATTTTTCTCCAATCTCTCTTCATACTTTATTTCATTAAGTTGATCTTCAATCTCTGATATCCTTTATTCCACTTGATTGATTTGCTATTAATACCTCCGTATGCTTCATGAAGTTCTTGTGCTGTATTTTTCAGTTCCATCAGGTCATTTTTATTCTTCTCTAAACTGGTTATTCTAGTTAGCAATTTGTCTACCTGTTATTCAAGGTTCTTAGCTTCCTTGAATTGGTTTAGAACATGCACCTTTAGCTTGGAGGAGTTTGCGTTTACTCACCTTCTGAAGCCTACTTCTGCCAATTCATCAAGCTCATTCTCCATCTAGTTTTGCTCCTTTGCTGGCGAGGAGTTGTGATCCTTTGGAGGAGAAGGGGCATTCTGGTTTTTGGAATTTTCAGCCTTTTTGCACTGATTTCTCCCCATCATCATGGATTTATATACCTTTGGTCTTTGATATTGGTGACCTTCATATATGGTTTCTGAGTGGACGTCCTTTTTATTGATGTTAATGTTGATGCTATTCCTTTCTGTTTGTTAGTTTTCCTTCTATCAGTCAGGCCCCTGTGTTGCGGGTCTGCTGGAGTTTCCTCGAGGTCCACTCCAGGCCCTGTTTGCCTGGGTATCACCAGTGAAGGCTCCAGAACAGCAAAGATTGCTGCCTGTTCCTTCCTCTGGAAGATTTATCCCAGAGGGGCACCCACCAGATGCCAGCCAGAGCTCTCCTATATGAGGTGTCTGTTGACCCCTGCTGGGAGATGTCTCCCAGTCAGGAGACAAGGTGGTCAGGGACCCACTTGAGGAGGCAGTCTGACCCTTAGCAGAGCTCGAACGCTGTGCTGGGAGATCCACTGCACAGAGCCAGCAGGCAGGAATGCTTAAGTCTGCTGAAGCTCTGCCCACAGCCACCCTTTCCCCCAGGGTGCTGTGTCCCAGGGAGATGGGAATTTTATCTGGAAGCCCCTGACTGGGGCTGCTGCCTTTTTTTCAAAGATGCCCTGTCTAGAGAGGAGGAATCTAGAGAGGCAGTCTGGCTACAGCGGCTTTGCTGAGCTGCAGAGGGCTCCACCCAGTTTTAACTTCCCCATGGGTTTGTTTACACTGTGAGGGGAAAACCACTTACTCAAGCCTCAGTAATGGCGACACCCTTCCCCCACCAAGCTCGAGTGTCCCAGGTAGACTTCAGATTCTGGTGCTGCCAGCGAGAATTTCAAGCCAGTAGATCGTTTCTTGCTGGGCTCTGTGGGGGTGTGAGCCGCTGAGCTAGACCACTTGGCTCCTTGGCTTCAGCCCCCTTTCCAGGGGAGTGTCACTTCTGTCTCGCTGGCGTTCCAGGCACCACTGGGGTGTGAAAATAACTCCTGAAACTAGCTCTATGTCTGCCCAAATGGCTGCCTGGTTTTGTGCTTGAAACCCAGGGACCTGTTGGCATAGGCACCTGAGGGAATCTCCTGGTCTGCGGTTTGCAAAGACCACGGGAAAAGCATAGTATTTGGGCCCGGGTGCACCGTTCCTCATGGCACAGTCCCTCATGGCTTCCCTTGGCTAGGGGAGGATGTTTTTCCCTCAGTGTTTTTGATGCTTATGGATGTGTGACAATGTCTGTACATTGAGGGATTAGGTATTTATTTTAGTCTTCACCATCCAGCTTTGTGCCTGCTTTTCTTTTCAGAGGGCCTTCCATGGTTCTAAGCAGACTGATGGTTGTGTTCCCTGAGCCTGTGACCAATGCAGCTGTCTCAGCAAAAGGAAACACTCTTAGCTTGCCACAAGTCTCACAAGGACTCTGTGGTTGATATGGCTTTCCAGCACAGATGGACCGGGGAAGACTCAAGGAATGTACTGGGCCTGTAAGGGAATACTGTTCACGGACCTGAGTCTCAAAAACTATACCAATGGCCCAGCAGGCATGCCTCTCAGCAGGTCTCTGCACTGGCAGGATGGGTCTCAGGCTGTAGCTAGAGGGGCTGGAGTTGAGATTGGCCCCTTCAGGATCTGCTGTGGGGAGGAGCCTAGTTGGCCTGTCTTACTGGCTTACATGAGTGTGCATCACCCAGCAGATACCTGCACAAGCATGTGCAGTAGGAAGAGCTGGAGCTGAGACTGGGCCCTTTGGGATCTATTGTGGAATGGAGGCTGCCTTGTCTATCACATTGTCTTAGACAAGTCTTTGCCTCTCAGCAGGTCCCTGCACAGACAGGATAGTTGCCAGACTGCAGTAAGAGGGGCTGTAACTGAGGCTGGGCCCTCTTCAGATTTGTTGTGAGATGGAGGCTGGAGAGCTCAGTCTCCTTGGCTCAGAGGGGCACACACATCTCCCAGGAGGACCCTGACGAGGCCAGATAGTTCGTCAACTGCAGCAAGACAGGCTGGAGCTGAGAATGGGCCACTTCAGGATCAGCTGTGGGCTGGAGGTTGGTGACGTTGTCAGGCTCCCTCTGCATCCTTGTGTGAGCAGCTCTGAGCTGGGATCTCATCTTAGTGGGATTAGAGCAGAGCCATGAGCTAACTTTCAGGTTCACTGCTGAGACCTCTGTCAGAGGGCAGACAAGCCTTTACGTCAAGGCACCAGTGTGCAAGATTCGTTCTGGAGTCCTTAACAGATTGGTTTTGGTTCCAGGCTTAAGGCCAAATGGGGCTGTAGCTAAGCTCCTTAAAGGACTGGGCCAATTCCAGGCTTGAACTTTGGAGCAAGATTGCCAGATTAGCTACCTGGGTGTTGGTGTGCATTCTCTAAACCACCCTCCTAAGTCTTGGGCTCCACCAGGGTTTCATAGACTTTTACTCAAAGCCTAAGATTCCTGCAGAGACACTTTTGACCATAGATTGGTGCAGAATTCTTGTTGTTGTTGGGGGATATAAGTGGGTTACCTTCTATTTTGCTGTCTTGCTATTCAAACTTTTTTTTTTTTTTTTTTTTTTCAGACAGCGTCCCACTCTGTCACCCAGGCTGGAGTTCAGTGGTGTGATCTTGTCTCACTGAAACCTCCGCCTCCCAGGTTCAAGAAATTCTCCTACCTCAGCCTCCCGAGTAGCTGAGATTACAGGTGCCCACCACCATGCCCAGCTAATTTTTGTATTTTTAGTAGAAATGGGGTTTTACCATGTTGGCTAGGCTGGTCGCTATTCAAACATTTTTTTTAAAGACAGCATCTTGAAAATAAAAAAGGTCTCACCTCCCAGAGTAAGTGAGATATACTTTAATTGGTATTCAGAACCTACCAAAGAAAAAATCATGAACACATTCTCTCCAAGACACTGTTTAAATTGGTAAAGGAAAACAAAGATTTAAAATTAAAATCTTCAGAAGAAAGTCCACCTTCAACATCCTTCTTATGGCCCTCTTTGGCAGGACTCCTGTTTGCAGACTCAAAAATTTCTCCCCTCTCTCCTCTACAGCTACCTAAGCAGCTGAACCTAAACTTGTTCTACAAACCCCTAAATTGACCATCCCCCACAGTGGCCTTTCCTACTCCTGCTCTAATTCTCGCATATCTTTTTAAATACTGCTCAAACAACAAAGGGAATTTACCGGTGGTAGGTGGTATCTTACACCTTCTAGTTTTATTTCGAGTTGGGCATGATAGCCAAATAATTTCCCAGGGTGACTGAGGAAACCCTAAGATTTGCTGAGGAATTCACAATGGTGCGCATAACTTATGTCCCTGGATTTTCTGATTTATACTGGCTAATAGCTTTGCTTGTAGGGCTACAATGAGCAAGCTATTGGGCAAAAATAGCAAGATGAAAAAATCCTTCTGATGATTTAAATTTAAATCTTCCCCAAGATACAAAAAAAACTTAAAAATTTGCTGACGAAATAATTAAAGCTATTCCCACAGCTTTACTAAAGCCAGTGGTTTAGAATATAATTCAGGGTGGCACTCAGAGAGGGCAAATGAGCTCGTGATTATTATAATAGACTAGAGGTATATTCAAAGAAAATTCTTGTCTCACAAAAAAGAGTGATGCCACTAAAGTAAGCTCCATGTTTGTCAATAGTGTTGATGAAGATTTAGCCATATTGGCTAAAAGAGCATAGCTAAGTTGAGAAACCATAAATACTTGGTAAGTTTGGCTAATCAATTATCTCAAACCTTAAATAAGGCCCATCAATCAAAAGCTAAATGGATAATGAATTTATAGCTGCAATAATTAACCAGTAATACAGGCTCTCAGAATTCTTCTAAAGGAGTCTGAAACTATTGCAAAAAGTCTGGACATTAGGTTAAAGATTGCAAAATATTAAAGGCCAAACTGACATCTAAAATTACTTCCAAACCCTTAGATTCCCCATTAAAAGACCAAGAAGACTAGGAATGACAGGGATCCAAAAAAAAAAAGTCTTTCCCTGTAATACCTTTGAGTTCTGAAGGCTAAGTATCACCACTAGCAAATAATAAAAAAGTTTTCATGCTTATTGACACTAGAGCAACCCTATCAGTCTTAAACCCCACCACAATTAATTGTCTGTTGCCTTGGACTGCAATAACTTCCCATGGCAGAAGTCTCAGATACTACCAGTTAAACACCATTATCTATTCCTTTGCCCATGAAACTACAAAATTTATGTCTTGATTATTTATTTTTACTAGTACCCCATGCACCAGCATACCTGATGAGTAGGGAACTTCTAATTAAAATAAAAGCTGCTATCCTGTTCTCAAGAGGAGGAACTTAGTCTGTCTTACTCAGAATTCTCAATCTTACCAGAAGAACCAGAAGCTTTCTATAAAATGATTACTACATAACTTTCTAAGTTAGCTACTGGACCCTGTACTTATCTTCAGTCCCAGATGTCCCCTGGGCAACAGATAATGCAGACATTATATTGACTAAATCAGATGAGCCCATAGGTGTCCAGTTAGATCTTAAAAGGCCTTTTCCCTCTCTTTCTCAACATCCTCTTCCACAATATGCCATAGAGGGTATAACCTTTATCATCAAAGGGCATTTAAAATGAGGATTGATTAGACCCTGTACTAATCCCTCCTGTAATACCCCAATTATTCTACTCAGAAAGCCTGGAGCCTGGGCATGGTGGCTGATGCCTGTAATCCCAGCACTTTGGGAGGCTGAGGTGGGTGGATCACTTGAGATCAGGAATTTGAGACCAGCCTGGCCAACATAGTGAAACTCCATCTCTATTAAAAATACAAAAATTAGCCGGGTGTGGTGATGCACACCTATAATCCTAACTACATGGGAGGCTGAGGCAGGAGAATCACTTGAACCTAGGAGGCAGATGTTGTAGTGAGCTGAGATTGTGCCACTGCACTCCAGCCTGGGCAGCAGAGTGAGACTCTGTCTCAAAAAAAAAAAAAAAAAAAAAAAAAAGCCTGGAAATAGAAGGTGGTATTTTGGTATTTTGTCCAAGATCTTAGAGCATCAATAATAGAGTAATTCCCCATCACCCTCTTGTGCCAAATCCCCATACCCTTTTCTCTTTCATTCCTCAGGATAGTATTTTCTTTTGTGTTGTGAATCTGTGTAGTGCTTTGTTTAGCATGCCAGTATATAAAGACAGATAATTTTTGTCTTTGCATGGAAAAATCAACAATATACCTGGACTGTAATGCCTCAGGGATATACTGACAGTCCCACATACTTTTCTCAGACCCCCTTAGCAAAGATCTTAGAGATCTATCTTTAAAACATGGGTTTTCTTTGCTAAAATATGTAGATGACCTTTTAGTGTGTTCTCCCTTTTAGTGTGTTCTCCTTTATATTACTAATCTTTTTAGCTGAACATGGACATAAAGTGAGTAAGAAAATACTAGAAATAACACAACCATCATTTAAGTTTCTAGGAGATTTAATATCTGCTAAAGGAAAGTGATTAGACCCAGAAAGAATAAAAGGGGTCCAGCAATTCCGCAAACCTAAAACTTCTCAATTGTTACGAGATTTCTTGGGATTGGTTGGATATTGCTGGTAACGGATACCCGAGTTTTCTGTTTTAGCTAAATCCCTTCATTAAAGGGAAGTCCTGATAAATAAAATGAATAACAGAGATAGAGGAAGTTTTTAAAAATTTTTTAAAAACATCATTCTGCTTTCCCCCTACTTTGGGATATCCTAACTATGATTTAGAATTTAATTAATATGTGTATAAAAAGTAGGGGCATGCTTTCGGTATTCTAACCTAGAAACATGGCAATAGCCAGAGACCTCTTGACTATTTCTCTGAGAAACTTGATCCACTTGCTCAGTCCTTTCTATCCTCTCTCTGATACTATCTCTGCCACTTACCTTATGGTCAAGGCAGTATCAGAGAGCATTTTGCATAAGTCTTAAACCTTTATGTTCCACATTTTGTTGAGACTCTCTTAAATTCCCAACATACTCATAATCTATCTACAAGCCCCCTCACACAATGAGTTTACTTTTCTCTCATCACATAATATAAAATTCTTTAAAACCACCAGTCTTAATACTGCTGATGTTTAACCATTGGGATTACAAGCCTTTTAGAATGTGATTGTGCAGCCTATACCAATCACATAACCTGTATTAGGGTTCTCTAGAGGGACAGAACTAATAGGATAGATTCATATATAATGGGAAGTTTATTAAGGAGTATTGACTCACATGATCACCAGGTGAGGTCCCATAATAAGCTATCTGCAAGCTAAGGAAAAGGAAGCCAGTCGGAATTCCAAAGCTGAAGTCCTATGTTCGAGGGCAGGAAGCATCCAGCATGGGAGAAAGATGTAGGGTGGGAGACTAAGCCAGCCTAGTCTTTTCACATTATTCTGCCTGCTTTTATTCTGATCATGCTGGCAGCTGATTAGATGGTGCCCACCCAGATTGAGGGTGGGTCTGCCTTTCCCAGTCCACTGACTCAAATGTTAATCTCCTTTGGCAACACCCTCACAGACACACCCAGGAACAATACTTTGCATCCTTCAATCCAATCAAGTTGACACTCAATATTAACCATCGCATAACCATATCAAGACCTGATTTAAAATAATTACAGTTTAAAAAATGCTGATTTTGGATGGTTTACAAATGGCTTCTGACTTAAAAAACAAGGATGGAGATTTACAAACCAGGTATGCTATAGCCTCAAAAGAACATGAAGTTGATGGTGGGACTCTTCCTTCATATATGAGTGTTTAGCAAGCTAAATTATAGGCAATAATTTGGGCCTGCACTCTGGCCAGAAAACACACTGTAAAAAAAAAAAATATATATATACATATACATATACACACACAGATAGTTGACAGACTTTTGGTGTTGACCATAATTTTGGAATGCTTTGGAAACAGAGAGGTCTCTCTCTCTCTCTCTCTCACTCTCTCTGTCTCTTATGGTCTTGTCTGAATAGAGAGGTTTTTAACTTCATCCAGACATCACATAAAAAATGGTGCTCTAGTTAATGAATTACTAAATGCCATTCAATTACCTAAGAAAATGGCTATAAATAAGGTGCCAGCCCACTGCACTAAAGATACTAAAGAGGCAAAAGGAAATGCATTAGCTGATCATAGGAGCAGCTATGACTCCTGGTTTTGTTATAAACTAAGTGTAAATGTATGCCCCATGACCTCCCTGGCATCCTCTCTCATTATGCCCCCTGAGGAATCCATGGAAACTATAACAAGACATACACAACAACATGCATTTGTCAGTTAGATTAATAAATGAAAGAACAAGACTACTATTTAAATACACAAAAGGATCTCTGGAAAGGTCTCAGTGAAAAAACCTATATTACCTAAAACGTTATCAAAGTGTTTGTTAGAAAAACTCCATGATTTAGCTCACTGGACAGATGATAAAATGTTTGCATAAACAAAACAATATTGGTGGGGAAAATTCTGTTCTGAGGCAGAACAGGTAAGTAACACATGTACAACGTGTCCAAAGTTTAACCTGGGAAAACCCATAAAAGTTTCAAGGGGAAAATTTGACCTACTAGAAGCCCTCTTTGAAGTATTTCCGTTGTATTTTATCCAGTTACCTCCCTTTTGAGATTACAAATATGTTTTGGTTATGGTCTGCATGTATTCAAATTGGGCAGAAGCCTTCTCTTGTCATCAAGCAACTGCCATGGCAGTAGTGAAAGTGTTACTAGAAAAAATAACGCCTCTTTGAGGTGTTTCTAAAGAGTTACACAGAAACCAGCATACACATTTCATGAGACAGAGTCTCCAATTCCAACTATAGGCAAGGCATAACCTACATTTTAGTACTTTCATTGTGCATACAATCTTCAGGATTCATTTAAAGAACTAATGGAATAGTAAAAACCCAATTGGGAAAATATATGTATGATTAAATTGCCTTGCCAAACTGTTTACCATTAGTATTGATGAATCTGAGAGCTATCCCCTTAAAAAAACATCACCTAGCCTCTTATGAGATAGTTATAGGCATACCTATGCCATCACCCTTAGTTCGTTCTGACTCCATCCTTATTAAAGAACCAGTACTTCAGTAATGCAAAGGACTAATCACCCAAGTGAATTGTAACTATCAACTTGTAAATGATGCTTTATGAAAGAGCTTCTAGGAGATGATGACACACTACATCATATCTAATCAGGAGACTTTGTTTATAAGAAGTACTTTATATCCAAACCTTCTCTGGAAACTTGATGAGATGAAGTTTATCAAGTGTTGTTAACTAATCTTTGTATTTCCAAATTACAGAAAATAAACTCCTGGATCCATATTTCACACCTTAAGAAAGCACTCCAACCCCCAAGGGCATCAACTTCAACAGGAAAACTGACCCTTCAACTTACCAAATCTTTGAAGTGACTAGTTGTATAGTACAACAAGCAGAAAATTTGCTATGGAGGTTGTGTTAACTGTTGACATTTATGTGAGATTTTTGCTGCATATTTGTTAGAAAAGGCTCAACAAAATTATAATAAACAATGATTGTGTTATTAATTTTTTAACTGTTATATCAGTTATAAATGCTTGGAATGAAAATGCCTTAAGGAAATTAGTCAATAATGTCACATATGTTACTTTTTCTAATTGGATCTGCCATGATTGCTATAAAACTTTGTCCTTCCACTATGACTCATGAGTAACTTCAATAACAAACTGCTTGGGAATTCCCAATGCCACAGTAGAACTAGTATATGCAAACATTATTTATTATCAGGGTGCACATAAAGGGAAACTAGGACAAAAACCTACCCTGTTTCAATTTGATCTTGTTCTCTTAAGCATGGAAAAAGAATACTTGTTGCTATAACTCAACAACTAAAACTCTTGTTTCTCAGGAGAAAATGCAAAAAGAAAACCAGTTTATTTGTCATTTTTGGTTTTGCAAATGCTAATCAAAGTTGGTCTTTATGCAATGCAATTTTTCCCACTCTTAAAACTGACTGATAACAGCAAATCAGACTGAACCTAAAAATGACTCCTTCAAAAGTACTAAAAGCCTGTGTGCTTATGTTTATATATTTGTCTGTGAATGGGGACCAAATCCTTTTATATGCTGGGGAAGAAAATTCCTTGACTCTTGGTCATTAGCAAGTCAGTGTACTTGGGTGCTCATGTCACTAAAATACCTCATTTATCCCTCCAATAACACCTTCTTCTGGCCAGAAGGATTATATTTATCCTGTTTCAAAAGGGAAAATCCTGGAGCACCTGAGGCATAAATATGTCATCTTCTGCCCAATTAGTGTTTTTTTGTTTGTTTGTTTGCTTTGCCTGGAGTAGAACATGGAGAAATATGATCATGATTACTGATTTCTCTCAAATCCTAGGCAACCTAGCTGATACGGTTTATCTCTGTGTCCCCACCCAAATCTCATCTCAAATTGTAATCCCCACATGTTGAGGGAGGGGAGTGATTGGATTATGGGGGCTGTTTCCCTCATGCTGTTCTTGTGATAGTGAGTGAATTCTCATAAGATCTGATGGTTTTATAAATGGTATTTTTTCCTGTGTGCTCGCTTCTGTCTCCTGCCACCATGTGAAGAAGGTCCTTCCTTCCCCTTCACCTTCCACCATGATTGTAAGTTTCCTGAGGCTTCTCCAGATGTGTGGAACTGTGAGTCAATTAAACCTTCTTCCTTTATAAATTACACAGTCTTTGGAAGTTCTTTATAGCAGTGTGAAAATGTACTAATACACTAACCTATTCAACTGTCAAAGTTATTGCCACTCAGTAATAATCTTTAAATTCATTAGCAGCAACTGTATTAAATAACAGAATTACTCTAGATTATCTGTTGGCAGTACAGGGAAATGTTTGTGGGATAGTTAACAACTTACGTTATACTTGGGAAAATGCCTCTGAAGTAGTTGAACTGGAGCTCAATAAAATTAGTTTAGGCAGGTCGGCTAAGACAAGTGCCATCTATTGGTAAGCCATCCTTTGACTTATTTAGTTGTTACCAGAAAGGATACATTCCTTGACTAGATCCCTGTTACAACTTAGTATCATTATAACATTATTGTTTCTTTTTTAAAACTGTTCACTAAGTTCTTGGAAAACATTATTGTTTCTGATAATTTTGTTGATCTGTAAGTATTTGTCTCAATGCTTAGAACAAGCACTAATGCTGCCCACTGATTTGATGTTGGCCCAGATTCCTGTAGCCTGTTCTGAACATCCAGAAGGAACTTACAGCACCTAGAATTATAAGCTTGACTGAGTCTATGAAATAGCTTGTAAATTCACTTCCCTGTGAGCCAGGGACCCAGAACAGATAGTCTTACTTCACCCTGGCTTTTGCAGGACAAGATGGAGCTCATACAGCATTGATTTCGTCAGTGTCTAGGGACCTGTGGTGATCACAGATATTCTCTCCTGGGAGAAATATCTTGATCAAATGAGGGAAATGTGAGCTTATCAATGTTCCACACTTGCCATCAGTAATTTCATCTTTGTCTACTGACTTCACATTAATACTGCCGATGAACTTTGAGATCTACAAAGTAACACTTCCTTCACAAATATTTGTACTCTCAACAGTACACACTATAAAGAAACCGGTCACTATCTTTAAGAACTTTATATATATAGCTTTTCTGACAAACTGATGTAATTTATTCACGTTTAATCAACTAATGAAATAATCTGACAAACAATATATGTAAACTAAATAAGTTTTTCTCAATGTAAGCCCTCTTTCCTCTTTCAGGTGGTGCAGTCTCTGGCTGCTAACTGGGTTGTAATCCCTGTTCCTGAATAAATGTTTATTTGCCTCTAGCCTGTTCATTCTTCCTTTTTAGGGTTAACAAATATTATCAGAATAACCTAGCAAACCATTACCAGGAGTCAGAATTATCATTATTTTAGCCCTCTCCTAAAAAATATACAAAGACTCTACAATACTTTAACTCTAAGAATTATCATTATCTTACCCCTCTCCTAAAAAAAAAGACAAAGACTTTATGATACTTTAATCCTCCCTAAACATATGTGCTAATTTTGTCCAGAATTTTAATCCTATCCTTTTATTCAATTCCATAATTTTGACATTACTTAATATAGTTAGGCTTTGTGTCTCCAATGAAATCTCATCTTGAATTATAATCCCCATAATCCCCACATGTCAAGGGAGAGACCAGGTGGAGGTGATTGGCTCATGGTGGTGGTTTCTCAGGATAGTGAGTGAGTTCTCATGAGATTTGATAGTCTTATAAGAAGCTCTTCTCCCTTTGTCATTTTCCCTCCTGCTGCCTTGTGGAAAAAGTGCCTTGCTTCCCCTTCACTTTCCTCCATGATTGTAAGTTTCCTGAGGCCTCCCCAGCCATGCTGAACTGTGAGCCAATTAAACCTCCTTCCATTATAAATTACGCAGTCTTGGCACTTCTTTATAGCAGTGTGAAAAGGGACTAATACAGTAAATTGGTATTGTAGAGAGTGGGGTACAGCTATAAAGATGCCCAAAAATGTGGAAGCGACTTTGGAACTGGGTAACAGGCAGAGATTGGAAAAATTTGGAGGGCTCAGAAGAAGACAGGAAAATGCAGGAAAGTTTGGAACTTCCTAGAGACTTGTTGACTGGCTTTGACAAAAATGCTGATAGTGATATGGACAATGAAGTCCAGGCTGAGGTGGTCTCAGATGGAGATGCAAAACTTGCTGGGAACTGGAATAAAGGTGACTCTTGCTATGCCTTAGCAAAGAGACTGGCAGCATTTTTGCCCCTGCCCTAGAGATCTGTGGAACTTTGAATTTAAGAGAGATGATTTAGGGCATCTGGAGGAAGAAATTTCTAAACAGCAAAGCATTCAAGAAGTGACTTGGGTGCTCTTAAAAGCATTCAGTTTTATGCATCCACAGAGAAAGTTTGAAATTGGAACTTATGTTTAAAAGGGAAGCAGAAAATAAAATTTGGAAAATTTGGAAATTTGTAGCCTGACAATGCAGTAGAAAGGAAAAACCCATTTTCTGGGGAGAAATTAAAGCCAGCTGCAGAAATTTGCATAACTAATGAGGAGCCAAATATTAATTGCCAACACAAGAGGGAAAATGTCTCCAGGACATGTCAGAGGTCTTCTAAACAGCCCTTCCCATTACAGGCCCAGAGACCTAGGAAAAATATGGTTTCATGGGCCAGGCCCAGGGCCTTGCTGCTTTGTGCAGTCTTGGGACTTGGTGTCCTGGGTCCCAGCCTTGGCTAAAACAGGCCACCATGCTGCTCAGGCCATTGCTTCAGAGGGTAAAAGCCCCAAGCCTTGGCAGCTTACACATGGTGTTGGGCCTATTGGTGCACAGAAGTTAAGAATTGAGGTTTGGGAACCTCAACCTGGATTTCAGAGGATGTATAAAAATACCTATATGTCCAGGTAGAAGTTTGCTACATGGGTGAAGCCCTCATGGAGGACCTCTGCTAGGGTGGTGTGGAAGAGAAATGTGGGGTCAGGGCACCCACACAGAGTCCCCACTGGGGCACTGCCTGGTGGAGCTGTGAGAAGAGGGCCACCATTTTCCAGAGCCAAGAATAGTAGATCCACCGATAGCTTGCACTATGTGCCTAGAAAAGCCGCAGACACTCAATGTCAGCCTTTGAAGGCAGCCAGGAGGAGAGCTGTACCCTGGAAGGCCATTATGGCAGAGCTGCTCAAGGCCGTGGGAACCCACCTCTGGCATCAGTGTAATTTGTATATGAGACATGGAGTCAAAGGAGATCATTTCAGAGCTTTAAGATTTGACTGCCCTGCTGGATTTTGGACTTGCATGGGGCCTGTAGCTCCTTTGTTTTGACCAGTTTCTCCCAGTTGGAATGGTTGTATTTGCCCAATGCTTGTACCCCCATTGTATCTAGGAAGTAACTAGCTTGCTTTTGATTTTACAGGCTCATAGGCAAAAGGGACTTGCCTTGTCTCAGATGAGACTTTGGACTTGAACCTTTGGGTTAATTCTGGAATGAATTAAGACTTTGGGAGCTGTTGGGAAGGCATGATTGGTTTTAAAATGTGACAGGGACATGAGATTTTGGAGAGGTCAAGGGTAGAGTAATATGGTGAGGCTTTCTCTCCCCACCCAAATCTCCATCTTGAATTACACTGTCCATAATCCCCATGTATCAAGGGAGAGATCAGGTGAAGTAATTGGATTATGGAGACAGTTTCCCTCATGCTGTTCTCAGGATACTGAGTGAGTTCTCATTAGACCTGATGATTTTATAAGGGGCTCTTCCCCTTTGTTTGGCATTCTCTTTCCTGCTGCCTTGTGAAGGAGGTGCCTTACTTCCCCTTTGCCTTCTGCCATGATTGTAAGTTTCCTGAGGCCTCCACAGCCATGCTGAACTGTGAGTCAATTAAACCTTTTTCCTTTATAAATTACCCAGCCTCAGACAGTTCTTTATAGCAGTATACAAACAGACTAATGCATTCATATTTAAAAATCATTATTTAGTCAATGTTTGCTTCTATTCACAAAAATATTTATCACTTTATTTGCTCATAGCTCATCATTTATTCTTGTATTTCAGATCATGCTTCTGGGTGTAATTTCTCTTCTTCCTATCTATTAATATACTGAATATATATTATTGATACAGCTTCTCAGTTTGGGTTTGTCTAAACATCTTTATTTTGCACACTCTTGAACGGCAGCTTGGCTGAATACATTATCCTAGGTGGACAGTTTTTTTTCTCTCAACAATTAGAAGAGATTTTCCCACTTTCTCTTAACTTTCATTTTTACTGTTGTCATTCCAACTGTTTTTTTTTTTTTTTTTTTTTTTTTTTTTTTGTAACTTCATGTTTCCAGGATTGGATTTTCTTTTCAATTTAACCTACTTGGAATATATTGATTTCTCTGTCTGTGAAGATTCCTGCTTTTATTGGATCTCAAAAATTGTGACATATGTCTTTAAATTATGCCTCTTCACCTTTCTGTCATTCTACTATTCTAGAACTCTGGCTAAGTCTATGTTAACCTTCTCTTTCTGTCCTCTATACCTCTTTAAAATTTTCAATTTTCTTATCTCTTTGTAATGCATTCTGTGTAATTCCTCAAGACCTATCATCATTAATTCTTCCTTTAGATGTGTTTACTAGTTAGCCTATTGGTTGAGTTTTTAATTTCAACTCTTATATTTTCATTTTTAGATGTTTCTTTTTCCTTCTCAAATCTATGGGTTCATAGATTTAATTGCTATCTTTGTAATAGAATCCTTTATTTCTTCAAACATTTACTCAGAATTTTTTCTTTTTTAACCTATTTTCTTTTCTAGTTTTATTTTAATAAAAAAGCAGCATCTTTTTATTTTTTTCTTTTATTTTTTTCAACTTCTATTTTAAGTTCCGGGGTACATGTGCAGGATGTATAGGTTTGATACGTAGGTAGATAAGTGCCATGTTGGTTTGCTGCACAGATCAACCCATCACCTGGGTATTAAGCCCAGCATCCATTAGCTATTCTTCCTGATGCTTTCCCTTCCCCTGCTCCTCCCACAGGCCCAGTGTGTGTTGTTGCCCCACATGTGTCCATGTGTTCTAATTGTTCAGCTCCCACCTATATGTGAGAACATGCAGCATTTGGTTTTCTGTTCCTGTGTTAGTTTGCTAAGGATAACGGCTTCCAGCTCCATCCATGTCCCTGCAATGGACATATGTCATTACTTTTTATGGCTGCATAGTATTCCATGATGTATATGTACTCCATTTTCTTTATCCAGTCTATCACTAATGGGCATTTGGGTTGATTCCATGTCTTTACTATTGTGAATAGTGCTGCAGTGAACATAGGCATGCATGTGTCTTTATTAAAGAATGATTTATATTCATTTGGGTATACACTCTGTAATGAGATGGCTGGGTCAAATGGTATTTCTGCTTCTAGATTTTTGTGAGAAATCGCCACACTGTCTTCCACAATGGTTGAACTGATTTACACCCCCACTAACAGTGTAAAAGCATTCCTTTTTCTCTGCAACCTCACCAGCATCTGTTGTTCCTTGACTTTTTAATAATAGCCATTCTGACTGGCATGAGATGGTATCTCATTGTGGTTTTGATTTGCATTTCTCTAATGATCAGTGATGTTGAGCTTTTTTTCCTATGTTTGTTGGCTGCATGTATGTCTTCTTTTGAGAAGTGTCTGTTTATGTCCTTTGCCCACTTTTTAATGGGGTTGTTTGTTTTTTTCTTGTAAATTTGTTTAAGTTCCATGTAGACTCTGGATATTAGACCTTTGTCAGATGAATAGATTGCAAAAATTTTCTCCTATTCTGCAGATTGTCTTTTCACTCTGATGATAGTTTCTTTTGCTGTGCAGAAGCCCTTTAGTTTAATTAGATCCCATGTGTCAATTTTTGCTTTTTTGCCATTGCTTTTGGCATTTTTGTCATGAAATATTTACCAATGCCTATGTCCTGAATGGTATTGCCTAGATTTTCTCCTAAGGTTTTATAGTTTTGGCTTTTACATTTAAGTCATTAATCCATCTTGGGTTGATTTTTGTATATTATGTAAGGAAGGGGCCCAGTTTCGATTTTCTGTATATGGCTAGCCAGTTCTCCCAGCACCATTTATTAAATAGAAAATAATTTCCCCATTGCTTGTTTTTGTCAGGTTTGTTGAAGATCAGATGGTTGCTGGTGTGCAGTCTTATTTCTGAGTTCTCAATTCTGTTCCGTTGGTCTGTATGTCTGTTCTTGTACCAGTACCATGCTGTTTTGGTTACTATAGCCTTGTAGTAAGGTAATGTGATGGCTCCAACTGTGTTCTTTTTACTTAGGATTGTCTTGGTTATTTGGGCTCTTTTTTGGTTCCATATGAATTTTAAAATAGTTTTTTCTAATTTTGTGAAGAATGTCAATGGTAGTTTAATGGGAATAGCATTGAATCTGTAAATTACTTTGGGCAGTATGGCCATTTTCACAGTATTGATTCTTCCTATCCATGATCATGAAATTTTTTTTCCATTTGTTTCCTCTCTGATTTCTTTGAGCAGTGGTTTATAGTTCTTCTTGAAGAGGTCCTTCACTTGTTAGCTGTTGATGTGGTTTGGTTGTGTCCCACCCAAATCTTATTTTCAATTGTAGCTACCATAATTCCCATGCATCATGGGAGGAACCTGTTGGGAGGTAATTGAATCATGGAGGCAGGTCTTTCCCTTGCTGTTCTCATGATAGTGAATAAGTTTCAAGAGATCTGATGGTTTCATAAAGGGAAGTTCCCCTGCATATGCTGTCTTGCCTGCTGCTATATAAGATGTTCCTTCTGCCATGATTGTGAGGCCTCCCCAGCCAGGTGGAACTGTGAGTTCATTCAACTTCTTTTTATGTATAAATTACCCAGTCTCAAGTATGTCTTTATTAGCAGTGTGGGAATGGACTAATACAGCTGTATTCTCAGGCATTTTATTTTTTTTGTAGCAATTTGAATGGGAGTTCATTCATGATTTTGCTCTCTGCTTGCCTGTTGATGGTGTATAGGAATGCTAGTGATTTTTCACATTGATTTGGTATCCCAAGACTTTGCTGAAGTTTTTAATTAGCTTAAGAATCTTTTGGGCTGAGATGATGGGGTTTTCTAGATACAGGATCATGTCATCTGCAAACAAAAATAATTTGACTTCCTCTCTTCTTACTTTAATACATTTTATTTCTTTCTCTTGCCTGATTGCCCTGGCCAGAACTTCCAATACTATGTTGAATAGGAGTGGTGAGAGACGGCATCCTTCTCTTGTGCCAGTTTTCAAGCGGAATGCTTACAGCTTTTGCCCATTCAGTATATTAGCTGTGGGTTTGTAATATATGTCTTATTATTTTGAGGTTTGTTCCTTCAATATCTACTTTATTGAGAGTTTTTAACATAAAGGAATGTTGAATTTTGTCAAAGGCCTTTTCTGCATCTATTGAGATAATCATGTGATTTTTGTCTTTAGTTCTGTTTATGTGACGAATTACACTTATTGATTTGTATATGTTGAACTAACCTTGCATCCCGGGGATGAAGCCAACTTGATTGTGATGGATAAGCTTTTTGATGTGCTGCTGGATTTGGGTTGTTGGTATTTTATTGAGGATTTTTGGCATTGATGTTCATCAAGGATATTGACCTGAAGTTTTCTTTTTTTGTTTTACCTCTGTCAGGTTTTGGTATCAGAATATTGCTGGTGTCATAGTATGAAGAGTGCCTCCTTTTCAATTGTTTGGAATAGTTTCAGTAGAAATGGTACCAGCTCTTCTTTGTACCCCTGGTAGAATTCAGCTGTGAATCCATCTGGCCCTGAGCTTTTTTGGTTGGTAGGCTATACTGCCTAAATTTCAGACCTGGTTATCAGTCTATTCAGGGATTCAATTTCTTCCTGGTTCAATCTTGGGAGAGTGTATGTGTCCAGGAATTTATCCATTTCTTCTAGATTTTCCAGTTCATTTACACATAGGTGTTTATAGCATTCTCTGATGGTTGTTTGTATTTCTGTGGGGTCAGTGGTGTAATCCCCATTATAATTTCTGATTGTGTTTATTTGATTCTTCTCCCTTTTATTCTTTATTAGTCTAGCTAGCAGTCTATCTATTTATTAATATTTTCAAAAAACCAGCTCCTGGATTTGTTGATTTCTTGAAGGGTTTTTCATGTCTCTATCTCCTTCACTTCAGCTCTGATCTTGGTTATTTCTTGTCTTCTGCTAGATTTGGGGCTTGTTTGTTCTTGGTACTGCAATTCTTTTAGTTGTGATTTTAGGTTGTTAACTTGAGATCTTTCTAGATTTTTTGATATGGGCATTTAGTGCTATAAATTTCCCTCTTAACACTGCTTTAGTTATGTTCCAGAGATTCTAGTACATGGCCTCTTTATTCTCATTAGTTTCCAAGAACTTCTTGATTTCTGCCTTAATTTTGTTATTTACCCAAGAGTCATTCAGGAGCAGGTTGTTCGTTTCCATGTAGTTGTATGGTTCTGAGTGAATCCCTTAATCTTGAGTTCTCATTTGATTGCACTGTGGTCTAACAGACTTTTCGTTCTGATTTCAGCTCCTTTGCATTTGCTGAGGAGGGTTTTACTTCCGATTATGTGATCCATTTTAGAGTAAGTGCCGTGTGGTTATGAGAAGAATGTATATTCTGTTTTTTTTTTTTCTTTTTTGGATGGAGAGTTCTGTAGATATCTATCAGGTCCACTGGATCCACCGCTGAGTTCAGGTCCTGAATATCTTTGTTAATTTTCTGTCTCAATAATCTATTATTGTCAATGGGGTGTTAAAGTCTTCCACTATTATTGTGTGGGAGGCTAAGCCTCTTTGTAGGTCTCCAAGGACTTCCTTTATGAATCTGGATGCTCCTGTACACATATATTTAGGTTAGTTAGCTCTTCTCATTGAATTGAACTCTTTACCATTATGTAATGCCCCTCTTTGTTTTTTTAAAAAATATTTATTGGTTTAAAGTCTGTTTTGTCAGAAAGTAGAATTGCAACCCTGCTTTTTTCCGTTTACTATTTGCTTGGTCAATTTTCCTCCATCCCTTTATTTTGAGTGTTTTTGCAGGTGTGTCTTTGCAGGTGAGATGGGTTTCTTGAATACAGCATACTGATGGGTCTTGATTCTGTATCCAGTTTGCCATTCTGTGTCTTTTAATTGGGACATTTAGCCCGTTTACATTTAAGTTTAGTATTGTGAATTTGATCCTGTTTTCATGATGCTAGCTGGTTATTTTGTAGACTTATTTATGTGATTGCTTCATAGTGTCAGTGGTCTGTGTACTTCAGTGTGTTTTTGTAGTAGCTAGTAATGGGTTTTCCTCTCCATATTTAGTGTTTCCTTCAGGAGCTCTTGCAAGACAGGCCTGGTGGTGACGAATTCCCTAAGCATTTGCTTGTGTGAAAAGGATCTTATTTTTGCTGTGCTCATAAAGTTTAGTTTGGCTGGATATGAAATTTGGGGTTGGAAATTCTTCTTTAAAAATGTTGAATAACAGCCCCCAATCTCTCCTGGTTTGTAGGGTTTCTGCTGAGAGTTCTGCTGTTAGTCTGATGGGCTTCCCTTTGTAGGTGATCTGACCTTTCTCTTTGGCTGCACTTAACATTTTTTTCTTTCATTTCAACCTTGGAAAATCTGAGGATTATGTGTCTTTGGGTTGGTATCTTTGTGGAGTATCTTACCAGGGTTCTCTGCATTTTCTGAATTTGAATGTTGACCTGTTTTGCTATGTTGGGGAAGTTCTCCTGGATGATATCCTGACATGTTTCCTAGCTTGGTTCCGTTCTCCCCATCTCTTTCAGGTACTCCAATCAGTCGCAGGTTTGGTCTCTTTACATAATCCCATATTTCCTGGAGGTTTTGTTTGCTCCTTTTCATTCTTTTTTCTCTGTTTTTGTCCTCCTGTTTTATTTCAGAAAGATAAGACAGAGTCTTCAAGCTCTGAGATTCTTTCCTCTGCTTGGTCTATTCTGCTATGGATACATGTTATTACATTGTGAAGTTCTCATACTGTGTTTTTCAACTCTATCAGGTCAGTTATGTTCCTCTCTAAACTGGCTATTCTGGCTCTCAGTTCCTGTATTGTTTTATCATGATTTTTAGCTTCTTTGCATTGGCTTACAACATGCCCCTTTAGCTCAGTGAATTTCATTATTATCTACCTTCTGAAGCCTACCTCTGACAATTTGGCCATCTCAGCCTCAGCCCAGTTCTGTGCCCTTGCTGGAGTGATGTTGCAGTTATTTGGAGGAAAAGAGACACTCTGGCTTTTTCAGTTTTCAGTGTTTTTACACTGATTTTTTTCTCATCTTTGTGAACTTATCTACCTTTGATCTTTGAGGTTGCTGACCTTTGAATGGGGTTTTTGTGGGGTCTTTTTTGTTGATGTTGTTGTAGTAGTTTTCCATTTGTTTGCTTTTTATTTTTTTAACAGTCAGGCCACTCTTCTGTAGGGCTGCTGCAGCTTGCTCAGGGTCTGCTCCAGACCCTAGTTGCCTCACTTTTTCCTGTACCTGGAGGTATCACCAGTGAAGGTTGCAAAACAGGAAAGATGGCAGCCTGCTCCTTCCTCTGGGAGCTCCATCCCAGAGGGGCACTGACCTATTGCCAGTCCAAATGCACCTGTAGGAGATGGCTGTAGACCCCTGTTGGAAGGTCTCACTCATTCAGAAGGAATGGGATCAGGGAACTGCTTAAGGAATTAGTCAGGCTGCTTTTTGGTAAAAAAGGTGTGCTGAATTGTGGGAGGAAACACTTCCTCATCCAGACCATTTGGATTCTCCTAAGTAGGCAGGCTGGAACAGCTGAGTCAACTGATCTCTCCCTGGGATGGAGCTCTGTTCACATAACTCTGATTGGAGTGGCTGAAGCCCTGGCAGGCAGGTCCTGCCCAGTGAGGAGGAATGTATTGGGGTCCCACGTAAAGAAGCATTCTGGCCACTATCTGGCAAAACAGCTGTGCTGTGTTGTGGGGGTTCCTTCCTCATTCAAACTGTTTGGACTCTCCAAAGCTGGCAGGCTGGAATGGCTGAGTCAACCAAACCACAGAGATGGTGTCTGCCTCTTCCCCTGGGAACTTGGTTCCATCTCAGACAGACTCCAGACTGTTGTCATTGGCTGGCTGGAATTCCAAGCCAGTGGGTCTTAAGTTGTGAGGTGCCATGGAAGTGGAATCCATAGAATGATGCTGCTTGGCTCCCTGAATTCGGCCCTCTTCCTAGGCATATGTGCAGATGGATCTCCCACCTTGCTAGGGATCTTGGGGCTAAAGTATGTAAAACTCCCAGGTCTCTGTGTGTGCCTGAACAGCTACTCTACTGAGACTCCACACAGCTCTGTGTATTGGACCCAAGACCATGGTGGCATGGGCTCGGAAGAGGAGCTCCTGACTTGTGGGTTGCAAAGATCTGTGGGAGAAGCATAGTTTCCCTGGCAGAGTCGTACATCACTCACCACTTTCCTTGGCTGGGGGTAGGGGTTCCTTCGGCTCCATGACACTCCAGGATGGACCATCACCCCCACCCTTATTTTCTTTGTTCTCCATGAGTTGAGTTGTTTGCCTAGTCAGTACCAGTGCGAGAACTCAGATATTTCAGTTGAAGGTATTGAGTTCACTCGCCCCTTTCATTTCTCTCCATGAGAGCCACAGATTGCATCTGCTTCTAATCAGCCATCTTCCAGCATTCTTTCTTATGACTCCATACATAAAGTCTAGGGGGTCTAGATCTGTTGTTTATTGGTTTTGCTAGCTTTAGCTAATGTTAACTTTGCCTTTTCTTTATAAGCTTTTATTGTGAGCTACTCTTACTTTACTATGTGGCATTCAAGTGGGTCTAAATTAGGCAATAATTTCAACAGAGAGGCATTGCTTGTGCTGAGATCCAAAGGGTTCTAATAGCCAAGGACCACTTAAATTCTCTGTAAGTATCTTAAATCAGCTGAAAGTGAAGGCTCAAGCTGACACCTCAGTGCTAGTCTAAGGCTCAGAATCCCAATAGTGTTATACTACCAGTATCTGTCTCAGGGCAATCCAACTCCTCTGGGCAGCCTACTGTTTCCAGCTGCCAGCACTGGCCACAGTTAAACCTACCCACCACCACTCCTCTACTCAGAAAGATACTAACATAACTTCCAAACCTTTTGTAAGACTTACAGTGACTCCAAGACTCCATTCTATTCACAATGCGTAATTCTATAGGGGGAAGATCTCACAATAAACTTATTATACTACAGTGCTGGACACTAAAATTTTAAAGTCAATGATTAAACTTGATTCTATAGACAGAGAGGCATCTGTATGGCTATCAACATCTTCTTCTATCAGGGACATTCAGATAAGAGTACTCTGAAAATTTGCTGCATTCACAAAGAAAATTAACATTTTTGGGGGGACCTACTAAGTGCTAGTTGTTAAACACTCAATAAACACCAGGTAATATGTCAACACTTTATAACATTTATTTTTTCTATTTTCTATTGTTTCTAGTTCTCCTAATGCTATTTCTGACATCTCTACCTCTGATCATGGTTTTATTCTGTATTCCTGTTTGATTAAATAACAAATATAAGAAATCTAGAAGCGGCCTTTAAGGAGGAAAGGAACAGATGATTGTGTAAAAATGCATTCCATTTCTAAATAAACAAATGGGCAAAGTGGAGCAAAATCCCAAATTATTAACTGACTATTCCAGAACTTCATTTGAAAGTTTAGCTTTCAGATAGACCCATGGGAACTTATTTAACTCATAATGCAGCAGATTACTCATGTGTTCATTCATTCAATAAATTATTACTGAATACCTGTTATTTGCCAGACACTGAAATAGGTGCTGGAGATACAATTGTAATCAAAATAAAGTAGTTCCTGTTCCTGTGTAGCTTACAGTTTAGCTTGAGGTACAAACTATACAAATAATAACAATTAAAATGCAACCTTCCATGAAAACAATGGGAAAATAGGGTGATATGGATGCATACAAAATGTGAAAGGGTTAGCCTGGAAAAGGAGAAGGGACAATGAGAGGTTGGGAGAAAAGACATGCAAATATCCATAGGTAAGAAAAAATATATATTACCTTAGTGAAATAAAGAGGAGTTATGGGTGATAGAATGGAAAAGACTGAAGAGCCACTTTTGGGAAGGATGATGAATGATGAATCTGGAAATATAAATGAGATTGGGGTCATTGAAAGCAATATTGAAACATTTTGATTTCTCTAAGAACAATGGAGAGTCATTGAGGAATTTTATACATAGAGGTAATTTGACTAGATATGCATTTTTCAAAGATTCTTTGGCTACAGTGTGAAAAATGAAATGAGAATGGGGGTGGATAGGAGCCTGGGAAACCAGGTAGGATGCGTTTTCAGTAATTTAGGTAAGTGATGATGGTGATCTTTGCAAGGTTACTGGGGATAACAATGGAGGGAAATTGATGGATTCAACAATTTAAAGGTAGGATGTATTGCTTGTAAGGAAATGAGAGTTCAGGAGAACGGTTCAAGAGGTGAGTCTATGACTGATTTGGCTTAATCACTTCTCCGTTGGGGAAAATTAGATCTTGAGTTGCAGCTGGGAAATTTGGATCTTAGGAACACAGAAAATCCTTGCTGCCAGCAAAACCTCCATAACATATTTGCGTGAAGTAGGCTTCCTTCCCCCTTTTTTGTTTCTGACCCAGAAAGAGAGAGAGGATTCCTTATTTGCTCTCTGCCATTACTCATGCCCAGTTGAGGAAAGAATGTCATCTACAATAAAGGCATTAAGTAGGAGAAGCAAAAAGTCAAGGTTTCGGTCTGACTTGATAAAGATGAAGGAAAAAACAAGAGAGAACTGTGAGGTCACTGTTTCCAGGAGTTGAGAAAAATAGGGGTCCCAGCTTGAACTTATGTCAGTTACTGATATCCAGTTATGTCTGCTCATACTCATGACTGATAGAATGTATCCACCAGGAGCCTAATTTCGTGGCTGACCAGAGGTCACCTAGAAAACAGCACATTTAATGAAGTCAAATATTACAGAAAAAATGTGACTCCAAGTACAGCAGAATGTCTATCATGTAGAGCTTCAAAGTGTGGGCTCTAGAGCTATAGAGTGATGGTTAATAGCAAGGTTTTAAATTCCACCTTCACCACCTGCTGTATTTGGCCATAGGCTGTTAACTTAATCACTATATGGCTGGGTATTCTTATTTTTAAAAATGATAACTTCCCTAATTATTTGATACGGTTATTGTGAAGATAAAAGGAACTAATACATACAAAGCACTTTTAATAGTCTCTGATACATAATGACTCAATAAATATTAATTATTTAATATTAGCCATTTAAAATAACCAAGTATTATTACTTTAGCTCAGCTCTTCATGAACTCCAGGTCTCAATCTGGAGGTGGAGATGAGGATAGTAGGGAATAAAGTGAGACTATAATAATGAAGTAATATTCTTGACTAAAATCTTGCTAATATATTAGGGCAGAAGAATCACCAAAAAAAAAAAAAAAAAAAGAGTGTGCAATGCTGTCAGATGTGCCATGGTACCCACTGCTCTAGGCTGGGCCTGGAAGGCAGAGACTTACCCTGGACATCAGACGCAGTGTCCACACAGATCCCAGGCAGTGAGCCTTGCTAAAGGAGGCTAGGTCCCCAAAATGCAGGTCCGTCACCCTTGATAGTGTTTTCTTGGTGTTTTAAATGAACTTTCACTGTTTGTCATATAATATTTAGTTTTAGAGAGCCATATTACTGATAAAAATAGTATGACTTATTTTTGAGAAGTAAATAAGATAATTGGGGGCAATCTAAGCAAAGTCTTCAATTGTGTTTCTGCTAAAGTACGTGAAGTACATGCCACTTTCTCAGTAGGAAAGACTGTTGGCAGACTGACAAGATGAATCATTGCTGAAATGTATTCAAAAAGAATTATAGAGCAGAACCAGGGATAGAATCTAACAGGAAATAAGCCCCATGGGTCATTCTGAGTTATGTCCTTTTTAGTGAGTCTGTTTTAGTTTAAGTTTATTTGAATAATACTAAGATGTACTGTATTGAGCAAGGGAAAGACTCTCTGTAACATACGGGAAACTTTTATCACTCAGGTTTTATCGTCTGGTTTTTCACTTTTTATGCAAATTTTTTTCCCCTTCATGTTAGAATAATTTTGGTCAATGTTTTCTCAAGATATGACTAATTTTTATTTTATCGTCTTTAGAGAAAGTTGAAGAGTCACAGTACCTTTCTTTTATCACAATAGAACCTACTGCACACAAAATTTAAAATGTATCCTTGGTTTTCATCTGAAGTTTTGCAATATAATGCAAATTAATACTTTTTCATCTTCAGCTTTTTGAAATTCACTTTCCACACTGCACTTAGAAATGCATTTTTAAAACTAAAATATGAGCATGTTATTTCCCTGTTTTAGTCTCTTCAGTGGCATCCATTGACCTAAGGCTTACCAGGCCTGCCGCATCTGGCACTGTGATATTGTGAAATATTAAATACATTTGGTTTTCCTTCCCTTTTCCTGGCATACAGCTCTTAAAACTCTTGAAGTCTCTTAAGTGATATGTCTTTTTGTAAGCTGATAAGATGACTGATGGCTGGGGACTCCTGGAAAACTGGGGGCTACTAGATAGCCTCAGAATGGAGAACTGTTGCCAAGGGAACCAACCCTGCAATTTAAGATTTGGAACTTTTAGCTTCACTCTCCAACCAGGGTGAGTGAAATTTGGGTCGATCGCAAGTGGCTAATGATTTAGTCAGTCATGCCTATGCAATGAATCTTCCATAAAAACCTGAAAGGACTGCATTTGAAGAGCTTCTGGGGATCTAAACATGTGGAGGTTCCTGGAGGGTGGCACCCAAACAGGGCAGGGAAGCTCTCACATCTCTTGCCCTATGCATCTTTTCCATCTGGCTGTTCATCTGTATCCTTTGAAGTATTCTTAATAATAAATGGGTAAATATAAGTGAAGTGTTTTCCTGAGTTCTGTGAGCTCTTCTAGCAAATTAAACTCAAAGAAGAGGTCATGGGAACCCCTGCTTTATAGCCAGTCAGTCGGAAGAAAAGGTAACAACCTGTGGCTTGTGATTGGCATCTGAAGTGAGTGTCAGTCTTGTGGGACTGAGCCCTTACCCTAAGTTATCTCCAGGTAAATAATGTGAGAATTGAATAGAATTCCAGGACACCCCTCTGGTGTCTGCTGGAGATTTTCTTGATGTGTGGGGAACCCCTCCCTCACATCTGGTCACAGAAGCATTCTGTGCCGTATTGAATGAGTGTTAGAGAAGGAAAAACACTTTTTTTTCCCTGTCTGTATCAGATACCTACATACCACTTCAGCTTCAGCTCCCACTCTGATTCTTCTTTGTCTCTTGCTCAAGACACACAGGATTTACTTCCCTTCTTCAGTGTATAGTACAACCTTCTTTTTAGATCAGATATTAAAATCCAAATGTAGCAGAGGCAGATTAAAGTGAAGCAGATCAGGTATAATACGGTCAGGATTGCTGGTACCTGTGGCAAAATGGAGAACACATACTCTCATAAAAGCAGCTGCTACTTGGTTCAACTGATTGCTGCCATGTCTTAGATCCTCTAATTTTTCAAGAAAACTAGAAATTTGATTTTTTTCTGTAATCTCAAAGTTTTTCAATATCGGCAACTAATTTCTTAAGCACACTAAAAGTCAGTAAAGCATGTTCGGCTGCTATTTTTATTCGTATATGCAACCAAGTTGAAAACTTAAGATATTAATCTTCTCTGTTATACCCCTATTCCTAGGCCTTAGCCCTTCATCTTCTCAGGAGATTCCCCCACAGATTTAAATCCCCTTGATCTAAAGCTCTCACAGCTACCTTTATATTTCCTTTTGTAACATTCATCATACTTTTGTGAGTCATCATTGTCATTAATCTCTTATAAATTCCATGAAGTTAGAGACTATGCACATCTTTTAAAAATTATATCTAGAAGAATGCTTGGGATATAAAAGGGTATTAGGCTGGGCACAGTGGCTGATGCCTGTAATCCCAGCACTTTGGGAGGCTGAGACATGTGGATCACCGGAGCTCAGGAGTTCGAGACGAGCCTGGCCAACTTGGTGAAACCCCGTCTTTAAAAAAATACAAAAATTAGCCGAGTGTGGTGGCATGTACCTGTAGTCCTAGCTACTCAGGAAGCTAAGGTAGGAGGATCACTTGAGCCTGGGAAGCAGAGGTTGTAGTGAGCTGAGATCACACCACTGCACTCCAGCCTGAACAACAGAGTGAGACCCTGTCCAAAAAAAGAAAATAAATATTTGTGAATCTAACTGAAACATTATATTCATTATATTAATGTTAAATATACAGGATAAATATTATGCCCATTTTATAGTCTGTAAAACTATAACACTGTGGACTTAAATGACCTTTTTGAGGTCATTCAGCTTTTGGTAGTAAGTTCAGCTTCTGACTCAGAGATTATAGCTCTTGCCACCAGGCCTTGCTATGTTTCTTAGCCATCTTCAGATTTTTCATAATATTGCAAGTCTGAAAGTTTGAACGCTATAGATTGTTTAAAAGGAATTCTGAATATATGTTTTAATATTTGCTATATAGTCAACATTAAGTTAAAATGAAATTTAGGAAAGCAAAGACAAATAGCATTGCTAAAAGACATGAAGAATTTGTTTAATTTGGGAAAATGCTTTTTTTCTAGATTCAGTGCTTTTACCTAATATTAATATTTGATTAGCTTAAAATAAACATTAATTGTCCAGCCCATTCATACATTAATCTGACAGTTTTTTCTCCATTGCATTAGCTAAGAGTAAGCCTTGATCATCTAAAAAGCATATTTTTTTGTTTTTCTCATACTGGTTATGTTATTGGCATCCATCAATATGCTGCATGGATGCAAGGAAGAAAAGAGAAAAAGAAAAATTATATGGGAAGTGCAAGAAATAAAAGAAGTTGTAGAGCTGCTAATATAACTGGATTATCAGAAAGTGTCACTGGTAAACTGAGTTCTTTCTCTACTTTATGTTGGTTGCAAAGAAAGAACACCCAGTTGGAAAGACCAGCAAGCCACTGGCGAGAAATCGAGAAGCAGTGCACTCTCACTCTAAAGATCCCTTTTCCTCAAATCACAGAAGGAATGGGGTTTTTAAGGACTGTGTGAGAAGTGAGAGAGAAATGTTAGTATGTGCAGGGTGGGACTCCAGACGTACAGGCTCAACTCACAAACATACATAAACTCATACACACAAAATACAGAATAGCAGAGACTTTCTTTTTGGGGTAGGTAATGTTAGCATTATAATAATATATTAATGACTTATGCCAGCTAAAGGTAATCTGTTTCAGTTTGTGCCAGTTTGGGGGTCATATCTCCCTCTGGTATCTGGTCATAGGTCATAAAGCTCTGGTGCCATCCAAGTCCATATGGTTTCTTCAAGCAGCTGTGCCTATAAATAAGAGACTAAAGAAAAACAGTAAGGAAAAGAACTTTCCCAGTTATTTCATCAAGGCTTCCCTGGTAACAAAGTTAATAGGCAATTTTTGGTCATTTTCCAGGATTATTTTAAAATCACAGCTGGAAGGTACCAACGATTTCAAGGAGGCTATTTATTGCTACACTTCGGGACCGTGAGAAATGTTTATATTACTTAAATCAATATTGCTAATTCTAGTAATCTCTCTTAAGGAAATAAATATCTTAAAAATAGATAAATGGTTTTATAAGTTAGGGCATATCCCAACAATGTGATATTACAAATAATGATTAGTGATGTTTTGCAGGTATTCAATAATGCATGTGAATGGTCATTACATAGAGTTAAGTAAGTAAAAAAGGAATTCAAGTCTGTTATAAAATATTTCCCCCAATGCCAAAAAAAAGTAAAAATAAAAGGCTAAAATTAAATTTCAAAGAGGGGGCTTCAAGATGGCTGACTAGCAGCATTTCATACCACCTCCTCCACTTAGAAGAACCTAAATAGTACATGAACAGTGTGTTAGTCTGTGCTGCCATAAAGGAATATCTGAGGCTGGATAATTTATAAAGAGAAGAGGTTTATTTTGGCTTACAGTTCTGCAGGCTGTACAGGAAGCATGGTGCTGGCATCTGCTTCTAGTGAGGCCTCAGGAAGTTTACAATCATGGCAGAAGACAGAGGGGAGCCAGCATATCACATGGCAAGAGAGGGTGCAAGAAAGAGAGGAGAAGTTCTCAGACTCTTTTAAACAATCAGATCTTTTGTGAACTCGGAGGAAGAACTCACTCATTACCAGAAGGAGGGCACTAAGCCATTCATGAGGGATCTGCTGCCATGACTCAAACACTTCCCACCAGATCCCACCTCCAACACTGGGGATCACATTTCAATATGAGATTTGGAGGGGACAAACATCTGAACTATATTAGAATATGTTATCCCAGAGAGAACTTGAATTCAACAGAGAGGTGACAGGACACATTGAAAGCAAGAAAGGAAAAAATAAAGAGGCAGCCTGCTTGGCAGGGATTGCCTGGGTGCTAAAAGTGATTTCCCAGCACGAGGAAAGGATGAGTGAGAGACTTCTGGCAGCTAACGTTCCCATAGTGGAATCATGTAATCCTGGTCACGGGAGAACCCTTTGACCCTCCCAACCCCTGAAATTAACATAGGTAGCTGCCAGGAGACTGTGGGATGGGACTGTACTAGGGAGAGAGCTTGCACCGGGTTCCACACCCTATCTGAGACTTAAGTGGTTACAGCAAAGTGCTATTATCAAACCTAGCCTTTGGCAGACTGCACACTGCCCTGTGGCCCAGTGGTGCCAGAATTGAGATGTTATGGAAACTCAGGCTACTGCTGCTAAAACTAGAGAATGAGCTGAGTGTGCTCCTGGGGCTGGAGCTAAGAAGCAAGAAAAGTGTGGGCTGCAGCTCCTGATGCCAGGAAATAAGCACTACCAGGATTGAGACTGGGACACAAGTGGGGCATGAATTGCTGCTGGGACGTTGTCGTGTGCTGGGTGGGGGCTCCTGCAGCTGGGATGGAAGAGCGAGCTAGGCATGGGCTGCTGCTACCAGGGCTGGGGGAAAGCACCAAGTGTAAGAGTGATGCGTGTTCCCCACATGCTGGTTCAGGCTGTGGCCACGAACGATGGCCGCACTCTCTCTAGTGGCGTTCCTCAGCATAGCTGTTACTGCCTCTCATCCTAGCACTCCACCTGGGACCTGAAGATTGTTATGCCCCTGCCCACCACAGCTGGTGCCTGCTGTCACCACTGGGTGGCCTGAGCACAGGCCTGTCTACCCTGGTTTCAGCCCTCCCTTCAGGACAGAGAACATAGCTTGGGGTCCTGGAGATTGCCCAATTCAAGCTACCACTTCGGGCATCTCAGCACTCCTTGTGGAGCCTGCGGTTGGACCTAAACTCCCAGCTGCTACCACTTCAGCTGGCACCTACCTGCAAGTGCCATCTTTAGGCTTGGATATTGGCCTGTCTAGTCCATCGCAGCCACTACCAATATCAAGGCACACTGCTTGACCCAGAGAATTATTCTCCCACTCTTATTGTCATTGCCTAAACCACACTAGTTGCCCAGGGGCCTGAGAATCCACTCACTCATTCACCTGGTCCACTGCTGCCACTACCAGCATCAGAGCAAGCCACCTGGAGTCCCAAGAATTTGCTCACTGCTAACTGCCAACAGAAATACCAGTGTACACCACCCTGGGGCACAAAAATAGGCATGCTCAGCCACTGATGCCACCACTGGGGCCTGAAAACTGGCCCACCTGGCATCTCAGCCACCAGCACAACTTCACCACAGCATCCTCTAATAACTGTACTTTAGCATACTGAGGAAATCACAGATGCCATTAATGCTGTTTACAGCCAAAGAAATCATACAGAGACTACACTACTACACACACACACAGAATCAAAGGCAAAGTACCCTATCAGACCAACACCATAGATATATCTTCAGGAAAAGTCCTCTTTTACAAGAGTTAATTCAAAAATAGGAAGAAGTGACTGTTACACCAGATGCACAGATATCAACATAATGACCCAGGAAATTTTAAAAGCAAGGAAAGGCCGGGTGCGGTGGCTCACGCCCGTAATCCCAACACTTTGGGAGGCCGAGGCGGGCGGATCATGAGGTCAGGAGATCGAAACCATCCTGGCTAACATGGTGAAACCCTGTCTCTACTAAAAATGCAAAAAATTAGCCGGGCATGGTGGCGGGTGCCTGTAGTCCCAGCTACTCAGGAGGCTGAGGCAGGAGAATGGCGTGAACCTGGGAGGCAGAGCTTGCAGTGAGCCAAGATCGTGCCATTGCACTCCAGCCTGGATGACAGAGCGAGACTCCGTCTCAAAAAAAAAAAAAAAAAAAAAAAAGAAAAAAAAAAAAGCAAGGAAATATGACACCTCTAAAGAAACACAATAATCCTTAGGGAATAGACACATCTTAATCAAAAAGAAATGTTTGAAATCCAGGTAAAGAATTCAAAATACTTATTTTAAAGAAACTCAGTGAAATACAAGAGAATTCTGAAAAACAATCCAAATACATCAGAAAAATATTTCAGGAACTGAATAAAAATTGTATAAAAGATATTATATATATATATATATATTTTAGACAGAGTCTCACTCTGTTGTCTGTTGCCCAGGCTGGAGTGCAGTGGTGCAATCTTGGCTTATTGCAACCTCTGCCACCGGGATTCAAGTGATTCTCCTGTTTCAGCCTCCCGAGTAGCTGGAACTACAGGCACATGCCATCACTCCTGGATAATTTTTTAAATTTTTAGTAGAGATGGGGTTTCGTCATGCTGGCCAGGCTGGTCTCAAACTCCTGACCTCAAGTGATCCGCCTGCCTTGGCCTCCCAAAGTGCTGGGATTACAAGCATGAGCCACCGCACCCAGTCATATATTTTTAAAAATAACCCAGTGAAAATTCTGGAACTAAAAAAAATCATTGAAGGAAATACAAAATACATTTGAAATCTTCAGAAATAATCTAGATCAGGCAGAAGAAAGACTCTCAGAACTTGAAGACAAGTTTTTTGAAATAATCCATTCAGAGAAAAATAAAGAAAAAAAGAATAAAAAAGACCAAGCAAAGCCATTGCCACATTTGGGACAACAGAAAGTGGTCATATATTCAAATTTATTAGTATTTTTAGTAGAGATGGGGTTTTGTTATGTTGGCGAGGCTGGTCTCAAGCTTCTGACCTCAAGTGATTCGCCCACCTTGGCCTCCCAAAGTGCTGGATTACAAGCATGAGCCACCACACCTGACCATATATTTTTTAAAATAACGCAATGAAAATTCTGGAACTAAAAAATTAATTGAAGGAAATACAAAATACATTTAAATATTCAAAAATAATCTGGATCAGGCAGAAGAAAGAATCTCAGAACTTGAATACAAGTCTTTTGAAATAATCCATTCAGAGAAAAATAAAGAAAAAAATAATAATAATAAAGACCAAGCAAAGCCATTGCCACATTTGGGACAACATAAAGTGGTCAAATATTCAAATTATTGGTATCCCTGAGTGCAAAGAGACAAAGAAAGGATTAGACAATCCATTTAATGAAATAATAGATGAAAACTTCACAAGTCTAATAAGAGATTTAGACACTCAGATACAGAAGGCTCAGTGATTTCCCAGGAAGATACAGTGCAAAAAGATCTTCTGTATGGCACATTATAGTCAACCTGTGTAAAGTCAAAGATAAAGAGAAAAATCTTAAAAACGGCAAAAGAAAAGCATCTAGTCACCTATAAAGGAAATCCCATCAGACCAAGAGCAGATTTCTCAGCAGAAGCCTTACAGATCAGAAGAGAATGGGGTGATACAGTCAAAGTGATGAAAGAAAAATACTATTAGCCAAGAATACTACATTCAGCAAAATTATCCTACATAAATGAAGGAGAAATAAAGTCTTTCTCAGATAAGCAAATGCTGAGAAAATTTGTTATCACTAGATGGGCCCTTTAGGAAATGCTCAAGGGAGTCCTAAACCTGGAAACAAAGGATATTTACCACCATGAAAACATACAAAACTGTAAAACTCACTGATGAAGCAATCACACAAAGGAGAAGAACAGACTCAAGCGGTACCACTACAGCAATCCACCAAACCACAATAACAATCAATAAGAGAAAAAGAAAAGATATATTTCTATATCTTTTATATATCAATATCTATATCTGTATCTTTTTATCTCTCTCTATATACATATGTATAACAACCAGAAAATAATTAATATGACAGGAACAAAACCACAGATATCAATAACAACCTTGAATGCAAATGGTTTAAGTTCTCCACTTAAAAGACATAGAATTTATCTATTTCTTCTAGGCTATCCAACTTTTTTGTGTTTAATTATTTCTTGTTTTTCTAATTCCTTGAGGTGCACTAATGTGTTGTTTATAAGAATTTTTTTTATTCTTTTGTGACATAAGCATTTATTGCTATAAACTTCCCTCTTAGAACCGGTTTTGCCATGTATAAGAGGCTTTCATATGATGTGTTTCCATTCTTCTTGTTTGTCTCAAAAAGTTTTAAAATTTCTCTTTTAATTTTGTTATTGACCCAGTGGTAATTTAAATGTATATTGTTAATTTCCATGTATGTAGAAAGGTTTCAAGATTTTTCTTGTTTTTGATTTCTAGTTTTATATCATTGTGGTGAGAAAAAATACTGGATATGATTTCTATATTATTAAAGAGTTGTTTCATGGCCTAATATATGATCTATCCTGGAGAATGTTCCATGCGCTTTTGAGAAAAATGTACATTCTGCAGCTATTGAATAGAATGTTCTCTAAATGTCTGTTAGGTGCATTTGATCTATGGTGAAGTTTAAGTTCAATGTTTCTTTGTTGATTTTCTGCCAATTGACCTATCCATTGTTTAAAGTGGGAGTATTGTTATTATTGCCATTATTGTATTGCAATCTATCTCTACTTTTAGATTTAATAACATTTGCTTTATATATTTGTCTGCTCTGGCATAAGGTGCATATATATTTATAATTGTAATATACTCTTGTTGAATTAATTCCTTTAAAATTATATAATAGTCTTCTTTGTCATTTTTACAGTTTTTGACTTAAAGTCTATTTTATCTTATGTAAGTATGGCTATGCCTGCTTGCTTTTGGTTTTCATTTGCGTGAAATATCTTTTTCCATTCCTTCACTTTCACGCTATGTTTGTCTTTAATGGTGAGATGACTCTCTTATAGGGAACATATAGTTGGGTTGTGTGTAGGGGTGTGTGTGTGTGTGTGTGTGTGTTTAATCCATTCAGCCATTCTTTATCTTTTTTTTTATTATTATACTTGAAGTTCTATGGTACATGTGCACAACGTGCAGGTTTATTACACAGGTATACATGTGCCATGTTGGTTTGCTGCACCCATCAACTTGTCATTTACATTAGGTATTTCTCCTAATGCTATCCCTCCCCCAGCCCCACACCCCACGACAGGCCCCAGTGTGTGATGTTCCCTGCCCTGTGTCCAAGTGTTCTCATTGTTCAATTACCACCTATGAGGGAGAACATGCGGTGTTTGGTTTTCAGTCCCTGTGATAGTTTGCTGAGAATGATGGTTTCCAGCTTCATCCATGTCCCTGCAAAGGACATGAACTCATCCTTTTTTATGATTGCACAGTATTCCATGGTGTATATGTGCCACATTTTCTTAATCCAGTCTATCATTAATGGACATTTGTGTTGGTTACAAGTCTTTGCTATTGTGAATAGTGCCACAATAAACATACATGTGCATGTGTCTTCATAGTAGCATGATTTATAATCCTTTGGGTAAATACCCAGTAATGGGATCACTGGGTCAAAGGGTATTTCTAGTTCTAGATCTTTGAGGAATTGCCACACTGTCTTCCACAATGGTTGAACTAATTTACACTCCCACTAACAGTGTAAAAGTGTTCCTATTTCTCCACATCCTCTCCAGCATCTGTTGTTTCCTGACTTTTTAATGATCGCCATTCTAACTGGCATGAGATGATATCTCATTGTGGTTTTGATTTGCATTTCTCTGATGACCAGTGATGATGAGCATTATTTCATGTGTCTGTTAGCTGCATAAATCTCTTCTTTTGAGAAGTGTCTGTTCATATCCTTTGCCCAATTTTTGATGGGATTGTTTGTTTTTTTTTCTTGTACATTTGTTTAAGTTCTTTGTAGATTCTGGGTATTAGCCCTTTGCCAGATGGATAGACTGCAAAAATTTTCTCCCATTCTGTAGGTTGCCTGTTCACTGTGATGGTAGTTTCTTTTGCTGTGCAGAAGCTCTTTAGTTTAATTAGATCCCATTTGTTCATTTTGGCTTTTGCTGCCATTGCTTTTGGTATTTTAGTCATGAAGTCCTTGCCCATGTCTATGTCCTGAATGGTATTGCCTAGGTTTTCTTTTAGGGTTTTTATGGTTTTAGGTCTAACATCTAAGTCTTTAATCCATCTTGAATTAACTTTTGTGTAAGGTGTAAGGAAGAGATCCAGTTTCAGCTTTCTACATATGGCTAGCCAGTTTTCCCAGCACCATTTATTAAATAGGGGATCCTTTCCTCATTTCTTGTTTTTGTCAGGTTTGTCAAAGATCAGATGGTTGTAGATGTGTGGTTTTATTTCTGAGGCCTCTGTTCTGTTCTATTGGTCTGTATATCTGTTTTGGTACCAGTATCATGCTGTTTTGGTTACTGTAGCCTTGTAGAATAGCTTGAAGTCAGGTAGCATGATGCCTCCAGCTTTGTTCTTTTTGCTTAGGATTGTCTTGGCAATGCGTGCTCTTTTTGGTTCCATATGAACTTTAAAGTAGTTTTCTTTCCAATTCTGTAAAGAAAGTCATTGGTGGCTTGATGGGGATGGCATCGAATCTATAAATTACTTTGGGTAGTATGGCCATTTTCATGATATTGATTCTTTCTATCCATGAGTTTGGAATGTTCTTTCATTTGTTTGTGTCCTCTTTTATTTCGTTGAGCAGTGGTTTGTAGTTCTCCTTGAAGAGGTCCTTCACATCCTTTGTAAGTTGTATTCCTAGGTATTTTATTCTTTTTGTAGCAATTGTGAATGGGAGTTCACTCATGATTTGGCTCTCTGTTTGTCTGTTATTGGTGTATAGGAATGCTTGTGATTTTTGCACATTGATTTTGTATCCTGAGACTTTGCCGAAGTTGCTTATCAGCTTAAAGAGATTTGGGGTGATACGATGGGGTTTTCTAAATATACCATCATGTCATCTGCAAACAGGGACAATTTGACTTCCTCTTTTCCTAATTGAATACCTTTATTTCTTTCTCTTGACTGATTTCCCTGGCCACTACTTCCAACACTATGTTGAATAGGAGTGGGGAGAGAGGGCATCCTTCTCTTGTGCCGGTTTTCAAATGGAATGCTTCCAGTTTTTGCCTGTTTAGTATGATATTGGCTGTGGGTTTCTCCTAAATAGCCCTTATTATTTTGAGATACATTCCATCAATACCTAGTTTATTGAGAGTTTTTAGCATGAAGCACTGTTGAATTTTCTTGAAGGCCTTTTCTGCATCTATTGAGATAATCATGTGGTTTTTGTCATTGGTTATGTTTATGTGATGGATTATATTTATGGATTTGCGTGTGTTGAACTGGCCTTGCATCCCAGGGGTGAAGCCGAGTTGATGGTGGTGGATAAGCTTTTTGATGTGCTGCTGGATTCGGTGTGCCAGTGTTTTATTGAGGATTTTTGCATCAATATTCATCAGGAATATTGGCCTAAGATTCTCTTTTCTTTGTTGTGTCTCTTCTGGGCTTTGGTATCAGGATAATGCTGGCCTCATAAAACGAGTTAGAGAGCATTCCCTCTTTTTCTATTGATTGGAATAGTTTCAGAAGGAATGGTACCAGCTCCTCTTTGTACCTCTGGTGGAATTCCACTCTGAATCTGTCTGGTCCTGGACTTTTTTTGGTTGGTAGGCTATTAATTATTGCCTTAATTTCAGAGCCTGTTATTGGTCTATTCAAAGATTCAACTTCTTCCTGATTTAGTATTGGGAGGGTGTATGTGTCCAGGAATTTATCCATCTCTTCCAAATTTTCTAGTTTATTTGCGGAGAAGTGTTTATAGTATTCTCTGATGGTAGTTTGTATTTCTGTGAGCGCGGTGGTGATATCCCCTTTATTATTTTTTATTGTATCTATTTGATTCTTCTCTCTTTTCTTCTTTATTAGTCTTGCTAGTGGTCTATCAGTTTTGTTGATCTTTTCAGAAAACCAGCTCCTGGATTCATTGATTTTTTGAAGGGATTTTTATGTCTCTATCTCTTTTAGTTCTGCTCTGATCTTAGTTATTTCTTGCCTTCTGCTAGCTTTTGAATGTCTTTGCTCTTGCTTCTCTAGGTCTTTTAATTGTGATTTTAGTTCTATTTTAGATCTTTCCTGCTTTCTTTTGTGGGCATTTAGTGCTAGAAATTTCCCTCTACACACTGCTTTAAATGTGTTCCAGAGATTCTGGTATATTGTGTCTTTGGTCTCATTGGTTTCAAAGAACATCTTTATTTCTGCCTTCATTTCATTATTTACCTAGTCGTCATTCAGGTGCAGTTTGTTTAGTTTCCATGTATTTGTGCGGTTTTGAGTGAGGTTCTTAATCCTGAGTTCTAATTTGATTGCACTGTCATCTGAGATACAGTTTATTGTGATTTCTGTTCTTTTACATTTGCTGAGGAGTGCTTTACTTCCAATTATATGGTCATTTTAGAATAAGTGAGATGTGGTGCTGAGAAGAATGTATATTCTGTTGTTTTGGGGTGAAGAGTTCTGTAGATGTCTATTAGGTCCGCTTGGTGCAGAGCTGAATTCAAGTCCTGGATATCCTTGTTAACCTATTGTCTCATTGATCTAATATTGACAGTGGGGTGTTAAAGTCTCCCATTATTATTGTGTGGGAGTCTAAGTCTCTTTGTAGGTCTCTAATAACTTGCTTTATGAATATGGGTGCTCCTGTATTGGGTGCATACATATTTAGGATAGTTAGCTCTTCTTGTTGAATTGATGCCTTTACATTATGTAATGGCCTTCTTTGTCTCTTTTGATCTTTGTTGGTTTATAGTCTGTTTTTTCAGAGATTAGGATGGCAATCCCTGCTTTTTTTTTTCTTTGCTTTCCATTTGCTTGGTACATCTTCCTCCATCCCTTTATTTTGAGCCTATGTGTGTCTCTGCACATGAGATGGGTCTCCTGAATACAGCACACTGATGGGACTTGGCTCTTTATCCAATTTGCCAGTCTGTGTCTTTTAATTGAGGCATTTAGCCCATTTACATTTAAGGTTAATATTGTTATGTGTAAATTTGATCCCTTCATTATGATGTTAGCTGGGTATTTTGCCCCTTAGTTGATGCAGTTTCTTCATAGCATTGATGGTCTTTACAATTTGGCATGTTTTTGCAGTGGTTGGTACCAGTTGTTCCTTTCCATGTTTAGTGCTTCCTTCAGGAGCTCTTGTAAGGCAGGCCTAGTGGTGACAAAATCTCTCAGCATTTGCTTGTCTGTAAAGGATTTTATTTCTCCTTCACTTAGGAAGCTTAGTTTTGCTGGATATGAAATTCTGGATTGAAAATTCTTTTCTTTAAGAATGTTGAATATTGGCCCCCACCCTCTTTTGGCTTGTAAGGTTTCTGCCAAGAGATCCACTGTTAGTCTGATGGCCTTTCCTTTGTGGGTAACCTGACCTTTCTCTCTGACTGCCCTTAACATTTTTTTCTTCATTTCAACCTTGGTGAATCTGACAATTATGTGTCTTAGGGTTGCTCTTCTCGAGGAGTATCTTTGTGGTGTTCTCCGTATTTCCTGAATTTGAATGTTGGCCTGCCTTGATAGATTGGGGAAGTTCTCCTGGATAATACCCTGAAGAGTGTTTTCCAACTTGGTTCCATTCTCCCCGTCACTTACAGGTACACCAATCAAATGTAGATTTGGTCTTTTCACATAGTCTCATATTTCTTGGAGGCTTTGTTTGTTTCTTTTTACTCTTTTTTCTCTGAACTTGTCTTCTCGCTTTATTTCATGAATTTGATCTTCAATTACTGATATCCTTTCTTCCACTTGATTGAATTGGCTATTGAAGCTTGTGCATGATTCACGAATTTCTCGTGCCATGTTTTTCAGCTCCATCAGGTCATTTTAGGTTGTCTCTACACTGTTTATTCTAGTTAGCCATTTGTCTAACCTTTTTTCAAGGTTTTTAGCTTCCTTGTGATCGGTCAGAACATGCTCCTTTAGCTCGGAGAAGTTTGTTATTACCAACTTTCTGAAGCCTACTTCTGTCAACTCGTCAAACTCATTCTCCGTCCAGCTTTGTTCCCTTACTGGTGAGGAATTGCGATCCTTTGGAGGAGAAGAGGCACTCTCATTTTTAGTATTTTCAGCTTTTCTGCTCTGGTTTCTCCCCATCTTTGTGGTTTTTATCTACCTTTGGTCTTTGACATTGGTAACCTACAGATAGGGTTATGGTGTGGATGTCCTTTTTGTTGATGTTGATGCTATTCCTTTCTGTTTGTTAGTTTTCCTTCTAATAGTCAGGTCCCTCAGCTGCAGGTCTGTTGGAGTTTGCTGGAGGTCCACTCCAGACCCTGTTGGCTTGGGTGTCACCAGCAGAGGCTGCAGAACAGCAAATATTGCTGCCTGATCCTTTCTCTGGGAGCTTCGTCCCAGGGGGACACCTGCCTGTATAAGGTGTCTGTTGGCCCCTGCTGGTAAGTGTCTCCCAGTCAGGCTACACAGGGGTCAGGGACCCACTTGAGGAGGTAGTTTGTCCGTTCTCAGAGCTCAAATGCCATGCTGGGAGAACCACTGCTCTCTTCAGAACTGTCAGACAGGGACGTTTAAGTCTGCAGCAATTTCTGCTACCTTTTGTTCAGCTATGCCCTGCCCACAGAGGTGGAGTCTATAGAGGCAGTAGCCTTGCTGAGCTACAGTGGCCTCCATCCAGTTTGAGCTTCTCGGCCACTTTGTTTACCTACTCAAGCCTCAGCAATGTCAGACGCCCCTCCCCCGGCCCGGCTGCAGCCTCACAGGTTGATCTCAGACTGCTGCGCCAGCAGTGAGCAAGGCTCTGTGGGCATAGGACCTCCCGAGCCAGGCACAGGAGAGAATCTCCTGGTCTATTGGTTGCTAAGACCATAGGAAAAGCACAGTATTTGGGCGGAAGTGTCCCGTTTTTCCGGGTACAGCCTGTCATGGCTTCCCTTGGCTAGGAAAGGGAAATCCCCCGACTCCTTGCACTTCCTGGGTGAGGCGACACCCTGCCCTGCTTCGGCTTGCCCTCCATGGGCTGCATCCACTGTCCAACCAATCCCAGTAAGTTGAACCAAATGCTTCAACTGGAAATGCAGAAATCACCCATCTTCTCCGTTGATCATGCTGGAAGCTGCAGACTGGAGCTGTTCTTGTTCAGCCATCTTTATTTATCTTTTAATTGGAGAATTTAATCCATTTACCTTCAAGGTATTACTGATAGATAAGTACTCATTTCTACCACTTTATTAATTATTTTTTAGTTGTTTGGTAGATCCTTTGTTCCTTTCTTCCTCTGTTGTTTTTTACATTTGTGGTTTTCTGTGGTGCTGTGCTTTTTTTCTTTTTTCCTTTTTTTTTTTGTTTTGAACCATTTTGACTTTAAACCTTCATACTACATACTTCATACAATTGAAACACTTACATAGCACCATTATATCCCTGGGGTATTCTGAGATTCATTATGAATTTACCTATACTGGTAAGTTTTACACTTTCACGTTTTCATGATAGTAATTATCTTTTCATTACAGTTGTATTACAGCGTTAAGCATTTCTTGTAAGGCTGGTGTAGTGATGATGAGTTCCCTCTGCTTTTGTTTGTCTGGGAATGTCGTTATGTTTGCATTATTTCTGAAATATTACTTTGCTGGATAAAGTGTTCTTGGCTGACAGTTTTTTTTGTTCTGTCCACATTGAATATTTCAACCCTTTCTTTTCTGGCCTGCAAATTTTCTGCTGAGAAATTTCTGATAGTCTAATGGAGATTTTATTATATATGGCTTGATGCTTTTATCTTGTAATTTTTAGAATTGTCTCTGTCTTTGACCCTTTACAGTTTGCTTATAATGTGCCTTGGAGATAATCTTTTTTGTTTGAATCCAATTGGGGGCTTTTGAGTTTCCTGGATCTAGATGTTTCTATATCCTTCCAGACTTGCAAAGTTTTCAGTTGTTATTTTGTTAAATAGGTTTTCCATGCATTTCTCCATATTTTCTCTTTTTGCCACTCCTTTAATGTCAATGTTTTTTCATTTAATGGTATTCCATAAGCCCTGTAGGCTTTCTTCATTCTTCTTTCTTTTATTAGCTCACATTCAGAAATTCTTTCTTCTTTTTGATCTAGTCTGTTAGTCAATATTTCAGTTGTGTTATTTTATTTTTCTCATTAAATTTTTCAGCTGCAAGATTTCTGTTAGATTCTTTTTATGATATCTATCTCTTTGTTGCATTTCTCATTCAGCTCATGATAGGTTTCCTCCTTTTATTGAATGGTTTGTCTATATATACTTGTATCTCTCTGAGTTTCCTTAAGATCATTATTTTGATCTTTTTAGGCACTTTGTAAATAACTTTTTCTTTGGGATCTGTTACTGGAGACTTATTGTGTTGCTTTGGAGGGTTCATTTTCTTGCTTTTTCATATTTCTTGTGTCTCTACATTGATATATGCAATCTAGTGAAACTGTCACTTTTTCCAATTTAATGGAATAGTTCAGCCAAGAATACTTCATCCAGCAAAGTAATATTTCAGAAATAATGCAGACACAACGACATTCCCCGACAAACAAAAGCAGAGGGAACTGGTCATCACTACCTCAGCCTTACAAGAAATGCTTAATGCTGTAATACAACTGTAAAGAAATGATGATAATGTATGTAAATATAGACTTATTTATGTGGATGGAGAATATTGGTTGGGTATGGTGCATTGACTGTGGTACTGGATGGACACAGTAGCATGGTCTTTGTACAGTTTCTTCAGCATTAATAATCACCAGCAATGTCTGTGATTGCCTCAGTAGCTTAGACTGCAAGAATTTGTGACAATGATGGTGTGATTTTGCTGAAGGTGGGGTTGCTGGGGTGTTTGTCAGGCTAGGCACATATAGGCCCATGCATGGCAAGATGAGCAACTGTATGGTGATTTTATAGGGAGGCAGGCCTGTTGAACTGGATGTCAAGAAAGGCACAGATGCTGGCATGAGCTGACATTGTGAACTGGCTAGATGTGTAGTGGCTTCCCCACTGTGCAGGTTCACCTTTTTCCCAAGGGGGCTGGGTGCTGCATGGTTTCACATGCCAGGCTCTTGGTCATTCATTTGGACCTAGGCTCCAGGCAGGTGGGGTCATGATGCTGTAGGTACCCATGTGGAAGTGATGAAATAATGGCAGGCATTCAGGAATGAATGCAGCCAGTGGCTACTGGCCTCCAGTGCAGGACACACTCTTACAATGGGTTCAGTTTCAATATGGCACTATGCTGTAGCAGCTTAAGTCAGGGGTATAGGGGTGTTCAATTTGGGCTTCGGCTCTGATGCCATTTAGCCATGCAAACTCCTGGTAACTCTGCAAACTGGATTTGTGGTCTGTGAGGACTAGGGGACTCTCTGTAGCAAGGACTTCTGGCATCTGTGGTGGTAATGAGGATCACTGGGGGTCTACATTCTTTCTCTGTAAGAAGTCTTTCCTGACTGGGCAAGGGAGACTGTGACAGAGGCAGGATGCCTCATTCTTCTCTCTATGGTGCTATCCTGGGTGTTCTTGCTCCACAGGGATTTTACCGCTTGTCTGATACTCTCCAGCATACTTTCCTAGTTACTGAAGTCAAAATATAGTTATTTCTTCATTGTTTTGGTCTCAGTTTTCTCATGGATAAGGGCAAAAAAACCATCTCATAGGTCTGCTTGGAGAAGAATAAATTTGAATTTTTGGTGCTGTGCCTGAAACACATGTAAATGCATCCCAAAGATTGTTTTTTTTTAACTAGCATATCCATGCATGGAGAGAAAAATCTAGGGCTAGGTCAGATTTTTTCCATTTGCCAGATTTTGACCCATTCATATCTTTATTGAATTGAAGATGGACTTAAAGAAATACATGGAAATTGAAGAACAGATAGAAAAAGGAAGTGTGAGAACAAGCAGAATAGTCATATCATTTTTTCAAAAAAAATAGCAATATTGTGAGTTGATATTATCTGTATATTTATAAATATTGTATGGATAACACAGTTTTAGGTTATTTTAAGTACTTAAAAGTAATAAACTGATTGGTGAAGTCATTTTATTCCTAGAGTAGTTTACCAAATACATACTATTGCAAATAATATTTTAAATTATAAATTAAAAAAATAACAAAGCAATCTGACAGTTTGGGAAATAAAGTGAGAAAAATCACATACACACCCCCAATCCATAAACTGAACACAACCATTTCTAACATTTTGAAGTCTCTTCCTTAAGATTCCCCAAACACCTCCCTCTAGATAATCTTTTTTTCATGTTTGTAATCAAAATACATATGCAATTTTATATCTTGCTTTGGGAAAATTAACATAAGCATTTTTTACATTGGTGCAGTCTTTTGAACTCTGTAATATTACATCGAGTCTAATATTTATAATATTTACTTTAATTTTAGAATCTGAAGTTGTATTCAACTTTATATTTTGCATAGTAATATGATAGATAGACAGCTTTGTATGTATTTTTTTATAGTATAGAATTGTTTCCTTAAGGTAGATCACAGATACTCCAAATTACAAATGATTCTAATCAGAGATGTTAGCCGGCAAGGAAACTATTAAGAATTAATCTTCAGCCAAAGTTAAATAATCAAAAATTTGAAATTATTGAAAATAACATTTCTCATAAACGTATGTAAAGGGAACAGAAAAGTCCCCAAACCCACTTGGGTTTTAAAGTATTTCCAGTGATTTTTAAAAAGATAAAAATCTTTCAACTTTAGGTAAAGTTTTTAGATAAACAGAATTGATCTGGTTTTATATTATATTTTAAAACCCAGCATTTGTTTTATGTAAACAAATAGCATACACAGGGTGCTAAGATTTTATTCAGATTGTTAAAACTGGCATAAACAATGGTAACATTGGAAACTCTAAAATGATTAAAATTTATTGGCTGATTTTTTTCTTTATTATATAACTAATGAGATTCATATAACTAACAGGATTTCTGTGATAACTTAAAATGAGAACTTATTAAATTTTTTGTGTCATCCCTGAGATATTTGTCCACATCTTGCATCATCATTGTGGGAAAAATTCCCCCAGATTGTGAATATATTCAAATCGCATTTTCAGTAAACTGTGGAATGACCACTCAACAGATGGTATCCAATTTTGGTATGTTTATACAGAAATGATTTAAAAATTCAATTTGGGAATCAAATTTTGAGGTAAAAGTGGTTTATTGAGTTTAAGATTATTATTTAATTCAGTCTGACTCTTTTGAGTACCTCACCTCTAAAAAGTATAGTCTTCCTATTGGGCAGACTAGGTTTGAACACACTAAACAATTGAAAACAAATAGAAGAACATGAAATTCATTGTTAAAAGCATTTGTAAAGGTTAGTAATTAAAGTTTTTTAGAGAGACCATCTTTTAAAGAAAAGTGTGTTGAATATTCACCATGTATCAATGATAAGAGTCCAAATTGAATGGACAGTGAATCAAGCCAGGTTGCTGTCTTCTGTGAACTCACAGTTTAAGGCAGGACTCAGATCAAGAACTAATTTTTTCCCTCTCCTTTTCACTCTATATAGTTTATCTACCACTATTATAGTGCTTTACTCACCATGTTTAAATTAATACTTGTTAAAGTCAATATTTTGTAAGTACTACGAATGAAGTCTGTGGACCAAAGGGAGGGTATGGTTAATTTTCACTTAGGAAGAAAAATCAAATCATATAGGAAGTGATACTGATGGTGAGTTTGAAGAATCAGAAGATACATGTAGAGAAGACAAAAAACAAATTTCTAGGCCAAATGAAGCAAATAATTAAAGGTAACTGGTTGTGAAAGAGCATGGCATATTCAGGGGAAGATAAATTCAAGGTTCTTAGGAATGATATCTGCTTTTTACATAGGGTTAGGAACATAGGGTAAGCAAAAATAAAGGTACCAGACATCAGTGGAGGCCAGCTCTGAATTTCAATGCCAATGAGTAACAGTTTTATCTCAAAACCAAGAGAGATCCAATGAAGGATTTAAATTAGAAAATAATCAGATATGGCACATAGATGTTGAACAAGAAAGTAAAAATACTACTTAGCAGGAGATCAGCTAGAGGCTATTCTTATTATCTTGGTGAGAGATTATAAGTGGTATAAACTAAGGCAGTAGGTAAGAAGAAGGTCTGGCAGAGGAAATACTCCCAAGATAGAAAAAGATTTTCCTCCTTGTTTCTTGTTTGTTGGAAGGAAGGAGTTATGAAGAGGTAATAGTAGAGGGCTAGAGCTTGGATGAGCAAATACAACTGGAAATGAAATTTAGAATCAGTCATTAAAATGATAGTTGATACAGTGTGATGATTGGGAATGTGAGATGTGGATGGGGAAGGAAGGAACTTAGTAAACTAGAGTGGATAGACAGGAAGAGAAGAAATACCACTATATTTTTCTAAACATTCTTTTCAAATTAAATTTCAGAATGTATTAAAGGTTGACTGTATTTTTAAATCACCAGCTATTCATATGCCAAATATTAACCATTCTCAGATGTGTTGAAATCAACATTGCCCCTACAACAGATGTTCTAAGGTAATCTTGTGACAAAGATGGAAAATTCCTTCGTTACAAGTGTAAACAAAAAATCAATACATTTTAAGGGAAAGTTTGTACTAAGAAATTACACATTTTTTCTCAGTGAATAGCTTATCTAAATTTCCTATTAGCACCAGCACTTCTTGGTTTCTTGGCCTTCTACCTGTTTTATTAGAAGTAAAAACATATTTTGAATGAGCTGAATCTTTTCAAGATGATGTTGAAACAGACTTTCTGTATTAAGGTATTCAAACACACTATTATATATAAACAAGATATAGTGTTTTGGGTGATTTCCACTAACCAGATATATGTCATTATGATTAGAGTAAAAGTACAATATATAAAAATGTGTAATTTATTCTGAAAATTTAATGTCTTAAATGGAAGTGATAAGAAAAACTCTTTCTCTGGGTTTAATTATGACAAAAAATAAGTGGTTGAGAAATGCATGAATAACGTAGAACTTAAGAGATATGTCTGTGGCAACTTGGAGTTCATAATCAATGAAGAATTGCAAAATGATAAACAACAAAAATTTTTATTTCTTTATGTATTAGCTCTTTCCCTCCCTCCCTCCCTCCGTCCCTCCCTCTTCCTCCCCCTACCTCCCTCCCTTCCTTCCTTCCTTCCCCTCTCCTTCCCTCCCTCCTCCTCCCTCCACTCTCTGTCTCTTCTTTCTTTTCTTTCTTTCTTTGTCTTTTATTTTGCTAGTGATGTTCAGAATAAGAAGAATTAGGTAGACACAGATCTACTATTTAGAGATGGAGAACTAAAATTAACCAATCACAGAAAGAAAACAAAGCTATTTTGCTTTCATCTTCTTCTAAGAGAATGGCATTTACATTAACCTGCTGATATGTGTTAATTGGTGACTATAAAGAGAAAATTGGAATTTGGGAAAGGGGACTAAGACAAGCAATGCCAGTATAAAATAATGGAAAAATTATAGGGTCTGACATTAAACCAGGGTTTGATTTATGTCCTACTGGATATGTGACTAGGGAAAGATGTTTGATCTAGTCAAGCTGAGTGTATGGAAAGTTTCATTTTCTTCATCTTTAAGATGGAAATAATAATACCTACTGGACTATTGATATAATTGGGTCAAATGAAATAATATGTTTGAAGGATATTGAACAGTGCTTAAGTTTTCTTCTGTTTCCAACTAGTAAGATAGCTAATATCTTCACACTGTACTCAAACTATATACATCCAGTGGAATTACACCCTGATTTCTGAAAGTACTTTGATATGTGACCATAAAGCTCTCTGTTGGTAGTCTTTGGAAAATTGTGTAGGAATGGCAGAGGTTTAGAGAAGAAGAGTGGCTCTGATTTTTTTTTAAAGAAATAGGGTAGAGTTGGGAGATTTCTAAAGAGTAAAATTCACGTTAATCCCTGGGAACATTTTCTAGAATATATTACTAAATGAATAGCTTAGGAAGACTTAAGTAATGTTATTTTGAGTTAGAATCCAGCATGAGTACCAAGAGAACAGGTCATGATAAACAAATCAGTTTTATTTCTGCTAGGGTTGCTAGGTTGATAGATGAAGGTAATGCTATAGACACCTAAGATATTTAGTAAAGTGACAGTAGCAACTGCTCATAATTATTCTTGACAGATAGGGTTTCGCCCCAACCCATCACTTATTATTCATTTAATTGTGGTTTTTAGACATAAATAAGTCATTACATCTATTCTCATAATGATTTAATCTTACTGATTTTTGATTTGTTCTAGCTTGCTAAGTTCATTTGAAACTTTTTTAGCTTTCATTCCAGCTTTGTGCTACTTACACATTTGATGTGCCTCCTTTAGTGAAATGCAAGGACCCAGATGATTCCTTCTAGATTATGAATCTATTTGATAGACAAGATACTGATTGTCTTACTTCATGGGAAGAATGTGGTTTATTTCTTGCAAGCTATGTGACTTTGGCCAAGTTATCCAAAGTGATGGAAAATTGGCCAGTCTGGCAAACAAACAAGCACACAAACAAACCCACAGAAGTGTTCTGTGCTATGTTGAGAGTAGCACAGGAAAAACAGAAAATGGTTTGTTTTTCCTGCTATATCTAATCCCTAAGGTAATTCTAAAGAATATTACCTTCTATAAACCATATCATGGAAATGCCCATTATAATTTTCCATTCCAGGTTCTAGAGAAATTCATTTATGGTATCAGCTTATTTTTAAAATGTAAAATCTCTTTTTAATAAAGGCAATGTAGGAGCTCCATCCATGACTACATCAATAGCCCCAAATTATACTGTTTCCTGGAGTATCTGGGAAAATGAGCCATACCATACATCATTACCATTCTTGATCATATTAATGACCTTAATTATGACATTTTATATACAATGGTATGGATTTCATTAATTTCCTTATGTGCAGAATCAAGAATTTTAGTTGAGGTCTTATAAATGTTTTAATCAACATATATAAATTAATATTTAAAAGTATATCTAGGTTCAAGGACAAACATTGTGTTAACTTCACATAGGGGAAAAGTCAAAATGGATGCCTATAGTTTGTATTTTTCACCTCCAAAAATTTATGATTATGTTTACTAAAATCACATATTCATGTAGTGATTTGGTATAAATACAAATACTTTTTGGATATAAAGATAGGGACTATGTTATTTCAGATCATAGGTGTATTCATTTTACACCATTTCTCTGAATTCTTTATGTATTAGAGAAAACTTAATCATACAAACAAGATTTTTGGCTTGGTTCACTCAGTTCCACAGCTTCCGTTTTCATCATCCTGTCTATTTGAGAGGCATTTTAGGCAAACTGCTTGCCTGAGGCCAAGGAGGTTACGTGGGCTCAAGTACCTGCATGTTCATTCTGAGTGAAAACATCTTGCCTCTGAAGAAGTTTATAATTAGTAACAGTTTGAAAGGTCTCACGCTAAGGTAGGAGAAAGCATTTGAGGATTAGGTCTGGTATGTGTAAGAAATGAGGTGATGAAAGAAGTTTGGTGACAAGATCTTTTGTCACAGGCACCGAGTATAATATTCATACTATATAAGACATTTTATCCTTTTTTTGATCTTTCCTTTTCCAATGATGAAAGTGACCCATCTCTTTGGAATGGGAAGTTACTGGAGAGGGATTGGTTTGTGAGAAAAGCAGGTTTCGTGTGTGAGATCACATCCTGTACCCAGTAAAGGTGGAGTTTACCCTAGCGCTGCTTTATTACATACCAAACCAATAGTTTCACATGAAACTGATATACTCTGCCCTTGTGGGATCCTTAGCCCCTCTTGTCAACTTTCAGGGTTGGATATAGTATGATCCTGTAAGAATTAACCTCTGTAAACTGCCATTGGCTTAAAAGCCCAAAATGTTTGTAATAAAATCTAAATTTTTGGGCATAATTTTAGGTCAATCATACTCAATTGATGATAATTTGATCCCCCAGAAGGCATTTGTTAATTCCTGGAGACATTTTTTTATTAACACCATTTGGTGGTGGTGGTGTTATGGGTATCTAGTGGGCAGGGCCAAGGATGGTGTTAAACATACATTTCATAGGATACTCCACAACAAAGAATTATCTGACCCAAAATGTCAGTAGTGCTGAAGTTGAAGAACCTTGAATCAAATAAAATAGTATTTTTTTGACAGAGAGTGGGTTGTTTCTGTACACATTCAGTCTTATACTAAACTCAGAGCTCCTTTTCTTAAGGTGTTCAGTATTCTGGAGAAGCAGAATAAAAATTAATGTAGTATGGACTTTGATAGGAGAATACAGAATAAATTTCAGAGTCACAAAAGAAAAAATGCTTACCTTTGAGAGATTAAAGAAGAACTATAATGAGTAGATATAAAATGTAAAATGTGGTATAACATTTAGCTGTTTTCAGTTGCAAGTAGCATTAAAAAATCTTCTCAATAAAGATTATTGATTGGTGCACATACTGAAAGTTCTAGGTAAAGTGAGCTTCAGTGTTGGTTTGTTTCAGTAGCTCAATGAAATCACTGAGGACCTGACATCTCCCTTTATCTTCTCTGCCTTCCAGAGTGTAAAGCTTTAGTTTAAGACTCATTCTCCCTCTTGTTCATAAGATGTTTACCAGCTACACATCAATGGCAAGAGAGAGTGTCAATTCCAGAACCACCTCAGAGGAGTCAGGAAATTTTTTTCACATAAACCTTACCTTACATCTCACTGGCTCTAACTGAGTTATCTGAACCAAGAACTGTAACTAGAGTGTAAAATTACGCTGATTAGCTAGAGCTGCGCCAAGTTCAAAGCATAGAACCAGAGAAGTGTGGATATTTAAACAAAAATGGGAGTAACTATTAAAAGAAACAAAAACAGATGTTAGCAAGATGACCAGCTCCACTATATGTGGGAAGAACAATCAAGTTAAGAAGAAAGAGCAAGGATAAAGGCATGGAGGAAGGAAAGAGCACAGCCTGTTCAGATTTAGCTCTAATGCGACTGATATGGCTGGTGTGGTGGAAAGCAGGGGCAAATGGAGTTTGAAAGGTAGGTGAGGGCCAGGTCACAAAAAACAATTCAATTTCATGACAATAAATTTATTCTTTAGCCAAATATGAACATTAAAGAATTTTAAGCAGCAGAATGACATGATGAGAATTGTATTTTTGACACATGTCTACAGTGATATTAATGGAAGCATGGAAGGAAGACTAGGAGCAAAGGCAACTCTGTAATTTTTGGCAACTGGCCTAAAATGTGTCTGTGAACTTTATTTATAAGATAATAACAATTATACTTTCTGGTTACAAGAATTAAATGAGATAAAATATGGAAAATGCTTAACACATAGCACATAATCAAAATGCTAGTTGTCACTTGTTCACATAGTTTAATTTCTGGTTTTGCATTTCATCTGCTCTGCTTATTGTGTAAACTTGGTCAGATTACTTACTTTGAGTAAGAATGTTTCTTCTCTAGTTCCCATCATATTCTTCTTATAAGGATTATGAGATCATGCTTATAGAAATCACAGTGTAACTGAAAGAGTCTCTAATGCTACAAGTCACTTAATTGATTATTTGTAATAGAGGGGATGGAGAGAGGCAAGCAGGGTGAATATATATGTTAAAGATAAGAGTCAACAAGATTTGCTGGTACATTTAATATGGAGGCTAAAGGGAAAGGAGAAATCAATTATGACTTCTAGATTTTTTGGTGTGAGCAACTGGGTAGATGGTAATTTCATCTACCGAGGTAGAAAGATTTGGAGTACAGGTGAAGTCCAGGTTTTATTTCATATTTTGGACATTTTAAGTTCAAAAAGTTGATAAAACATGTAAGTTGAGATGTCAGAAAAGAAGTTGAATGTGCAAGTCTGGAGTTTAGAGAAGTGTGCACCAGAAATATAGATATGGGTTGACAGCATATATGCAGTAGTCACACCGAGGCAACTATGAAATTAGCTAAGAAGAGAAGAGAAAAGAAGACATTAGAGAGATTGCAAGATCTAAAGAGGCCTACCATCTAGGAACTTAGTAAAGATGGTGGAATCAGCAAAAGAGAATGAGGAGGAGAAGCCAATGAAGTAGGGAAAAAAGTTTCTGGAAAGGAAGGTGTGACCAGCTGTGTCAAACTCTGATGAGAAGTTAAATAAGGTGAAAACAAAATCCATTGAGCTTGGTAGTATCTAGGCTCTGGTGTCCTTAACAAAAGTAATGCCAGTGGACTTCTGGGGAGTGGCATCCAGGTGGAAGTGAGCTGATATGTGATTGGGAAGTGAGGAACTAGAGACAACAGGAGCAGACAATTCTTGTTTGTTTGTTTTTTTTAATACATACTGGTAAAGGAAGAGATTACATGTTGTTTAAAAAACATCTACAACAAAGAAAAGTGCCCAAGAAGAGCTAAGAAATTGGGATCTAAAATAGAATATAATAGGAGAATTTTTGTTGGTGCTTTTGGGTAAGATTCTCAAACATATTTGCCTGTTGATAGAAATGATATAGCTGGAAGAAAAGGGGCTAACTGAAAGAACACCTTGAATATATGTGAGTTTTCATATCCAGTGTACAAGTGAAAGATTAGCTTTTGAGAGAGGGATAGATGGGTGGATGCATCCTCCTTAGATAGAAGGAGAAGTAGATGGTGCAGAGGCAGGAGGACTTACAGGTTTAGAAGGGAAGATCAAGGAATTCTTGTCTGATTACCAGGCTGTGGGTCTGTCTTCATTTACCTTGCTTGGCACTTGGGGCCTTTTCAAACTGAAAACCTGAGTTTTTGTTGTTTTGTTGGGGGTGGGGGGTTAGGAAAAAATATTTAATTATAATTACTTTTTATTTCCTTGCTTCATTTTTCTCTGTTCTCTTCTACAGGCATGTCTGAGATGAATGAAACCCCTTAGGTTTCTCCTATTTCTTAAGCGTCCCCTTTTTTTTATTGTTTTAGTCTACATTCTGGAGTATTTCTTTGTCTTCCAGATGGATAATTTAGTTTCCAAGCATGTTAATTCTATTAATTTGTCTTTCTGTTTAATTTTTTGGTACAATATTTCAATATCTAAGATCTATTTCTTTTTCTCTGATTGCTCCTTTACTACAACACTCTTCTTGTTTAGTATATATCCTCTCCAATTTCTCTGTGTATAATAATTAAACATTTATTATTATTATTATTTTGAAACAGAGTCTCACTCTGTTGCCCAGGCTGGAGTGCAGTGGCATGATCTCGGCTCACTGCAACCTCCGCCTCCTGGGTTCAAGCGATTCTCCTGCCTCAGCCTCCTGAGTAGCTGGAATTACATGCATGCACCACCACGCCTGGCTAATTTTTTGTATTTTTAGTAGAGACAGGGTCTCACCAGGTTGGTCAGCCTGGTCTCAAGCTCCTGACTTCAGGTGATCCACCTGCCTCAGCCTCCCAACGTGTTGGAATTATAGGCCTGAGCCACCGCGCCTGGCTTAATTTTTTAAAAATGCTTTATATTATCTGTTTCCTTTGGGATCAGTTGTTCTGTTTATTCATCTTGATCTTCTCTTTCACTTTCTTTGCTTTCTTAAAATATCTGGTGATCCTAACCACTGACCAATTAAATTTATAAATAAAAGTCTATGTTGATTAATGCAGGTAGCTGGCAGGGGTGCTTCCTTTTCAATTGTGCAGCATGGTTTAAACAAAAAGGTTTGTTTTGAAATATAAGGGCCGTGGGTAAGTATACAGGTCCTATAGACAGAGAGATTTCTTTTTATGGCCTGTAATTCATCAAAACAGTCTAATTCTGAAAAATTCTTACAAGGACCTGCTCAGTTACACACACACACACACACACACACACACACACACACACACTTCAGAAGAGCATGCAGGTGTGTACTTCAGGCTTAAGCTGCTTATTGCAATTTGTATAGATTCTACCCTGAATTGAAAATGTCTCCACTCCAATTCATTGCAAATGTCTCCTCTATTCTATTTAATTTGTTCTACCTATACTTTCTAGAATAGAACAAACTTTAGTTCTTAAAGGGCCTGTTTATGTCAACTGCCCTTTTCCAGCTCCTCTTCTGTGCAGTCTATGGAGCTGTCTTTCCTTCTTCCCATACTGCCACACAAATCGTTCAAATTTTTAAACCCTCTCTTTCCCACAAGCTAACACTATAAAACTAGGTTTCAGACATCTAGGACTGCCAATCATTCAGCTTCTATTTTTTCTAAGTGGAGTTTTATAATCAGAGTTAAGTTGTCATCAGTTTAAAATAATGGGTAATAAGATGTTATTTGCAAGCCTCATGGTAACCACAAAACAAAAACTTAAAATGGATACACAAAAAATAAAAAGCAAGAAATCTAAGTGGAGCTCTTCAGGCCTTTGATCCATGAGATGTCTCCTCTCTCTCTTTCTTTCTCTTTCTGTCTGTGTGTTTGTCTGCCTCCCTTGATTATTGCAGTCAGAATCAGCAGATGTTATTACGTATTGTGAGGGAGAGGGAACTATCAACTCAAGCTAGCATGAGTAGCAGTCTCATTTCATGCTGTTTGTGCTAGAAACAGAAAACAATGAGATAATTTCTTCACTAATGTTCTTCAAGAGATAAGGGTAAAACATCCTAACATGATTATTATATGTATCTTCTTACAACCTTTTTGTCTATATTTCATTTTATGTAGGAGAAAGCTCAATTTTGTTAATGCTAGTTTTTTCTTTTTTCTTTAAATGTACTAGTATTTTCATCTATTCTTATATCCCAAATAAATTATAAGACATTGTTAAGGTTGTGTGTGTGTGAGAGGGGTTTGTTTCATCCATTTCCAATATAATCTAGAGAGAGATGACCTCATGCCAAATTTAGTCTCATTTAATCTGAAAATTTTACTAGAGGCATGGATAAGAACAACATACTTACATTAGACTTGTTGGTCCTGTTACTTCCCAGCTGAAAATATAGATTTTTCAATGGAACTTGGCTGCTGTTTTGAATTGAATATGACCCTTGCTGCCAATAAATCCTTATGGTATGTTATAATGTTTCTGTTGCATTCCATTTCTAATTTTCTCCTTTCTTCTTCAAACATTGATCCCATTGAAAGTAGGTCCTAATATCTCTTTTAGCTGTTGTTTCTATTTTAAAAATATTCCTCATTTTGAGGGGATTATTGGGACCAGTTAAAATTTAAAAAATTAAGAATAATGATTAAAAGCAATACTGTGCTTACTATTTTATTGCTATGGAAATAGTAAAATAATCACTCAGAGAGAAACATAATAGCATTTCTCATCATCAGAAGAAGAACCAGACAAGTTCCCAGGGTCCAAGCAATGTTGGTTTGGAGAAGAGAGCAGAGAGACCAGGGCTGAGTCCTTACTCCACTGCTCACAGTGCCACTTACCTCTATGTACCTCGATGAACTTTATAATATTATTGTCTGTAAAACAAAGTCCACAATATCTGACTTGGACAAAAATTGTAAATATTAGAGATAAAGCAATAGCCTGGTAAGTGCATGTTAAACTCAGAATAAATAGCAATTACTACTACTACTACTGCTACTACCACTACTGTTTTTCCTACTACTCCTACTATTTATTGGCAGATTTTTTTCAGATTATAGCAGAGACTTAATATTGGCAGCTTTGAATACTTCACTTCAAATGTATACCACAGAACTTATGATGTTGATGTTGACCATGAGCATATTTCTGGATGCCACTTCTCCATGACAAAGACTTGCTATTATATCTTCTTTCCAAATGATGTAATAAACTGATGTGAGCAAAAAGGTAAGATAACCTGTCTTTGTAGTTAAAAACTATCTTAAAAACAGTAGCGAATTGTGTTCGTACTTTCCCACTCCCCACAATTGTTGTTTTATAACCTAATGACATGGGTATAAAACATAGGTCTTTATTCTTTAAAATGAAGCCCTGGTTCATATGCTTCAAATAAGAGAATACTGAAAACAATGCTGTTTCTTTTTCTCTTTTAATATTTATATGTCACTGTTTGGAGTGAGTGGTGGTTGCCTAGTAAGTGACATCACCATTTAATGTAAATGGCATGAAATATGACTAATAAACTGACTAGACTCCTGTGAAAGCATAAGCAGGAGTTTGAACTAGTTAAAAAAAACTTTCTTCCCAGTATTTATAATAGTTATAATTTAAGCAATGAGTCTTTATTTTTCTTTGTATCTTTACCTAGTTAACATCTATTTCTCTCCCATTTCCTCAGATGTCACTTCCTTAGGGAAGACTTTCCTGACCTTTTCGAGGCTAATACAGGTCCTTTGTTAGGTTTTCTCACAGTACTCGTTCTTTTTAATGACACTTGGAACTACTTCTTTATTTGTATGATAGCTTGGTTGATGTCTATCTCTTTACTCCATCAAAGCAGAGATCACGTTTATTGGCAAATAGTTGATGATAAGTAAACTTTGTTGAATAAGGAAATAACATTTGACCTTTAGACTAAAACAGATATCTCCAATAAAAACTTCAGCACTAATGTTTTGCCTCAAAAAAGATCTCCTTATTCATGGTAGGATTTTTATTTTAAAATGTGTCCCATTACATTAGGACACACAGGACCAATCCTTGGCAAGCAGAAATACAGGAATTCTCTTGGTAGTTGAGAGTCACACTTTAAATTCAGAATCAATGAATGTACAACACCCACCTCATTCCATAGTAAACATAACCTCTAAAGCTACACTGGAGATCAAGTAAGGAGAGAGAATAGCCTCAGAAAAATATTTTTCTGATATACATATATAAAATTCACACCAATGTTCAGGCCATTAGTATTTTTTGTTGTCATTGTTGAGGTTGGGTTATTAGTCACTATAATTCTTATTAACATAACTAAGAGAAATGTGTTCCACTACCAAGAATTCCCATATTTCTGCTTGCCAAGGTTTGGTCCTGTGTCTTCTAATGGGACAAGTTTTAAAATTAAAAAATAATGCTATGAAAAACAATTGCTTCTAGTAAACCCCTTCAAGTTTAAAGAGGGAAAAAGAAACCAAAATCAGATAAATGAATAAAATGAATTATAGTACAGCCACAAGAATTCTTATGCAAATATTAAGATAGTGTTGTCAAAGGATACTTACTGGTATAAAATGTTACTAAAATATAATATTAAATTAAAATGATGAGGTAGTAAAATTTCAGTTTTGCTAAACATATATTACAATGATTAAGAAAGATTGAAAATGATATTATTATAGGTGATTCTTGTTTTTTCCTTTGTACCTTTTTGTAGTTGCCAAATTCAGTAAAATTAGCATCTAAAGAATTTTAACCAAATAATGTATATTAACTTCTGCTTCAGAAAGCCTTTCTTAACCTCGATATTAAAAATTAATCAACTTCTGAAAACTTTTTATCCCCAAACAACTTCCTTTGCATCAATTGTTCCTTACTTGTGATCTATACACATTAATCACTTCAAAATGTAAACTCTTAACTTTCCAAATAATATTTTTTCGAATTATAACTATATTTAACTTTATAGCTAAGATCTCATATCTTCAAGAATTAGATAAGAGTATGGAAGAAAAATGTTAAGATTTCACAGTGAAAAAAACTTCCACGAAAGAATCCACAAACTTTATAAGTATTAGTTGACATGTTAAAATATTTATGACTTCATTTTATGTTGTTAGCCTCTGAGTCCAACCAGGAAGTTGAATGGTTTACCATTGCATTTTCAATAAAATGGAAATCCTTACAACAACCTGAGCTCTGGTTTCCTCATCAAGCTGATTTCACACTTCTCTCCTGCTTCCTACTAATGCTGCAGTTTCCCTGGACTATCTTCTGTTCCTAGAGCAGAATGAAATTCTTTTGCTTCTTGAGGTCTTAGCATTTGCTGCTCTGTGTAACTAGAGCCCTTTACCCAGGTTTTTTCATGTGGCTGGAGCTATGTCTCGATTCAAACATCACCCCTTGGGTAAACTGAATGTTTTTGTATTATCCTATTTCTTTATTTTTAGCTCTTGTCACAATCGAGTTACCTTGCCTAAATTTGTTGCTTGTTTACTTATTTAACTACTTTTTCTCCCCAATAGAAAGTGAGCTCCAGGAGAAAAAGGAACTTGTCCTTCTTGTTCACCTCTATTTACAGCATGCCAAGAATATTGACTCAGAGAGAGTAAGGTAAAGACTCAATACATATGTTTTGAATATATAAATAAAGGGAAATTGCTTTCCAATCCATCCTCCACCCACAACATCCAGATTATAAAGAACTTGAATAAAAAGTTGCTATGTTTAGATGCAGGTGAAATACAAATAATTTATGAAATTTATCTTAAATATTTTTAGTTTCAAAAGAAGACAGTGTGGATTAAAGTTCCTGTAAGATAAATACAGGAGACATTAAATCTAACCATTACAACGTATTTCCAAATACTTTTATTGGGAAGGAAGTCACAGGACTCAATAGGACTCCTAATATTTATTCTGAAACTTTTTTGCAATTAATTCTATATGTTTTTATTCTACAGTCACATGTACATAGTATAGCAAAATCTTTTTCTTTATATACGGCAAACATATTCGTGTTTAGAAATACTTCTGTGTCCCCACCCCATGAGTTTATTTGTCTTACAGTATCTACCTGGGCATGATATACACCTATACTGATCACTTATTTGTGTCTTCTGTTTGGATATATCCTTTATCTATTTGTTCAGCTAATGGGGGTTTTTCCAATGTAAGGGAAGCATTCGGGATTTTCCAATCTTTAATGTTCAAATATTTTCCTTTAAATTTCTTATAGTCATTTAACTGCAGTGTGGGATAGCCTCATGACCCCTTTTTATAAATGACATATTAGAAAACACCTGGCAAGAAATGTTCTCAGGGTCACTAAGATCCTTTTGTGTGCTTGGTGATTCAGAAGTAACATTTTAGACCCAAACACCAGTGAAGGAGAAACGATTCAACCTAGCATCATTTTAAAACTAACTATAAAATTTCTTGCAACTATAAGTGTCATGGCAAAATTCTGTCTTCCTTTTTATATAAAATATATTTATTATTAGTTTCCTATGACATGACAGGCTTTGTGTCACCATGCTTTGTAATATGATGACTTACTATTTGTTGAAATACAATATATGCTTAACTTTTAAACAGATGTCACCTTCCATGTTAACTCTTTTAAGAGTTTTCAAAAAAATAAATAAAGCTTTACAGGGAAGATAATAGAGTTGGAAATTCCCATCGAATTTGGAGTTCAACAAGAAATTCTTAATGTAGTAGATGGTTCTATTGCCCTGACTTGCCCTATAAAAATATTTTGTGCCAAATTTTTTTCTGTTTCTTAGAGTAAATTGATTTAATGAAGATTTAATGAAGTTCCAAAGTTTCAACCATAAAATATCTGTGGACCCACAAAAGCAAATTTAGCATTCTTACAAACAAATCCACCTAGATACATGTTTAGCCCTTAATCTGAAAACTAGCTTAACATTCGTTTGTTAAATTGCATCAAATTTCTCCAAAATCCTAGTTGCCTCAGGAATCAAATGAGGGTAAGAAAGCATCTAGGACTTATATAAGGTGAGATTTGTTAAAGAGTCAGACAAAGGGTTTATTAAAGGTGAAGACACTGACTGTTCCTTAGTGAACACAGTAAGCTTCTCTTAAGTTTCTATGCTTGGTCTAAACCCTTTGGAAATTGTCTAATGAGCCCAAGACTCTTGCCCATCCTAAGTTTAGGCAACATTCAGTGACTAAGAGCATAAAATGATGCAAGGCTCAACAGAAATATCATAAGGATAATATAAAACAGTAGCTAGAAAAACAATAAGTTCAAAATCATTAAAAAGGATTAAGTTTAGAATGTGAACAATTTCCTGGAGTTTATAGAGAATTACTTCTCCAAAGTTCTTAGAACATAAATACATATCATGACTTTCCAGGAGAGGGCTGCAGTATGCTGATATTTTTTCAAATAATTTTGTCCTGGGACATTTGATGGCTCTAGTGCTTCAATGAACACCCTTTGATATGCTCTGCTGTACAGTCAGTTTTTGCGTATTCAGCTATTGATTAGTCAACTTATAATATATGCTGTTTCTTTGATCATCATTTATTCTATTCTTCTTATCATGCCAAGAAGTCATTTCAACTAAACTGTAGTTAGATAAAGAAGGAAATAAAATGATAGAATGTAAATCAGTTTATTTCACTAATTATTTGTAGGTTTACCTTGTGGTTTCTTTGGTTTTGTTTTGTTTTCACTTGGTGAATCGTACATTTATTTCATTGGCTAATAACTGCCTCCCTTCCCAGCACCATTTCCAGCAATTTTTTTGGCTCTTTTTTTTTTCCAGGGAATCGCCTTTCTCTATCTCCTGCAGCATGAGAGTCATGCTGTTCCTGCAGTAAGATCCTGCCTCCTGGCCATAGGTGAAACCTGACTCAAGTTAGCTCAAAAAGAATATGATATTAGACTGTAAAAAAGAGAGAACAGTTACTTACTGAATTACTAAACCTCAACCTTGGGTGCTGTTGGGAGCCATGTTTTCTGTCGCATGGGCCTGAAAACAAGAAAAGTAAGGGGTAGTGGGGGGAGACAGAGAAAAAGAGGAAAGGGGAGAAGAAGGGAGGGGAGGATGAGAGGGAATAGTGAAGTAGTTTCACAGAGATAAGCAAAGATTAAAGCTGGGGAGAGACTCTTGACTGACTTAAATTTCCATCTCAGTTGCTCTTGAGGAAGCTGTATTCTGTCCTTGTGTTCAGTGAGACAATTTACTACTTACGCTATAGTCCCCTTTTTAATTCACTAGTCACTCAGTTTCAGTTACTATAACCAAAATAATTATACTTATTTCATCTAGACACAAATAATTTAATTGTTGGGTTAAATCATAGGCATTGTATCTAATTTATGATGTTCTGATAGCCATAGAAAATTCATATTTATTATTTATTTATTTATTTATTCATTTTCGAGATGGAGTCTCGCTCTTTTGCCCAGGTTGGAGTGCAGTGGTGCAGTCTTGGCTCACTGCAGCTTCCGCCTCCAGGGTTCAAGCAATACTCCTGCCTCAGCTTCCTGAGTAGCTGGGATTACAGGCTCCTGCAACCACGCCTGGCTAATTTTTTTTTTTTCTTCTATTTTTAGTAGAGACGGAGTTTCACCATGTTGGCCAGGCTGGTCTCGAACTCCTAACCTCAAGTGATCCACCTGCCTCAGTCTTCCAAAGTGCTAGGATTACAGGCGTGAGGCACTGCGCCTGGCCCATATTTATTTTTTAACCTGACATTTAATATATAAGTCCAGGTCCTTTAAATAGATTCAGTTTACAGAAAATCCTAAGTAAGCCATTGTTTTAAGGAAACTAATATTTTAAATCAATTAACACAAATATTAATTGACTATATACTTCTGAAAGATGTGTAACAGAGAAAGGGAAGGAGATATTCCAAGACAGTTAGTAGCATAATGAAAGGCAGGGAAATATAAAAGTGAATAGTATGCTCAGGAAATGATGGATGGGCTTTTTTAATGAGATATAAAAACCTTGAGTGATATGATGGTGGAAAGATTGGTTGGAAACAGATTGTAAAAGGCCATGAGCAATGGAAAGTTTTAGTAAAGGTTTTGAACCAGAAGAATGACACAAATTGATGTGGTTTTAGAGGTAATGTTGGGTTTACTGTGAAGAATACCTGAATGGGAAGATACTGGGCAAAACTCATTGTTGATTATTTGATAAACTATGAGTGGCCAAACTAGGGCTACAACAATAGAATTAACAAGAAGGCTTGTACTTCAGAGGTACTTTAGAGATACAATCAGCATAATGTAATAATTGATGTTAGAAGTTTGATGTTGGGAGTGAAATAAAAGTTGAAGTGTGAGGCCCTTAAACAGAGAAGTAGATGCATGACAATACTAATATGAGACAGGAAGGAAGAGAAGCTGGTTTTGAGCATGTCAGATTGACATGTTTTGAGACCACCCAGGTTTACATATACAAAAGGCAGTTAGGAATATGATAATGAATATTTTACCTGTAATAATCATGGCTAGAAAGAGAGACATAGAAATTATTACCTTTGTCTGAGAAACAGTGAAACTAGAAAGAAAAGCAGGAGAGATTGGCTTTGGCAAAGGCAAGGAAAAACAAAATTGCAATGATGGTGCCAGATATACAGCACCAAGGTCAAGCAAATGAAAATGTAAAAGGCCCAGTGGATCAGGCAATGAGGGCTTGTCGGTATGTTTTGCAAGAGTATACTCAGTGGCAGAGTGGAGGGGACACACTAGATCTCCTATGCTATATTTTGAGGAGCGTTTCCTCTTTCATATGATGTAGGAATCTTAGATTGTGGAGCCTATCTCTTGGATTCAGATATGTTTGTGTTCATCTGTAAGACTGGGACAGGAAGCCTCAAAGGAGTCATTTTCTATAAGTGACTGAGGAACCATTCAGAACAGAACTCATTCTGAGAGAAGAGTGTGAGTTAGTCCCAAGTTAAAGGGTCAGTGTCATAATGGAAGGGTAATTTTCAGGAAAGCTGGGGATGTGCTCCTCGGCTTGCCCCTTTATTTTACTGTTGTCCCCAGAGATTTGTGTCAGAGCCCCAAAAGAGGGGATAGTAAAAAAAGAGAGGGCGGGGGAGAGAGATTTAAGAACTTGAGACGACAAGGCAACCCTCCTTTCTATCCTATGCAACAGAGTATGGCAGTGCTGTGGGTTAAGGGAAATTTCTGCATTGTGTTTGCTTTTGGAGCAGGTTGAGTTGTGGAACAGACACAACACCTGGAAAAGAGAAGAAACAGGACAGAATGTCACACTCAGGGATAACACAACCGTAACCAAGGAGGTGAAGGGGAGAAAGCCTTGTGGTACCAGAGAGCCAATTGTGAAGCATAAATATGATAAACTCAGATGCCTTCAAGAACAAGTTGGGAGAATCTGGAATCCCAACATTTATGGCTGAGGGCCAAAGACAGAGAAATGCTATTTCATTATTATTTTTATGGCCTTTTTTCTATCTTTATTTTTTTCTGGAGAAATGCTCCACTGCTATATTTTTAAAAATTTAGATGTAGGCCAGGCGTGGTGGCTCACACCTATAATTCCAGTGCATTGGGAGGTTGAGGCAGGAGGATGACTTGAAGTCAAGAGATTGAGACCAGCCTGGGCAACATAGTGAGACTCTGTCTCTACAAAAATAAAAATAAAAAATTAGACTGGCATAGTGCTGTGTTCCTGTAGGCCTAGCTACTCAAGAGGTTGAGGCGGGAGGATTGCTTGAGCCCGGGAGTTGGAGGATGCAGTGAATTATGATTGCACAACTGCACTCCAGCCTGGCTGACAGAGTGAGACCATTTCACACACACACACACACACACAAAATCTGGATATATAATTATCTTCATAGACTCAACTTAAATAGAAAAGTGGATAATGTCACTTCCCTTTTAGCCAAATCAGGAGAGACTCATAATAAACAGTTAATGTATTTCCTAGAAATTTTACAGAAATTATAGCTTGGGTAAAAAAAAAATGGCTTTTTAAATCTATGTATTTTATTTCAGTGTTGCACTACAGAAAGTTTTATCTTTGCATTTAGCAGGTTCTTCTGTGTCTTTGGTGTTAGGTTGCACCATCATTGGGTGTCTCTATGAATAGTATTCTGTAAACAAATATTCAGTTGACATATTAATAACTTCTTTCGTGTCAGTAACTGTTTAATGAGCTTTACACATATTGTGTGATTAATTCCTTCAGCAACTCTGTAAAGAAAGCATTATTTCCATGTCAAGACTGAGAATTAAATGCGAAACCTTACTTAAAGCCACACTCTTAATAGTAGAGCAAGAATTTAACCTAAGTTTGTCTAACCCTTCACTGCTTTGCTGTACTGCAGTCACACAAGCCATTAAAAGTGTCTGAGGTACATAAAAATTTCAATGTTGCTACATTTTACTCTTTTTACTCTTCTGAGATAAGATTCTCTATCATTCTGATTTATTGGAAGCATCAAATTCTCCTTATCATTCAAGGAAACTACGTGGGCAACACTTCCACCCTTAAACCATGACTGCATCCCTTTCACTCTGTCCAGAGTTTTATAGTCTGAAATTTACCTCATCACACCTGCTTTTAATAATTATTCATCAGAGCTTTTCCTGAAAAAAAAAATACTCTGAATATGGATATCATTATGAGTTTTGTCATTTCCTCTCATGTTATTTTCAACAAGTTAGAGATGGCCTTATAATAATCAGTAATTGCAAGGCTTTGGATAAACCTCATGGCTATCATGCCAACACCATATAAATAATATGTTAAAATAATATAATGTATTTTTACTTTTGTGAAGAAAGCATTTCACTCTTCACAGCATTCTATCATATCCTGTTTTATGTGGATCTAGCAAAAGGTAAGGGTGTTTTTTTTTTTTTTTTTTGAGATGGAGTCTTGCTCTGTCACCCAGGCTGGAATGCAGTGGCAGGATCTTGGCTCACTGCAACCTCCCCATCCCAGGTTCGAGTGATTCTCCTGCCTCAGCCTCCTGAGTGGCTAGGACTAGAGACGTGCACCACCACATCTGGCTAATTTTTGTGTTTTTAGTAGAGATGGGGTTTCACCATGTTGGTCAGGCTTGAACCCCTGACCTCATGATCTGCCCACCTCAACCTCCCAAAGTGCTGGGATTACAGGCATGAACCACCACGCCCAGCCCAAAGGTTTCATATTAGCAAATTGTTAAACTTTAATAGTAAATGCTATCCTTATTTACATGACTCAGTTGAGGAAATGTTTAATGATGTTATACTCTGAATGTTAAGACTCTGGGGCTGGGTTAAATCAGGGAAGGAGATGAATTCCAGAGTGAAGCAAGGAAGCAGAAAAATAATAACATAAGAAAGATTATTATCACATTAGAAAATAATCTCTTTGTTGCTTTCCAAGGAGGAAGGAAAAGAATGGGGAATAAAAAAGAGGAATTTATAAACAGCTGCAAATAGTAATAAAAAAGCAAGGCACATAAGTAGTATCCCAGAAGCCACATTACTTCAACTTTGCAGAAAGTAGGAAATAAGGAGATAGGGAAAAGGGGAAGAAATCATGGTTTAGCATCCCAATTTTATTGTTAAATATAATTTTATCTTGGCCACTTCCTTTTTTAAAATGCTGTTGGATTACACAACATTAATTACAGGATTTCCTGAGTATTCAGAATGTGGTAAAACCTACTGTATTCTTAGCATTTTTTAGATGTGGCAAATATTTATTGGTTTTTTGGCTGCCTTATATCTTGTTCTACTTCTGACATGAGATTTGCTTTTAGTGAATTAACCTTTTCCCCTTGGATATAATCCAGCTGGACAGAAATCACATGATCTGTCCTAACTAAAGGTTCAGCAACTTTTGAAAACTGAACAAGTACTCACAGAGACTTCACTGTCTGGGCTATGTTCTTGGTGATAGAGTTTTAGCCTTAATTATAGTTAGGTATTTCACACAAATTGTGCCAATTAGATGTTATTACCTTGTAATTTGATCTCAAACAAAGTGACAAAGAGAATGTATTTATTTCATTGGTGATGTCTTAATGCTCTAACCAAGAAAGTTTTGTAGTTCTTATATTTTTGCCTTCAAAGATTTGTTTTGTTTCCTGTGTTTGTGCCAGCCTTTCTATAGATTCTGTATCTCCTATTGACCTTCCAATACATTCCCTATTGCTTAGTTAAAAACCTTGCTGATTAGCTATACAACCTTTACCCGCTTTCCTTATTACAACCCCGAAGTCTTCATTTCTCATTGTCTCCTCAGAGATGGTTTCTGTACCTAGCAACAAAGAACTCTAGCAGACATAGTAGACCTTCCAAATGTAGCTAAAGGGAAGCCAACTACTTATTTATTCAGCAAAAATATACGGAGTACTTACTGTATGCTGGACACTATTGCCAGACATTTGGGTGGTGAACAAGCAAATCTTGGCTTCAATTCTCAAAGAGCTTGTAGTCTTCCTGACATCATGGTGGCTAAGTGGTAATGTTAACATCCTGGGAAGAATTTGAAGCCAAGAACACAAAAAAAGAATGCATGTCAGGAGTTGAAGACCAACCTGGGCAACATGGTGAAACTCCTTCTCTCTCTTTTTTTTTTTTTGATGGAGTTTTGTTCTTTCGCCCAGGTTGGAGTGAAGTGGTGCCATCTTGGTTCACTGCAACCTCTGCCCCTGGGTTCAAGAGATTCTCCTGCCTCAGTCTCCTGAGTAGCTAGGATTATAGGTGTGCATCACCATGCCTGGCTAATTTTTAATAGAGGCAGAGTTTCACCATTTTGGCCAGGCTGGTCTCAAACTCCTGACCTCAGGTGATCTAACTGCCTCAGCCTCCCAAAGTGCCAGGATTACAGGCATGAGCCACTGCGCCCGGCCTGAAACCCCTTCTCTACTAAAAATACAAATTAGCTGGGCATGGTGGCATGGGCCTTTAGTGCCAGCTACCTGGGAAGCTGAGGTGGGAGGATCACTTGTGTCCAGGAGGCAGAGGTTGCAGTGAGTGGTGATTGCGCCGCTGCACTCCAGCCTGGGTGACATAGAGAGAGAGACCCTGAAAAAAAAAAAGAAAAAGAATGTGTGGGGAGTGACAGAGAGGAATTGAGATGTTTGTGAGGGTACAGTAAGGAAGGAAGGTAAAGGTCACATGAGTAATTAACAGAGTTTTGTTTTGTTTTTTAAATAGAGGAACCATATGTATAGGTGCTAATAAATATAGTTATGTATTTATATAGCTAATTATTTACCAAATCTGATCCAACTTTCTGTTGCTGATATCATTGCCTTAATTCAGGCTTTCCTTATTAAATATCTTGTTTATTAGCTTCCTCGAGTGCAGTGATACCATCAACCTTCACCCACTCTTCTCCTCACTACTCTTAGCCCAACATCCACAATACACTGCTTCCAGGATTGCCTTTCTACTCTGCAAGCTGTCTGTATCAGTCCCTGCTCAACATTTTTCAGTAGCTCTTCAATGCTTTTCTAATACATCTGGCATACAAAGGACTTTAATACCATGACATTTACCTGCTTATTTCAATTTCATACCTTGGCACTTTTCCCAGCACGCTTGCATTACATCACTTTGAAAGTAATTCAGGTAACTTGATCTAATCTTGTTTTCTCTGGCCTCCTTACTCTTTCAACTCTCTACTTCTGGATTAAAATTTGAGATTCAGTTGATTTTACTAATATTATATTGTGGTATCCATACCGTAGACTTGATAGGTTAAAGAAAATCTAAATTCTACATCCAAGAGGTAGAAATCCAAAGCAATATTTGTAGATGTTGACTTTGCTTTAATGCAGATGAAATGCTCAATTCTAAAATTAACCATTGTGAAGGCACAAGAGGAATTGTTCTGCTGTAGAGGCAGATCTGAGGCTTGGTAGCACTGTCCACTGTCCAAGGTGACATGTGCCAGGGCCAGGATAGGCACCCTTGTACCCAGGCCCCCACAGTGGTCGCCTGTGGCTCCTGGCCTTGCTCTGGCCATGAAGTTCAATGGTGGCAGCCAGGCTGGCGGTCCCAGCTCAGGTGGCTGGAGTGGAGCAGAGGATACAGAGGCACCCTTTGAACTGAGTGTTTCTCTATATTTGTTACAGGCCAGGACTGCCAAGGCAGGTTTTTCTTCCGAGAACATCCAGCCCTATGCTATGTGTAGTTTGATCTTGAGAGACATATTCCACTTGACTAAACACCCAGGAACACAACTCATTCAGACACTGTGCATGTGTGGGACATGTATGAAATAATTTTATTTCAGGGCAAAACTTCAACAGCACCAGAAACAGCAAATGGGAGAAAATTCTTCCAGAATCATTTTGGACAGGGAAGATCTGCACATTCAGTGAGTCACAGAAGCCCTTTACCTGCAACATGGTGTAGGTAAGGGAGGTTAGGGAAGACTTTCAGGGCACCTTGGGCTATCCCCAGCAGCAGACCACTCACAATGGGGAGAAATCAGTCATAATCATCTAGTTCACGGCCTACTTTTACAGTGGAAAAGTCATTCTACATGGGGATAGTGCCTTTAGCTGCAAACACACACTTGCTCAGGAGCAGGATGTCCACCCTGGAAGACGGCATTTTGTGTGCAGTAGACGTGGGAAGGAATTCAGCTACAAATCCTCACTCATGCATCACAGAGTCAACAATGGTGAAAGCCTTTATGTGTGTAGCAAATGTGGAAAATCCTTCAGACAAAGCTCCACCTTCAGTCAACACTGGAGAAATCATACTGGCACAAGGTGTTAACAAGTGCAGAGAATATGGGAAATCTTTTACCCAAAGAAATCTCCTTGCTGAAAACCACAAAGTTCACACAGGAGCACAACCTCATGAGTGCTGTGAATGTGGCACATCTCACCATAGTTCTAACCTCAGCGAACATTGGACAGTTCACACTTGAGAAAAGCCCTTTGAATGCAGTGAATGTAGGAAATCCTGTAGAGAAGGTACTGGTCTCTTTCAACTACCAGAATGTTCACACAGGTGTTAAGCCTGTTGAGGGAGGGGAATGTGAGAAATCATTTAGAGGAAAATATGACCTCATGAGTCACTAGAGAGAGAAAGACCTTATGACTGTGGTGAATGTGGGAAATCTTTTACCTGTGCCTCTACCTTCCATTGCCATCAGAGAGCCCTCACTGGAGACAGGCCTTACGAGTGTAGTGAAAGCAGAAAGTCTTCTATCACTAGATCAACACTAAGTTGACATGAGAAAGTACATCCTGGAGAAAGCCTTTATGAGTGTAGTGAATGCGCGAAATCCATTACCCAAAGGAATCACTTCAGTACACACCTGCCAAATCACATAACAGAAAGGCCTTAGATGTGTAGGATATGTGCACTTTCCTGTTCAGTGCGGCAACCCTGGAGGAAAGTCTCCATGAGGAGGCTTCAGCCTGAATTGAATCTCATACATCCAAATGTTCACAGTGGGGAGATACCCTATACGTTTCAGTTATGTGAGTAGCAATGTGTAGCTATGTTGTACTTTATAACCTACCCCAAACTATTGCCAGAGTTATGGCCAAGCCCATTTTACCTCCACCATCTGGTAGAACCACAAAGTATGCATCAGTCACCACCCCCAATATGCTCAAGAAAGCTGACCTTTGTGCCCTCCCATTTGATTGATGGCAGTAGGAGTACTGAGCCCTTAGGGGCTTCTCATTCCCATCTCTGTGACTAGACAGGGCATGGAACTGACCAATTTTTGGCCCAGAGAACAGCATTATCTGTTTGGCTGGCAGGTTTCAAGGAAGGACTACCTTTTCAAGGACATGTTGGTTTCCCATGATGCTTGTTTATGATGAATTTTTTCCAGCTCCCAAGTTCCCAACCCAAGAACTGCCAGCTGCACATTGTTTTGGTGTGGACAATAATGAAAGCCTTACTATGTAAGTCATCTTCAATCTCTAGGCTCTATTCATTGCTTAGGTGATTTTTTTGAATGTGAAACTTTTAATTTCTGAATATCTCTTAAAATTTGTATTTTGGGGCTAGAATATACAAAAATAACATTTATTTAAATAGAATTAACACCTAAAGTTCAGACACTTTTAACAAGTTGTAATAAAACAATAAACTTATAAGAAAATGTATACATTTTAAAATTTTTCTTGAATGAATTACTCTGGGAGGAAAATTTTTGTCCCAGAAAATGCAGAATTCTGCACTGTAGAATACATATTTACAAAAGATAACTAGTAGTGAATTCACAAATGTTTTAAGTTCCTATAGCCTTGATAAATATAAAACCCAAGTAAGCACAAAATATCTATAAAGATGAGTGCAAGCTAGACATTGATTGCAAGAAGGATATTATAAATAAGTCACACTAGAAAACAGAAAGACATCTGATCTTATAACCTCAGTCATGGTTTTTTGCATAAGTGATAAAAATATAAAAAATAATCCCCATAATACTTTACTATTATAGAACTTCTTCTAATAGCTTACCATTGTTAACTGTTCTTTTTTGTTGATGAATAATTTTACTATGATTCAGTGGGATTGTGTATACTCATTTTAATCTAGTAAATAATGAATAGCGGCTGTGATTTACAAAAGAATATACTGAACTGAATGAAGATGGGCACTGTTTAACACCTGTCACCAGGTGGTAAGATAATTGCTGGCTCTCTTATTCAATAGTATGTGAAGCAATATGTTGGAATTTTAGATTTGATGATGACGGCACTTCCATTTCCATCATGCTGCTCCAGCTTTTGTAATTCACTAGCAACTGGCTCTTTGAATTTATTATCCATTAGTTTCTTGGAAGGACTTGTAAGCAGTAATTTCAGGTGATCATTTAGAGAAGGACTAACCAATGACACTTAGGTGTACCATTACGTTCAATCCTCTTTCAAACCTTCATCATCTGAATGGACCAGCAATTATTTTATCACAGAAATCAGTCTAGGCAGCAAAGGCACAGCAGTTTTTTTCAGGACGACATTTGAACAAAAGTAATTCGCTAAAACCTTCCTTTGGCACAAAGGTATATGGATGTTTATCTCTTACATCTTCAGCTAAAATAACTAAGAAGAGCCTCCAATGCAAGATTTTCTGGAGACAGTCCCACTGTAATCTGTGTTTTACTGAATGATGTGCCAATCTGCATGGAACAGCTCCTTTAGAGTAAATAGCTTCCAATGCAGAAGGGGCTCATGACTGTTCACCAAATAGGTTAATTATTTTAGGAATAAGTTTATCACTTAGTTGAGCATAAGCTTTTCTTGCAGACTGTGGAGAAGTATTTGAAAATAAAAATGTACTTTGGTGAACTGTAGTCCTGTGTTTTATTCATGTGCTTGGTGATTTCCTTTGACCACGGTTACTACATCTCTCTCCTACCATGACCTCTCCATGAGCCAGTGCCCCAAGTGAGGCATTGCCTGGTACTGCTTGGCCAACAGCCACCATTCCTGCCACTGGCCACTGGGGTTCAGGGAATATCTGGAGTGATTTATTAAAAAATTGGGGTTATGTGATAATAAATGGGGGAAAAGCTTTTATGGAGTCCCAAAACTTCTGTGCTTTCCTTAGATGGGTAGTATGATGGCAGAAAATAGCTCTCCATGTTTGGCCAAATTTGTTATCCTCAGCCATTGTTTAAAGCCTTATGAAGGCATACTTTACATGTAATAAGCTGAACAGATTTAAAGTGTATAATTTGATAAATTTTGAAATATGGATGAACCTATTAAACCATCATAACCATGAAAATGTCACCATATATTGGGAGCTGATCATAATCTCAAAAAACATAATCTTGAAAGCCATAATCCTGAATGTTGGCATCCCAAAAGATCAAAGTCCTGAGTATGTAATTCTGGAAAAAAATAATTTGAAGGATATTTATTGACATTTTTATAACGGGATTTGAGAAACATACAAAAACATGACAGAACACTTTGATAGGCCACTTTACACAATAAAATAGACAATAATAACATACCTATTTTTGCAAGCTTAAACGCACTCATGTATTCTAATGATAGTCACATGGGTATAACAGTTATGATCATACCAACCATATTCATAAATTGATCAAAAAGTAAAATGTGTAAATGTATATCACTATAGTTGGTAATTTATACCTGTAGTCCTTTGAAATACCATTGATAAACAATCTTAATCCTTTGACATGAAAAACATGATGGGTCACCACTGCATCACTACTGCCCCACTCACCAAAAGAGCCAAGATCTCAAAAAATTTTAGTTTTCACACATGCAGGTATACAAAAAGGACATCTCTTCATTTACTGAGGAAGTTTCAATGTTTTTACATATATACACAATGCTTAAATATGAATTAAATGTTGTAATAATGTACTTTTATGGAAGCACATTTGCAAAAAATGCATGAAATGAATTAGAACGAACTCCTTAAAAGTTTTTGCACAATTTATACCTGAAGCATTGAAAATGATGCAGAGATGAACTATATAGCATAGCAAATTGTAAAAAATAAGGCTGACAATTTAAAATAGTGAATAAACAAAAAAAAAGAGAAAAACTAAGAAGAATATCTGATACATAAAAAGTATATTACAAGGACAAATTATGGGCAATTGCACATATTATAAGACCTGGCCAACATTCATGATCATTAACTATACTTTGAAGGCTTGCATCATGAAGAATAGTGGCTTTTTTCTTTTAGGACATGGCTTGCCTCAGAGAATACATTTATTATGGTTTGGCTGTGTCCCTACCCAAATCTTATCTTGAAATGTAGCTCTCATAATTCCAACAGGAGGGACCCAGTGGGAGGTAATTGAATCATGGGGGTGAGTCTTTCCTGTGCTGTTCTTGTGATAATGAATAGGTCTCACAAGATCTGATGGTTTTATAAAGGTGAGTTACCCTGCACATGCTTTCTTCACCTGCCGTCATGTAAGACATGACTTTGCTCCTCCTTTGTCTTTCACCATGATTGTGAGACCTTCCCAGCCATGTGGAACTGTGAGTCAATTAAATATCTTTCCATTATAAATTACCCAGTTTCAGGTATGTCTTTATTAGCAGTGTGAGAACAGACTAACACAGTAAATTGGAACCAGTAGAATGGGGTGCTGCTGTAAAGATACCCAAAAATGTGAAAGTGACTTTGGAACTGGGTAACAGGAAGAAGTTGGAACAGTTTGGAGGGCTCAGGAGAAGACAGGAAAATGTAGGAAAGTTTGGAACTTCCTAGAGACTTGTTGAATGGCTTTGACCAAAATACTGATAGTGATATGGACAATAAAATACAGGCTGAGGTGATCTCGGATGGAGAGGAGAAACTTGTCAGAAACTGAAGTAAAGGACACTCTCGCTATGCAAAGAGACTGGTGGTATTTTGCTCATGCCCTAGACATCTGTGGAACGTTGAACTTGAGAGAGATGAGTTGGGGTATCTGGTTGAAGAAATTTCTAAGCAGCAAAGCATTAAAGAAGTGACAGAGCATAAAAGTTTGGAAAATTTTCATCCTTACAATGCAGTAGAAAAGAAAAACCCATTTTCTGTGGAGAAATTCAAGCTGGCTGCAGAAATCTGCATAAGTAATGAGGAGCCAAATGCTAGTCACCAAAACAATGGGGAAAATGTCTCCAAGGCATGTTAGAGAACTTCATGGCAGCCCCTCCCATTTTTCCCTCCTCTCTTCCAGCCTAGGAGGGAAAAATGGTTTTGTGGGCCAGGCCCATGGCCCCCCTGATCTATGCAGCCTCCCACCATGGTGCCCTGCATCTCAGCTGTTTCAGCTGTTTCAGCTGTAGCCATGGCTATAAGGGGCCAATGTACAGCTCACACCTTTGCTTCAGAGGGTGCAAGCCCCAAGCCTTGGCAACTTACACGTGGTGTTAGGCCTGTGGTGCACAGAAGTCAAGAATTGAGGTTTAGGAGCCTCTGCCTAGATTTCAGAGGATGTATGGAAATGCCTGAATGTCCAGGCAGAAGTTTGCTGCAGGGGTGGGGCCCTCATGGAGAACCTCTGCTAGGGCAGCGTAGAAGGGAAATATGGGGTTAAAGCCCCCACACAGAGTCCCCACTGGGGCACTGCCTAGTGGAGCTGTGAGAAGAGGGCCACCATCCTCCAGACCCCAGAATGGTAGATCCACCAAGAGTTTGCACTGTGTGCCTGGAAAAGCCACAGACACTCAACGTCACTCCATGAAAGCAGCCAGGAGGGGAGCTGTACCCTTCAAAGCCAAAGGGGCAGAGCTGCCCAAGGCTATAGGAGCCCACCTCTGGCATCAGTGTGACCTGGATGTGAGACATGGAGTCAAAGAAGATCATTTTGAAACTTTAAAGTTTAATGACTGCCCTATTGGATTTTGGACTTGCATGGGGCCTGTAGGCCCTTTGTTTTGGCCAATTTTTTCAATTTGGAGTGGGTATATTTACCTAATGCCTGTAGCCCCATTGTATCTGGGAAGTAACTAACTTACTTTTGATTTTACAGGCTTATAGGCAGAAGAAACTTGCCTTGTCTCAGATAAGGCTTTGGACTGTGGATTTTTGAGTTAATGCTGAAATGAGTTAAGACTTTTGGGGGCTGTTGGGAAGACATGATTGGTCTTGAAATGGTAGGACATGAGATTGTGGAGGGGCCAGAAGCTGAATGATATGGTTTTGCTTTGTCCCCACCCAAATCTCATCTTGAATTGCAACTCCCATAATTCCCACGTGTCATGGGAGGGGTCCGGTGGAATGTAATTGAATTATGGGGGTGGTCTCTCCCATGCTGTTCTTGTGATAGTGAAAAAAATCTCACAAGATCTGATGGTTTTATGAAGGGGAATTCCCCTCCACATGCTTTCTTGCCTGCTGCCATGTAAGACATGACCTTGCTCCTCCTTGCCTTTCACCATGATTGTGAGGCCTCCCCAGCCACATGGAACTGGGAGTCCATTAAATCTCTTTCCTTTATAAACTACCCAGTCTTGGATATGTCTTTATTAGCAGCATGAGAATAGACTAATACAACATTCATATTCGTTTTATATGTGACACTTCTCTTTTTGAATTTCTTCAATGATTCAGTGTACACTGACATCAGCATTCCTTATTAAAATGTCCTGTCTTCTTTGACATGCCTCTATGTTGTTTTGGGTATGTGGAAATCCATTTTGCATGCACTGTGATACACACCACAAATTTTGCAGAAACAATACTGGTAATCAAACAGCAATACTGTTGTGTCAAGTGTCTTCTTAACATTGCACATAGGTTCATGGAAAAGTAACGGCGGTTTTTGCCATTACTTTCAATGGCAAAAACCACAATTACTTTTGCACCACCTAATAATTATTTTTGAGCTAGTCAGTAGCTTTATTGGCTTCTTTGGGGAAATTTGAATTTAATTCATTAAAGTCCCCTGAAATGTCATCAGCTGAAAGGAATGTTAAAGCAGACAAATGATATATTTTTAAACTGAAGTTTTTGCATTTTTAAACTGAAGTTTTTGTCACTGCCATACCACATAGCCATTTCAGTCATCTGACTTTTCTGCCAAATGCATTGGGCTGCATGAAAAAAACAAACTATTGGTAATATCTTGAAATTCACTTTGAGAAGGATTGATCACACCTGATTTCAAATTTGTCATTTGGGTTTGGGGACTCATTTGAAATCTGCATAAAGACAGTAACAAGGTAATATCCATGTAACATGATGCAATCTTGTTATTGTGATTTTCAGGATTTTAGACATTACGGATTTTCGACTTAGAGATATAGACTTTAGCAATTTTAATTTTTACAGATTTTGATATTTTGGTATTTCAACATTTGAGATTGTGTCTTTTGGGATTATGATCCAAACTCTCACATATTTCCCTCTTGTTTTTTGTAATCTTTCTCTCTTGCTGCTCTTCCCAGCTGTCCTAATAACTATTGATTTACTTTTTCTCGCAGGAGATACATTTGCATTTTTTAGATTTTTAATGATTAGGATCATAAAATGTTTATTCTCTTTTTGCATGTTGCATGATTTAATCAAAATTAGATTTGAAAATTACTTTTGCTTTAATTTTAAAATTAAAAAATGTAAGCACCATCCGATACAGTAAAATGTAACAGAATTGTCTAAATAGCATTTTTTTAGATTTTTATTTTTTTCAGATGGAGTCTCACTGTTTTGCACAGGCTGGAGTGCAGTGGAGGGATCTCAGTTCACTGCAACCTCCACCTCCGGGTTCAAGCGATTCTCCTGCTTCAGCATCCTAAGTAGCTGAGATTATAGCTGCATGCTGCCATGCCCAGATAATTTTTGTGTTTTTGTAGAGATGAGGTTTCACCATGTTGTCCAGGCTGGTCTCAAACTCCTGAACTCAAGTGATCGGCCCACCTCAGCCTCCCAAAGTGCTGGGATTACAGGCATGAGCCACTGCGCTCGGCCCTAAATAGCATTTTAAACCAGTATGTTTATGTAACATGGAGGCTCTGAATAATGCCTAAATAAATTAAATTCCTTCTCTCCAACTAAAACAATTAAGTTAAATTAAATTAACCATTGCTATATGTATTAGACAGTACTACAAATCTATAAACTGGCATTATGTGACACTGGCCTCACTCATGCAATCATATACATCATGACTTCAAATTTTATAATAAATTTCACCACCATATATTAAATATGATAAGAAACTTAGCTGTTATCAAATTATATTGACCACCATTTTTTTCATATTACTGAGCTTCAAATCAAATTTAATAAGTATCTTTTTTTCTCTTTGAATATCAAAATTAGTCAAATTTGTTTATTTTCAAATGTACTACCAAACTAATCAGATAACTGAAAAGCCAGTAAAAATTTTAACAGATACTAACTATGTACAATAAAAGTTCTTCAAAGTTATATTTAATTTGTCAAAATAAGTTTTTCAGAACTTTTTCACAGTGCAGCATATTTGTTGTGTGTATGGGTTTTAGGCCAATTTAGACTACTTGGCCTTAAATTTCATCCTAAGCCTACTAACAGGTTGCTTAAATTTTTGTGACTTGGTTTTTTTAATCTTTAAAATGAAGCAGTGGCATCTATATATAGTATATATCTATATAACTATAATCACATAATTTTACTTTTATAAAGATTACTTATTTATTTATTGTAAAGATTAAATGAATTAATTCATGTAAAGTGCTTGGAAAAAAGACTGCCACATAAAAAGCATCAGTAAATGTTATCTGTGTTTACTGTTTAATTAAATGAACTCAGTGAATATAATTTAGAATTTCTGGATGTCTTCAACAATAGACTACTATTAAACAATAACAAAATGTTCAGTTAAACCCAAAGACATAGAAAAAAATCAATAGTTATCACAGGATGAATGGATAAAAATAGATTTTATTTTTATTTTTATTTTTTGAGATGGAGTCTTGTTCTGTCACCAAGGCTGGAGTGCAGTGGCATGACCTCAGCTCACTGCAACCTCTGCTTCTGGGTTCAAGCAATTCTCCTGCCTCAGCCTCCCGAGTAGCTGGGACTACAGGTGCGTGCCACCACGCCCATCTAATTTTTGTATTTTTAGTAGAGACGGGGTTTCACCATGTTGGCCAGGATGGTCTCGATCTCTTGACCTCATGATCTGCCTGCCTCAGCCTCCCAAAGTGCTGGGATTATAGGCATGAGCCACCATGCCCAGCCAAATATATTATTTTTTTAGTCTCAAGAATGAATGTAAGAATCTTGAGGAGTAACATCAGCAAAATGGCAGAATAGGAGGTCTCCTGCCCTTGTCACACCACAAAACATGAATTTGGCAAGCATCCATGATAATAGTGCCTTTGAAAGGAGCTTTGGGATCCTAATGAAAGGCTGAAACAATCTGGAGGAGGCAAAGGCCAAGGAAAGCTGCTTTTAGAAGAGTGGCCCATCCCCATGCTAGCATCAATCAACAGAATATAGGGGACAACTCAAAACCAGCAGAATACGCATTCTTCTCATGCTCACATGAAACACTCACCAGCACAGCCATAAAATACACATTATCCACTTTAAAAGAATAGAAATCTTACAATATTTCCTCTTAAACCACAAAGAAATTATTTAATGATACAGCATACAGTATTTTGGTGATGGCTACACTAAAAGCCCAGACTTCACCATTACACAATATATCCATGTAACAAAAACTGCACTTATACCCCCTAAGCCTATAAAAATAAATAAATAAATAAAAACTTCTTAAAAGAAAAAAGGGAATTAAATCAATAACAGAGATAACTGAAAAATCCCAAAATATGTGGAGCTGAAATAATACACATTTAAACAACACATAGGTCAAACAAGTACTCTAAAGGAAATTATAAAAATATTTTGAACTAAATGAAAACAAAAATACAATTTATCAAGATTGATGGGATACAGTGAAAGTAATGCTAAGAGGAAAATTAATAGTATCAAATACATATATTAGAAAAGAAGAAAGATCTAAAATCAATAATCTAAGTTTCCACCTTATAGAACTAGGAAAAAGGAGAAGAAAAGAAGTAATACAAAATGTAGAATTGACATCAATACAATTAAAAATGGGAAATCAATAGAGAAAAACCAATGAAACAAACAACTAGTTCTTTATAAAGAGCAAAAAAATCAATAAGCTTCTAACCAGGCTAAGAAAAAAAAAAAGACGACACAAATGACCAATATCAGAAATAGGAGACATCACTATAGACCCTACGGGCATTAGAAAGACAATAAAGTAATACTGTGAACAACTCTATGCTGACAAATTTGATAACCTAGAAAAAAATGGACCAATTCTTTGAAAAACACATTCTGTCAAAATTCACATAAGAGGCTGGGTGCAGTGGCTCATGCCTGTAATCCCAGCACTTTGGGAGGCCGAGGTGGGTGGATCATGAGCTCAGGAGATCAAGTTCATCCTGTAAATGGTGGAACCCCGTCTCTACTAAAAATACAAAAAATTAGCTGGGCATGGTGGCGGGTGCCTGTAGTCCCAGCTACTCAGGAGGCTGAGATGGGAGAATGGTGTGAACCCGGGAGGTGGAGCTTGAAGTGAGCCGAAATCACACCACTGCACTCCAGCATGGGTGAAAGAGCGAGACTCCATCTCAAAAAAAATAAAATAAAATAAAATTCACATAAGAAATAGGCAACCCTAATAAACCTATAACTATTAAGGAAATTGAATCAACAATGAATAATCTTCTAAAACGGAAGCACCAGGGCCAAATGTGTTCATTGGTGAATTCTGCTAAACATTTATGGAAGATATACAAATTCTGCATAATATCTTGCAGGGCATAGAAGCAGAGAGACTATTTCATAACTCATTCCATTAGGCCAGCATTACCCTAATACCAAGACCAGATGAAGACATTACAAGAAAAAAAAAACCTACAGACTAATATATCTCATAAACTTAGATCCAAAAATTTAAGCAAAATATTAGCAAATAGAATTCAACAGTATATTTTAAAAATTATACAACCTGATCAAGCACAATCTGACCCTATGATTCAGCAATTACACTACTTGATATTTCCCTGAAAGGAGCTGGAAACTTACATCCATATGATAGCCTGAACATCGATGATTATAGCAGTTTAATTCATAATTGCCAAAACTTGAAAGCATCCATGATGTCCTTTAGTAAGTGAAATGATAAATTATGGCACATCCAAACAGTGGAATATTTTTCAACACTAAAAATAAACTATGAAGCCAAGAAAAGACATGGAAGAAACTTACATACATTTTACTAAGTGAAAAAAGATGATCTTAAAAGGATACATAACTGTATGTTTCAAACTGTATGACTGATAAAGACAAAACCACAGAGAGAGTATTAAAAAAAAAAGAGAAAGAAAAAGAAAAAAAAAGAAAGAAAATCAGTGATTTCCAGGGGCTAGCATTTGGGGAGGGATGAATAGGCAGAGCATAGAGGATTTATAGGGCATTGAAAATTCTCTGTATGATGTTATAATAGTGAATACATGTCACTATACATTTGTTCAAACCCATAAAATATAAAACATCAAGAGTGAACTCTAATATAAACTATGGAGTTTGGGTAATTATAATGTGTAAATGTAAGTTCCTTGGTTATGACTATGTTCCACTGTGGTGGGGGATTTTGTTAATTTGGAGGCTATGCATGTGTAGGGGTAAGGAGTACATGGGCTATCTCTGTACCTTTCTCTATATTTTGTTATGAATCAATCAAAAACTGTTCTTAAAAATTAAAGTCTTAAAAAGACAATAACACTCTGCCATGCTGCTATGGCTGCTGGCACATGTGAATGAACATGGATTCCACTGCCATCACCTCGATGAAGTATTTTGGCTACCACTACCCATTGGAGTGTTGTGACCAGGGGACTGGGAATACCTTGGCCCCTCCAATGCAGCAAGTTCTTAACTTCAAAGGGCTAGAGAACAAATCCAGGAGCCCACTACCAGCCCCCAAGAGTTAGAGCATGCAGCAGCCCAGGAGTGCTAAACTGAGCCTTGGCACCCTAAAATCTTCCAGAAATGAAGCCAGCTGACTATAACCACATTTTGCTACAATGAAACCCCCAAGTCATCAAGGAAGATAAAAGCAAAAGATCCCATCCAAAGGACAGCAACTTCAAAGATTAAAGGAACATCAGCCCACACAAATGAGAAAGAACCAATGCAAGAACTCTGGTAACTCAAAGAGCCAGAGTGTTTCTTACCTCCAAACGGTTACATTGAATCTACAGCAATGGTTCTTAACCACGCTGAAATGGCTGAAATGAGATATAGAATTCAGACTATGGATACAAATGAAAATCATTGAGATTCAGCAGAAAGTTGAAACCCAATCCAAGGAATTTAAGAAATACAATAAAATGATACAGGAGCTGAAAGACAAAATGGCAATTTTAAGAAAGAATGAAACTGATCTTATAGAGCTGAAAAACTGACTTTAAGAATACAGTGTCTACTAAAAATACAAAAATTAGCCAGGCATGGTGGTGGCAGGTGCCTTTAATTCCAGCTACTTGGGAGGCTGAAGCAGGATAATTGCTTGAGCCCAGGAGGTGGAGTTTGCAGTGAGCCAAGATTGTGGCCTTGCACTCCAGCCTGGGATACAAGAGTGAAACTCCTCTAAAAAAAAAAAAAAAAAAAAAATTTCATAATATAATCAGCAGCATTAATGCAGAACAGGCCAAGCTGAGGAAATAATCTCAGAGCTCAAAGGCCAGTTCTCCAAAAGAACTCAAACAAAAATAAATAGTGAAGAATTAAGAAGAATGAACAAAACCTCTGAGAAATATGGGATTATGCAAAGGGACAAAAATCTATGACTTGTTGGCATCCCTGAAAGAGAAGGAGAGAAAGAAAGCAACTTGGAAAATATAACTGAGGATATAATTTATGAAAATTTCTTAAGCCTCACTAGAGAAGACAACATTCAAATTTAGGAAATGCAGAGAACGCTTGCAATATACCATACAAGATGACCATCCATCCCCAAGACACATTGTCATCAAATTCTTGAAGATTGAAATGAAGGAAAAAAATGTTAAAGGCAGCTGGAAAGAAGGGGCAGGTCACCTACAAAGAAAACCCCATCAGGCTGACAGTGGACCTCTGAGCAGAAACCCTACAAGCTAGAAGAGATTGGGGGTCTATATTCAGCATGCCTAAAGAAAATAAATTCCAACCAAGAATTTCATATCCAGCGAAACTAAATTTCACAAGCAAAGGAGAAATAAGATCCATTTTAGACAAGCAAATGATAAAGAAATTTGCTACCATCTGACCTGCCTAAGGGTGTGCTAAATATGGAAAGGAAAGACTGTTATGGGCCACTACACAAACACACCTAACTCCATAGATTATTGACACTATAAAGCAACTGCACAATCAACTCTGCATAATAAACAGATAACAACACAGTGACAAGATCAATATTAAACTCGAATGTAAGTGTGCTAAATGCCCCCAATTAAAAGGTACAGAGTGGCAAGTTGGGTAAAGAAGCAAGACCCAGCTGTATGCTATCTTCAAGAGACCCATCTCACATGCAGTGACACTCATAGGCTCAAAGTAAAGGGATGGAGAAAAATCTACCAGGCAAATGGAAAGCAGAAAAAATCAGAGGTTGCTACTTTAATTTCAGACAAAACAGACTTTAAACGAACAACAATCAAAAAGGACAAAGAAGAGCATTACATAATGGTAAAGGGTTCAGTTCAACAAGAGGGCCTATCTATCTTATATATGCACCCAACACAGGAGCACCACAAAATAATAGTGGGAGATTTCCACACCCCACTGACAGTATAAGATAGATTATTGAGGCAGAAAACTAACAAGGATATTCGGGACCTGAACTTGACACTTGACTAAATGGACCTAACAGACATCCATAGAACTCTCCACCCCAAAACAACAGAATATACTTTCTTCTCATCTTCACATGTCACATATTCTAAAATTAACCACACAATTAACAATAAAAACATTCTCAGCAAATTCAAGAAAACTGAAATCATACCAACCACACACTCAGACCACAGTGCAATAAAAATAGAAATCAATACTAAGAAGATTGCTCAAAATTACTTAATACATGGAAATTAACCTGCTCGTGAATGACTTTGGATAAACAATGAAATTAAGGCAGGAATTAAGAAATTCTTTGAAACTAATGGGAACAAAGATACAACATACCAGAATCTCTGGGACATAGCCAAAGCAGTGTTAAGAGGAAAGTTTATAGTACTAATCACCCAAATAAAAAAGTTAGAAAGATGTCAAATTAACAACCTAACTATAGATGAGGAAACTGAGGCAAAAAAAAAAAGAAAAAAAAGAACCTAACATTACACTGAGAAGAACTAGAATAACAAGAGCAAACCAATTCCAAAGTTAGCAGAAGACAAGAAATACCCAAAATTGGAGCTGAACTGAATGAAATTGAGATGCGAAAAACCATAAAAAAGATCAGAGAATCCAGTAGTTGGGTTTTGAAAGAATAAATAAGATTGATAGATCATTAATTAGACTAATAAAAAAAGAGAGAAGATCCAAATAAACACAATCTGAAATGACAAAGGTGACATTACCACAGACCTCACAGAAATACAAAAATCCCTCAGAGACTACTATGAACATCTTAATGCACACAAACTAGAAAACCTAGAAAAAAATGGTTAAATTTCTGGAAATATACAACCTCCCAAGATTGAACTAGGAAGAAATTTGAATCCCTGAACAGACTAATAACAAGTTCTGGAATTGAATCAGTTATAAAAAGCCTACCAACCAGAAAAAGCCCGGGGAATCACAATCAAATTCTACCAGAAATGTAAAGAAGAGCTGGTATTATTCCTACTGAAATGACTCCAAAAAATTCAGGAGAATTTATTTCTTCATAACTCATTCTATGAGACCAGCATCATTCTGATATCAAAACCTAGCAGAGATACAACAAAAAACTAAAACTTCAGGTCAATATCCTTGATAAACATAGATGCAAAAATCCTCAACAAAATAATAGCAAATCAAATTTAGCAACACATCAAAAAGCTACTCCACCATAATCAAGCAGGCTTCATTCCTGGGATGCAACTTTGGTTCAGCATATGCAAATCAATAAATGTGATTCATCACATAAACAAAACTAAAATTAAAAACCACATGATCATCTCAATAGATACAGAAAATGCTTTCAACAAAATTCAACATTCCTTAATGTAAAAACCCCCAACAAACTAGGCACTGAAGAGACATACCTCAAAATAACGAGAGCCATCTATGACAAACCCACAGCCAATATCATACTGACTGGGCAAAAGCTGAAGCATTTTCCTTGAGAACTGGAAAAAGACAAGGATGATCACTCTCACCACTGCTGTACAACATAGTACTGGAAGTCCTAGACAGAGCAATCAGTCATTAAAAAGAAATAACAGGCATCCAAATAGGATGAGAGAAGGTCAAACTATCTTTGTTTGCAAATGATATGATTCTATACCTAGAAAACCCACAGTGTCTTCCCCAAAACTCCTAGATCTGACAACTTCAGTAAACTTTCAGGATACAAAATCAATGCAAATAAAATCAGTAGCGTTTCTATACATTAAGAAAATCCAAGCTGACAGCCAAATCAAGAACACAGTCCCATTCGCAATAGCCACAAAAAGAGTAAAATACCTAGGAATACAGCTAACCAGGGAGGTGAAAGACATAAACAAGTTTCTTGTGGCTTTTCAGGCAGACGACATCAATTACCTTCTCACATTTCTATATGACCGGTCTGTTTATTTGTCTTTTAAATATAGTGCGACATCTTTCTGTCATCCTTAATATGAAACCCCAGATTTATCTACCTGTCATAAGGCTACATAGTATCTTAAACTTTTTCAAAGTGCTCATTAAAATTGTAATTCACTCATTTTTTAGCAGATGTTCATTGAGTGTATATTATCTATCAAAGCACTAATGTTGGTGGATTCAGTAGAGAATAAAGCAAACATTTTAGTAGGGGAGACAAACAATAAACTAGGTAAACAGGCCAGGAATATTGTATGCTATTCAATAAGAAGAGTTAAGGAGAAAAAGTAAGAAATAGGGAAACTTATAATTAATTATTTGGTAGATGCCTGTCTTCTCTATGAGATTCAGAGACTGTATATGACACATTCAGACCTATATGTCCAGGACCTGGCATGTAGTAGGTACTCAGTAAATATTCATTGGATATACTGTTGTTTTAAAAACACATACAGAAAAACATTTTTAAAATGCTTGGTGGCTGGGTGCGATGGCTCATGCCTGTAATCCCAGCACTTTGGGAGGCCAAGATAGGAGAATTGCTTGAGCCCAGGAGTTCAAGACCAGCCTGGGCAACATAGTGAGACCCTGTCTATACAAAAAATACATAAATTATCTGGGCATGGTGGCATGTGTGGGTGGGTCCAGCTACTTGGGAGGCCGAAGTGGGAGGATTGCTTGAGCCCAGGAGGTTGAGGTAGTAGTGAGCCCTGATGGCACTACCACACTCCATTCTGGGTGACAGAACATGATCCTGTCAAAAAAAAAAAAAAAAAAAAACCCGAAACTCCCAAACCTTAGAGTCATTAACAGTGTAATTGATACTTATTGTTTTGCTTTAGTCAATCAAGAAGAGTGTATTCCAAGGATCATCCTTATGGAGGAGATTCAGAAAAGAGGAAAGAAAGGGAACTATATTAGTTGAGTCCTATTAGGTGCTGGGAACTGTGCCAGATGCTTTATATCAATTATTTCATGTGTTACTTTAACAACTGGAGCTGGAAAGTATTGCTCCTCTCATTTAATTAATTAATTAATTTATTGACAAGGTCTTGCTGTGTTGCTCAGGCTGATCTTGAATTCTTGGGCTCAAGTGAATCCTCCTGCCTCAGCCTCCCAAACGGTTGGGATTACAGGTATGAGCCGCTGCACCCAGACTCTCTTTTCTCATTTTAAAGATGAGGAATTGAGGGTATTTTTCAAAGGTTTATTAAACATTATCCTGGCTGGGCGCAGTGGCTCACGCCTGTAATCCCAGCACTTTGGGAGGCCCGAGGCGGGTGGATCAGAGGTCAGGAGATCGAGACCATCCTAGCTAACATGGTGAAACCCCGTCTCTACTAAAAATACAAAAAATTAGCCAGGCGCGGTGGCAGGCGCCGGTAGTCCCAGCTACTCAGGAGGCTGAGGCAGGAGAATGGCGTGAACCCGGGAGGCGGAGCTTGCAGTGAGCAGAGATTGCGCCACTGCACTCCACCCTGGGAGACAGAGCGAGACTCCGTCTGAAAAAAAAAAAAAAAGATTATCCTTTAACTAGACGAGCAATTTCAGTTGTCATTTTTATCTTTAGTATAATTTCTTGTCACATAAATTTTTGTCTCTGAACTTTTCAATTAAAGTTATGAAACTGTTTCCTTATGTTTGGACTCTCCTCTTGTTTTCAATTTGACAAACATTCGTGTAGCACCTGCTTTAATAAAAGTAAAACATACAGTAGCTACAAATATGAGCACAAAAATATCCTTGCTGTCCAGTATCAGGCAGTTTCTCTTCTGAGTAGTAATAATTGATTTATATTTTTATGATGAAATTTAAAGAATACAACCTGAAAAAACTTTTCCATAGTTCTGATTAAGCTATTTCTTCACATCCAGATTAGAAAACTATGCTATTTAATGTATAGTTGAAGATTATAACTATAACACAGTGTTGACTAAAATTGAAAAAAAAATTGGCAAGATAGAGGAAATCATCAACCACAGAAAGTATATGGGGTTTTCCCCGATTTCAAATCATTGTGGCTTAATTAATGTAGAGAGAGTTCAGGGAGTTGATGTGTGAGGTCACCTTATGAAGTAATCGTTTATTATAAATTTGTGCCTGGAAGAATAAAAAAAGTTGGAGGTGATACAGCAGATTCTGGAATTTTTTGAAAGAAAGATGATGGCATCTGGCTTTAATGCATGAAGATGTTAGAGTTAAGAATCTATATGGGTGGTTTATCGTGATGGTGGTAGTAATAAAGCAATACAGAAAGTATGTGTGTAAACAATTTTAATTGCCCTCCATTTACTTGCATACCCAAGAAAGTGTCATTTGTCTTTTTCTGTGGAGAATAAGTTCTCTCTAGTATGGTTTGGGATGGAAACTTTTTGGTTTACAAAATACTTGGAGGAGGTGTGGAGAAGGAAATATTTCCCACACAGTCTCTTTATGAAGCCAAGAGTTCTCAGGTAATATGTTAAAAACGATGAGCTCTAGTAGAAAAGGTCATGTTAAATCATTTCTTTGTATCTCCATCTCATAAAAAAGTGACTGACATATGGCAACAACCCAATACATATCTGTTAGTTTCATAAATAACTCTACGTGACACAACTGTTCTCCAAGCATGCTCTAGGAAACACTAGGCTCAAAATCATCTACATGAGCTCAAAATCATCTATGGATAAAAGATTCATTCAAAGTGCAAGATAGACCAATGGATTTTAATATACCAATATGAAAAGTTTATTTGTATAGTTTCAGACTCCACATTGCACTATACCTTTAAGAAACTCACTATTCAAGTGTTGGTGTAGTATCAAAGAATATCTGTAATTATCTGAAAAGGCTACTAAAATAATCCTCATCTTTCCAACGACATATTTATGTGACACTGGATTTTTTTCATGGACTAAAACTAAAGCAATATGTTAAAACAGATTAAAGAAGCAGATTTAAGAATCCAACTATCTTTTTAATTGATACATAATAGTTCTACATGTTTATTGGGTATATCTGATATTTTGATATATGCATACAATGCATAAAAGCAAATCAGGATAATTGGAATATCTGTTATTTCAAACAATTGTCCCTCTCTTTCTCTTTTCTTTCTTTCTTTCTCTTTCTTTCTCTCTCCTTCCTTCTTTCCCTTTCTTTTCTTTCTTTCTCTTTCTTTCTTTTCGTTCTCTTTCTCTCTCTTTCTTTCTTCCTTTCTTCCTTCCTTTCTTTCTTTCTTTCTCTCTCTCTCTCTTTCTTTCTTTCTTTCTTTCTTTCTTTCTTTCTTTCTTTCTTTCTTTCTTTCTTTCTTTCTCTTTCTCTTTCTCTCTCTCCCTACCTCTCCTTCCTTCCTTCCTTCCTTCCTTCCTTCCTTCCTTCCTTCCTTCCTTCCTTCTTTCTCTTGTTTTATCGCCCAGGCTGGCACAATCTCGACTCACTGCAACCTCCACTTTCTGGCTTCAAGTGATTCTTGTGCCTCAGCCTCCCAAGTAGTTGGGACTACAGGTGCAGGCCACCAGGCCCTGCTAATTTTTGTTTTTTTTTTTTTTCAGTAAAGATGGGGTTTCGCCATGTTGGCCAGGCTGGTCTTGAACTCCTAACCTCAAGCGATCCGCCTGCCTCAGCCTCTGAAAGTGCTGGGATTACAGGCATGAGCCACTGTGCCTGGCCTCAAAAGATTGTCATTTCTTTGTGTTAGAAATATTCCAAAGCTTTTATTCAAGCTACAACAAATTATTGTTAACCATAGTTCTATTGTGCTATTGAACACTAGAAATTATTCTTTCTGTTTTTACACCCACTAACCAAACTCTCTTTAAAACCTCTCCACTCACCTTTACAGTCTCTGATAACTACCATTCTATTCTCTACCTCCATGAGATTAACTTTTTTAGCTTACATATTAATGAGAATATGCAATATTTGTCTTTCTATGCCTGGTTTATTTCACTTAACAAAATGCCCTTCGGTTCCTTTCATGCTGCTGCAAATAACAGGATTCTTTTTTACGGCTGAATAATATCCATATACATATATATATCACATTTTCTTTATTCATTTATTCTTCGATAGATACTTGGGTTGATGCCATATCTTGGCAATTGTGAATAGTGCCACAATAAACTTGGGAATGCAGACATCTCTTCAATATACTGATTTTCTTCTTTTGGGTATGTATCTAGCAGTGGGATTACTGGATCACGTGGTAGTTCTATTTTTAGTTTTTGTGAGGAACCTTGATAATGTTTTCCGTAGTGGCTGTACTAATTTATAATTCTCAGCAACAGAGCAAGAGTCTTAGCTATTCTTTTATGCACCCTCCTCAGCATCTTCTATTTTCTTTTAGATAAAAGCCATTTTAACCTGGGTAAGATGATACCTCCTCGTAGTTTTGATTTGCATCTTTCTGATGATTAGTGATGTTGAAAATTTTTTCGTATACCTATTGGCCATCTGTATGTCTTCTTTTGAGGGATGTCTATTCAGATCTCTTGCACATTTTTTATTTGAATTATTTGATTTTTTGCTATTGAGTTGTTTGAGTTCCATATATATTCTAATTATTAATCTCATCTTAGATAGTTTGCCAATATTTTCTTCCATTCTATAGGTTGTTTTTTTCACTTTGCTGATTGTTTCTTTTGGTGTGCAGAAGCTTTTCAGCTTGATATAATCCCATTTGTGTAATTTTGCTTTTGTTGTCTGTGCTTTTTAATGACTTACCAAAAAAAAAAAAAATTGCCCAGACCAATGTCCTAAGGTGTAGTTCTCTCATGTTTTCTTCTAGTAATTTCATAGTGTTTCAGATCTTGCATTTAAGTCTTTAATACATCTTTATTTGATTTTTACATAAGGTGAGAGGTAGGGATCTAGTTTCATTCTTCTGCATATGGTTATCCAATTTTCCCAACATCATTTACTGAAGAGACTGTTCTTTCCCCGGTGTATGTTCTTGGTACCTTTGTTGAAAATGAGTTGTCTGTAAATGCATGGGTTTATTTTGGGGTTCTCTATTCTGTTCCATTGGTCTATGTGTCTGCTTTTATGCCACTACCATGCTGATTCGGTTATAATAGCTTTGTAGTATAGTTTGAAATTGGATAGTGTGATGCCTACAGCTTTGTTCTTTTTACTCAGGATTGCTTTGGCTATTTGGGAGCTTTTATGGTTCCATACAAATTTTAGGATTTTTTTTCCTCTATTTCTGTGAAGAATGTCATTGGCATTTTGATGGGGCTTGCATTAAATCTGTAGATCACTTTGGAAAGTATGGATATATTAACAATATTAAGTGTTCTAAACCATCAGCATGAAAATCTTTACATTTTTTAGTGTCCTTTTCAATTTCTTTCATCCATGTTTTATGGTTTTCTTTGTAGAGATCTTTCACTTCTTTGGTTAGACTGATTCCTAGAAATTTTTTATAGCTATTGTAAATGGGATTACTTCTTGATTTCTTTTTCAGATTGTTTACCTCTGTTGTCATTTTTGAATGTTTATTTTGTATCCTGTAACTTTACTGAGTTTATGAGTTCTAATACTTTTTTTTTTTTTTGGTGAAGTCTTTAGGTTTTTCTAAGAATAAGATTATATCATTTGCAAACAAGAATAATTTGAGGCTGGTTGTGGTGGCTCATGCCTGTAACCCAGCACTTTGGGAGGCTTAGGCGAGCAGATTGTTTGAGCCCAGGAGTTTGAGACCAGCCTGGGCAACATGGCAAGACCCTGTCTCTACAAAATAAAAGAATAATCTTACTTCTTTCTTTCCAATTTGGGTGCCTGCCCTTTATTTCTTTCTTTTGCCTAGTTACTTTGGCTAGAACTTCCAATACCATGCTAAATAAAAGTGGCGAACATGAGCATCCTTGTTGTGTTCCAGATCTTAGAGGAAAGGCTTTCAATTTTTCCCCATTTAGTATAATATCTGTGGGTCTGTTATATATGGCCTTTATTGTTTTGAGGTATGTTTCTTCTATATCCAGTTTGTTGAGAGTTTTTGCCATGAAGAAATGTTGAATTTTATTGAGTGTATCTTCAACATCTATTGAAATGATCATATGATTTTTGTTCTTGATTCTGTTAATGTGTCACATTTGATTTGTGTATGATGAACCATCCTTGCATCCCTGGGATGAACTTACTTGATTACGGTAAATGATCTGTTTAGTGTACTGTTGAATTTAGTCTGCTAGTATTTTCTTGAGGATTTTTACATATATGAACATCAGGGATTGGCCTGTTGTTTTCTTTTGTTGTGTTGTGTCCTTGTCTAATTTTGGTATGAGAATAATGCCAGCCTTGTAGAATGTTTGGAAGTATTCTCTCCTCTTAAATTTTTTTTTTTGAAGAGTTTCAGTAGAGCTGGTATTAATTCCTCTTTAAATGTTTGGTAGAATTCAGCTGGAAAGCCATCAGGTTCTGGGCTTTTCTTTGATGGGATACTATTGATTACTGTTTTTATCTTATTACTCATTATTGGTCTGCTCAGGCTTCCTATTTCTTTGTGGTTTAATATTTTAAGGTTGTATGTCTCCAGAAATTTATAATTTTTTCTAGGTTTTCCAATTTGTTGGTGTATAGTTATTCATAATAGTTCCTAATAATCCTTTATACTTCTGTGGTATCAGTTATAATGTCTCTTTTTTTTATTTCTGATTTTGTTGGAGTCTTCTCCTTTGTTCTTAGCCTAACTAAAGATTTGATGATTTTATTTACAATTTCAAAAACCCAACTTTTCATTTTGTAAATCTTTTGTATTTTTTTCAGTTTCAATTTTATGTACTGATATTTTTGATACATTTTTATTCTCTAAATTGTTTACTTTTGCTTGAATCTTTATTATTTTCTACTTTCTGTTAATTTTGGGTAAAATTTGCTCTTCCTTTTCTAGTTTCTTCAAGTATAAAGGTAGGTTGTCTATTTAATATCTTTCTTCTCTTCTAGTGTAGGAATTTATTGCTATAAACGTCCCACTTAGTACTGCTTTTGCTGCATCCTATAAGGTTCGGTATGTTGTATATTCATTTTCATTTTTCTTAGGATATTTAAAAATTTTTTTTAAATTTCTTCTTTGACCCAATATTTGTTTGAGTGTGTTGCTTAATTTCCATGAATTTGTGAATTTGTCCATTCCTTTAATTGTTGATTCCTAGTTTCATTCCATTATAGTCAGAAAAGATACTTTCAAAGATTTCAGTCTTCTTAGAATTTGTTAGGATTTGTTTCATGACCTAGTATGTGATCTTTCATATTGGAAAAAAAAAAAACGTTGAGAAGAATGCCTACTCTACTGCTCTTAGGTGAAATGTTCTGTATATATCTGTAGGGTCTATTTGGTCTATTGTTCAGTTCTGCTATTCCCCTATTGACCTTCTGTCTGGATGATCTATCCATTATGAGAATGAGATATTAAAGTCTCCCGCTATTATTGTATTGCTATGTCTCCTTTCAGGCTTTTAAAATCGGGTGCATATGTAATTGTTATATCTTATTTTTGAATTGACCCTTTTATTATTAGAGAGTGACCTTTGTCTTGTGATAGTTTTTGACTTAAAGCCTATTTTCCCTGATGTGAGTGTAGCCACCCCTGCTCTCTTTTGGTTGCCACTTGTGTGTAATATCTTTCTCCACCTGTTCACTTTCCATCTATGTGCATCCTTAAATCTAAAGTAAGTCTTATAGAAAGCCTACATCTGGGCTGGGCGCGGTGGCTCATGCCTGTAATCCCAGCATTTTGGGAGGCCAAGGCGGGCGGATCACGAAGTCAGGAGATCGAGACCACGGTGAAACCCCGTCTCTACTAAAAATACAAAAAATTAGCCGGGTGCGGTGGCGGGCGCCTGCAGTCCCAGCTACTCGGGAGGCTGAGGCAGGAGAATGGCGTGAACCCGGGAGGCGGAGCTTGCAGTGAGCCAAGATCGCGCCACTGCACTCCAGCCTGGGCGACAAAGTGAGACTCCGTCCCCCCGCCCTCCCCCCACATCCCCCACCAAAAAAAAAAAAAAAAAAAAAAGAAAGCATACATCTGGGTCTTGTTTTTTTATCCATTAAGCCACTCCATGTCTTTGGGGGATTTAGCCCATTAACATTTAAAGTAATTGATGGGTAAAACTTACTATTTTGTTAATTATTTTCTGTTGTATCATTTTATTGTTTCTCTCTTCTTCTTATTTTCTTTCCATGTGGTTTGATGATTTGTTTTCTAATGGTATGCTTGGATTCTTTTCTCTTTATCTTTTGCATACCTGTTGTGTGTTTTGTGTGTGTGTGTGTGTGTGTGTGTGCACGTGTGTGGTTACCATAAGGCACATAGTAAACATTTTATAGGTATAGCAGTCTGTTTTAAGCTGATAATGAGTTAACTTCAATTACAGATAGAACCTCTACATTTTACCGCCCCCCTCCAACTCTATGTAATTGATGTCAGATCTTACTTCTTTCTATATTGTGTCTCCATTACAATTTTTCTGTGGTTATACTTATGTGAAATGCTTTTGTCTTTTAATTTATATACTAGTGTTAAAAACTGTGTGCTACCATTACAGTATTACAATACTCTGTCTTTATTCTTACCTTTATGAATGAGATTTATACTTTCATATGCTTTCATGTTGTTGTTTAGGATTTTTTAATTTCAATTCAACTTCCTTTAATACTTCTTGAATGAGAGGTCCAATGGTGAGAAACTCCCTAATTTTTTTTTCTAGGAGTCTTTGTCTCTATTTCATTCTTAAAGGACATCTTTTCTAGGTCGAGTAATCATGGTTGGCAGTTTTTTCTTAGTATTTTGAATATATCATCAAACTCTCTACTGACTTGCAAGGTTTCTGCTGATAGTTTTGTGGGGGTTCACTTATATGTGATGAGTTACTTTTCTCTGCTGTTTTCAACATTCTCTTTGTCTCTGACTTTGTATAATTTAATTATAATGTTTCTTAGTATAGGCCACTTTAGAGTCAATCTATTAGAAGACTTCATAAATCTGGATATTCGTTTCCCTTCCTAGACCTTGTAATTTTCCACCCTTTATTTCTTTGCACTTGTTTGTACTTTTATTGTTTTATTATTATTTTTTAAGTGGTGAAGTCAAATTTAATTTTTTTAACTTTTATTTTAGAGTCAGGGGTACATGTGAAGGTTTGATATATAGGTAACAATAACAATAGTTATTTCTTTCATTTTACTAATTTTGGGTTTGGTTTGTTCTTGCTTTTCTAGTTTCTTGAGATACATCATTTTCTTGTTTATTTAAATCCTTTCTACTTTTTTGACATGGACATTTATTTTTATAAACTTCCCTCTTAGTACTGCCTTTGCTGTGTCTTATAGGTTTTGATATGAGGTGACTCCATTTTCATTTGTTTGAAGAAATTTTCAAAAATTTCTTCTGAATTTCTTCATTGACCCATTGGTCATTCAGGAGCATATGGTTTAATTTCTATATATTTGTTAGGTTTCAAAAGTTCTTGTTATGGATTTCTGGTTTTATCTCATTGTGGCCAGAAAAGATACTTGATATAATTTTGACTTTTTTGAATTTACTGAGACTTGTTTTGTGGTCTAACATATGATCTATCCTGAATAATGTTCCACATGCAGTTGAGAAGAATGCATATTCTGTATCAGAAGGAGAAAATGTTCTTAAAATATTACTTAGGTCCATTAGGTGTAGAGTGTAGTTTAACTCAAATTTCTTTTTTTTAAATTTTATTTTATTATTATTACACTTTAAGTTTTAGGGTACATGTGCATTGATTTTCTGTTTGGATAATCTGTTCATCATTGAAAGTGGGTTGTTAAAGTCCCCTACTATTATTGTATTATAGTCTATTTCTCTCCTTAGATCTATTAATAATTACTTTACATATTTGGGTGGTCTGATATTGGTTGCATATATATTTACTACTGTTTATGTAATGAACTTCTTTGTCTTTTTTTACAGGTTTTGCCTTAAAACCTATTTTATCTAAGTATAGGTAGCTCTGCTTTTTTCTTTTTTGGCTTCCATTTTTGCACAGAAAATCTTTTTTCATCCCTTTACTTCCAGTCTATGTGTGTGTGTATATATGAGGTGAGCTTCTCATAGAAAGTATATAGTTGGGTATTGTTTCCTAATCCACTTAACCAGTCTATGTCTTTTAATTGGAGAATTTATTGCATTTATATTCAATGTTATTATTGATAATAAGGACTTACTACTGCCATTTTGTTACTTGTTTTCTCTTTGTTTTGTAACTTTTCCCTTCTTCCACTCTCACTGTTTTCCTTTGTGGTTAAGTGATTTTCTCTGGTAGTATGTTTTAATTGCTTATTTTTATTTTTAGGATATTTATTATAAATTGTTGCTTTATGGTTACCACGAGGCCTATAAAATCATCTTATAGTTATAACAAGTTTTTTATCAGCAGATAACTACTTCACTTTGATCATAAAGTAAAGAAAAGAAGCAAACACAAAGAAAAACTTAAAAACTTTGCACTTTAACTCCACCTCCCCATATTTTGGCTTTTTATTCTCTCGGTTTACATCTTTTCATAACTGCATCTTTCTTAACAAAATTTTGTTGTTATTATTGTTTTGATAGCTTTGTCTGTTAGTCTTCATACTAAAGATATGAGTGATTAACACACCACAATTACAGTATTAGAATATTCTGAATTTGTCTCTATACTAACTTTTACCAGTGAATTTTATATCTTCTGATGTTTTCCTGTTGCATGTTAGCTTCCTTTCAGACTGAAGAACTCCCTTCAGTATTTCTTGTAAGACTGGTCTGGTGGTAAGTCATATCCTCAACTATTATTTATCTCAGAAAGTCTTTATCTATTTTTCATGTTTGAAGGCTAGCTTGCTAGATACAGTATTATCATTTGGCAGTTTTCTTCATTAAGCACTTTGAATATATTATCTCACTCCTTCCTGGGTATGATTTCTGCTGAGAAGTCTGTTGCCCAATGAACTTGAGCTTTTTCATATGATGTTGCTTCTTTTTTATTGCTGATTTTAGAATTCTCTCTTTGACCTTGACCTTTGAGTGTTTGTTTATTATATGCCTTGGTGTAGTCTTATTTGGGTTGAATCTATTTTATAATCCTTTATAATCCTTGACAATCCTTGACTTTTCTGTACTTGCATATTTATATTTTTCTCTAGGTTTGGAAAGTGTTACTGTATTATCTCTTTGAATAAGCTTTCTACCTTTTGCCTCCTTCTCAATTCCCTCTTAAATGCCAATGACCCTTAGGTTTGCTCTTTTGAAGCTGTTTTCTAGACCTCGTAGGCATATTTCATTTTTTAAAAATTATTTTTTCTTTTTTCTTCCCTGTGTGTTTTTAAATACCCTATCTTCAAGCTCACTGAACCTTTCTTCCACTTGATAAATTCTGCTGCTGAGACCTTCCAATGAATTTTTCAGTTCAGCCAAAGTATTTCTGAGTTCTAGGATTTCTGTTCTTATTAAAAATTATTCTAATCTCTTTGTTAAATTTCTATGATAAATTTCTGAATTGTTTTTCTCTGTTATCTTGGAGTTCACGGAGTTTCCTCAAAATTACCATATTGAATTCCTGATTTGAGAGCCCACACCATTGCTCCATTGCCTATCACCGGATCTTTGCTTTGTCCATTTGGGGAGGTCATGGTTTCCTGTTTGCTGTTGTTTCTTACGGATTTACATTTCTGTCTTTGCACTAAAGGTTTAGCTATTGATTCCAGTCTTCACTGTCTGGATTGCTTTGGTCTTTCTAGGCTATGCATGTTTAGAGGTTCTGTGTGGTTTGCATGTTGAGTTCCCTTAGCCCCGGACTGCTGCCTCCTTTTTGGCACTAGATGGTGCCCTAAGTCCAAGTTTGCCACAGCTCTCAAAAAAGTTTGGAGAACTGCCTGTGTCAGATGGGGGGCTGTGTGGCAGGAGGAGTCCCAAAGGAGATTCCTTGGTTGTGTGTGGAGGCTGGGTAGAGTTTTGTGTCCTGAGGACCCATGAAGAATGCCTCCTAGAGCCCGGTGCTGCTGAACTGCTCTTCTGGTTTGGTGTCTCTTTTTGCTGAGCTGAAGAGCAGCCCTACATTTTGCACCCTGGGATTGCTATCCCTTCTCCACTCTCTCTCTCTCTCTCTCTTTTTTTTTTTTTTTCAGTCTAGCCGCCTTTAGGATATTTCTCTCTACAGGCACTTGTGATGCTTCTTGAGTTGAGGCAGAAATGGCAGTCCTGCTAAGAAACCCAAGATGGTGGGGAAGCCTGCTGTCTTGCCTGCCTTGATCTCACTTTTTCCATTGGTGAAACCCTAAGTCTAGGGGGACTTTTCCATGTAGTGCCTGGCAACTTAGGTAGGGGAGGCATATCAAAGAAACTGAAGTTCATTTCTCTTACTTTCTGCTTGTAGTTTTTCACTTTTCTGTGGTCTCAAAAATCATCAAAAGGCCCAGTTCTTGGTTACTGGTGATGATAATCTAGGTACTGGATAGTTGTTTTTGGTTTTCTGTGGGGAACACTGAAGCTAGATTATTTCTATTCTCCCATTTTGACGACATCACTCTTGAGAATACAACTGTCATTTATTAAGCCAGACATTAATGAGATTTACAAAATGCATCACAATGCCTCTCCTCTCACTAAGCTTACTTTCTTTCTTTCTTTTTCTTTCTCTCTCTTTTTCTCTCCTTCCTTCCTTCCTTCCTCCCTCCCTCTCTCTTTCCCTCTTTCTTTTCTTTTTCTCTTTCCTTACTATGGTCTAGCCTAGCACTTCTGGCCTCAAGCAATCCTCCCACCTTGACCTCCCAAAGTGCTGGGATTATAGGCATGAACCACCACATCCAGCCTTACTAAACATTTTTTGTTTAGGTAAATGCTTTTAATAAAATATAGTATTTTAAAAATATGTTATTTATACAAACATGCAATAAATGTATTATTTTTATTTTAAATGAATTAGAAAATATATTTTAAATATTTCATTTTAATTTCTAGTATAGTAAATATATATACACAAGTTTGTGTGAGTGCATCCCACATAAGCAAAAGCATTTTAAAATGTATTCAATAATTTTTAAGAGTGTAAAAAAGCCCTTAGACCAAATTTTGAGAACTACTGATATACTTCATAAATTTTACATGCATTGTTTCAATTTAACCTCAAAAAACAGATTTGTGAAATAAACAGGTCTAATCTTATATCTCATTCTGAGTTGTTTAATGCTTTATCCTCAGTGCTTGAACAGCGCCTGTATATTCTAACTGCTCAATAATATTTGTCGAAAGAACAAATATAAGGAAACCAAGATAAAAACAAAAGTTATTGAGATGTGTTTCACAACATGAATACCCTTAACACTATTGAAATGTACACTTTAAAATGGTTAAGATACAAAATTATATGTCTATTTTTTAACCACAAATTAAAAAAAAAAAAGAAAAGAAAGATATTGGGTAAGGTTAGAGTTGAGAAGACTTTTCACCTTGTGTGATATGTGGAGATAAGCATTATTACCTGAGGTTAGATCCACAGACGCTTTGGCAATAGTCTAATCAAGCACTACAAGAGGCAATGGGCTAAGCTTATTATCATGTTCTTGTGCAAGGATTCTCAAGGCCTGATTATTTCTTTCAGGTACAAATAGGGTGAAATGTTTTTAGTAACTGGGCAATCCCAAAGCAGGGAGTTTTTATAATGCCTGTTTTAATTTTACAACGTCCTGGTTCATGTTTTTCTTCCCAAGAAAGGGGTTCAGGGACTAAGTGTTTAGTGAGTTCATACAGTAAAGACCCTAAGAGGGGAAAACTAGAGACCCCTTGATGACAACATCTAATTAAACCTAAGAACCTGGAAAGTTTCTTCTTAGTTACCAACCTAGGAAATTCCTGGGAAAGCTTAACTAGCAGACACCAGATCTGGATGCCTGCGGCACTCAGATCATGTCCTAAATAGTGAACAGCATCTATTGATACTTGTAATTTGTCTCTGGAGACCTTAAGTCCCTTTTCTGCTAACTGCTATAATAAATAGAAGGAATCCTGCTGGGATGCCTCCTTAGTAAGTGAACAAAGTGAGATGTCATTGGTGTATTGAAGGAGTCAACCCTCTAGGAGACTGGAGGATGCTCAAGTCTCGACAGAGTACTTAAGAGAAATAGAAGGGGGTTTCAATGAACCCCTGAGACATGACCCTCCAATACTGTTGATTATTCCAGGTGAAAGCAAACAGGATTGACTGTCAGAGTCATCTGGAATGTTAAAGAAAGGCTGAACATGTTACAGTTTACAACTGTAAACCATTTAGAATCTGGGGGAACTTGTGACAAATGACCGTTAGGGTTTGGAACCACTGGGAAACAGCATAACTATCCTGTTAATGGCTCTTAGATTCTGAACAAATTGCCATCCTTATCCATTAGGTTTTTGTACAGGTAAAATCGGGGTGTTACAAAGGCTGCTACATGGAATAATTAATCTTTGAGCAATTAAGTCTTCTATCATTGACACTGGGACAAGACTTTTTACGGCCTCAGGCTTTAACGGGTATTGCAGTAATTGAGGAAGGGGTTTAGTGAGGTCTACTTGAATTTGAGTGCTCTGCACTTTTTATTCTTCCAAGGTCAGTATTTAATGTGGCTCATAGCAATTGGGTAGTTCAGTTAGACTGGGGCATTTTGTGGACTGTCCTCTTCCTCTATGTGTAGGACAGACCGCAAAGTCCATATGAGATCTGGCTCAGGTGGGTCAGAAAATTCCAGAGTCACATCTCCACTAGAGGCAAACCATATCAGACCTTTTAGCTTAGACAGAAGGTCTCTGCCCAATAAATTGACTAGAGCTGTGTCAAACAACAAAAGAGAATATTTTTCAGTGAAAGGGTCTAGAGTCGTTTGTGTAGCATAAGACATGAATTCCTTTTGAACTTGATTTGAAAACCCCACCACTGAAATTCTGTTTTACTACTAGGGAGAAGTTATTCTATAAAAGTAGTGTTTAAGCTGGAACCAGTAGCTCTGGTGTCAACTAAGATTGGAAAAAAAATCTTCATTAATTTTTATCTGTGTATCCCCTTGATTTTTCAAATGAATAAATGGCAGAAGCTTACTGGACCTTCCCTTGGAGGTCTGTCTGTCCACTGGTAACATGGAGATTATTATCAGAGGGTGGGCAGCCTGTATTCTGGGGCTTCCCTTAAAAAATCTTTGGAGGCAGGACTTTTAGCAGTGTCCCAGTTGTTAGCACAAATAGCAACAATTTTTTGGAAATGGTTGTTTTAGGAGTTGCATACTGGAAAAGTGCCCTGGGGCAGGTCCAAAAGTCATTCCAGTTTGCTGGTTGCCATGAAATTGTTATAATTGCTAGGATATTAATTTAGAAGCCTTTTGTTTCTTATCTTATTCTCAGATCATTTCAAAATGTTCACCTATAATTATTAGTTCAGCTGGTCTTGTAGCCTCCCATCCTATCTTTTGTTTTGTTTTTATGAGTCTGCTAATCTCCAGGAGGAGCGCATTTCAAAAAAGGCAGCTAGGGCTGGCTGGATTGTATCATCAGTTTGGTGGAAGCTGGAATACCTTGAGAAATAGGGCTTCCAAGCAAATTTTAAAATCAATAACAGACACATTTTTCTTTTACCTGCAGGCCTAGATGATATAGACCAGTCAGTGTGGGTGGGGGACACATCAGGAATAGTTTTCAAAGGTCATTTGGGATGTTTAAGGCTTTGGCTCATAAATAAATGAGGTGGGGCTTTTTGGGTCCTTGATATCATTCTCAGGAGAATACTGTTCTGCTTCTTACATCCGTTTTGGGGCTTCCTCAGGTCCCAGCAACATGTGCATTTGTTAATAGAGGGTAGATATCCAGGAGTCATAGGTTCCAATTAAGACTGAATTCTTGAGAAAATTTTGAGGGTCTTCCCTAGGATTGGGAAATTCTTTATAGCCTAAGCCCTGTTTTTGTCCAGAGAATGTAAGTGACTCAGGGATTATCTCCTGAATTTTCAGGTAGTTTTATTTTATAAAGGAGCAATTTGACTGCTTTTTCAGAGACACACACACACACACAAAAAGCAATTCAGACGGAGTTACTAGACTGTGAATATTCAGGAATAGAATGTATTAGACATATTCAGGCAAAGTAAGAGGGGAGCAGTAGGAGCATGCCGGTTCTATTGTCCTTGGTATGGGGCATAGCTTGCATTTTTCACTTCTCATTGATTTTTCTTTTTCTTTTCTTGTGACAGAGTCTTGCCCTGTTGCCTGGGTGCAGTGGCGCAATATCAGCTCACTGCAACCCCTGCCTCCCGGGTTCAAACGATTCTTGTTCCTCAGCCTCCCAAGTAGCTCAGACTATAGGCACATACCACCATGCCTAGCTGATTTTTGTACTTTTAGTAGAGACAGGGGTTTACCATTTTGGCTAGGCTGGTCTTGAACTCCTGACCTCAAGTGATCCCTTCACCTTGGCCTCCCAAAGTGCTGCGATTATAGGCATGAACCACCGTGCTCAACCTGTCGTTGATTTTTCATAATGAATCTTTTTAAAAAGCTAGTTTTTTAAAATCTTATTGTCTTTCTGAAGTTTTTTGAATGCCAATTGAAATAAGAATCACATTCTCTATTCTTAATTTAGGAGGCTTGGGATCTGAGTGTATGTCTTAGAGGAACAATCTTGTTCATCTGGAACATTCCACTTAATGGCCATTGTAATTCTGAGTTAGCTTTAGTAAGATTTGGTCACTTTTGTAAGTATTTGCAGCTTCTGAAGCTATAATTCTTATACATGAAAAAGGCAGGCATACAAGAAAGTGGAGTACTCAGATCTTTAGAAATTATGAAACTACCTTTGCAAAGATTATGCCAATGAGAAAAGCCAAGCATGGCTGACTCCACCTTGTTTCTAGCCTCACAGGCTGGCTGTCCTCACTCATTCCTAGGTGTAGGCCAAGCTAATTGTAGGAGGAATTTAGTTTATAGTTTAACATTGAAGCAAGGATAATAATAGTCCTTCCCTAAAATAAACCCCATCCTTGTTTACGGACCGAAATCACCTTTGTAAGACGAATGAAAGGACACAAGATTAGGTTTGTGGGAGGAGCCTGGATTCTGCCAAAATGAAGGTGTAGCTAAACAATAAACAGCTATTACCTTCTAGCCTGATGTTCTATGATCCCTTGCTGCTCAGGAGTCATGTGGCCATAGCTCACAAGTTTTGTTACTTCCCCAATTGCTCCTAAAGTTAACATCACTATTGTAAAACCTGAGATTGGTCTTTTGATGTGCTTTCTTCATACTTTTGCATTCTCGCAACTGACTGACTCCGTCTGGACCCAGAACTCATGACTCAACCTATCCTGTGGCCCACTCAGAGATGGACTCAGCACATGAGGACCATTTTTCACATTCCTGTGATTTCACCCCCAAACAATTAGCGGCACCCATTCTCTAGCCCCTTGCCCACCAAATTATCCATAAAAACCCTAGCTTCTCAGTTCTCAGGGAGGCTGATTTCAGTAATAATAAACACCTGTCCTACCATTTGGCCGGCCTTGTGTTAATTCAGTTCTTTCTTTACTGCAATACCATTGCTTCAGTAAATCGGATTTATCGGTGCAGCAAGTGAGAGGAACCTGTCTGGCAATTACAATTAACAATTCCATTTTTATGTTGGATTTTGGGTGTCTCAAAGCTGTGATATTTGGATTTGAGATATTCTTCACCAACTTAGTCAATGTTTTTCTTACCTTGGTGTGCAAAAAGAAAATAAGAAAAAGCCTTGCAATAATAACCGCTTACTACAACTGCCGTCATTTACCTTAAAAACTGGCTTTTTGCCAGTGATTCAGCAGTCACTGCAAACCCAAATGTCATATACCCTGCCATAGCACCAACTAACCCTTGGTACTCCAAAAGCCAAAGATGTCAGAGAGCTCAAATGCAAAGGAGAGCAGAGCTCGGACCTAAGCGGAACTCACAACTCTCAGGGCTCCATGAAGAAGACAGAGTACCTGAAAGGGGATCAGTGACACCTTTCCTGTGTTCTACAAGGGGTCTCAGGGTCATCAGCAGTCTCCTGCAGTTCCCTTCATGGTTGCCAGATCTGTCAGAAAACAAAATGTTTACAGGAAATTTAAAGTTCTCATTTGGCTTCATTTGTGACTCTAGAATTAGACAACACTTCATTCCATAAACAGCATGAGTGCTTCAATGAGCCAAGCAGAAGAGGGGTAAAGAGCACTTAAACAAAGAAAAAAAAAGTAGACTGTCATTTTAAAGTTACTTTCCTTGTAGAAGGGAACACGGTGGTTGACATCAGGTTACTTCAAATTACTTTTTTGTAAAGAATAAAACAGAAGAAACTTCATCACTATGCCAACTGAAACTGACTTGTTTGAGATTCTGGCTGCTACCTCTCACTCCTGATTTCTTAGAAAGTCACACAACAACTTAGTTTTGGTTTGGTGGCATAGAACTTTAATACGAGTGACTCCATTTTGGTTTTGTCTGGTCTTTGCGGCCTAGTGCAGAGACTTAGTCCAAAACAATGGCCTCCTACAATTTTAATTTAACAAAGGAAAATTGAGATTTTCTTGATGAAATAATAATTAGCTGGACTGAGAAGAGAGAAAAGGGATGGAAAATAATGAGAAGGCATGGAAGGAGAGACTATGTCCACTAAACTACAAGCTGTTGAGTGTGGCCAGATCTTGGGTTACCTGTGAAGTTTAGAGAGAAGATAAGACTGGGAAGGTTGGCAGGAGCCAGATGATGTACAGCTTTGGGCTTGGGTTTGATCTGGAAGTTGATGGGAAGCTACAAATTTTCATATTAGAAAGCTCATTGTGATGGCATTGGGGAGGATATATTGGGAGACATGAGACTAACAGCAGAGGTTCAGCGAGGCTTTGGTAGGAATCTAGCAAGAAGTAGAAAAGCCCTAAACTGATACAAGTTGAGTATCCCTTATCCAAAATGCATGGGACTGCTGGGCACAGTGGCTCATGCCTGTAATGCCAGCACTTTGGGAGGCCAAGGCGGGTGGATCACTTGAGGTCAGGAGTTCAAGACCAGCCTGACCAACTTGGTGAAACCCTGTCTCTACTAAAAATACAAAAATTAGCCAGGTGTGGTGGTGGGCGCCTGTAGTCCCAGCTATTTGGGAGGCTGAGGCAGGAGAATCGCTTGAACTCGGGAGACAGAGCTTGCAGTGAGCCGAGATTGTGACATTGCCTTCTAGCCTGGGTGACAGAGCTAGACTCTATCTCAAGAAAAAAAAAAGAAAAGAAAAGAAAAAAGAAAGTGTGAGTCCTCCAAAATGCATGGGATCAAAATGTTTAAGATTTCAGATTTGAGGATATTTGCATATACATAATGAGATATCTTGGGGATAGGACTCAAGTCTAAACATAAGATTTATTTATACTTCATATATATCTTATACAAATAGACTGAAGGCAATTTTATACATTATTTTAAGTAATTTTGTGCTTGAAACGAAGTTTGTGTATATTGAGCCATCAGAAAGCAAAGGTGTCACTATCTCAGCCACCCATGTAGACAATCTGTGGTTGATTAGCATCACTATCATGCTGTTTGCAGTAAAGGAATATCGCAGCTGAAGGGGGCTAGGGGCATCTTTTTTCCCTTGGGGGACACTGAATAAACTGTATATGCACGTGCATTTTGACTGCGACCCATCACATGAGGTCAAGTGTGGAATTTTCCACTTGTGGTGTCGTGTTGGTACTCAAAAAGCGTGGGATTTTGGAGCAGTTCAGATGTCAGATTTTTGAATTAGGATGTTGGGCATTTGAATAAGCATTGAACAAGCAGAGTTGCCTGGCATGGTGGCTCCGCCTTGTAATTCCAGCACTTTAGGAGGCTGAGAAGGGAGGATCAGCTGAGCCTAGGAGTTTGAGACCAGCCTAGGCAACATAGTACGACCTTGTCTATACAAAAAATAAAAGTTATCCAGGCATGGTGGTGCACGCCTGTAGTTCCAGCTACTTAGGAGGTTGAGGTGGGAAGATCACTTGAACCCAGGAGATCAAGGCTGCAGTGAGCTGTGATTGCACTATTGCACTCTAGCCTGGGCAATAGAGTGATACCTTGTCTAAATAAACAAATAGACAAGCAAGCAAATCACATAAATAAATAGAATTGGCAGGGTTTAATGATCAATGGATATGGAAGGTGAGGAAAAAGAAAGTCTAGGAGGGCTTTGTATTTCTAATGTGAACAACTGGGTAGTGTCAAGTGTCATTTGCTGAAAAGACAGCACCAAGGATAAGAGGGTTTGTACAGCCACATGATGAATTCAGATGAATTCAGACTGGTACTCTAGAAACAAAGCTCAGCTCAGACTCAAACAGTATGATTCCATGAGGTAGAAGTAGTAGTTGAGGCCTTGACCAAGGAAGAGATAGTCAGGATAAATGTGTAGAATGAGAAAAGAAAAGGCTTATGGTGGAGCTTCAAGTTAAAAATGATGTCTTCGGGCCAGGTGCAGTGGCTCACACCTGTAATCCCATCACTTTGGGAGGCTGAGACAGGTGGATGACGAGATCAGGAGTTCAAGACCAGCCTGGCCAAGATGCTGAAACCTCATGTCTACTAAAAATACAAAAATTAGCCGGGTGTGGTGCACGTGCCTGTAATCCCAGCTACTCGGGAGGCTGAGGCAGGAGAATCATTTGAACTGGAGCGGCAGAGGTTGCAATGAGCCAAGATGGCGCCACTGCACTCCAGCCTGGGCGACAGAGCAGGACTCCATCTCAAAAAAAAAAAAAAAAACAAGGAAAAAAAAAGATGTCTTTGAAATACACAAAAAAGAAACAGGAGGTGGAAGGAGAACAAAGAAGGTGTGGTTTCACAGAGACCAAGGTAAGGTTTCAAGGAGGAAGTGGTGAGGAGTGGAGAAATGTACAATGCCAAGGAAGTGAAGTAAGAGCTTGAAAATTACGTGTTGGATTTGGAAAATGGATGGTCATTAGTGACCATGATTGAAACCATTTCACTGGAGTCATTGAGGCAAAACTCTGAATGCTGTGGCTGGAGAAGAATATGAGCATAAGTTAAGAGGGCAGGTAAAGATGACTTGATCAAGAAGATTGTTTAAAAGAAAAAGGTAAATGATTGGTCAGAAGCTAGAAGAAGACCTAGGGCTCAAGATTTTCTTTCTTTCATCTTGTCTTTCTGTTTGTCTCTGTCTTTTTCTTTCAAGTTTCAATGGGAATGACTTAAGCTCCTTTAAATATTGAGAGGGTAAAACCTAGGTGAAAACACAGGCTGATAGTAAGGACGAATGGATCTAAATGGTGGAGCAAATTTCTGAGAGTGGCTCAAGAGATTAATCCTGGACAGAATTGTTCACTAATGAAAGAAACATAAACAAGCCACGGTGCAGAGCTAGATACGTGTTGGAGGTGAGGCAGGAAGTTGAGAGTGTTGCTGCATCAGATTTCAACTTGAAGTAACAGCACTTTTAAGATCTGCTACTCATTATTGTGCTGGTAACTATGACAGACTTAAATATATATATATATATATTTTCATTTCAAAGCAAGAATGAGTTATAAGGTATGTAAGTGAGATACTTGATATTTGAATATTACTGGCTGGGTGTGGTGGCTCACGCCTGTAATCCAAGCACTTTAGGAGGCTGAGGCGGGCAGATCACTTGAGGTCAGGAGTTCGAGACCAGCCTGGCCAACATGGTGAAACCCCGTCTTTACTAAAAATACAAAAAATAGCCAGGCATCATGGCGCATGCCTGTAATCCTAGCTACTTGGGAGGCTGAGGCAGGAGAATCGCCTGAACCGGGAGGTGGAAGTTGCAGTGAGCCGTGATCACACCACTGCACTCCAGCCTGGGCGACAGAGGGCGACTCAATCTCAAAAAAATAAAAATAATAATAGTAATAAAAATTACTTATAGAGGTGAAGTAATAACAGGAATATTATTATTAAAGGAGTCAGGAAAGAACTCTAAGGTGATCGGTAATCTATTTATCTAGTAACATCCAGATTGATGGAATTATTGAAAAGTTTAAAGATTCATTCTGATCGGCAACTTATTAGAATGGGAGCTGAGTAGAGAAATTTAGATAAGTAAATAGACTGCCAAAACATTGCAAAAATAACAAAATCAATAATAACTAACAACAACAACAACAAAAATCTTGACCACAATAACAATTTCTGAGATACTTGTGAAATAAAATTTGAGTGTTAAGTAAAGTGTATGAAGTTCTTGATTTTGCTAAAATTTTTCAAGGGACAATAGATTAAAAAAATTAAAAATGAATAAAATGTTTTAATCTTTGATAGGTGAAGAAATGGGGGCATTTCTATTATGACCTCAAAACTAAGAAAGTCATTGGTTACACTGGTGCATAAAATTACAGATGAAGTCAGTGCTGATTTTTTTTTTTATATTATGCACACTATTCCTGTTGATTTCTTCCCACAATGCATAATCAGGCCTATTATTTTGAAATAGACTTTGGAAACATTTTTGAAGCTCTGTGTCCTGTAAAAGGAGTGAAGTGTTGCCTCTGAAATATCCCTTAAAAATTACAGTTCTTTGAATAATAATGAGAAGTCTGTGATACAGTTTTGACCAAAATTAGCATTACCCAGACTGATTAGCAATTATAGTCATCAGCTGTGATGACAAATGACCACTGTCTGTTAAAAAGGAAAATCAAACATCCCCAAATTAGAAATCTATGCTGTCATTGGGGATATTCAGAAAAATGCAATCCTGACTTAGTTGGCAGTTCTTAAAGGGGTACATGAAAACTATTTTTAAAATTATTATTGGAATTAAGGTAATTTCTAGCCAGTTTTTATTTTCATGAGCACAACATTAATTTACTTAAATTGCCAGTTCTGATATGTTTGTTAAAGTCAGGTTTTCTTTTTATAGTCATTTTTTCTATTCATTGTTTTTAAAATGATCACTGAGAAATTAATCTATACAGACATATAAATACATGGTTTGTGAAAATTCACACTGTATATGTGTGCTTGTGTAAATGTATTGATAGATCTATAGATATAAGCAGAGAGAAATGTTATTTATATGTCTAATGTAGTTTTAATGTAAGTGATCATGTTATATTGTTCTGCAACTTGATTTTCTACTTATTATTTTAGCATCAATACATTTGCATGTTTTTATATCTCATTTTTTTTTTTTGAGATGGAGTCTTGCTCTGTCGCCCAGGCTGGAGTGCAGTGCCGCGATCTCGGCTCACTGCAAGCTCTCCCTCCTGGGTTCACGCCATTCTCCTGCCTCAGCCTCCCGAGTAGCTAGGACTACAGGCACCTGCCACCACACCCGGCTAATTTTTTTGTATTTTTAGTAGAGACAGGGTTTCACCGTGTTAGTCAGGATGGTCTCAGTCTCCTGACCTCATGATCCACCCGCCTCGGCCTCCCAAAGTGCTGGGATTACAGGTGTGAGCCACCGTGCCTGGCCCACATCTCATTCTTTTTAATGGCCACTTAGTATTCTGTGGTATGGTTATGCTAAAAATTATTTAATCATTCTTCTACATTATTGAAATATTCGTATACATACATACTCTTAAGAGAGTGCCTGGCACAGAGTAAGCTCTCTATGTGCTAGATCTTATGACTATTGCTATATTTTATTGTGATTATTATTAATACATTGCAGATGAGAAAACTGAGTATCAGAAAGATTGGGTGACTTTAACAAGATTGCATGGGTAGTAGAAAAGACAGAATTGGAACCCAGGACTTTTAAATTTTATAAGAGGCAATGACAATACCTGTGTCAGGTTAAAGAAAAAAAAAGGAAAGAAAGAAAAAGAGGTCTAAAGCATACTCTGGGAGAATGGAGAGAAAAACAACTGTGTGATGGAGTCAGGAAAGGACTTCGTTTGAGCTGATCACTATTCCCCTCAGACTAAAACAAAGTGTTTGTCCATCTGAAAGTGCTGATCTACAGTTTTGAGACAGAGGGCAGTGGATGGACAGTGGATGGGTCGGGTTTTGGCAATGAGAGGGAGCTGATTTGAATTAGAGGAAGTAAAAAAGTATGGGAGAGTTCTGTGGGGAATCATTAGGACTCCTTAGGAGATAACAGACGATTCCAAGCAGCAGATGAGGTGAAGTCGAACTCCACTGGACCTGTGGTGGGTGTGGCCAGCGTCATCCATCCAGAGTGAACCCCAACAGGAGCCACTCCGGGGCTGGGGCAGGCGGATGATCTGCAGACAAGGCTTTTAATGGGCTATGTTTGGGAAAAATATATTTTATATATAATAGATTATATTTGTAAAGACTTGTAGTTTCAGGATTTCATACAAATTAGCTTTCCAGTATTGAGCCACTGCAGTTAGGGCCCGGTCTCTGTCCAGCAGGCTGGGTGCCAAGTTCAGTGTCACAGCGTTCAGCAGGTGAGACACTCTTAATAGGCAGACACGGTGCCTCTGAACGCACAACGTGCAGTAAAGGAAATGCAGGCAATCCCTGTAAGGAGGAAGTGGTTAAGGGATCGAAAGCAGCTTGAGACTTGTGCAATGCAGTCATTGTCACCGAAAACTCCAAATGCGTTTTCATTTTCAAATGCTGAATTACACACAGGATTGCACAAGGAAAGTCTCAGAAGACTTCCAACCAGAGAGCCTTGATTCCAACTGGCTTTGCTTCCAAGAGCACATTCGGGACATTTTGAAAACCTGCCCCCAAAGACAAAGAGGAAGTATTTTGTTGTGGAAATCTGGTGGGTGTTTTTTGTGTGTGAATGGATGAGGAAAACTGCACGCTCGTTTAATTCAATAAGTTAATATCATCTGGCAAAAGCATCTCTCATACAGGAGGGATTGAGGGTTTTTAACAAAACATTTTCCCTATGGACCTAATTAATGATTCACTCATTTAGTGTTAATGCACTTACTCATCCTTTAATTTATTACTCAGATATGTTGGCCCCTCACATCCCATTTATCTGTTAGAAACAGTCAAGCTTGCCCAAATATGAATAAAGCTGTTCACTATTTGAGACTTGTATTGATTTTAATTATTTTTATCATAAAAATTATGCATGCAAATATAAATGGGGACTAAATTTCTTACACTTCCTTATAGTTTTTATACAACATAAAATAAAAATAAGTCTATAAAATAGAAATCCAAGCAAAATTTGAATCATTAACTTAATCAGATGAGCAATATTTTACTGCCCACAATAGGCTAGGTGCTGACAGCTATGGCCCAGGTCTTTTTATTTTTATTTTTAATATATAAATTGCATTGTGTATATTTAAGGTATTTAACAAGATGTTATGGGATACATATAGATAGTAAAAAGATTACTAGAGTGAAGCAAATTAGCATATACATTATCTTAATTACCTTTTTTAAAAATTTATTTTAATCCCAGCACTTTGGGAGGCCGAGGCGGGTGGATCACGAGGTCAGGAGATCAAGACCATCCTGGCAAACAGGGTGAAACCCCGTCTCTACTAAAAAATACAAAAAGTTAGCCGGGCGTGGTGGTGGGCACCTATAGTCTCAGCTACTTGGGAGGCTGAGGCAGGAGAATGGTGTTAATCTGGGAGGCTGAGCTTGCAGTGAGCAGAGGTCACGCCACCGCACTCCATCCTGGGTGACAGAGTGAGACTCCATCTCAAAAAAAAAACCCACAAACAAACAAACAAAAAATTATTTTGAGGGCAAGAGATCTACTCATTTAGCATGAATTCCAAATACAATGTTATTACCTACAGTCCTCATGTCATATATTAGATCTCTAGACTTGGTCATCCTACATATCTTGTACTTTGTGTCCTCTGACCTGTATCTCCTTATTTCACACCACTCCACCCCCACTAAACCACTGTTCATGCTTTACTTCTGTATATTTGAAAATTTTTTTAGATTCCTCATATAAATGAAATCATACAATATTTTTTCTTTCTGTGTCTGGCTTATTTCACATAGAATAATGTCTTCTAGGCTTATCCATTTGTAGTAAGGTCAAGGTCTCATTCTTTTTCAGGGCTGAATAATATTCCATTGTTTTGTATGTACCACACACAGTTTCTTTATCCATTTGTCCATTTACAGACACCTAGATTGTTTCCATATCTTGGCTATTGTGAATAATGCTGCAATGAACACAGGAAAATACAAAAATTAGCTGAGTGTTGTGGCAGGTGCCTGTAATCCCAGATACTCAGAGGCTGAGTCAGGAGAATTGCTTGAACCCAGGAGGCAAAGGTTGCAATGAGCTGAGATAGAACCACTGCCCTCCAGTCTAGGCAACAAAACAAGACTCTATCTTAAAATAAATAAATAAAATAAAATGAACACAGGAGTGCAGGTATCTTTACAAGGTGGTGATTAAATTTGGGGGGTATATGCAAAGATGAGGGATCACGGGGTGATGTGATAGTTCTATATTTAATTTTTTGAGAAGCCTCCATCTTGTTTTCCGTAATGGCTATACCAGTCTACATTCCCAGTGACAACTCACAAGGATTTTTCTCCACATGCCTAGGTTCCTTTGCAGTTGGCCAACATCAGCTGCAATGTGGCATTTATTGACTCCATTTGGCTACAGCTTTTCTCACATTGTCACACAGGGTGCTGGCAGAGTCTAGTGGGTAAGGGCAGAGGCTCTACAGCAAGATCGCCTAGTGGTGTGAATCCTGCTTCTGTTATTAATTACTGACTCTGTGACTTTAGGCAAGTTACCTAATCACTTTGGGATTCAGTTTCCATTTCTGGAAAAGGGTAACAATAATAGTACCTGCAGCAATGGGTTGTGATAATTCAATGGGTTAATGCCTAAAGAATAGAACCTACATAAAAATTTCAATAAATAGTAATTATTATTACTTGTACAGCAGGCTGTGATGTCATCTGGTATATAACACATTATTTATAGTTGACTATTCATAAGCCTGTGTGGTGGCTCTGCAATGTGTTGGCTAGGCCAAGTTATCTTTCCTGTGTGTTTCTGGTTAGAGTAAACCACAAGAAACATTCTTGTGCAAAACTTGGAGGGCATAAGTGAAAAAGCAATTATTTTGTAGCTCACATGCATTGTCATTTATGTCCTGGCTCACGCAATTTGTGTGAGTCAGTGGCTGGGCCTACTACTCTTCTACTTTCCCCTGGATCTTCTTAGAGATTCTCACAGATTCTCTGACTCCCAGGATAGGTGTGTTTGTTTAGCTCCATGGTGAAGCACCCTGACTTCTCCAGGACACCCACACCACTAAGGGCAGAGACAACAAGAACTAACACAAGTTTTAGTCCATCCTCACAGGTTCCAGCTTGTGCTTGTGGGTTCCTGCCTATTCTTAATCTCCTGACTTTACAGGCATCTTCCCTTCTTCACTGTCAGCCTCACGGATTTTTTTTTTTTTTTTTTTTTGAGATAGGGTCTCACTCTGTCACCCAGGCAGCGGCACTATCATAACTCACTGCAACCTCGAACTCCTGGGCTCAAGTGATCCTCCCACCTCAGCCTCTCAAGTAGTTAGCACTACAGGTGCATGACACTAAGCCTGGCAAATTTTTGGATTTTTTGTAGAGACAAAGGTCTCACTATGTTTCCCAGGCTGTTCTTGAACTCCTAGGCTCAAGTGATCCTCTCGCCTTGGCCTCCCAAAGCACTGGGATTATAGGCATGTGCCACTGCTCCCATTCCTGCCTCGCAGATATTAAGATCCGGCATCAGATGCTGATTCTTAACTAGCTCCCATAATTGTGTAAGGTCAAACACCTGTAACAAATCCTTTTAGAGAGAGAGAGAGAGAGATCCCTAATAGTCCTTATTCCCTGATTGAACTCTCTGACTGATATGCCCAGCATAACTAAAATAGTTCCACTTGGCAGCAACATGATTACAGACAAAAATGAAAACATGGGCAATGAAATCCTGTGGGATATTTGGTTATAACAAAGTCACTCATAGAATGCAGAATAGAATTATTTTTGGATGATTATGAAAATGAAATTTTACAATAAAAAATTCTCATAAGATATCCTACATTATGTTGAAAAATATTTCTGTTATTCATTCTTATTTGGCTTTTTACATAGCAAGTTTTGGAGACATTGAATACCTGATGTTCTTGTACTTCCCATTCCCAACTTCTTTTGTTGCAGACACTGTTGCCTTGAACTTTTTGGAGGAAAAAAAGACATACCATAACTCATCCTTTTCTGTTTCCAAACTTATCTCCTGACTCAAAAGAATCCCACCTATCTCTCACAAATATACTTATTCTTTATTCAATCTATCATTTAAAAACATTATTCGGTATCTGCTATATGCTAGACATAGAACTGTTGCTATATATACAAAGACAAATCACTGTATTTTTGTTAAAGGAGCTGAGTTTCTAATACAGGTGAGAAGCAAACAATCTAACAATGACAGTACAGGGCAATGGGTGCCATAATGGGGCCATGCACAGGACTCTACAGAAGAGGTTGCCAGCTCACAATAGGATGTTGGAGAGAGCTTTCCAGAGAGGGAATACTTGGATATTTATTTACCTTTTTTGAGACGGAGTCTCACTCTGTCGCCCAGGCTGGAGTGCAGTGGAGTGATCTTGGCTCACTGCAAGCTCCGCCTGCTGGGTTCACGCCATTCTCCTGCCTCAGCCTCCCAAGTAGCTGGGACTACAGGCGCCCGCCACCACGCCCGGCTAATTTTTTTATGTTTTTAGTAGAGATGGGGTTTCACCATGTTAGCCAGGATGGGCTCGATATCCCGACCTCGTGATCCGCCCGCCTGGGACTCTCAAAGTGCTGGGATTACAGGCGTGAGCCACCGCGCCTGGCCTACTTGCGTTAAATATTACAGTCTGAATAAGGATTAGACTGTAGAAGGTGAAGGATCTTTTGGACTGAAAGAACAGGATTGTAAAGTTCTGGAGGTGCAAGGAAACATGGAATATTTTAGAAAATGTCTAATAGGGACTCACAAGTTCGAAGGTGAGGAGCAAGATCTAGGTTAGAATCACACTGCAGAATTATCTTCACTCAGTAAACAATTGAAGTCGTGGGCGAGAGAATACAGGCTGACCACAAACAGCAGGAAGACGATAGTGGCCAAGGACAGCACTCAGTTGGGCCACAGCACTTTCCAAGGTGAAAAGGAAGGAGAGCATGGGAAGCACACAGAAGGGGAGGCCAGAGAAGATGCAGGAGAGAATTATGTCCTAGAATCCAGATCTGCAAGAAAATTAATTTCTATTGTTTATACCAGTCTTGGGTATTTTGTTGCACAGCACAAATAGACTAAGACAAGGTGATATGCCAAGCACAGTGGCTCATATCTATAATCCCAGCACTTTGGGAAGCTGAGGCAGGCAGATCACCTGAGGTCAGGAGTTTGAGACCAGCCTGGCCATCATGGTGAAACCCTGTCTCTACAATTAGCCAGGCGTGTTGGTGGGTGCCTGTAGTCTCAGCTACTCAGGAGGCTGAGGCAGGAGAAATCGCTGGAACCCAGGAGGCGGAGGTTGCAGTAAGCTGAGATTGTGCCATTGCACTCCAGCCTGGGCGACAAGAACAAAACTCCATCTCAAAAAAAAAAAAAAAAGAAGAAGAAGGTTTATGAATCATTGCGTGTATCCACCAACTTCCTGCCAGGAGGATGCATGCCCCAATAGGGACCGCACTGTAATCCTGGGTCCTATGAGAGGAAGATGAGGAACAGAGCCCTTGCAGATGACCTACTGGTCCTGACATGGACCATGAGGAAAATTTAATGTTTGTTGTTGTAAGCCACTTGGTTTGAGTTGTTTTATCACCTCAGCAAAGCCGATTAGTATAGAATTTGGTGATGGATTTGAAGTATTGCTATTACAAAGTACCTAAAAAGAATATGACATTTAGACTTGTATTTAAGATTGAGCACATTAGCAAATTTGGGGCACAAGGTAATACCTTTATGACGAGAATAAACATTTTTACAGCCCTCTCTGTGTCAGAAGTTTTGAGTCTTCTTAAGTGTTAAGCGTCCATTATTATGTGGCATAAAGAAATAAATTTATTCCAGCTTTTAAATGGATTTTTACTTTTGGCCTCTTCACTGGAGTAGTGACATTTCGACATGATCATTATTTAGGTTGTCATGGATATATTGATTTTCATACTTATTTTGCAGCTAAAATATTTAAATGTTGATATTTTAATTATTACTGTAATTTATGGGTGACTGGACAAGAATTATTATTAGTAGTAGTAGTAGTAGTTTTTTTTTTTTTTTTTTTTTTGAGACGGAGTCTCGCTCTGTCGCCCAGGCTGGAGTGCAGTGGCGCAATCTCAGCTCATTGCAAGCTCCGCCTCCTGGGTTCACGCCATTCTCCCGCCTCAGCCTCCCGAGTAGCTGGGACTACAAGGCGTCCGCGACCACGCCCGGCTAATTTTTTGTATTTTTTTTTTAGTAGAGACACGGTTTCACCATTCACAGGATGGTCTCGATCTCCTGACCTTGTGATCCGCCCGCCTCGGCCTCCGAAAGTGCTGGAATTACAGGCGTGAGCCAACACGCCCGGCCGACAAGAATTATTAATATATGACTGTTCTTAGGCTGTGCCCACTTCATCTATACAGAAGGAGGTTCTGTCACACCCACTGTGATTCTGAAGAGTGTTATGCAGAATCCTGGAATCTGGGAAAAAGTAGCAAGAATAAATGTCACAGACTATTTTTAAACAATTATTATTTAGGAAAAGGAGTAAAAAAGGAAGATAAGCTAAACTCTTCAGGGGCTTGGCAATATCTGAACATGCGACATATTATTAGCAAGACGTGGAAGTTTTAGGTGCAGAAATGAGAGATGTGATCAGGGAGATCTGGGGAACAGAGTAATACTTTTGAGAAAAAGAGTCATCCTGGGTAGGAGGAAAGTGATAACCATCTGGGATTTTCAGGGTGTTGGAGAACTGAAAAGGACAGAAATTGGATTTTTTTTTGATTGTTTGTTTTTGAGACGGAGTCTCACTTCTTTATTTTTTATTTATTTATTTATTTTTTGAGACGGAGTCTCGCTCTGTCGCCCAGGCTGGAGTGCAGTGGTGGGATCTCGGCTCACTGCAAGCTCCACCTCCCGGGTTCACGTCTTTCTCCTGCCTTAGCCTCCGGAGCGGCTGGGACTACAGGCGCCCGACACCACGCCCAGCTAATTTTTTGTATTTTTAGTAGAGACGGGGTTTCACCGTGTTAGGGAGTCTCACTTCTTCACCCAGGCAGGAGTGCAATGACGCGATCTCTGCCCACTGCAACCTCCGTCTCCCGGGTTCAAGCAATTTCCCTGCCTCAGCCTCCCCAGTAGCTGGGATTACAGGCAAGTGCCACCACGCCCGGCTAATTTTCGTATTTTCAGTAGAGACAGGGTTTCACCATGTTTTGGCCAGGCTGGTCTCGAACTCCTGACCTCAAGTAATCCGCCTGTCTTGGCCTCCCAAAATGCCGGGCTTATAGGCAATGAGCCACCGCGCCTGGCCAGAAATTGAAATTTAATGAGTTATTGTAGACTTACGTACTTGGGTTTCTCCTGATGACCTGGGGGAACAACATAAAGAAAAATCAAAATTCTTATTTTTCTGCTCTTCTTTGAATGTAAAACTCCTGACTGAACCATGTGGGTAATGGTTTCCATATAGATTCACATACATGTTAGCTTACCCTCAGTCCATCCCTGATCCCCTTCATCCCTGAGATTTACTCTATCCCTGAGACACACTTAGTCACTCCTACTCTTCCCAAGTAGAACTTCCTTTGATCCCCACCCTAATCCTGACCCTACCCCATTCCTGAGCTTCACTGCATTTCACAAACTTAACCTATATCTTAATGGTGAAAATCAAGAATGAAGTTTAGATATGTGTAAAGATGAAGGTGTTTGTGGTATGTTATTGAATAATTTTTTAATTGTATTTTTAAAGTTTTCTCAAAATTCAACCTAAAATTCTTATTACTGTGTCAAAACTGCCATATCAAAATATTTTCTTCTATTTCTGCTTTCCTCAGTTATTACCATTTTTGATACATCAGGGATTCTTCTCTATAATTTGGAATACATGTTTAAAGGAACATATCTGACCTCTCTGAATTTTGTCCTTGGCCTATGTGATGCCATCAACAGTGAGTTGACCTGAGATTTAAAGCTCAGTAGAGGACAGAGCCACTGAAATTAGATGTGAAGACTGCTAAATTTCAGCCAACAGTAGGTAGGTTGGTTTAAAAATGAAAAAGAAAGCAATTAATTAATTCACTTTAATCTTAAACAAATTATATTAATTACAACCAACTCATATCTGGGTTGTAATCAAAATTAGTCAAAATTCAAGCAACAAAGTTAAAGAAACAGTTTGATCAAATTTTTTTTTTTTTTTGATCACAGGAGTCACAGATTTGGGAAGGACTTTAGTTATTGTTTCTCGGAACAGTGGGAAACACTGCACTGAAACGCTGCTTTTCTGGAAAGCCCTTTTCGTCACAAATCCCTCCCTTCTTTTCTTTCCTTTCCTTCCTCTGTAGCCATGTCAAAAATAAAATTCTAAGCAAGTTTCTTTTGAATCTGTGTCTTTTTTCAACTGAGCTTCTGCAATTCTCTTATCTGCTTGCCCAGCTTGACTCTGTGGTTCAGCATAGCTTTGTTTCTTAGTTGTCTTAGTGACAAAGAGATATTAATAAACACAAATTCTAAACATAGTCTAAACCAATGAATAATAGTTATATCTCAGTGCTGTGACTCCAGGTCTCTGAACTCACCTGCAGTTATTTTCAAGTTTTCTCTAATTGTGAACTCACATGTTACTAGTTTTCTGCCACTGCTCATAAAATTTTGGAATTACTTTCTACAAGCCTTGCTTGAGTTCTCTGATTAAAAATGCAACTTTTTAAAATTATAATATGGTTTTATTTTTAACCCTACCTAATTAGGGACATTTAATATCATCTGTCCTTATTGGGCTATTCAATAAAACTGGCATGCTATTGCTATTTTAGGGCAACCCCACTTTCAGCTGTGCAGCATGTTTATACAACCTACTTTATTTATGCTTTCATTAACAGAAGCCAGAAACTGCTCATATGCTCCTGCAGGAGATGCCAAGGCCCTTCCAGCTCTAGTCCTCAGTTTATAATCAAACAAATCTGGACGTTTTCAGAATAGACCTTATTATGCTTTCAGTTTTTAAATCCTTTCCTGAAATTTCTTATCAACACAAAAGAAACGATACCAAAACAAAACACTGGTAAAGTGAATCAGGCAACTGGTTAAAACAGGAAAAGAAGCTGATTGCAGTTTTTACTTTCTGCATAATGAACACTTTTCAATGAATTAATGGACTCCCCTGATTATGTATTTCAGACTGTTTTAGATCAAAATGATTGAATATTCCCTGTTTAGTTTGATTTTTATAAACTTTCATTATGGTTGTTCATATGAAAGTATTAGCTTTTCTTTCAAACTGGTTACTTACTTTTTTCTCCTGAGAAAGACTTAATTTTTTCTGGATGATGATTTTACTACCCAAACAAGTTTTTCTTAAATAAAAAAACAGATCACTTGTTTTAATAAAATTTTATAAAAGTCAATAGGAAAATATATAAATATTGAGGTACTTTCTATTGGTTTTTAATATAGTGATTGAATAACATAAGTTCAGTGTAAAATATAACTGATAATAAAGCTAAGATTAGAAACAACATTTTTCCCAATCAATGTAATAGGATGACATTAAAAAATTAAGTATTTATAATGTCACTTAATAATTTAGCAGATCTCCATATCTTCCTTCAGATCTTTAATCATATTACTTTCAAAGCAAACATATTAGAAAAATAAGCAGAGTATAAAAAACAAAAACAAAACAAAACTAAGTGCAGCCAGGCATGGTGGCACACCTGTAATCCCAGCACTCTGGGAGGCCAAGGCGGGCGGATCACTTGGGATCTGGAGTTCAAGACCAACCTGGCCAACATGGTGAAATATCATCTCTACTAAGAATACGAAAATTAGCTAGGCATAGTGGTGTGCCCCTTTAGTCCCAGCCACTTGGGAGGCTAAGGCAGGAAAATCACTTGAACCCGGGAAGTGGAGGTTGCAGTGAGCCGAGATCACGCCATTGCACTCCAGCCTGGGCAACAGAGTGAGACTCCACCTCAAAAAACAAACACACAAACAAAAAAAACTAAGTGCTAAACAATCTTCCTAATTTTCACTCACTTTTTAAAAACTTTTTAAAAAGTGTGACATTTCTCAAATCCACTCACATCTTGCTGGCCTCAGAGAAGCTCTGTAACTCCTGTGGAAGAGAACACCATTTTCTGTCAGGTAATGGAAACTATCCATTCTATAATCATCTATGATTTATACAAAGCTTTCATATGATAGTGCTGAGATGCACATCCAGGTCTTCTAATTATGGCTCTCGGGCTCTTTCTTCAAGACTACATTCTTGCTGGCCATGGTGGCTCATGCCTGGAATCCCAGCACTTTGGTACGCCAAGGTGGGAGGACTACCCGAGCCCAGGAGTTCGAGACCAGCCTGGGCAATATAGTGGGAGCTTGTTTCAATGAAAAAATACAAAAATTAGCTGGGCATAGAGGCACATGCCTGTAGGCTCAGCTACCTGGAAGGCTGAGGCAGGAGGATTGCTTGAGCCTGGGAGGTCAATGCTACAGTGAGCCGTGATCATGCCACTGCACTCCAGCCTGGGAGACAGAGCAAGACCAAGTCTCAAATAAATAAACAAAAAGGAGAAATAAGTTCGTTTCCCCTTAGAAAAATTAATTTGTTCAACAGCAATAGAAAAAAATAAAAATATATACAAAGAAAAAAATTTAAAAGATCACATTTTTATCTTTGCATTCATTTTTGAAAAATTGTTTATTTTTTGAGAAGTAAGTAATTATCATGGCCTACATACAAAACTAAGGTTCAGCTATAGATTTAGGTAACTATACCTTCTATACCCTCTAATCCTGTCATACTGCAACCTTCTGAGTCAATGCAGTAGAAACATGTTACAAGTGAAGCAGTGTCAAAGGAAACCCCTGAAAGAAATGTAGATCAGGTCCAAAAATGAACCTGTTATTCCTTGTAATAAAAGTAGAAGTTTGAAAAGTAGAAGGTTGGGTATATTCTATTTTTAAATCATGAGTGGTTTCACACATTACTTTTGGTTACATGTGTTTAGCCAGAACTTAGTTACATGTTCACATTTAGCTACAAAATTAAAGCTAAGAAATACAATCTTTAGCTCTGAGGCCATATTCCTATCAAAATTTCCATTATTATAGAAGTAGAGGACAGATATTGAGGGCACAACTAGAAACCTCTGCCAGTCTGACATTTTAGTGACCAAAAAATCTCTGTGCATACCCATAGGACATATTCACCTCTTAGGCAAGGGAGACAATCCCCAGGAATTATTCATTTACTACATTTGGCTTAAAGTCCAGGATTGCAGGATGATGCAAAGTGCAGTATCCCTGGGTGTTCAGCTGCCTTTCAATTAGGGCTGGATGTGGATCTTATGATCCAGTGATCTATAAACTAAAAGAAATATTTTCTCCACACACCTCTGCCCCAACTGGCATACAAAGATGGGATAGAACAAAATAAGTGCAGTACGTACTCCCATTCAGGAAATGAAAGAATTGGAAATGCATAAAAATGACAGGACCCTAGCAATTTTCAAGTCCCACTAGCAGGAAAAATTGGATAAATTCCCTACCCAGATGGTAGAGTTACTTTGGTTACTCTGTCTTTCAGTTGCTTGTTCCACTTTCTGAAAGGAATTGCCCTGTCCACTGTTTTCTGCGTTTACAACTGAAGTGGGTAGTGGGGCTATGCCCTCCTTAGCAGGCTGAATATCTTTTGAACTTGCTTCTTGAAAATGCAGATTTTCAAATCCAGGAATTTCTTTAGAGATTAAAAAAAAATCATAGGCCTTGTGAGCCAGTCTTATAGGTTTTCAGCAATACATTTTCCTCAAAAACTTGATAAGCTTCTGGTGTTTACAGGCAACCACAGAAATGCATATCATCTAGGCATAGTATGATTGAAATCTCTACTATTTTCCCCCCTGCCTTTGATGCTCTGTCTACCTCCACTCCCGACCCCCAAATTGAAGTTGTCTGAAAGAAGAGCCTTGTATAGGAAGGCAATACTCTTAATCTGACTTTGCCAGGGTGAAGTTTTGCCATGAGCAAGTTCCTCATTACCTGCTTGCAAAATGTTAATGGAGATGCCTTAGAAAGGGTGGGCTACAGCCTGTTTTCCTTAGTGTTACTTCCCTAGAGCCAGAATCACCTTATAACAAGCATGAGTTCATGTCTTTCTTGGGACTTTGGTACAAGAGGCAAGAAGCAGCTGACTAACATTGATATTATGAATTTTTCCAATTATTTCCACTTGAATTATAAGCTCTGTTAGCAAATGGTTTGTATTCAAATTTTGTGACAGTTTTACCAAAACTTTTTAAAAATATAAAACAAGCATTCCTAAGTTTTAATTCTAAAATATCTGTCCTTTTGATACCAATCACCCAGCCACCAAGCTAATACTACACATTTTTAGTTTTGTTATAACAATGCCCTGAATCTAGGAATAAAATTATCAAATTATCTACCTGTTTCAGAAACAGAAATCCTTCTAATTACTTCAGGCAGAAAAGGATTGAAACCCAAAGAGGTAGATGCTTAATAAAGTTTTTGATGAGCAGGAGAAATAGAATTTAGGCAGAACTGACCTCTATGGAAGTTCTCACCTCTGACAGAAAGAAATTATAAGGCTTCCACTAGAGATACTGAATCCAAGAACATACCCCTGTACCTGCGATCCAGAAATCAGGAAACCAAATTAAGAAGTTACCCTTGCTGCTGCCATAATACTTTATAACATCCACAGAGCTGTAATACTGATGCAGAATACCATGCTTCCACAATGTTGCTTGCCAGAAGAAACAGTCAAAGCAACAGGAAAGTGGTCTGCACCTACTCTGCCTTCCAAATCTCTTGCTAATACATCTATTTCATAGAATTTAATTCACATAAAACTCGAGAAGCAAGTGAATCTTGGAAATGTTGTCACTTTCAGCCTCTGAAATAGATGAAGAAATACCTAGAAGAGTATAGTAATAGATGCTGACTGCAAATTATCCACAACAAGCAAAGTATGAAAAAGCTTTAGATAAGATATGAGAATCATCAGCAATAAGATGGTAATTGAAGCCAGTGGAGAGCATGTGATCAAGGGGAAGATGGCAGTGGAAGAAAAAAGTGTGGAGGATAGAAATAATTCAAATTTAAGGAATGATCAGAGAAAGAAAAGCTCCTCCTGCTGCAGACTGAAATGGGAAGGCCAGAGGGAGCTCAGAACCGAGGTTTGAGAAAACAAAAAAAAAGAAGAAAAAAAAAATGCCAGAGACAGAGAACAAGAACAAGAAGAAGAGGAAGAGGCGGAAGAGAAAGAAGAGGAAGAAGAAGAAGAAGAAGAAGAAGAAGAAGGAGAAGGAGAAGGAGAAGGAGAAGGAGAAGGAGAAGAAGAAGAAGAAGAAGAAGAAGAAGAAGAAGAAGAAGAAGAAGAAGAAGAAGAAATACTAATAATGAAACAGGAGAGTAAGTCTAAGAGAAGGGAGGATTAAAAGAAAGAAGGGTAATAACATGGTCAAAGAATGAAGATTTTCAAATCCAGGAATTTCTTTAAAGATTAAAAAAAAAAAACAACAAAAAACAAAAAACACAAGCCTTTGTGACCCAGTAAGAAAAGGATTAAAATGGGTACTGGGTTAAGTAACAAAGACATAACCCTGGTGATGTTGTTTCATTGGAATGATGGGAGTAAGAGACAGACTCAGTGAGCTGAAAAATGAATGCGATCTGAGAATGAGGAGGTAGGGAGTGTCAACGATCCCGGCAATAACTCTGCCCATAAAACTACAGGGCAGGTGTAGGATATTAGCTCAAAGTAGATTTGGAGAAAAGAAGATAAATATATTCTCGCCTTTTTTAAGATGGGAGGTAGTTGAGAATATATAAACATTAAATTGGAAAGACAAAAGAAGGGATTGAGAGGTTGAAATGTAGAAAACAAGAGAAAAACTAATGAAAGGTGATTCTTGAGGGCAGATAATGGAATTCAGAGCAGAAGTAAAATAAATGACTTTGCATGGTGTGACGGTTAATTTTATGTCTCAACTTGATTGGATGAATGGATACCCATATAGTTGGTAAAACATTATTTCTAGGTGTGTCTGTGAAGGTGTTTTTAGCATGTGAATCAGCAGACTGAGTAAAGAAGATCCTCTCTCACCAATGTGGGCAGACATCATTCAGTCCATTAAAGGCCTGGATGGAACAAAGGAGCAGGGGAAGGTCTCTCTCTTTCTCTCTCAGGGGAAGATTTTTTTTTTTCTCTCTCTCTTTTTATTTCTTCTTTCTTTTCTCTCTCCTTGAGCTGGGACATCCATCTTCTCCTGCCCTGCGGATGTTGTTGCTTCTGGTTCTGGGGCTTTGCACTGTGGTACTTACGCCATCTCCTCACTCAGCCCCGCAGGCCTTTGGCTTCAGATTGGGAGTTACATCACTGGCTTCTTAGGCCTTTGGACTTGGACTGAATAATACCACTGTTTTTTCTGGATCTCCAGCTTGCAGATGACATTTCATAAAACTTCTCGGTCTCCATAATGATGGCCAATTTCCATAATAAATCTCCTCCTATACATGTATCTACAGATACTCTATTCATTCTGTTTGTCTGAAGAACCCTGACGAATATAGGTGGGAAAGAAAACAGCTTTCCTATTGTTGCAGGGGAAATGGAAATGAATGGGTTCAGATGCAGGTAAGATTGGATGGTGAGGCATGAGATGGAGAGAAAATCACTGCTGATTTCTATTTTTTTCACACATGAAAATAGAAAAGGTCCTTTGTTATATCGAAGAGACATGTAGTGAGTTGTATGATCCTTGAAAAGTTGAGAATATTTGAGTCTATACTTATATCGCAGATCAATAACCTTCTGGTGAAGAGGAGCTGCTTGATATTGATTAAAGTCTTTCATTCACTAGTTGAGTGGGAGAGAGGAGATGCTGAGAGTGTGTGTCAGTTTCCTAGGGCTGCCATCATAAAGTGCCAACTGGATGGCTTAGAATAACAGAAATTCATTGTCTTACATTTCCGGAGGCCAGAAGTCCAAAATCAAGATGTTGGCAAAACTATGCTTCCTCTTGAAACTGCCATTGCAAAATTATAACTGAGTCAGTGAAAGAGATCTGACCTAACCAACTCCTTGCTTCTAACCTCCAGGCTGTCCTTGTTCATTCCTGGGCATAGGCTGAACTAACTTCTGGAGGAACTTAGTTTTAGTTTAAAACAAAGACAATAGATAACAGCCCTTTCCTAAAACAAACCTCCTTCTTTCCTGGGGACTAGACTGCCTTTGTAGGACTAATGAATTAGGCACAAGATTAGCAATTATGGGTTAGGAATGCAGCTGGTGGCTACGAGATTTCTGACCCTCCCTAAACTGCTCCTAAGATCAGTGCTGGAGCTATTTTGCAGACCCTGAACTTGACAGATCAACTGGCCCCACCCAGATCAATAAACTGGCTCATGTGATCTTGTGGCAACCCCCGCCCACCCCGGCAACCCAGGAATTAACTCAGTGCAGTAAGACAGCTTTGACTCCCTAGGATTTCATCTCTGAACTGACCAATCAGCACTCCCAGCTCACTGGCTTCCCCCGACCCACCAAATTGCCCTTAAAAACTCTGATCCCCGAATGCTCAGCGAGACTGATTTGAGTAATAATAAAACTCTGGTCTCCCATGCAGCTGGCTCTATGTGAATTACACTTTCTCTATTGCAATTCCCCTGCCTTATAAATTGGCTGTGTCTAGGCAGTGGGCAAGGTGAACCCATTGGGCAGTTGCACTCTGAAGGTGCTAGGGAAAAATGTTTCAGGTCCCTCTCCTGGTTCCTGGTAGCTTCTGGGTAGGTGACAGCATAACTCCAGTTTTCACATGATGGGCTCCTTGTGTGTGTGTGTCTGTGTCTAAATTTGCCTTTCTATACAGACACCAGCCAGATTGGATTAGTGTTCCACCCTACTCCAGTATGACCTCATTTTAACTTAACTAATTATGACTTTAAGGATTCTGTTTCCATATAAGGTCATAATCAGGTACTGAGGGTTTGAACTTCAACATATAAATTTGGTGGAAGGGGCACAGTTAAACCCTAGCAATGTCGGAGATGTAGTAGAGTCAGTCATCTATTAAATACCAATCTCCTAATATCCTAGGGATATTATGAGGATTAAAGAAGGTAATACATGTAAAACACTTAGCACAAACTCTGGAATATAAAAAGTGCTCATTAAATTAGTTAAGAATCCTGGCTTTCTGTCAATAACTAGCAACTATTACTGTAAAAATAATAATGAGTATTCAATATATTCTTTAATTTATTTATAAATTCTACACTCTCATTTGTGCTAGGCCTTGTGTTCATAGAAGGCATATAAAGATAAAGGAGATTAAAAACAAATATTTGTTGGATGAATGAGCTAACAGTTTAATGAGGCAGAAAGGCATAAAAACAATTATGGGTCAGTGAAGCAAGTGCAAAAAAGGCTACGGTGTCCTATAGGAAGGGCTGGAGGACCAGAGATGCCTTTAGCAACAGATGATAGCCAAATGTTTGTCTCTGCCTACATGCCCTGGAGTAGTAGAAGATGGGCACCACAACGCTGATTTTTTTTTTTTTTTTACAATTACTTCATAGAAAATAACTGAGTATGCCATCTCCCTCCAAACTATGGTAGTATGTTTTTATCTTGACAGTTACCAAAAGCTAAGGAATTGATTTTTCAAGTTTAGAAGATTTAAGTCAAAACATGTATAGCTCAGAGGAAGAATTTAGAATATTAGTAACAGAACAAGTATATTATCATAAATAATATTTGATGAGGATACTTATGAAGTGTATCAAAGTTTAAAAGTTGGACTTGTCATTTGTTCCTTTGTGACCAATAGAAAGTAGGGAAAGAACTCACTGGTCACAGGTGTCTTTGATTATTGTCACTCAGGAACACAAGCTGATGAAGGCATTACCTAGGAACTGTTTCATTACCACTGGGACAAAGAAAGCAAATGTGGTTTATCATGCTCTGACTTCGGGAGTTTCTGTTTGGAAGTGACAACTATCATTTCCACTCTTTCTCCCTTACCATGAAATTCTGTTCAATTAATAGATGGATTTTCCTAACTATAGAAAATACGTCTTAATCTATAGCTTACATAGGATTTCAGAGGTGTTGTTATTTCCTGAAAATATAAACAAAATTTGAGGTTTTTATTTTTTGCTATATGAATATTTTTCTGAAGAGAACTGTTCATAGTTTTTCTAGTTTCCCATGAAGCTCATAACCCATAAAAGCTCAAAAATAGGCTGGGCACAGTGGCTCATGCCTGTAATCCCAGCACTTTGGGAGGCCGAGGTGGGCAGATCACTTGAGGTTAGGAGCCTTGAGAACAGCTTGGCCAACATGGTGAGACCCTGTCTCTACATAAATACAAAAATTAGCCAGGTGTGGCGGGCACCTGTAATCCCAGCTACTGGGGAGACTGAGGCAGATGAATTGCTTGAACCCAGGAGGTAGAGGTTGCAGTGAGCTGAGATTGTGCCACTGCACTCCAGCCTGGGTGATTCAGCGAGATTCAGTCTCAAAAAAAAAAAAAAAAAAAGAAAATCAAGAACAACCACTATAGAAGCCCATATTTGTAAATTCTTGTATCAGTGAACACTTGCATGACAACTTAACATTAATCAGTAAATAGTAGGTATAATTGGGATGTGAGTTGGAGAGTACACTGCTTTGAAGAGGGACAAGAGGGAGACAGGCCTTGGGGCTGACTGTTTGTGCCCCCACTCCTGCTCTTGCTTCAACTAGAACATCTCTTCTTCCGTGCATTTTATATGATAATATTCCATGTTCTCTCTCCCTTTCTCTCAGTCTCTCTCGACAACAGAAATCAATATTAAAAATATTCAGAAATCTGGCTGGGCGTGGTGGCTCATGCCTGTAATCCCAGCACTTTGGGAGGCCAAGGTGTGCAGATCACCTAAGGTCAGGAGTTGGAGATCAGCCTGGTGAAACCCAGTCTCTACAGAAAATGCAAAAATTAGCTGGGCGTGGTGGTGGAAGCCTGTAATCCCAGGTATTTGAGCCAGGAGAACTGCTTGAACCTGGGAGGCAGAGGTTGCAGTAAGCCGAGATCAGGCCACTGCACTCCAGCCTGGGCAACAGAGCAAGACTCTGTCAAAAAAAAAAATAAATTCAGAAATCACTAATGTAAATTGGATACAAGAGCACAGTGAGCTGTCTTTAAGAACTTGGAAATGAGGTTGACTTCTGACAGTTAAACTATAAAATCCAAACTAAGAAATAAAATAAGAAATATATGATGTTGGCTGGACTTGAAGAAAAAAAAGAAATAGACATAATCATTTCGAAGAAAGAGGGAGGTTCTCAGGCCTGCATAAGAATTGACTCAGTCCAATCAGTAATATTAATGTTTCTAAATAAATGATGTGTCTCTCTGAAAAGACCAAGGAAAGCACAGAGTGATCAGCAATAGACCACCATGGAAAAACGAAAGTCAGAGGACTTCTCCGTCCCCAGTCCTGAACAGAAAAACTCGTGCAAATGAATCCATCAGATTGGATTTGTTGGACTTCAAATTCTGTCCTTCTCTCTTGACTCTTCTGTCTGCATCCAAAGAGAAGGGATTTTCCTACTCATACTTCTGGCTCATCCCCAAGGAAAAAGGAATTGCTAATCACTCTGCCTGGGGGAAAGGGTACAGGTGTGGAAAGGACTCAAGGAGAAAGTGGAAAAGCTGTCTTTAAGCATGACTAAGAAAGCCCAGTGGAAAAGGCAGGTTATGAGGTGTGGCAAAGACGGAGGAAAAGTCATTCCAGGTAGAGGGAAAGGCTGTATGCCTGCATAGAGGCATGATAAAGTTTGGCACTTTTGGGGAGCTGGCAATCCTTTTTGCCTAGAAATTACAAAAGAAATGAAAAAAAAATTAAGGGAGAGGATGGTGGGGAATGACGCTAGAAAATGAAGCACTAAACGAGTGGTGAAAATAAGTGATAGTAAGGAGAGTCTCTGATGATTTCTTAATTTAAAATAGAGAAGGGAAGTGAATAAAAAATTCATTATAAGGGAGGAGCCAAGATGACCGAATAGGAACAGCTCCGGTCTACAGCTCCCAGCGTGAGCGACGCAGAAGACAGTGATTTCTGCATTTCCATCTGAGGTACTGGGTTCATCTCACTAGGGAGTGCCAGACAGTGGGCGCAGGTCAGTGGGTGCGCGCACTGTGCGCGAGCCGAAGCAGTGCGAGGCATTGCCTCACTTGGGAAGCGCAAGGGGTCAGGGAATTCCCTTTCCAAGTCAAAGAAAGGGTTGACGGACGGCACCTGGAAAAATCAGGTCACTCCCACCCGAATACTGCGCTTTTTCGACGGGCTTAAAAACCGGCGCACCACGAGATTATATCCCACACCTGGCTCGGAGGGTCCTACGCCCACGGAGTCTCGCTGATTGCTAGCACAGCAGTCTGAGATCAAACTGCAAAGTGGCAGCGAGGCTGGGGGAGGGGCGCCTGCCATTGCCCAGGCTTGCTTAGGTAAACAAAGCAGCTGGGAAGCTCGAACTGGGTGGAGCCCACCACAGCTCAAGGAGGCCTGCCTGCCTCTGTAGGCTCCACCTCTGGGGGCAGGGCACAGACAAACAAAAAGACAGCAGTAACCTCTGCAGACTTAAATGTCCCTGTCTGACAGCTTTGAAGAGAGCAGTGGTTCTCCCAGCACGCAGCTGGAGATCTGAGAATGGGCAGACTGCCTCCTCAAGTGGGTCCCTGACCCCTGACCCCCGAGCAGCCTAACTGGGAGGCACCCCCCAGCAGGGGCACACTGACACCTCATATGGCAGGGTATTCCAACAGACCTGCAGCTGAGGGTCCTGTCTGTTAGAAGGAAAACTAACAAACAGAAAGGACATCCACACCAAAAACCCATCTGTACATCACCATCATCAAAGACCAAAAGTAGATAAAACCACAAAGATGGGGAAAAAACAGAAAAGAAAAACTGGAAACTCCAAAAAGCAGAGCGCCTCTCCTCCTCCAAAGGAACGCAGTTCCTCATCAGCAACGGAACAAAGCTGGATGGAGAATGACTTTGACAAGCTGAGAGAAGAAGGCTTCAGACGATCAAATTACTCTGAGCTACGGGAGGACATTCAAACCAAAGGCAAAGAAGTTGAAAACTTTGAAAAAAATTTAGAAGAATGTATAACTAGAATAACCAATACAGAGAAGTGCTTAAAGGAGCTGATGGAGCTGAAAACCAAGGCTCGAGAACTACGTGAAGAACGCAGAAGCCTCAGGAGCCGATGCGATCAACTGGAAGAAAGGGTATCAGCAATGGAAGATGAAATTAATGAAATGAAGCAAGAAGGGAAGTTTAGAGAAAAAAGAATAAAAATAAATGAGCAAAGCCTCCAAGAAATATGGGACTATGTGAAAAGACCAAATCTACGTCTGATTGGTGTACCTGAAAGTGACGGGGAGAATGGAACCAAGTTGGAAAACACTCTGCAGGATATTATCCAGGAGAACTTCCCCAATCTAGCAAGGCAGGCCAACGTTCAGATTCAGGAAATACAGAGAACGCCACAAAGATACTCCTGGAGAAGAGCAACTCCAAGACACATAATTGTCAGATTCACCAAAGTTGAAATGAAGGAAAAAATGTTAAGGGCAGCCAGAGAGAAAGGTCGGCTTACCCTCAAACGGAAGCCCATCAGACTAACAGCGGATCTCTCAGCAGAAACCCTACAAGCCAGAAGGGAGTGGGGGCCAATATTCAACATTCTTAAAGAAAAGAATTTTCAACCCAGAATTTCATATCCAGCCAAACTAAGCTTCATAAGCAAAGGAGAAATAAAATACTTTACAGACAAGCAAATGCTGAGAGATTTTTCACCACCAGGCCTGCCCGAAAAGAGCTCCTGAAGGAAGCGCTAAACATGGAAAGGAACAACTGGTACCAGCCGCTGCAAAATCATGCCAAAATGTAAAGACCATCAAGACTAGGAAGAAAGTGCATCAACTAACGAGCAAAATAACCAGCTAACATCATAATGACAGGATCAAATTCCACATAACAGTATTAACTTTAAATGTAAATGGACTAAATGCTCCAATTTAAAGACACAGACTGGCAAATTGGATAAAGAGTCAAGACCCATCAGTGTGCTGTATTCAGGAAACCCATCTCATGTACAGAGACACACATAGGCTCAAAATAAAAGGATGGAGGAAGATCTACCAAGCAAATGGAAAACAAAAAAAGGCAGGGGTTGCAATCCTAGTCTCTGATAAAACAGACTTTAAACCAACAAAGACCAAAAGAGACAAAGAAGGCCATTACATAATGGTAAAGGGATCAATTCAACAAGAAGAGCTAACTATCCTAAATATATATGCACCCAATACAGGAGCACCAAGATTCATAAAGCAAGTTCTGAGTGACCTACAAAGAGACTTAGACTCCCACACATTAATAATGGGAGACTTTAACACCCCACTGTCAACATTAGACAGATCAACGAGACAGAAAGTCAACAAGGATACCCAGGAATTGAACTCAGCTCTGCACCAAGCGGACCTAATAGACATCTACAGAACTCTCCACCCCAAATCAACAGAATATACATTTTTTTCAGCACCACACCATACCTATTCTAAAATTGACCACGTGCTTGGAAGTAAAGCTCTCCTCAGCAAATGTAAAAGAACAGAAATTATAACAAACTATCTCTCAGACCACAGTGCAATCAAACTAGAACTCAGGATTAAGAATCTCACTCAAAACTGCTCAACTACATGGAAACTGAACAACCTGCTCCTGAATGACTACTGGGTACCTAACGAAATGAAGGCAGAAATAAAGATGTTCTTTGAAACCAACGAGAACAAAGACACAACATACCAGAATCTCTGGGACGCATTCAAAGGAGTGTGTAGAGGGAAATTTATAGCACTAAATGACCACAAGAGAAAGCAGGAAAGATCCAAAATGGACACCCTAACATCACAATTAAAAGAACTAGAAAAGCAAGAGCAAACACATTCAAAAGCTAGCAGAAGGCAAGAAATAACTAAAATCAGAGCAGAACTGAAGGAAATAGAGACACAAAAAACCTTTCAAAAAATTAATGAATCCAGGAGCTGGTTTTTTGAAAGGATCAACAAAATTGATAGACCGCTAGCAAGACTAATAAAGAAAAAAAGAGAGAAGAATCAAATAGATGCAATAAAAAATGATAAAGGGGATATCACCACCGATAGCACAGAAATACAAACTACCATCAGAGAATACTACAAACACCTCTACGCAAATAAACTAGAAAATCTAGAAGAAATGGATAAATTCCTCGACACATACACTCTCCCAAGACTAAACCAGGAAGAAGTTGAATCTCTGAATAGACCAATAACAGGATCTGAAATTGTGGCAATAATCAATAGCTTACCAACCAAAAAGAGTCCAGGACCAGATGGATTCACAGCCGAATTCTACCAGAGGTACAAGGAGGAACTGATACCATTCCTTCTGAAACTATTCCAATCAATAGAATAAGTGGGAATCCTCCCTAACTCTTTTTATGAGGCCAGCATCATTCTGATACTAAAGCCAGGCAGAGACACAACCAAAAAAGAGAATTTTAGACCAATATCCTTGATGAACATTGATGCAAAAATCCTCAATAAAATACTGGCAAAATGAATCCAGCAGCACACCAAAAAGCTTATCCACCATGATCAAGTGGGCTTCATCCCTGGGATGCAAGGCTGGTTCAATATACGCAAATCAATAAATGTAATCCAGCATATAAACAGAGCCAAAGACAAAAACCACATGATTATCTCAATAGATGCAGAAAAAGCCTTTGACAAAATTCAACAACCCTTCATGCTAAAAACTCTCAATAAATTAGGTATTGATGGGATGTATTTCAAAATAATAAGAGCTATCTATGACAAACCCACAGCCAATATCATACTGAATGGGCAAAAACTGGAAGCATTCCCTTTGAAAACTGGCACAAGACAGGGATGCCCTCTCTCACCACTCCTATTCAACATAGTGTTGGAAGTTCTGGCCAGGGCAATTAGGCAGGAGGAGGAAATAAAGGGTATTCAATTAGGAAAAGAGGAAGTCAAATTGTCCCTGTTTGCAGACGACATGATTGTATATCTAGAAAACCCCATTGTCTCAGCCCCAAATCTCCTTAAGCTGATAAGCAACTTCAGCAAAGTCTCAGGATACAAAATCAATGTACAAAAATCACAAGCATTCTTATACACCAACAACAGACAAACAGAGAGCCAAATCATGAGTGAACTCCCATTCACAATTGCTTCAAAGAGAATAAAATACCTAGGAATCCAACTTACAAGGGATGTGAAGGACCTCTTCAAGGAGAACTACAAACCACTGCTCAAGGAAATAAAAGAGGATACAAACAAATGGAAGAACATTCCATGCTCATGGGTAGGAAGAATCAATATCGTGAAAATGGCCATACTGCCCAAGGTAATTTACAGATTCAATGCCATCCCCATCAAGCTACCAATGACTTTCTTCACAGAATTGGAAAAAACTACTTTAAAGTTCATATGGAACCAAAAAAGAGCCCGCATCACCAAGTCAATCCTAAGCCAAAAGAACAAAGCTGGAGGCATCACACTACCTGACTTCAAACTATACTACAGGGCTACAGTAACCAAAACAGCATGGTACTTGTACCAAAACAGAGATATAGATCAATGGAACAGAACAGAGCCCTCAGAAATAACACTGCATATCTACAACTATCTGATCTTTGACAAACCTGAGAAAAACAAGCAATGGGGAAAGGATTCCCTGTTTAATAAATGGTGCTGGGAAAACTGGCTAGCCATATGTAGAAAGCTGAAACTGGATCCCTTCCTTACATCTTATACAAAAATCAATTCAAGATGGATTAAAGACTTAAACGTTAGACCTAAAACCATAAAAACCCTAGAAGAAAACCTAGGCATTACCATTCAGGACATAGGCATGGGCGAGGACTTCATATCTAAAACACCAAAAGCAATGGCAACAAAAGACAAAATTGACAAATGGGATCTAATTAAACTAAAGAGCTTCTGCACAGCAAAAGAAACTACCATCAGAGTGAACAGGCAACCTACAAAATGGGAGAAAATTTTCACAACCTACTCATCTGACAAAGGGCTAATATCCAGAATCTACAATGAACTCAAACGAATTTACAAGAAAAAAACAAACACCACCATCAAAAAGTTGGCGAAGGACATGAACAGACACTTCTCAAAAGAAGACGTTTATGCAGCCAAAAACCACATGAAAAAATGCTCATCATCACTGGGCATCAGAGAAATGCAAATCAAAACCACAATGAGATACCATCTCACACCAGTTAGAATGGCAATCATTAAAAAGTCAGGAAACAACAGGTGCTGGAGAGGATGTGGAGAAATAGGAACACTTTTACACTGTTGGTGGGACTGTAAACTAGTTCAACCCTTGTGGAAGTCAGTGTGGCGATTCCTCAGGGATCTAGAACTGGAAATACCATTTGACCCAGCCATCCCATTACTGGGTATATACCCAAAGGACTATAAATCATGCTGCTATAAAGACACATGCACGCGTATGTTGATTGCGACATTATTCACAATAGCAAAGACTTGGAACCAACCCAGATGTCCAACAATGATAGACTGGATTAAGAAAATGTGGCACATATACACCATGGTATACTATGCAGACATAAAAAATGATGAGTTCATGTCCTTTGTAGGGACATGGATGAAATTGGAAATCACCATTCTCAGTAAACTATCGCAAGAACAAAAAACCAAACACTGCATATTCTCACTCATAGGTGGGAATTGAACAATGAGATCACATGGACACAGGAAGGGGAATATCACACTCTGGGGACTGTTGTGGGGTGGGGGGAGGGGGGAGGGACAGCATTGGGAGATATACCTAATGCTAGATGACAAGTTAGTGGGTGCAGCGCACCAGCATGGCACATGAATACATATGTAACTAACCTGCACAATGTGCACATGTACCCTAAAACTTAAAGTATAATAAAAAAAAATTCATTGTAAACATTAGTGTGCTATAGTACTTTGACAATGGAAATTGAGGGAAGAAAGTGTTTAGGAAGTGTTTATAGAAGGAAATGTTTATAAAAGAACAGTAGAGTGGGACAGATTAGAAGTTGCTGATGGGGAAGAAGGATCATATAATATGAGTCTCTACTATGATATTAATTAATGAATTATAGAAATACAGGGATGATCAAATTGGTGGGGGAAGTCTATGAATTCAACTTTGCATATATGGACTTTGAGAAACTTCTGAGAAAACCAGGTGAAGCTAGTTCATTGTCAGTTAGGTAAAGGAGTCTGTAACCAAGAAAAAGGTATGAGCAAAAGATAAAGATTTGTAAGTCACTGACATTCAGTTGGCAGCCTAGGTGACAGAAATGGAAAAGAGAGCCAGAGAGAAAATATAGATTGAAGAGAAATGAATCATTGTCATTGCATAACAGCTGAATCATCAGATGGGATTCTCTGGTCTGTCTACTAGTTGTATTTTTAAAAGACCTGGGTAGGGCTGAATTGTCCCAAAAAGCAACGAGTAATCTCATTAGTGTCCCTCTCGCAAGGGTGGAGAAGGTAAGTTTGCTGGTCTTTTTTTCTTTTTTCTTTCAATTCTTCCCATCCTTTCCATTCCTTTTGCTTTCAATGCTTCTCTCCCCCCATAATACCTGTATCTACATAGTGCTCATTACCTTATTCCAAAACCATTCTTTGCTTCATAGACTGTATATTTTGAGGGTCATGTCCTGAACAGATAAATGAATGAGGGAGTCTGAGACAATTTTATTTTTCTTTTATGATTTTAAACTGTCTGAACAATTGATGAACCTACATTGACACATTCTCACTAGAATCCATAGTATACATTAGGGTTCACTCTTGGTGTTGTGCATTCAATGGGTTTGGAAAATTTATAATAAATATTTATGTATATGTTTGTAGCAAATATGCCACTCTGGTGGGGAATGTTGATAACAGGGGAAGCTATATCTGGGTGTGGGCAGTGGGTAGATGGAAAAATCTCTGTACCTTCCACTCAGTTTTGCTGTGAACTGAAAACTGCTCTATGAAATAAAACTGTTATAAAAAAATAAAAATGTAGCTAGGTGTGGTGGCTCATGTCTGTAATCCCAGCACTTTGGGAGGCCGAGGCAGGCAGATCACTTGACGTCAGGAGCTCGAGACCAAGCCAGCCAACATGGTGAAACCTGTCTCTATTAAAAATACAAAAATTAGCTGGACGTGGTCACAGGCACCTGTAGTCCCAGCTACTCAGGAGGCTGAGGCATGGGAATAGCTTGAACTCTGGAGGCGGAGGTTCCAGTGAGCCAAGATTGCATCATTGCACGCCAGCCTGGGTGACACAGTTAGACTCTGCCTCAAAAAAAAAAAAAAAAAAAAGCATTGGAAAACCAAAAATTGAAGTGTAACTAATATTTCTAGAAATCTATCAAACACTCACAATTGCTACAATTCAACCCCAACAAAGACCAATTCAAAAATGGGCACACAGGAGGAACGGGACTTGGCCTCACTTCCAGGAACAGGTAGGTTTCCCATACATATCCTCTAACCATCACCTGCGCTGGTGCCATACTAGATCACTAAAGACCTTGCAAACTATGTGAGGAATCTAAGATAAGCAGCATTCCACCAAATCTTACCTAAGGAAGTTAACCCCATCACCCATGTGCAGGCAAGACCAGGAGACTGACCAATTCTGACCCTTATCTCAGTCTACAACTAAAATCCCTGCCTGGGGCGGGTTGTCTGCCATTTATTGATTATGTAATGTACCTACTAACATGATTTCTCACTGCAGCTGCACACTCTGCACTCCAGTCTGCACCTGTGATGACACTCGCATACCTCTTGTTTCTTCATGTCATTCTTCTTAAAGCACCATAAAGACCTGCCCTTCGGGAGCCAGCCAGAGAACTCTTGTTCTTATGCTATATCCCTTGCGCTCAAGCATAAGCCCCAACAAAGCCTCGTCTGGGAAACTTTCTCAGCCTCCTGTCAATTTCTGTTGCCTGAGAGCCTAAGAACCCATGGTTGGTACTGAAGGTTCAGTTCTATTCATTTTGTCTTCTTGTTTTCTGTTAAATAAGAAAATTATTTCCTTATTAAATAAGGAAAATCTTGGGTTAGTCTTTCTGGTACTTTGTCTTGCAGTCTACAGAATTTTTGAAAATATATTTAATGTTCAAAACAAAAAAAATTAGAGTAAAATTGCCAATTATGCCTACGCTTTAGAGAATATTTTTCTACTTGGTTGTTCATTATCTTTATAGACTTAGCTACTGGTCAGGGATCATTATGCTGACTTCACACCCGCACAGACAAAACAAAAATCATTTGATTTTTCCCCTTTCTTTTGGATTTTGAAGCCACCAGAGAGGGTTTATTCTTTGTGTATATAGAAATATTTGTTGATGACTAATCACTATATTTTGTTGATTAAACTAGAAATTAAGGTCTTAAAAAATCATTTCCTGTATGTTATCCACAGTTCTTGGATCCAGGAATATTTTTTTTTTCCAGAAATGTTGGGCCTTTTTAGCTAGTTCACAAAAACATAATTTTCTAGCGTGCTTAAAAGTCAAGAGCTCAAAATTCTATTATTATTTTTAAAACATTTTTGGGTGATTATGCTTTCTGGATGTATTGGAAAGTTGCATTTCATTTCTCTTTAATTTATAGGCTCAAAGAGTTATTGAACTACTGATTGAGAAACAAAGTAAAGGACAATCTCTTGTTCCTTATTCCAAAGAAATATTAACTGTCCAAGGGAATACTAATCTGACTGGAGCCAAATTTTAGACATTGTTGAGCCACACTTACCTGTAAATGGGGTTAAGATATTATGGCATATTAAAAGGTCCTCACTGGGTGTGGAGGCTCATGTCTATAATATCAGTACTTTGGGAAGCCAAGGTGAAAGGATCACTTGAGGCCAGGAGTTTGAGACTAGCCTGGGCAACATAGTAAGACTCCATTTCTACAAAAAAAAAAAAAAAAAAATTAGCCAGGTGTTGTGACATGCGCCTGTAGTCTTAGCTACTCAAGAGGTGAAAGGATTGCTTAAGCCGAGGAATTTGAGGCTGTGGTGAGCTAGGATAGTGCCACTGCACTGCAACTTGCATGACAGTGAGACCCTGTCTCTAAGAAACTAAAAATATATATTAGCAGAATATTTCTTTTCTATTGTACCACCTTACAGTGTGTGGTTCATTTATGAACTCAAAACCAGGAATAGTTTGGCTTCTCTTGATTTGAGGTTTATTCAGTTCCTATGAACAATGAGATACATTGCTAGTTATGTTTCCGTTTTTCCTTCATTCTATTTTATAGCATTTGGGCAAATTTAATAGTGTCCTAGTATTTTGGGGCACCAGTAATAGGATAAATGAAGTCATGGAAAATTGTAATACTCTAGATCCTGGTAGAACTATTTCTAACCATTATTTCTTGGATACCAAGATTTTGGTTAGTAATGTTATCCGTAATAAACTGTGGTGAGAAATAAATATTCTTTGAAGGTAGAATAGAATTGAAGGACTTATTTTTAAAGAAACTGAATCATGGATTTCAAGTTTTTCATCTTAAGAGCTACCTACATGGCCCATCCCCTCTGCTGCTGTGTACCATTACATATTAACTATGTGATTGCATTCAATAATGCACTGCACATATCAACTGAATAGTATTGACTTATGGAAGACTCGCTAAATATACTTTTTTTTTTTTTTTTGAGTCAGAATCTCGCACTGTCACCCAGGCTGGAGTGCAGTGGTGTGATCTTGGCTCACTGCAACCTCCACCTCCCAGGCTCGAGCGATTCTTCTGCCTCAGCCTCCTGAGTAGCTGGGATTACAAGCATGCACTACCATGCCCAACTAATTTTTGTATTTTTAGTAGAGACAGGGTTTCACCATGTTGGCCAGGCTGGTCTCGAATTCCTGACCTCAAGTGATCCACCTGCCTTGGCCTAACGCGCTGGGATTACAGGTGTGAGCCACCGGGGCCTGGCTAAATATACATTTTTTGAACAATGTAGTGAGTGACCATGTGGAAGAAACAACTGTGAATTAGATTTGAAAACATGTATTTAACTGCAGTCTACTTTAGCACTTTCATGAAAGGTCACTTCTCTTGTTAGGATGATCATCACTTTTATTTGTTAAGCAGGCAGGGCAATGTTTGTACGACTATATTTTACATTTTAACTTTTCTAACACCAGTAATAGAAATTTTTATCTTATTTTTTGAAAGGATTTGATTTATATGCACAAAACATGTGCAAGATAAGAATACCAAAACAGAAAATCAGAGCAAAGGGAGAAAAGAAAGGAAAAAATACACAAATTTTATGATATTATATGTAGTTGAAATTTAGTTGTTTCAAAGCTTCCTGATATACAAGAAAATAAAAAGGAAAATATGATTAGTTACAACAGAGCTTCTTACTTCTTATTATATAATAGCATAGACAAAATAATGTAATAATTTTAAGGAATATAGGAAAAAATTATTTATCCTGGGTTCCAGCTAACCTGAGGGTGGAAAGAATCAGAGTTTGGGCACACTGGTAAACACCCTGGGGTCTACCTGTAAGCCATGGCATCATGATTGAAAAAGTATAGTTTGCACTACCAGGGAAAAGGGCACCTCTTTGTTCCTCTGGAGGAAAAACACTTTTTCTAGGTCTAAATTCTAAAAGACTACATTTATCACTTTAGTTAGAAATTAGGATAGATTTCTTAGATTTGGAGTTAATTTCTACATACTTGTTCACTTTTCTATTTATTTATTTATTTATTTATTTATTTATTTATTTATTTGAGACAGAGTCTTGCTCTGTCACCCAGGTTGGAGTGCAGTGGCACGATCTCGGCTCACTGCAACCTCTGCCTCCTGGGTTCAAGCAATTCTCCTGCATCAGCCTCCCCAGTAGCTGAGACTACAGGCGCCCAGCACCATGCCCGGCTAATTTTTTGTATTTTTAGTAGAGATGGGGTTTTGGCACATTGGCCAGGGTGGTCTCAAACTCCTGACCTCAGGAGATCCGCCCTCCTTGGCCTCCCAAAGTGCTGGGATTACAGGCGTGAGCCACCATGCCCGGCCTACTCATTCACTTTTGATGTTAATTAGTATAATGATTTGCCATTAATAAATAACATTTTTGTTTACACTATTGTTTGACTTTCACTGTTTCTAGTCAGAATCTTATCCAATGTAGCAGGTTACAGCATCACCCAGTTTTCCTAACGAATTTCTTGGAGTAAGAGATGTAGGGTTTCCCTCCCTGCCTTCTAATAGAAGACACATAATTCCCCTTGGGGAGCATTAAGACCAGCCAGTTCTTCAGCCAAGGCAATGATGCATAAGTGTGTGCTCTGCCCTTCCAAAACCTATGAATGGTTCAGAAGGGCAGGTCACTGCAACTTGATGCCTGCAGGAAAAGGAGACAAATTTTCATGTAAATATAGACTTTTGCATAATGATATGCTTGCTTCCAAGTTATGCAAGTTGTAACGGGCAGTATTTTGGAAACAAACGTAGGTATAATCAGCTACTAAGAAACATAAGCAGAATATGTGGAAAATGTTTTTCTCCTAGAGGGCCTGGTGAGGGACGTGGAAAAGAGCTTTTTAAATGCAAGAGATACCAAACCCTGTTGCCATGAAGGCTGTAAAAAGTAAACAGTATATACACTCAAGGACTTTTCTTTAAAGACTCTGAGTTGGAATGAGAACAGCAGATATCACAGCCAACTGTTGCCATGAAAAGCAGAGGAACTGACCTAAGCCCAGAAAACTCATGCCAATACGTAGCTTGACTGAAAGTTGAGAGCGTTCCATTGTAAGTGCTAATATTTATTAGGTAGATGATATTTCTTCCTAGGCAAATTTTGAAATGGTTTGGCTTGAAATAATGTGATCTTTGTCTAATTTCTTTAAAAATAAGTTGTCTGGTGAATTAGAAAATGATTTCATCCATGTAGAATATCCACCACTTTTTAATGGATCATACTAACTTGGCTGCATAAATCACTACATTGTATAGAATTGATTTTCAGAGTGTGATGGGCTGAAATATGCTTCCCCCCTCCAAATTCATATACTGAAGTCCTAACCCCCAGAACTTCAGAATGTGACTGTTTTCAAAGATTGGGCCTTTAGGCCTGGTGTGGTGGCTCAAGCCTGTAATCCCAGCACTTTGGCCGAGGTGGGCGGATCACCTGAGGTCGGGAGTTCAAGACCAGCCTGGCCAACATGGCGAAACCCCATCTCTACTAACAACACAAAAATTAGCTGGGTGTGGTGGCACATGCTTGTAATCCCTGCTACTCAGGAGGCTGAGGCAGGAGAATCGCTTGAACCTGGGAGGCGGAGGTTGCAGTGAGCCGAGAATGCGTCACTGCACTCCAGCCTGGGCGAAAAGAGCAAAACTACATCTCAAAAAAAAGAAAACAAAACAAAATAAAAAACAAAAGCAAAAACAACAAAACAAAGATTGAGCCTTTAAAGAAGTAATGAAGATAAATAAAGTCATTAGGGTACGTCCTAATCCAATGTGATTGGGGTCCTTATAAGAAGAGGAGATTATGACACTGACACATGTGAGCACAGAGGAAAAACCACGTGAGGCCCAGGTGATGAGGTCAGGAGTTCCAGACCAGCCTGACCAATATGGTGAAACCCCGTCTCTACTAAAAGTACAAAAATTAGCTGGGCATGGTGGCGGGTGCCTGTAATCCCAGCTACTCAGGAGGCTGAGGCAGGAGAATTGCTTGAATCTGGGGGGCGGAGGTTGCAGTGAGTCGAGATTGATCCACTGCACACCAGTCTGAGCAACAGGGCGAGACTCCCTATCAAACAACAACAACAATAACAACAACAACAACAACAACACGTGAGCACACAGTGAGGAGGCAGCCAGCAGCAAGCCAAGAAGAGGGGCCTCAGAAGACACCAAACCTGCCAACACCTTGATCTTGAAATTCTGACTTCCAGAACTGCAAAAAAAAAAAAATTTTTTTCTATTGCTTAAGCCACCAAGCTTTGTTGTATTTTGTTATGGCAGCCATATAAAACTAACACACAGGTGTGCAATATGACCTAGTAAGTGTTTTCTGATATTTAAAAGAATTGTTTCCAATACATCTGCGGTAGAATATAAAAGTCATGACTTCCTCCTGAAGTTGGCAGAAGATCCAGAGCTCCTCAATTTAAATCAGAAGGTTCTCCCTGACTCACCTGTAGGTTACTTCAGAAAATGAGCTAAGCCATATTATTGTTTTCTGTGCATTTTCTGGGCAATAGCAAGAGACTGTCATCTATTAGATACTCCAGCTTTAATTACTTGATTAAAGCAAAAGAATAAAATAAATAAAATAAAATAAATTCTGTAAACTATAAACCAGGAATCTGGCCCTCGATCTTAATCAGGAATTTAGAAATATATTACTGAAAGGATTTATTGGATGTGGGGGTATTTATAAAATGAATCATTAGTTACAAACATTTAGCCTGGGGCGACTAACAAGCATTATCCTAATCATTCACTCTGGGTAATTCATTTGATGGCACTGAACATTAGTGCACAGTTCTTGAAACCCTCTTTGCCTTTGACTTCTGGGACATTGTTCTGATGTCTCCTGACTCTCTGGCAAAAGCTTCTCTGCCTCTTACCTGGCTTTTCCTTCTCCAATCTCCTCTTCAAAAATGTTGGAGTAACTGTTACGCTGAACATGTACTTACTGACAAAACATAACATTTGTTATGAAAAGATCCTATTTTCAATGCTCAAACCTGAGCCAGTTAAAGAAAAAAATCCTTTAAAATTCCTCTACCCCTGGGTAGATATCGTTGGAGATCCCATTCCTTTTTCCTTAGAATGTTAGAGTCTTAGAAGCTGGGCAATGATAGTGTTAGGATTCTTATTCCTGTTTATTTTTGGTGTTGTCTTTGGTCAGGGTTTTTCATGTGCTTGGGAATTGGTTGCTTGGACTTAGATCAATCCTCATGACAGCATGGGTTGAGAGGAGAAAAAGATTCCTATTGATCTGAATTTCCAAGTGAAATCCAGCTTGGATCATATACCAGGATTTTACCTATTGCCACATTTGTAAGTTTCAACTTTTACACTCTGCTGTGTGCTGCTGGGGCTGGGACTCAGCTAACATTTCTCAGACTCCTTTCTAATTTAATTTCTTATTAGGTTTGATCAATGGGAAGCAGTAGAGGAGGATTAGAAGGGAAGAGGTGGGCAGGAAGGAAGTCCTTCCTCATTTTTCAGTTCTTACCTTATTACTCCAACAGCAAGATAAATGTGGCTCTAGTTTCCATCTTCTTTCTGAACTCTCAGTAACATACGATTAAGAAAAAATTACTTAGGCAGATAGTGAGGGTATGGGAGTCCCCGGTAAGGTTTTCCTTTTAATGAAAACCAGCCCCCAAATCATTTTCTTTTCTAACAAAGAGCAGCCTGTAAAATCGAGCTGCAAACACAGACAAGCAAGCTGGAAGCTTGCACTGATGAATGCCGGCAGTTGTGCCAATAGGAGAAGGCTACCTGGGATTAGGCATGTTCAAAATGGCGTCTCCATCTTCCCTTGTTTTTGCCAGTCATTTGTGCAGTAAGGAGCAGGCAACATGGTGCGTGCCAGGCAAAGACTCCATTTGCATAATAAAATTAGGGTGGGGCCGCTAGCTTCCCCGTGTGCTTTGTAAATGTCACACCTGATCCAACCAATCTTTGGGCCCTATGTAAAGCAGACACCCACTCCTCAAATCTGTCTGTAAAATCTGGTGCACTCCACCATGAGCCAGAATTCCCATTCAGGCACCCACTCTCTCTCACGAGAGAGAGCTGTTCTTCTCTTTCTTTCTTTCCCTTTTTCTTTCTTTCTTTCTTTCTTTCTTTCTTTCTTTCTTTCTTTCTTTCTTTCTTTCTTTCTTTCTTTCTTTTCTTTCTTTCTCCTTCCTTCCTCTTTCTTTCTTTCCTTCTTTCTTTTTTCCTTCCTTCCTTCCTTCTTTCTTTCCTTCCTTCCTCCTTCCCTCCCTCCCTCTCTCTCTTTCTTTCTTCTTTCTTTTTCTTTTCTTTTCTTTTTTTTTTTTTTTTTTTTGACAGAGTCTCACTCTGTTGCCCAGGCTGAAGTGAAGTGGTGCACTCGTGGCTCACTGCAACCTCCACCTCCCGAGTTCAAGTGATTCTCATGCCTCAGTTTCCTGAGTAGCTGGGATTATAGATGCATGCCACACACCTTGTTAATTTTTGTATTTTTAGTAGAGACAGGGTTTCATCATGCTGTACAGGCTGGTCTTGAACTCCTGACCTGAGGTGATCTGCCCACCTCAGCCTCCCAAAGTGCTGGGATTACAGGCATGAGCCACCATACCTGGCCCCCTTTCTCTTTCTTTTGCCTATTAAATCTCTGCTCCTAAACTCACTCCTTGTGTGTGTCCATGTCCTTAATCTTCTTAGCGCCAGACTGTGAACCTCGGGTATTGACCCCAGACAATGAGACCACCTCATCAGCATCTTCTCTACTATGCTCCTTAGAGGAACCAGTAACTGCCAGGCTTCAACCTCTATGCAGTTGGGAGTGTAGTTGCTCGGCTGCACCTCCTGGGCTGTCCAAACAACTGCCTGGCCAAGTCTCCTCAGTTATCCTTAAGTCACATGTGGAGAGCTTCCTGCTACAGCTTGGAACACCAGGTCTATAGACCCCCTCCAGTGAGTTCCTAAGTCACAACCCTCACCCTTTTTCTTTGGCTTCTCCAGCCCTAGGGAATAATGGCTGCTTCCTGCATTTCTTAATTTCCTTTTTGCTCTTTTGACCTTCCAAACTTGTAGAAAAACCTCCCTGAATTAATTCCTCTCTTTGAAAAACTCAGAGAGATTTCTGTTGAGTTCATACAGGTTGTAGGACCAATCACCAATTTCTGAGGTCAGAGAATGACCATGATTGGTTAAGCTTGGGGCATGTGTTCACTTCTGTAGTAGAGGGTGTGGTCATTTACTAGAAAAGGGATAGGTAGGGAGGATGGCACTAGTGGATAGCTATGGCACATAAACTATAGACGTCGTAGTAAACAGCTTTTTATTTTTTCATGGTAAACTAGGGAAGGGAGGATGGATAATGGTAACTGAAGGAGGAAGTGAGATTAAGGGAGGAACTCTGCATTCTGAGGTAAACATGCATGTTTAAGTGCTGATGGGAAGGACTGATTAGAGGGGAAGTATAAAGAGACCAGAGAAAGAAGGTACAATGGATGGTGTTGGGTTCAAAAGAGACTAGGAACCCAGGTTGAGGCTAGGCCTTGAATAGGAGGAGGGACACATTTTCTGAAACAGGAGGGAAGGTGGCTGTCATGGGTCCAGGAGCAGGAACATTTTCTAGGTATGACAGGAGGAACATGCTGGAGTCCATCTCTGCTGCCTCTATTTTCTCTATGAAGTTACAGGTAGGTCATTTTCAGGGAGCAAGAGTTAAGAATGGGGCAAGGGCAGAAATTTGAGGAGAGACAGGGTGTGAAAAAGCCTTCTTGGAAAAGAGAGGAGGAGTTGCCCAGAGAAGCAGAGTGGGATTACTAGGAGTACTGAAGGCATATTTGAACTTAGTAATCATAAGGGTACCAAGCCAGGCACAGTGGCCCTTGACTGTAATCCCAATACTCTGGGAGGCCAAAGCAGGAGAATTGCTTGAGGCCAGGAGTTTGAGGCCAGCTTGGGCAACATAGTGAGATTTTGTCTCTAAAAAATGAAACCAAACAAAAGTGTTTTTTTAAAAAAAGGTACCAGCTTTCTCTCTTGTGTGACTTTTTCATTTAAATTCTGGTGCATGAGTATAGAGAAAGTATGAAGAAATTGTGGAGAAAATGTGAAGAAAGTGGACAGTTTCTTCCAGAGATTTTACCACAAAAAACAGATAAGTAGAGGGACAAGGGACTTGAAGGTTTTGGCAAAAGAACTGTTGAGGGGATAGACCATTGTATTTATTCTGGAAAGGAAGAGAACAAATGACTGAAGGGACCTAAATAAAAGAGACACAGCCCTGGCGTGGTGGCTCGTGCCTGTAATCCCAGCACTTTAGGAGGCTGAGGTGGGCGGATCATGAGGTCAAGAGATCGAGACCATCCTGAACATGGTGAAATCCCGTCTCTACTAAAAATATAAAAATTAGCTGGGTGTGGTGGCGTGCACCTGTAGTCCCAGCTACTCAGGAGGTGAGGCAGAAGAATCACTTGAACCCGGGAGTGGAGGTTGTCGTGAGCTGAGATCGTGCCACTGCACTTCGGCCTGGAGACACAGTGAGATTCCATCTCAAAAAAAAAAAGAAAAGAAAAGAAAAAAAGAAAGAAACAAAGAAAAGAAAGAAAGAAAGAAGGAAAGAAAGAAAGAAAGAGAGAAAGAAAGAAAAAAGAGAGACCCAGCAGACATGTAAAGGACTGGAGAGCCCAAGGAGGTCCAGGCGTGCGTGATCCCACGAGGAGTTTCAAAAAGCAGTCTGGAAGGATAAGAGGAAATGGTCACAGAGAAGGATGTGTGATTTAATAGTGTGATGGCTCTGTTTTAGTGATGACCATGAGAATGGCCAACTAAGGTAGAATGAGGAAGAGGATGTCAAGGAACCAAGAAATATTTATTTATTTATTTTATTTTCTTCCTTTTTTTTTTTTTTTTTTGAGACAGTATTACTCTGTCACCCAGGCTGGAGTTCAGTGGCATGATCTCAGATTCAAGCAATTTCCCTGCCTCAGCCCCCCAAGCAGCTGGGATTACAGGCAAGTGCCATCATGCCCAACTAATTTTTTTGTATTTTAGTAGAGATGGGGTTCCACCATGTTCTCCAGGCTGCTCTCAAATTCCTGAGCTCAGATGATCAGCCCACCTTGACCTCCCAAAGTGCTGGGATTACAGGTGTGAGCCACCGTGCCCGGCAGAAATATTTATTTTTAATTGCTAGAGTAATTCCATTTGCATATACTTCATGTTTTATACATTCAACTCTGGCTTTCTCCAGTTAAATTGTGAGCCTACTGAGAGCAGAGACTGTGTCTAAAATTTATATTTGTTCACCTAGGGACTTTATCTTTCTCATAGAATATTTTGGCAGAATACTATATTTTAATGAAATAAGAAAAGTAGCAGTTCAAGGAGTTTTATTTTTACCTGTTTTATTGTCTTCAGGATGAGAAGGTGATTCTTCTGCTTGATCGGTATAGCAACTAATGTTAAGATAGGGTAAATTATTCACCCAAAGTGGACTAAAGCTAACTTCAAATACATAAGAACTTAGTTGATTTAAAAAAGAACACATTCAGCCTGGGCTGGAGGCTGAGGCAGGAGAATCGCTTGAATCCAGGAGGTGGAGGTTGCAGTGAGCAAGGGTTGCAGTGAGCTGAGATCGTGCCACTGCACTCCAGCCTGGGCCACAGAATGAGACTCTGTCAAAAAACAAAAACAATCAAACAAACAAAAAAACTCTTCTGAATTTGTTCTAGCACAGAACATGGCCATTTTTTTTTGTCTTCTTTCTATATATAGCTTTTTAAAATCAGTAATGGAATGTTTATTATGAGGCATGAAGTGCAGGCACAAAGGGACGTGGTACTGAGATGAGAGTGACAGCCCAGCCAGTGATGATTTGAGGGAAATGGGAAGTGGAAGTGATGCATATGTGATCATCTTCCTGTTTCAGAACCACAGGAAAGGTATGTTCTACTCATTCCCACACCATTTCACCCTGTCGCCCCTCCTCTTTATGCTTATGTGACATTTCCAGTGGACCAACCCTCTTTGCCTCATGCTCACCATCTCTGGTTCCCTCCCACCACAGTCACCTAAGACTTGACCCAATTTAGAATTAAGCTCTCTGTTAATTCGTGTTCAGATAATTTGAAAAGTTACCCTTACAGGCCAGGAGTGGTGGCTCAAGCCTGTAATCCCAGTACTTTGGGAAGCCGAGGCGGGCGGATCACGGGGTCAGGAGATTGAGACCATCCTGGCTAACACAGTGAAACCCTGTCTCTAGTAAAAATACAAAAAAATTTAGCCGGGCGTGGTGGCGGGCACCTGTAGTCCCATCTACTTGGGAGGCTGAGGCAGAAGAATGGCGTGAACCCGGGAGGTGGAGCTTGCAGTGAGTCCAGATCGCGCCACTGCACTCCAGCCTGGGGACAGAGCGAGACTCTATCTCCAAAAAAAAAAAAAAGTTACCCTTACAAAGTCATGTTTACACAGAGTGAAAGCCTATGTGATACTCATTACAAATGGTAGCAGCTTTCATGATCTACCTTCTGTCACCTCCAACTGCATTCACCTTGCTCAGCAACCCTGAATCCATACCAATCACTACTGAGGTAGATTAAAAGTTATTTGTAAATGTGAAAGACCTGAAGTTTGCAAATTTTAAAGATAAAAATGGAATGGAAACAACTAAAATGTCTTTCAGTGTAAATGGTTACGCCAACACTGGTACATCCATAAAATGGAACACCACTCAACAGTTTAAAAAGAATGAACTATTGATACATCAATAACTTGAATGGATCTCTGTAAAAAAAAAAAAAGAGCCAATCTCAAAAGGTTTCATAGTATATGATTCTTAAAAATGACAAAACCATAAATATAAGGAACAGATTAGTGGTTGCCAGAGATCAAGATTGGGATGGGAAGGTGACTGACTAAGTAATAGGAGTGTGAGGAGTTTCTTTATGCTGATGGAACAGTTTTGTATCTTGATTGTGATGGTGGCTACATTAATCTGGATGTGCTATCAAACTGCATTGGAGTACACACATACACACACACACCCACAGACACACAGAAATGACTGCATGTAAAAACTGGATAAGGTCTGTGGTCTAATTAGCAATATTGTGCCAATGCCAGTCTCCTGGTTTTGATATCATATGACATTTACATAAAATGTCAGTATTAGGAGGAGTTAGGCAAATGGTACAGAAGACTCTATGTACTATCTTTTGCAACTTTCTCTGAGTGTACAATTATTTAAAACAAAAAATTTAAAAAATTATTTTGAAAATAGCCAAGATTACCCCTCAAATAATGTTATCCTTACTTATTTGCATTTTAGTGGAGAGGTAAAGAAAGAGCTCCATTTTGTTCCAAGAACAATTTTCTCTAAGAAAGAGGGGTTATAAGAAGGCCCACCAATTAGTTCTCAATAAAGCACTGAATCAGTCTCATTCTTGGTTATTCTCTGATCTCATTAGACTAGTTCCCTTTTAATTGGATTCCCACATGCACTGAATTTCCTGTTCTTGACCTCCAATCTACCAGTGACTGGGTGTGTCTGAACATTCCAGAGGCTGACTTCTTCTCTGCCTGACTCTCAGGTAACTGTTCATTATCGTCCTATCTCTGATAGGTTAGATAATGGGTCTTGGACATGGTCTATACTTTCCAATTGTGTTATTTTCTTTTTTCTTTCTTTCTTTTTTTTTTTTTTTTTTGAGACGGAGTCTCACTGTGTCTCTCAGGCTGGAGTACAGTGGTATGATTTTGGCTCACGGCAACCTCCACCTCCCGGGTTCAAGCAATTCTCCTGCCTCAGCCTCCCAAGTAGCTGGGACTACAGGCACATGCCACCATGCCCCGCTAATTTTTTTGTATTTTTAGTAGAGACGGGGTTTCACCATGTTAGCCAGGATGGTCTTGATCTCCTGACCTTGTGATCCGCCTGCCTTGGTCTCCCAAAGTGCTGAGATTACAGGTGTGAGCCACCGCACCCGGCCTATGTTATTTTCATACCACTCTTACCTTCATGATGCTTCCTTGTGAGGCCCTGCCCTTGTCCACCATTCAGAATTCAGTACTTCCATCCTATTATTTTCCCAGAGAGTATAGACATTTTATATTATAGTACTTATCACACTTTATAATCGTATCACTCTTGTTTGTTTATGTGTTTAATGCCCATCTCCCCTTTAGACTGTCAGCTCAATGAGGGCAAAGACTATGTCTATTTCCTTCCCTAAGTGGAGAGTAGCTAGGTACTCTCCATGAACCTATAGTCTTTTTGGCAATGGGAAAAGCAAGGGCAAAGGACCTGAGGTGAGAGCTTTTCTAAATGTTTGATGCAAGGTAATGAGGCTAGCGTGGCTGTGTAATGTGATGAAGGAGGAAACCATAGGGGATGAGGATAAAAGCTAATTGAGATTTGGGGAGTGGTGAAGATGATTTCAGGGCCTTGTGGGCCTATAATGACTTTGACTTTTTTTCTGTGCGAGATGGGAAACCTCTGTACAGTTTTGAGCAGAAAGACATGACCTGACAGGTTTTAAAGGTATTTTCATTCTCCTGATTGCTGGGTGTATCTCTAAATTAAACAAACATGAAGGAGGAAAAGAGGGGTGCTATTTATAAACTTCCTAAAATCTCGCACTTGCCACCCTATGCCACATGTTTTACTTGCATCATTTCCTTTGGTTCTATTATTTATTATGTTTAAGAAATGAAGAAACAAAGACTAGAAAGGTTAAAAAAATTACTCAAGGTAATGTAATGAGTAAATTGTAAATTTCTAATGCAAACCTAGATATGCTAACCTCACAGCTCATGCTCTGAACTACTCTGGTCATTTTTGGAGCACAAAGTTCAAATTAATGAGTGGAACAAGATAAGGGCTGGAGAAGTAGGTGGACATCAGATTGTCAAAGGTTTTGTATGTCATGTATATTAGGTGCTTATATTTTTTTGTATGCCTTGTCTCTCCTCCTCTTCCTGCTAGGCTACCCATCATACCACCTTCTCCTCAGGGCTGGGATGGGCACCTGAGCTGGACCTGGCCTGTCAGAGTGACTCATTCATTCCTGTAGCCACAGTAATTAAGCCAAGGATGAACATGTGGTCCCAGCTAGGCCAACCAGAAGCTTTCCTTTTGGAGTTTTATTGGAACTGGAGAAGAGGATTTCTCTTTTGGGTCTTGGAGATGGAAGTATATTATCAGGAAACTCCATCAATCATCTTTCTTTCCACATGGGAAAGCCAGTCCACAATCATAAAAAAAATAATTTGAGCATAGCAATCTTCATTGTCAGTCAACTCAGGAAAGCTTTGAAATAAAACTCAGAGCAGGGGTGGAAAGAGGAATGCGTGTACTTTTGTTTATAATTATATCAGGCATATTAATAGTAGCTCTCTCAAAATAAAATCAAAGACATGTAAATGGGTAGAATCACTCCCTCAGCAGTAAGTGAAGTTTCCTAAAGAAAATAAATAATCTTCTATGTTGGACATATTTGTACATTAAGACAGGATGGATCACGACCTGGACTGAAGACTTCTACTAGTTTTTCTTTACGCCCAAACTTACACCATAAAAATCAACAAACATTAAGATCCTTCTCTTTACAAAGACAGCAGAAACAAGACAAGGAAGATACCAGAAGCAATAATTTGTAAGAATCAAAAAGGTAGTCAGATTCTCCATATGTAGTCAGTTCTTGTCACACCTCTGTTCAAAGCTTCCAGAGAATCTCCATCCCTTTTAGGATAAATCCAAAGTATTCACCATGGCCTATGAAGTTTTAGATGATTCAGCATATGGCTTCTTCTTTGACCTCATTTTCTGCTAGTTTCCATCTTGCTTATGCCACTGCAACCAGCTGGGCTCCTTGCTGTTCCTCAAATAGTCCAAGCACTTCTACTTCAGGAGGATTGCAAGTTCTGTTTCTTCTTTCTGATACAACTTTTTCTCTGTTACCATCTGTATTAGTCCATTCTCACACTGCTATTAAGAAATTCCTGAGACTGAGTAATTAATAAAGAAAAAAGTTTTAATTGGCTCACAGTTCTGCAGGCTATATACAGGAAGCATAGTGGCTTCTGCTTCTGGAGATGCCACAGGAAACTTAGAATCATGGTGAAAGGCAAAGGGGAAGCAGGCATGTCTTACATGGCTGGAGCAGAAGGAAGAGAGAGGGAGGTGTATGTGAGGTGCCACACACTTTCAAACAACAAGATCTCATGATAACTTTATCATGAGAACCACATTATGGGGGGTGTTGCTAAACTACTCATGAGAAACCGCCCCCAAGGTCCAATCACCTCCCACCAGGACCCATTTCCAACATTGGGGATTACAATTTGACATGAGATTTGGGCAGAGACACAAATCCAAACCGTATCACCCTCATGGCTTTCTCACTTGTTTCAAGTATCTGCTCAAATGTCACCTAATCATTAAGGCCACCACTGGCCTTTCCAAATAAAATAATCTACCCCAATTCATATGCTGTTTTCTTTTTCTTTTTCTTTTTCTTTTTTTTTTTTGAGATGTTTTGCTCTTGTTGCCCAGGCTGGAGTGCAATGATGAGATCTCGGCTCACCGCAACCTCCACCTCCCAGGTTCAAGCAATTCTCCTGCCTCAGCCTCCCGAGTAGCTGGGATTACAGGCATGTGCCACCACACCCGGCTAATATTTTGTATTTTTAGTAGAGATGGGGTTTCTCCATGTTGATTAGGCTGGTCTCAAACTCCTGGCCTCGGGTGATCCACCTGCCTCGGCCTCCCAAAGCTATTTTCTTCATAGTATTTACCACTACTTCATTGTATCTGGAACACTTCTCTCTAGTGCAGTCTATTGTCTTGAGGAAAGAAGGTTCCAATCTCTTGTTTAGAGGGTGTATATCTGTTCTGAACAAGGGAATTATCTGGGAATCTTAATATTTAGTATATAGAGATTCACTTATTCCTTCTATTTTGACAAATACTTTTATCCCTTCCTGCTGCTGTTTAACCCTTTCCTCTGCTGTATGGAGTCCAAAATCCATCTAGTGTAACTTCTCCTGAGAGTAGGCCTATGGTTTCCTGCCTGGGGAGTAAGGGCTGGGTGTGTAGTGCCCGGCTGCAGACAGTAGGGAAGTCTCATGTCCTTAGCTCACCTGCCTAATCCATGCCAACGGCACTCCCTGATGCTTCTCAGATCTGAGCTCCTCGAGTTTTCACTCCTATTCCACTTTTACAAAGGTGAACTCCTGATGGATTAAAACCCAATTGTGAAACATAAAACTATGAAATTAGTAGAATACAATGTAGACCTTAAAGTGAACGGTATTTTAACAAGATTTTAAAATTATGAAAAATAAAAGTTTCAGTTAGACAGGATGAATAAATTCTGTAAGTCTATTGTACAGCATGGTGATTATAGCTAATGATAAAGTACTGTATACTTGAACGTTGCTAAGAGTAGATTTTAAATGTTTTCACTACACACACACAAAACTATGTGAGATGATAGACATGTTAATTAGTTTGATTGTGGCAAGCATTTCACAATGTATACATACATCAAAACATATTGCGCACCATAATATATACAATTTTTGTCAATTATATCTCTTTTTTTTAGTTTTTTTTATTATTATTATACTTTAAGTTTTAGGGTACATGTGCACAATGTGCAGGTTAGTTACATATGTATACATGTGCCATGCTGGTGTGCTGCACCCATTAACTCGTCATTTAGCATTAGGTATATCTCCTAATGCTATCCCTCCCCCTTCCCCCCCACCTGTCAATTATATCTCAATAAAGCTAGAAAAAAGTTTATATATAAATATATGTAGTAGTTTTTATATATAGTTATAACTATATAAAAAGTAAGATTTCTATTCAAGTTAGAATATTTTAATGTTCTTATTTTTCAAAATATTAGGAATAATTATCACTAGACAATGAGAATATATGATGGAGAAGAAAGAAAACTCAAAAGAAGACCGATTGAGTTAAATAAAATAGAGGGATATGGGACTAGGCCTACCTGAAGTGAGAGTGTAATGTGGCATTAGCTAAGATAGGAGAGAATTGTTGATCCAAGAGTCAGGTGAAAGACTGTGGGTTAAACTTTAGGAGATGGGATGATGCTGAATGATGATAAGGGTGGACTTGGAAAGGGGTGGATGGTGGCTGAATGGAGTAGAACTGAAAACCATAGGCCATTGAATGAGTTATCTACACAGCCCCTGAAACCTTCTAAAAGGTGGGCAAGAGTTGTGGAGAGGTGCAAGACTCTGAGTCATGTGTCAAAACTCTCAATGTCTAATTATAGATTGTTGAAGGATAGTATGGACTAGGGAGTCTATAGACCACATCTCTAAGAGTTGCTACTTTATTCTGAGACATATGCAATCATATTCTCCAGTAACTAAAACTTTCTATTCATAAATGATAGCTTTTAGAATCAATCTAGGAGGAATCATATTTTTAACAGAGTCGTTACGTTGTATTTAATGTAACGGTGTTTCTCTCCTGTTTAGCTTTATCTACATAATAGACATGTTCTGTAGTGTTAAAAATTCTACTTTCTTATTAAACTGACTTTACTGAATATTTCCACCTCTTAATTTGTGTGCATACATAATTGTATCAGTGAATTCAGGGTGAAGGAAGATGAAAAGGTGGGGAGAGCCTCTGAGATATGACTAGCAACATTTTAAGTATAGAAATTTTACAAATCCCCTACTGATTTGTAGGAGAAAGCTTTCAGCTATTTACATACCAACCAATTGTCTTGTCTTGCCCCAGGTCTGGCTGACCTACTTCCTGGTGTGATAAAGATTGCTTGGAAGCCAAGAAAACACTGGCAAGATTAGTCAGATTCATTCAGAGGAAGTTACTTAAGAACAAAATTTATTTATGTTTTTTAATAAACATTTCCACTCCCACCCTTTACCTAAACCATTCACACTCCTTCCTCCTCCCCCCCAACACACAAAAACAATTATAACAAAAATAAACATATTCTGGCTCTTAATGGGTGGTCCTATGTTTGTGATCAGTGTCAGTGATTAGTGCAGATTCTAGGACTATTTTTTTTTTCCTTTCATAACATGCAGTGAAAATAATAAAAACAATCCTGCTAATATACAACTCCCTTGATCCCAAAATTTATTTCTTCTTCTGACTCCATAGTCCTACAATATTTTGTAAATATAGGATTCTCCTTCATAGAATCCAGGAAGCCATATGGTTTGAGAGAGTTGAATTAACTACTTGAAGCTAAGAAAACATCCAGGGGAGACCTTTTGCTACCAGAACTCTTCCAGTTCTGCTGACATCTATTCCCGTAAATTAATGAAGACTCAGACTGACTTTCATATGTAATACACATGCATGCATACACACCATGTGCTTTTTCTAATGGTCGTTTTTAGCGTCTGATATACTGGAAAAGGCAAAACTGTGGATATAGTATTAATAAAAAGATCAGTGGTCGCCAGGAGTTGGTGGGTGGCAGTGGGAGGGTTGGAGAGGTAGAGTAAAGAGGATTTTTAGGAAAGTGAAAACACTTTGTACACTGTTATAATGTAGAATGTACAACTCCCACAGTGAACTCTAATGTAAACTATGGCTTTTGGATAATTATGCTGTATCAGTGTAGATTCATCAATTGTAACCAATGTACCACCATGGTGCAGGATTTTGACAATGGGATATGTGTGTGTGTATGTGTGTGTATAGATGTGAGTTTGTGTGTGTGTGTGTGAAGGAAAAGAGAGATAAAAAGAGTGACTTTAAGGGGAATCAGATTATGGGATTGTAGGGTGTTGGATTGTCTGAAATCTGTAGGGCAGGCCAGCAGGCTGACAACTCAAGTAGGAGTTAATATAGTTTTGAGTCAGAATTCTGAAGGGCAGCAGGCTGGAAACTCAGGCAGGGATTTTTTTTTTTTTTTTTTTTTTTTTTTTTTTTTTTTTGACAGAGTCTTGCTCTGTCACCTAGGCTGGAATGTAGTGGCATGATCTCAGCTCACTGCTGAGATCACCTCCACCACCTGGGTTCAAGCAATTCTCCTGTCTCAGCCTCCCAAGTAGCTGGGATTACCGGTGCCTGCCACCACACCTGGCTAATTTTTATATTTTTAGTAGAGACGAGGTTTCACCATGTTGGCCAGGCTGGTCTCAAACTCCTGACCTCGTGATCCACCTGCCTTGGCCTCCCAAAGTGCTGGGATTACAGGCGTGGGGCACCGCACCCGGCCTTCAGGTAGGATTTTTATGTTCCAGTCAGTCTTAGTCCATATGAGCTGCTATAACAAAATACCACAGCCTCGGTAATTTATAAACATCAGATATTTATTTCTCACATTTTAGAGGCTCATAATTCTAAAATCAAATTGCTGGCAGATTATGTGTCTTGTGAGAGCCTTCTTGCTGCATCCTAACATGGCAGAAGAGCGGAAGGGAACCTACTCCCACAAGCCCTTTTATAAGAGTGCTGATCCTATTCGTGAGCATGGAGCCCTCATGACTTCATCACCTCCCAAAGAACACACCACCTCTTAATACTGTTTGTTGCATTGGGCATTAGGTTTCAACATGAATTTTGGAGAGAGAGGGCACCATCATTTAAACCAGGGCACAATCTTAAGGAGGATTTCTTCTTTGGGGAACCTTACACTTTACTTTTAAGGACTTCAACTGATTGGGCAAGGTTCATCACATTATGTAAAGAAATAAGTTTTACTCAAACTCTACTGATGTAAATGTTAATTATATACTGAAAAAATACCTTCACAGCAACATCTAGACTAGTGTTTTACCAAACAAATAGATATCAAAGCCTAGTTAAGTTGACACACAAAATTAACAATCACAGTTGGTCTTTTAAACTTTAATGACTCTAGTGGGTGTGTAGTAGTATCTTACTGCTGTTTTAATTTGCATTTTATTGGTGACTGATGATGCTGAACACATTTTCATTTACTTATTGAGCACTCATGTTTTCCTTTGTAAAGTTCCTGCTTAAGACTTTTGTTTATTTTTATTGTTTGTCTTTTTTGCTATTGAGTTGAAGAAGGTAATTATAAATTCTATATTCAAATCCTTTGTTCTATATGTGTACTGCAATTATTTTCTATATGTCTGTGGTTTGTATATTTACTTTCCTGATATAGTCTTTTTTTTTTTTTTTTTTTTTTGACAGGGTCTCACTCTGTTGCTCAGGCTGGAGTGCAGTGGCACAATCTTGGCTCACTGCAACCTCCACTTTCCAGGTTCAAGCGATGTTCGTGTCTCAACCTCCTGAGTAGCTGGGATTATAGGCGCTTGCCACCATGCCAGGTTAATTTTTGTATTTTTAGTAAAGACAGGGTTTCACCATACTGGCCAGGCTGTTCTTGAACTCCTGACTGCAAGTGATCTGCCTGCCTTGGCCTCGCAAAGTGCTGGGATTACAGGCGTATGTCACTCTGTCCAGCCCCTAATATAGTCTTTTGATGAGCAATTTTATTAATTTTTTGAAGTCCATTCTATCAATTTTTTCTTTTATAATTAGTACCTTCTGGATCCTATCTAAAATCTTTGCTTACCTCAGGCTTATAAAGATATACAATATTTTTTTCCGGGAGCTTTATAGTTCTAGGTTTTATATGTAGATAAAGGAACCATTTGAATTAACTCGTGAGTGTTGTGAGGTAGAATTAAGGTTCTTTCTATTTGTGCGAATGTTCAGTAGTTCCTATACTATTTACTGAAAAGAGATTTTGGTTTACCAATCAGATTGCATAGTCATCATTGTCAACTGTAAAATTGTCAGTCTGAACTAGGTTCTTCATCCTAATTGCCAAACTCCTAAGAGAAGGAATTTTATTTTCTAGCTTGGGTTCAGTATTCATTCTGCGGATAATCTATTCTGGCAGTTTTGATGAGGATAAAGGAAATCATGTGGTGCAAAAATGGCTTGCAAACCTAACCCCATCAACAAGAAGAACCTTGCATCTTTTCCTTAAAAAAGGCTTTTTATTTTGAAATATTATAAATTCATAGAAAGTTGCAAAGAAATGTATAAAGAGGAAAGATGCAAACTTCATAATACCTCCCCCAATGTTGACATCTTGCATAATTATAGTACAATATCAAAACCAGGAAACTGATCTTGGTACAATCCACAGAACATATTTACATTTCACAATTTATATATGCATTTACATGTTTTTTTGTGTGTGTATAGTTCTATGCAATTATGCCATGTATAGAGATTTGTGTAACTACTACCTTAATCAAAGAACTGTTCAAGCAGCACACATATCCCTTACACTACTCTTTTATAGCTTCTAATCCTCCCACCAATTGCTAATCTTGCAACCACTATATTTTCTTCACCTCTATAGTTTTGTTATATCAAGAATGTTATATAAATGGAATTACACGTGGAACTTAACACTGGCTTTTTTTACTCAGCATAATTTACACATAATTCCCTTGAGTTCCATCCAAAGTGCTGTGTGTATTAGTAGGCTTTTTTCCTTTCACTATATAGTATTTCATTGATACCACAGAGATACCACAGCTTGGTACAGTTAGTTTAATCATTCATCTATTGATGGACTTTGGGTTGTTTCCAGCTTTTGGCTATCATGAATAAATGTGCTACAACTTTCATGCACAGGTTTTTGCATGAACATAGGTTTTTATTTTTGGGGGGTAAAGGCCAAGAAGTACAATTCTTGGATAATTGGTCAAGAGTGCAAATACAGTTGGGTTGTGTGGTATGGTAAACAAAATAATGGCTCCCCCAAAATGTCCATGCCTTAATCTCAAGAACCTGTGAATGTTATCTTACATGACAGAAAGGACTTTGTAAATGTGAAGAAATTAAGGATCTTGAGCAGGAGAGAATTTCCTATATTATCTGCATGGGCCCCAGGGCAATCAGAAGGGTCATTATGAGAGGGGAAGGTAAAACAATCCGAGTTAGAGACTTTGGAAGATGCTATCCTGTTGGCTTTAAAGATGGAGAAATAAATTATGAGCCAAGGCAACCTTTAGAAGCTGGAAAAGTCAAGGAATAAATTCCCCTAGAGCTTTCGGAAGAAACACAGCCCTGCTGACATCTTGATTTTAGTTCATAAGATTTTAGTTCATAAGTTTTTAAGTTTTTAGTTCATAAGATTTTAGTTCATAAAATTCATAAGATTTTAGTTCATAAGTTAGAAGTTCTAACTTCTAACCTCCAGAACTTTAGATAATGAATTTGAGCTCATAATTTTGCAGTATTTTGTTAATAACATAAGCAGAAAGGCATTACATATAAGTAAGTGAATTTTTAATTCAAGAATAAATTACCAAACTTTTTCATCGTGGATGTCTCTGCTCTCTAAGATCTTACTCTTTCTTCAAGAATCACCACATATTCTACTTCTTTCATGAAGTCTGTTATTATTTATTAATCATATATTTATTTTTGAATGCCTTTTAAATGTCAGGCACTGTTCTGGAACCTGTGAATAATGCAGGCAAGGTCCTTGCTTTCACAGACACAAAATTCCAGAAAGGGGACATAGATAGTAAACACACAAATAAGACAATATTAGATAAAATAAATGGTATAAAGAAAATCAAACAGCCTTAGTAGTTGCTTTAGTTTGGTGGTTGGAGAAGCCCTTTCTAAAAAGGGGAAATTTGAGCTGAGATCTAAATGTTGAGAAGGATGTGAAAATCTGCATAAGAAATATTCAAAATAGGGCAACACCTGAGAATCACAGCTACTGAGGAAATCACAAGAAAGCCACTGTGTCTGGAGCATAATGAATAAGAGTGTGGAATTTTAGTAGATAAGCTCAGATAGATGGGCAGGGAATAGACCATTGAGATCCTCATAGGGTAGGATAAGAAGATTATATTTTTCCATTGTGTAGTAGGAAGCTACTGGAAGATTTTAAACATGGGAAAGGCATGATATGATTTATGTTAAAACATAATTACTGCCTATATAAGGTGTAAGGAAGGGGTCCAGTTTCAGTTTTCTGCATATGGTTAGCCAGTTTTCCCAACACCATTTATTAAATAGGGAATCCTTTCCCCATTGCTTGTTTTTGTCAGGACTGTCAAAGATCAGATGGTTGTAGATGTGTGGTATTATTTCTGAGGCCTCTGTTCTGTTTCATTGGTCTATATATCTGTTTTGGTACCAGTACCATGCTGTTTTGGTTACTGTACATGATGCCTCCAGCTTTGTTCTTTTTGCTTAGGATTGTCTTGGCTATACGGGCTCTTTTTTTTTGGTTCCATATGAAATTTAAAGTAGTTTTTTCCAATTCTGTGAAGAAAGTCAATGGTAGCTTAATGGAAAGTCAATGGATAGCATTGAATCTATACATTACTTGGGGCAGTATGGCCATTTTCAAGATACTGATCCTTCCTACCCATGAGCATGGAATATTCTTCCATTTGTTTGTGTCCTCTTTTATTTTGTTGAGCAGTGATTTGTAGTTCTTCTTGAAAAGGTCCTTCACATCCCTTGTAAGTTGGATTCCTAGGTATTTTATTATCTTTGTAACAATTGTGAATGGGAGTTCACTCATGATTTGGCTCTCTGTTTGTCTATTATTGGTGTATAGGAATGATTGTGACTTCTGCACATTGATTTTGTATCCTGAGAATTTGCTGAAGTTGCTTATCAGCTTAAGGAGATTTTGGGCTCAGATGATGGGGTTTTCTAAATATACAATCATGTCATCTGCAAAGAGAGACAATTTGACTTCCTCTCTTCCTATTTGAATAAGTTTTATTTCTTTCTCTTTCCTGATTGCCCTGGCCACAACTTCCAATACTATGTTGAATAGGAGTGGTGAAAGAGGGCATCCTTGTCTTGTGCCAGTTTTCAAAGGGAATGCTTCCAGCTTTTGCCCATTAGGTATGATATTGGCTGTGTGTTTGTCATAAATAGCTCTTATTATTTTGAGATATGTTCCATCAATACCTAGTTTATTGAGAGTTTTTAGCATGAGGGGGTGTTTACTGAAGGTCTTTTCTGCATTGAAGAATTAAAGACTTAAATGTAAGACCTAAAACCATAAAAACCCTAGAAGAAAACCTAGGCAATACCATTCAGGACATAGACATTGGGCAAGGACTTCAAGACTAAAACACCAAAAATAATGGCAACAAAAGCCAAAATTGACTAATGGGATCTAATTAAACTAAAGAGCTTCTGCACAGTAAAAGAAACTACCATCACAGTGAACAGGCAACCTACAGAATGGGAGAAAATTTTTGCAATCTATGCATCTGACAAAGGGCTAATATCCAGAATCTACAAAGAACTTAAATGAATTTACAAGAAAAAACAAACAACCCCATCAAAAAGTGGGCAAAGGATATGAACAGACACTTCTCAAAAGAAGACATTTATGCAGCCAACAAACATGAAAAAAAGCTCATCACCGGTCATTAGAGAAATGCACATCAAAACCACAATGAGATACCATCTCATGCCAGTTAGAATGGCAATCATTAAAAAGTCAGAAAACAACTGATGCTGGAAAGCATGTGGAGAAATAAGAACGCTTTTACACTGTTGGTAGGATTGTAAATTAGTTCAACCATTGTGGAAAACAGTGTGGAGATTCCTCAAAGATCTAGAACCAGAAATACCATTTGACCCAGCAATCTCATTACTGGGTATATACCCAAATGATTATACATCATTCTACTATAAAGACACATGCACATGTATATTCATTGTGGCACTGTTCACAATAGCAAAGACTTGGAACCAACCCAAATGCCCATCAATGACAGACTGAATAAAGAAAATGTGGAACATATATGCCATGGAATACTATGCAGCCATTAAAAAGGATGAATTCATGTCCTTTCCAGGGAAATGGTTGAAGCTGGAAACCATCATTTTCAGCAAACTAACACAGGAACAGAAAACCAAACGCTGCATATTCTCACTCATAAGTGGGAGTTGAACAATGAGACCACACGGACACAGGGAGGGGAACATCATACACTGGGGCTTGTCGAAGGGTGGGGGGCTAGGGGAGGGATAGCATTAAGAGAAATACCTAACGTAGATGACAAGTTGATGGGTGCAGCAAACCACCATGGCGCATGTATACCTATGTAACAAACCTGCACGTTCTGCACATGTGTCCCAGAACTTAAAGTATAAAGTGTGTGTGTATATATATATATAAAATTACTGCCACTGCCATAAGGAGAATGGTTTGGGCTGAGGAAAGAATAGACAAGAGAACACCAATTAATAGACTATTACACTGCTAGGTTGTGAAGTTGGAAAAAAGGTGACAGATTTAAGATTTATTTGTGGGTTGTAGTCAACAGGATTGCTGTTGGATTGGCTATGCAAGTGAAGGAAAGAGTATGGTGGTGTCTTTAACGTTGGACAATTATTATTTGGGATATATGGTTCTGGGAGGGAAGAATGTAAAAGAAGCAATTAAATTGATGACTTTGAGTGGAGAGGTTGTCAATTGACAATTTGGAGATGTTGTCAATTGACAATTAGACGTTGGTCCTGGAGTGCTTATTTCTGAGTGCTTATTATTTCAAATAATGAGCTTAAATGTGATTAATCTGGAGGAATGCAGACAGAGCAGATATCAAGACACTTCAACTTATACATACAGTAGAAGAGAAAGAGCTTAAAAAAAAGAGAGAGAGAAAAGACTGAGCAATAGTGCTCTGAGAAAGGTAGAGAAAGACCAGGAGAGTATCAAACCATGAAGCCAAGGTTGGGGCAGGGGTTCTTTCAGTAAAGAGATTATAGCTATTTGTGTTGAATGCTACTGAGAAGCCAAATAAAAAACAGATTAGGAGAATGGCTGGATTTAATCAACTTGTGTCAATTCAGCACAGTAGAGGGAGAATATACAGAGCAGAGGGGAATGATTAGAATGATGGACAATAGAATCTGAGCTAGATGCATATGGAAGTAAATGGAAAGATAAAACAGGTGATAAATAGTGAAGTGATGAGGTTGGTGGATCGGTAGGTTCAGTGAGACTGAGAGTTAGATGTTAGAGTGTAAGCAATAAAATAGGTGAGCTGGAAGATGCTTGGAATCAAGATTTTGAAAGTGGTGCTGTAATTAATCATAATGATATCAAGATATGTATGATTTCAGGAAATATGGTGGAAGAGGCCATCCCTGGAATGGAGAAGGCCAAAGAGGAGAGGCCAGGGAAGATGCTAAATATGTGGTCCATGTAGATATTGAAATTACCAAGATGTCAAGGATAGAGGTACAACAAAAGCCTATGAGCTTTTGCATCAATGATTTGCCCAACTTTGTATAATTTCCTCCTCTTTGAACTTCTTAACTTTGTGCCCCCTTCATAATATATGTCTTATTCTTTGCCTTATTGTGTATTTTTTTCTTCTTCTTCTAGACTAGGCAATGAAAATAAGCTTGTTTGCCATCTTCTGTAAAGATACACAAACTAGACATTTTCCAACACAGTGTCGCAGTGAATAAGGATTATGAGATTTAAATAGTGACTCTAGGAAGCCTCTATATAATTGAGGGCAAAACCATTTCATGAAGGGCCAGTCCTAGTTTTGAATAGGTAGGAGAATGCAAGATAATGGTTTAAGAGTAATGCTTCAGAGAAATCTTATGTCATATGACAAAGATGTATAGAAACAATCAAAGTTTATCTTCAGAAAAGATCTGTCAATTTTTAAATAGTACAAAAATAAACAGACATTTATTTCCAGACTTATCTTTTACATAAGTTAAATACACATTTGTCTGAGGCACTGAAACATTCGCATACACAACCCAAATTCCCAGGTTTTGTCAGCAGATCAATGTTAATAACAAATCAAGTTTTTTTTTTAAAAAAAACAGTGAACAGTGTTTTATACAAGCATATTGACTATTTCTTTCTTAACCTTAAACATTCTAAACGTAAAATTGTAAAGAAGATTCTCCTGAGTTATCTTTAATGATATTTATTTCATTTTCTCCCTCTTCCCAAAAGAAAATTTTTTTCAATTATTTATATAAATACTATTATCTGTAATCAGCGTTTGATTTAAAAATATTAAAACCCACAGTGCTTGACACAGAATATTTTCTCAATAAATTGTGGCTGAACAAATTAACGAAGCATCCACAGATCCCTCAAAACATTTTAAAAGGTCAGTCTTATGGCACATTCAGGCTAATGAGACAATATTCTTTGTGGGCTAGCACATAGGCCTATCCTAAGGACAAACATTCAACCTTAAATATCTCAATATGCCAATCAGATTTCTAAAAATTTATTCACAAATCTTAATACAATCATTTCTTTGGATTGTTTACATAATATTCAGAGAGGTAACCCCAAAGAAAATATACTGATTGTGACATAACAAAAAAAAATCAATGATTGTAGGCTTAAACACAGTTTATAACCATAGTGTCCTAATAAGACATAAATAATAATCTTCAATAAATTAAGTAATATACAGTACCATTAAATGTCAGTGACAATGAGATGTGGAAAAGAAGTATTATCGTCATTATTATTATTGCTGAGAACTACTTAGATATCATTTGGTTTTGTTTTTAAATAAGAAAGGGCATTAATTAGAATGGGAACGTAACTTTTTCCAGTCACAAACCCCGTACAGTTCTCTCTGAGGCACTAGCCTCTTTGCATCCATCTTGGTTACAGATAGCTAAAATTAGCTATAAATAAAATTCTCTGCTTTTCACTTAAAATAAGTGTATACTATTTTTAAAAGGGCCTTTTTTTTTCTCTTTTAATCTTCTTAAGAGGAGCTAAATAGCAGTCCTGAGCTGAGGTTTACCTGAAAACTTGCAAAAGTTCAGGTAAGAAAATATAGGCAGAGTCCAAAGAAAGTGAACTCTGATCTTAAAACTAGTAAAACAAAATAGGAGAAACGAAGTGATGAGAAGACTGTGTCTCTTAGCAAAATGGCTAAAAGAAGAAAAGAAAAGGAACAGCATGCAGGTAGCCAGGCTTGATTCCAATGCACCTACTGAATTGGCTTCAAGACTGAGATAAAATTAATGTGTGAAATGAATTTAAGCATTTTGAAGAGGTATTTTATGAGGTCATTGCTACTTTTGCAATGTGATATGGACTGCTAAATTAAACTGTACAACAGAAAATCTGAGAAAACATATCATTATTCAAGCACAGCTTGGTACTTCATTAACCTCATAGCAAAATCTGAGTACCAGGCCTGCAGTGCACAAGGATAAAAAAAAGTTTGCTTCAAAAGTTTAAACCTAAATTTGAACAATAATTTGGTTTTCTTCTTTGTTATTGCTTATTTTAAAGGTAGACCCTTTTGCTGATATAGATTTTACATGTTACCAGCCATATAAACAAATTCTGGAATATCTCAACAAAATATTCTTATTTTAAGATAACACTGCAGTGGCTCCACCACCTTAATAAATTTGGCATTTTGATTTAAAAGGAAGTTTTAACAGTCACACTAAAAAGGTTTATACTCTTGGTGAAAAAGGAACATCACTTATAAAATATTTTAACAAGCAATTGTAGTAAAATTTCTACTGATTTTACAGATTTAAATCCAAGACAGCTTCTTTTTGGTATATGTACAAGTTTAATAACTTTAAGAAATCAAACAAGCTTTTACAGGTGATTCTACCCTATGAATTTAGAAATTTCAAATTATTGTTTCATTGCTGATTTTAAAAAGTAGACATGAAATTACTGGTAATGTCTAATTTAAATATTCATTTAATAATGCACTGATACCTGTTTTTGTTTGATGACAGAAAAATAACCAAAAGTACTTTAAAATTTCAAACATTAGTTACTTCTAATGCATCATGGAAGATGCATTGGAAACATCGACAGTGTAAAAACTTTCAGCATTTTGCCATCTTGTGACAGTGTTTAAGTATTCAAACATCTTTACTTTCGTTCTTATAATATAAGTTGAAATTCAAGTAAAAAGACGTCAAAACTCATTTCTCTCTGGTTTATAAAACAGAATAAAAACTGTTTTCCAAACTTAACAGCAACAGCAAAATCTTTAGAGTAGTGACATAAAAGTCTTCACAAGTATGACTCCTTTCTCCGCAACAGGAGTACTGACTTCTGTTACAGAAGATGTTAAGTAACATAAGGAGTTTAATATAAATATTATTAAATAATTAAATTAATAGACATGGTTCATATAAATAAATAAATATGATCATTAGACTTCTACAGTTCAGTCGAACGTTCTTTTAGTAGTACTGTGGGATTGATATCATCTAGTCCGGAGCGGGAAGAACTTGCATTGATGGTGACTGTTTTAATGAGCTCTGGATCTGGAACACTGAATGAAGTAAAGGGACAGCCCTTCACGTTATTGCAGATGAGAGACTGAATTGAGGCAGTGTTGATGATTTGAAAACCCACTTCTCCACCAAAAGTGCTTGGCTTCCAGTAGGCAGGAGAACATATAACATTACCCATAAGTCCTTTCAAGGAGAATGGTGCTCCAACTTCTACCATGGTTTCACCAAAGATGGCATCTGGCCGAGGCTTTTCTACCAGAAGGGCAGGATACAGCTCCACAGCATCGATGTCACCATAGAGTGCTTCCAACTCTGCAGACATTTCCTTTTCTCCTGTGAAGGCGATGAAGACAGAGATACAACCAATGTCAAACTTCACAAAATAAAAAACAGTTTGATTCTTTTGCTCAATTTGCTGCCAACTTCTCTGTTTCCATTTGACCCCTGATTCTTTTAAGAAGTTTAGGGGCCAGGCGCGGTGGCTCACGCCTGTAATCCCAGCACTTCGGGAGGCCGAAGCCGGCGGATCACTAGGTCAGGAGTTTGAGACCAGCCTGGCTAACACGGTGAAACCCCGTCTATACTGAAAATACAAAAAATTATCCATGCGTGCGACGTGAGCCTGTAGTCCCAGCTACTCAGGAAGTTGAGGCAGGAGAATTGCTTGAACCCAGGAGGCGGAGGTTGCAGTGAGCCGAGATGGCGCCACTGCACTCCAGCCTGGGTGACAGAGGGCGGCTCCATCTCGAAAAGAAAACCAAAAACAACAAAAACAAACAAACAAACAAAAAACGAAGAAGTTTAGAAACTGTTTCTTACCTGTAAGTTCTTCAAATGATTCATAGGGCTTCAGCATAAAGCGTTTGCGGTACTCATTAAAAGACTGGTATTTCATCTGCCTGCTCTGGTCAATGGAAGCCTGTGATACTTTCTGTACTGCGGGTGGAACATTCCTACCACCAGCAACCTGTGGAAAGTAAAATTAGTTGTAAAACAAGAATTTTAGGCATATTTACTGTTTGTATTCAGCTTGCCTTAGGTACAAATCAGGTAAAACTGAAACTCCCAGCGGAGACAATTTTTATTTGCTGGAAAGATGCTTACCTACATTTCAACAGGAGCTCTGCTTAAAATTCAATGGGACACCAGCCTAGAACTAATTTGCCTTTTTACATTTCAAAAATAACACTAGTATTCAAGCCTAAAATATTTATTCCTATAAGATTATAGATACTTTTTGAAAATATTTTTAAGGTAGGGGTACAATTTGCTATTTGTCTGACAACTGTAGACTAGACTAAAAGTTTAGACTTTTCAAACAAAGTTAGGCTTCTTATATCAATAAAATAATTTTACTAGCAATATAACTAACTACTCTTTTAGTAAGTTTAAGAAAAATAATTTCCGTGGCAGAAATTCTAAAGTTACTGACTAGTCTTTTGTTTTGGTTTTCAATAATAATGCTTACCCTGCCAGCAATTTGCCTGGTGAATGATTCAACAAACTGGGTAATTCCATGTTCCAGCAATATAGAGTTGTTGTAGATAAACTGTTGATAGTTGTATTTCTGGTCATGAATTTGAAAGGTGTCAGGCAGAAGGGGATGCCAGTGATAGAGGGTGTTAAATTCAGCAGCAATACGATTTTGGTACTGGAATTGTTTGTTGAAAAGTAGTTCTGGGTCAAATTTCAGTTTGAAGTGATAGCCACTCAAGTGTTGCACATAATCTTCAATCACAATCTTAATAGTCTCTCCTATTTGCACAAAATAAATAATAAAAACATTTATTGCATCTGATCACAAGCTTTCAAGCAACTGGAATGCAATTTTTAAAATTTGCTATTCCTTCATTTCTGTTTTCTTCCTTGTCAGTATCAAAAGATAGCTATTTTATCAGTCATGCTTACATATTTAATGTATATAGAATGTGTGAGTTTTCATTTACCACATCTTGTCATTTACTCAAAACATAACAAAGATAGCACACTAATTTTCCCTGGGGAAGAGGGTTTTATATAAATCATTTTCTTGTTTACCTATCAGTATTAGCCTGCTTGTCTGGAACAACTGCTCATCACCCCATTCAGGATGCTCCTGTTTAAGCACATCGCATACTCTGTTGTGTTCCCGCAGCCAGATTGTGGCATACATCATCAGACCAGGCACCAGACCAAAGACCTCCTGCCCCACAGCAAACCGTAGATGCTCAGGGACTTGAGGAGGGTAGATCATCTCTGCCTGAGTATCTTTGACTGTGGGAGGATACATCTCTCCATCAATTATCTAAAAAAATAAATAAATAAATAAACATCAGTTAAAAAGTTAAGGAACACATTTTTAGGGATTTTAAAATATGGGTATAAGCGGTAATAACTAAGTCTTAATAGTCAAAGGAAGCATACCTGATATTTCATTTTTCCATCCTTGAAAAGGCGCAGTTTACGCTGTCTAGCCAGAGTTTCACCGTAAATATGATTTAAGTCCACCTAGAAAATGATGAAAAAATTTTAATTTGTTGCTGTTGAAGTTTTTCTTATATAAAGTGTCTATCATATAATTCATCATTAAATAATTTGATCATTTAGCTTTCTTTAAAATTTTTAAATAAAATATACATTTTTCATAGCCATGAATTGCTAAATTAATTTGTTTATCCACCAAAGCTACAAACTGATATGTCTTTGTGTTTAACGGAATTAATATACTATATTGAGCTTATATCATATATATTATATACTTCACTATGATGATATGGTAATTATAAAAAAGTATAAAAATGTATTATTTATAAAAAATTCTTACGAATAACTTGAAGCTATGCTATTGAAATCCAAAAAATAATAATGCGGCAAAAACCTCACTTTACAATATTGAAAGCGGCATAATCATGGTACAATGTGTTTTTGAGGACATAACATTTTGCAGTACTAACATTTTAAACTAAAAAATACAAGGGTCAAATTACAAATAACAATACCTGTACATATGTATGTGTGTGAATGTTTATATATGTGTGTGCATGTCTGTGTGTGTGTATAATTTTACTAGACCAGTGAAGTAAATGGAAAATTCCTTTAAGGTTTTTATAGATAAGACTTCTTTTTAAAAAAAGTGGATAAGTTATTTGGATCTATCTATCTGTATATCTCCTTTAATGTTAGCCCTTGACTATGATTTGGTATAATTTTACTAACTCTAAGATATTAACTCTATCTTACCCCATGGCCCAGCCCGTTGGTGAAAGCTGGCCCTCGCTTATGATCTGTCTTGAAAAACTGATGCGTGAAGTGCTGGGCAAAGAATGCAAACATCATGTTTGAGCCCTGGGGATCAGGGATGAACTTTCTTCTTAGAAGCAATTTTTCCACAATCTCATTTGAATCAGGAAGCTGCTTTTTACCTGAAAAATGAGAAAGCTAAGGTAAGAATCCATCTATGTATTCAAGAAAGGAGATGGTGACTGTCAATCTACCAAGAATTCTTCATTTATATGAGAATTACAATTGTGAATAGGATCATAATATAAACAACAGTTCTAAGATATGGTGGAACAACTTCTTACTGAATGATTTTATCTATTTTAATTAGAATTATTTCATTTCTAAAGAAATAATTTGAAAATATTAAGACATTATACCAAGACGCTCATTTGCTTTTACATAATAGTTTATATAGACTCATACTTTAAAAAATACCCATAGATAACCATGCTAAAAGTAAAAACTGCTTTTGTTAATAAATAAATGGTAGTCTAAGGTCAATTTTTTTTTTTGGCAGCAATGCAGCCCGTCTTATAGTTAATACATCTCTAATGGATTCTTCTTACTCACCTTTGACACCCAAGGGAGTCGGGCAATCATCAGGCACAGGAGGAAGGGCTCTAGTATAATAGGAGAGGTTAGAGAAGGCTTCCCAGCTTTTGTAGCCATAGTCAGCATTGTAAGTTGGTGGACTGTCAATCAAATGTGATCTGGCTGAAATTTTCAAAGAAAAAAATGTTTTATTTATTCTCATTTGTTAAGTAAATCAACCATTATTTTTATTGTAAAATGTGGAAAGTGGCACCTGAGGTTGAATGTAACTCCAAAATAAAAAAAATCTATTTTTAAACAACTACACTTTATAGTCTAATGGCCACTTGAAATACATCTTTAATAAAATACATATACTCTGCACATTATAATCTGGCAATATTGATTTTTCAGGTAGCCATCTGCTCACTATCCAAGAGGCCTATGAAAGGAATGGCTGAGTATGGCACCCACTTTAGAATCATGGAAAGTTATTTTCTTGCTGATCCAAATCCAAATTTATTTTAATGGGTGCTACATGTTCAGAACAATTCTGTGGCCCATGGGCATTCAATAAACAGCTGGACCATGCTACCTCCACAAACTGACCAAACAGTAAAGGTTAGAAGAGGTATACAGAGTTGTGAGCAGACTGTATAAACTGGATGGGACTAAATGTCAATATTTTTGGCGATTAAGATGGAAGGCAAACTTAAAAGCTATCTTAAAGTCTTTTTGATAAGCTTGGAAATATGTTTTTAGATTAGGCTTACAGTATTATAAAGCATATTTTTCTTTGAGAAGGCTAAAAACCTTAGAAAGACACTTGTACTTACATGTCAACACATAACTCATAATTGCATTTCGAAGGAAGGGAATGTTATTCACAACGTTCCAAAATCCCTTGAAGTGGGTAAGTATGTAGTGCACTGTGTTTGGAGTGGGTTTCAGAAATAATTTTATTCTTGTCAAAAATTCCGCTGCAAGAAGACGAAGAAAGGGAGGGAGAAATTAATGGGACTCATTATAAGACACAAATCTATACAATGATAACTGTATCCAGCCCCACTCCTAATGAGGCAACCAAAGGACAAACTTACGTGTTGAGCAGTTTTCTCCATAGAATCCTGTCCGGGTACAATCGCACTTATACTGGTCAAATCCCACACTCATACATACACCTCGGTTTTGACATGGGTGGGAACAGCAAGGATTTGCTGCAATTAAAGGACAGCAAATAAATCATTCTCTAGTGTCTTAATCTTAATTTAAACATTTAATTGTTTGACTATGAATCAACTTTACAATAATAAATTCAAGAAATATATAGGTAGTCATGGAAATACAATTTTTTAACCTGCCTTAGAATGGATAAAACGTAGAAATACCAATTTTCTATTCTAAATAAGGATAACAGCATATTCAACTTGGTACATCATGTTACTAAGCTTTTCTTAGTTAACTCTTTAGATGTTAAAATTAGCATTTTTAAGAAGTTCAAATAAGTAGCACTTCACTTTCCAAATTAAAATGGATCTAGTACACTAATCAACATTTAGGGAAAAATTCAAAGTAAAACAGCTTACTTTTAAGACATTTTGCTTATCTTAAAACATAATCCGGGCTTTCCTGGGAGCAGGAAAGAACTGACTAGAATATTTAAAACAACTTCTTCCACTCAATAAAAAGGTTCCAAATATAAACAATTCACATATATTGATCAGATCCTGTCTTATCATAATGACAACCTGCAAATTAGTATCATCTATCCCTATTTAGGAGGTGAGAGTGTCTCAGATCGGTTAAGTAACTGGCTCATAATGATCAGTGCTTGTGGGAAAGCTGGAATATCCACGGAGTTCTTTCGAACTCTAGCGGTCCAAGCTCTTTCCCAAGTCACGTAGCTTCTCTATTCGGAGAGAAGTCGGAGTACTGGGATAGACCCAGGAGGTCAGAGCGGAAACTCTGCCCGGGTGCGTGGAACCGGAGTCCCCGGTGCGCGGCGCCAGGTACTCACCTGTATGGCTGAGCGCCAGGACCGCGCACAGCAGCAGGGCGCGGGCGAGCATCGCAGCGGCGGGCAGGGCGCGGCGCGGGGGTAGGCTTTGCTGTCTGAGGGCGTCTGGCTGTGGAGCTGAAGGAGGCGCTGCTGAGGAGTTCCTGGACGTGCTCCTGACGCTCACTGCAAGTCGTATGACAATTGGTCGCTAACCGAGAGAACCTTCCTTTTTATAAGACTGAAAACCAAGCCCATGTGACGAAATGACTGTTTCTTTCCGCCTTTTCGTACCCCCCACAAATTTTTCCCTCCTCTCCCCTTAAAAAAATTGCGTAAGCCCGGTGGGGGCAGGGTTTTTTACCCACGGAAATGAGAAAATCGGAAACCCAGGAAGCTGCCCCAATTTGGGAGCAGAGGGGGTAGTCCCCACTCTCCTGTCTGATCCCTCCCTCTCCTCCCCGAGTTCCACCGCCCCAGGCGCACAGGTTTCCGCCAGATGTCTTTTCTTCTTCGCAGTCTTTGCCCGAGCGCTTCCGAGAGCCAGTTCTGGACTGATCGCCTTGGATGGGATACCGGGGGAGGGCAGAAGGACACTTGGCTTCCTCTCCAGGAATCTGAGCGGCCCTGAGGTCCGGGGGCGCAGGGAATCCCCTCTCCCGCCGCCGCCGCCGTGTCTGGTCTGTACGTCTTTAGAGGGTCGAGGAAGTCACGTCGGGACAGACTGGGGCGAGTAAGGTTAAGAAAGGCTGACATGTTTTATGTTTTAGTGACGACGCTTAATAGGCTGTATATCTGCTCTATATGCAGCACATACATACATAGCTTTTTAAAAAACTCTTATTTTGTGGAATGAAATAGCTACCTTCAGTGTACATAGCTGTAATTTATCTTTGTAGCTAAGTTGCTTTCAACAGAAGAAATACTGTTCTCCGTACCTTCACCCCCTCCTTGTTTCTTGGAAAGAGAGGCGGGAAAGGTAAATTCTCCTCATAATACTGGTCCTAAGCAGTTACCCTGTAAATAGTTAATGTGAGCTCCACGGGTCACCAATATAAAGTTTCCTGCCTTCTGATGGACAAAGGAAGCGGCGATGGCCAGAATTTGCAGGGACGCTAAATGTCCAAAACGTATGCCTTAAGGCATTTCTCTCCCTGATGCGTGGATTATTTTGGTTACTAGCCCTTCATAGGAGATACTGGTAAAATAAATTCGAGTTTTAAAGTTCACTCTTTTGTCTTTTCTGTCCACTTTTCCAAGATTATGAGTTGTGACCATGGATCAAAGTACAACATAGCATTTACTTTTCAGTTGCCTGGGCTTATTGGGGCTAATTTTCTATTCTCGTTTTGGAACATAGTTGGATGAGGAATTAATTAGATGGAAGGGAGATTTTGACAGTTGGAATTTCATCTTTGCTTTTGTTTAACATCTATCATGGGTAGTGCTCAGGGAGGAGCATGTGAGGGTGAGATACTAAAAAATATATATATGTATATGTGTGTGTGTATATATACATATATATATACACACACACCAGAAAAGAAGTGGAAAATAGAAAATTCAGTTATGTCCTAAGTCCTTAGCATTACAGGAAAATGACAGCATAAAACCTGAAATAAAACTACACCAGGTACCTCAATTTGTAGAAGTCTTATAAGAAAAAAATAAATAAGAGACTCACTTGGAGGTTTTTTTTTTAACTGTTTTGCTTAGTGTACACATCTGATTCTTCATGAGACACGGATGACTAAAATTCCATCTCATCTAGGAAGCCTTTCTCCTCCTCTAGTCATATTTCATCATTCCATTTATGGCACTCCTATTTATTGCATGGAATCTTACATGAAATTTCAACTAAGAGCGTGGATCATTTTCTTTTTGATAATTTAATAATTTCAATCTTCTGTTTCATTTTAAAGGAGTAGGTTGCATCTACTGAAATTTGAAGTTTATAGTTAGAGCTACTAATGTTAGTTTGGGTTAGAAGCCATGTTAGAATCCATACTGTGAGAGAGTACTAAAATTTTACATTACAATCCTGAATTCATTTTGAAGTGATCATCATCATTGTCTTCCTTATCAGACATTAATTGTTCTGTTGTCTGAAAAGAGATTTGGATACAAAAGTGAGGGAAAAACAGGGCATAAGGAATAATTATATTTAGATTATTTTAAACTCAAAGGAATTGAACTCCATCTATCCCATAGTGGAAATTCTGTCACTTATATAGCAGGATAGAGTGAAGAGTTCCATGTACTTGGAAAGTCAAAAAAAAAAGTTCAAGGAGAATCTGGGACTTTAAGGATGGGCAGAGTTTTAGAAAGAAGTGCAAATCTGAGCATAAGGAAAAAAGTTACATAATTTATTAAATAACTGACAATTCTGAGACAATAAAATAAAACGGATAGGTACATTTGGGATGCTGGTCATGGGAGTGTATTAAATGTGCCAAACTAAATTAAGACCACTAAACCTGTTTTATATGGAAAAGTACTGTGACTATTGTGTACCATAAAAAAAAGGTTTGATCATGTAAAACTTATAGCTCTCATGTTTGCATATATTCAATGTTTCTGTGTCTATTTTAGGCAAATATATGGATCTGTTGTACAAAATTTCTATTAGCGTCTGAAATTTGTTGGGAAATAATCTACATGAAAAGAAAATAAGGAAGAATCTTAAAAATCTTCCAGAGCTTTCTGTTGAGTTTTACTGCCCCCTTCTGCTGCTTGAAATTTTGTCAACTTTTTTCCTAAGATGCTAGGAAGATTGCCAGACAGATTTTGTGTTTAATTTTATAATGTTCTAAACATTCACATGTTGCACTGTTCATTTCAGATTTGTTTCATGAATATGTTGAAAAGAAATGAAATATTTATTAATTGAAGTGATAAGCCATTCATGTGAGTTAAAAGAAAATGAACAATAAAGACTCTTAATGTCCAAAATTCCAAATAAACTAACTTTTTTTTCCCTTCCTTGTACTTTGAGCAGGGTTCTACTACTCATACATACAGATCCATTATCTCAGGCAAGGGTCCTCTTTCTATTTCCCTCGTTTCTTCTTTGGTGGGTTTAGTGGTTCACTTAGAGAGTGGAGATCACCCCTTGTCTTCTTTCTTTCATGGCATGTTGGCTGAAAAAAGAGCTTTGTGTCAGGGTTATTCTTAGTATACTTTGGCAAGGTTATGCCATGAAGTTTATCTCTTCCTTGAGTAGCAGAAATGTTACTTACAGAAGATCTTTACGTTAGTCCTTTAGTAAAGCCTGATTATTTACCCATTCTTAGCTACACAAGAAGTTTTGAGGCTATAAACGAAAGCACATAATTTGTTAAATTAAGAAAAGTCCTTTCACATAAGTCAATGAAGAAACACTTAAAAAATCTATTTCTAAGTTTTATAAAACACTGATCTCCTTTCTTTTTCTCAAATATCTCAATTCTTTGATGGATTTTTCTTTTACTTCATTTTTTTTTGTGATTGTTCATTATAATACTCAGATGAGCCAAAGTAGTTGAATGAGTTGAACACAGTCTTTGTATTGGACCTAGAAATCTCACAAGGGGACAAGGAAGGGAAAGAGAGTGTGAGGTGGGGGCACTGGAGCAGGCAGGATGTGAACATACCCACGCACAGAATATGAGGCTTAGGACTTTCAGTTTCTGATCTGGCATGTCAGGGAGGAGCTTGGAAATTGTCACTTCATCCTAAAAACAAGTAAAAATCTAAGCAAACTGAAAAATCAACACTCTCAGAACTGTCAGAGAAGTGAGGCGACAGGTCATAACCCTACTTAAAAAATTTGAAAGACAGACCATACAAGAAGAACAACTTACTGGAGCAGAAATGCACAGGCAGAAACCTCCATGAAAACCAGTACCTGGGTAGGAAAACCTGAACTGTAATTGATGAATTTCTGGAGGTTCAGTGCAGATAAGTCTGCAAAGGAAAAATTCTGGAAGACTCCCACACTTTTGTGAGTTTTGCTTCCTGGAGCTCTACGAGGTTCTCGCAGTGAATATCAGAGAAAACTCCCCCTCAGCTCCATCAGAGTATAGTGTTCTTAATAAGGCCTATACTCAAGAGAAATTATTTTATAATATTAGAGCCTAAACTGTCGGGATTTTTGTCGCAGCCTAACTGAATTAGAAGAAGGAAAATATCCAAATTTAACTGCCTCTAGCTTTCCATACAGGGGAAGAAAAATACCCAACTCCAGCCCTCTCTTTAGCTTCTACATTGGAGAAGGGAAATACCCAATTCTAGCCCCCCCCCAGTGATCTTGTCCCACTTAAGGACAGGAAAAGAGTGGAATGAAAAGCACTTGTTGAAAGTCACCGTTCATAGGCACAGGCTCACTAAAAGGCCGAGACCTGCTATAGGACTATAGAATGCTTCACTTCCCCTGAACTCTTATCGTCACATTACAATGTATTGAGTTTCTTTCACTCAGTACATCATGCCTGGCTTTCAACAAAAAATTAGAAGTCACACTAAAAGACAAAAACATAGCTTGATAAGACAGAGCAAGCATCAGAATCAATGTCAAATATGGTAGAGATGTTGAAATTACAATACCTATGAAATTAAAACAACTGCAATTACTATGATAAGACAACACACAAGAATAGGTTGGTAATGTAAGTAGACAGATGGCAATTCCAAGAAATAATCAGAGAAATGCTAGAGATCAAAAACACTGGAACAGAAGTCAACAATGTCTGTAAGGGCTTATTAGTAGACTGGACATGGCAGAGGAAAGAATCCCTGCGATTGCAGATATATAAATAGAGACTTCTAAAACTGAGAATCAAAGAAAAAAACACAGAAGAAAACCAAAACATAATATCTAAGAAATATGGGGCAACTATAAAAGGTGTAATATACAGAGAAGGAAAGAAGGGAAGGAGAAGAGAGAAAGGAACAGAAGCAATCTTTTAAGTAATAATGATAAGAATTACATCTGACTTCTTCTCAGATACCATACAAAGAAGAAAAGAGTGGAATGAAATATTTCACTTTGAGGGGAAAAAACCTACAACCTAGAATTCTGTACCCTACAAAATTATCTTTCAAAAGTGAAGGAGAAATAAGGTTTTCTCAGACAAATGAAAATTGAGGCATTCTGTGGCCAGTAGATCTGCTTTGTGAGAAATGTTAAAAGAAGTTATTGAGATAAGAAAAATGATACAGGTTAGAAACTTGGATCTACATACTAAAGAAACAAAGAGCATTAGAGAAGAAATAAGTGAAGATAAATAAAAATAATTCTTTTTCATTTTTTTTTTGAGACAGGGTCTCACTCTGTCACTTAGGCTGGAGTGCAGTAGCTTGATTTTGGTTCACTGCAACCTCTGCCTCCCAGGCTCAAGCAATCCTCTCACCTCAGCCTCCCGAGTAGCTGTGACCACAGGCCCATGCCACCATGCCCAGCAATTTTTTTTTTTGTATTTTTAGTAGAGACAGGGTTTCACTATGTTGCCCAGGCTGGTCTCGAATTCCTGAGCTCTAGCAATCCATCGGTCTCCCAAAGTGCTGGGATTACATGAGTAAGCCACTGCACCTGGCCTATTTTTCTTATTTTAAATAGATATAATAGATAACATGTTTTGAAATAATAATAGCAATAATGTATTGAAAGATTACAGCTTATGTACAAGTGAAATGAATAACAGTAAAGATACAAAGAATGAGAGAAAGAAATTAGGAGTGACTTCTTATTATTAGGTACTTGCACTAGCCATGAAACAGTATTGTGTTTTTTGAAAGGAGAATTGGACTGGTTGTAAATGTACATTGCAACCTTCAGGGCAGCCACTAAAAAAGTCAAAAAGAAAGATAATTCATATGCTGAGAAGGGAGAGAAAATAGAATGATATAAAATACTCAAAACCTAAATTAACAGAAAAAGGAGCAAAAAATAGGAGCAGAAAGTAAGGGCAATGAAAAATAGAAAACAGTAACAAACGGTAGATATTAATTATTAATTTGTCTATATCAATAATCAATTTAAGCAGCTCTCTGGGTAATCACAGGGATGAGGATAAAAAAATAAGTATCAATGGTCTAAATACATCAATTAAAACATAGAGATTGTTAGAGTGGATCAAACCAATACCCAAGTATTTCTTTTTATTTTACTTCCCACCCTACCAAGTATATGTTTTCTATAAGAACCCCACTTTAAATACAAAGTCAAGTATACATTAAAAGTGTAAGAATAGAGAAAGAGAGAGCATGCTAACACTAATCAAATAAAGCCAGAGTAGTTCTGTTAATTTCCAACAGGGCAAACTTCTGAGCAAGAAAAATTATCAGGAATAAAGGGAAATGTTACATGTTATGGAAAGGTAAATTCTCCAAGAAGACATAACAATTCTTAATGTGTATGTGCCAAACAATGGAGCATCAATATATATAAGACAAAATTGATAAAACTGCAAAGAAAAATAGATTAATTCATTATTATGGTTGGAGACTTCAACAGCCTTGTGTCAGAAATAGACAGATACAGCAGACAGAAAATCATTTAGGACATAGCTGAACTCAACAGCACCATTAATCAACGAGATGTAACTGACATCTATAGACTACTTTATCCAATAACAGCAGAACATACATTATTCTCTAAGGAACATATAGCAAGATAAACCGCATTCTGCACCATAAGACACACCTTAACACATTTACAAGAATATAAATCATACAATATATGCTCTCAGGCCACAATAGAATTAAACAAGAAATGAATAATAGAAAGATAGCTGAAAAACTCCCAAATATTTGGAGATCACACGGAACACTTCTGAATAACACATGGGTCAAAGAGAAATCCCAATAGAAATTAAGAACCTCTTTTGAGCTAAATAACAATAGAGTTGAAATATTGTAGGATGCAGTGAAAGCAATGCTTAGAGGGAAATTTATAGCATTGAGTGCTGTAATAGAAAAGAAGAAAGATCTAAAATCAATAATATAAGCTTCTATTTTAGGAGACTACAAAAAAGAAAAGTAATTAAATTCAAAGTAAGCAGAGGAAAAGAAATAATAAAAAATTAGAGTAGATATCAATCAAATCAAAAACAGAAAATCAAAAAAGAAAATGGGTAAAACCAAAAAGGTGGTTCTTTTAAAAGACATAAAGTTAATTACTCTAGTCAGGCTAAGGAAAAAAAGAGAAGACACAAATTATTAGTATCAGAATTGAGAGCTCCACTGTGGTGGCTCATGCCTGTAATCCTGGCACTTTGGGAGGCCAAGGCAAGAGGATTGCCTAAGCCCAGGAGTTCGAGGTTAGTGAGCTATGATCACACCAGTGCACTCCAGCCTGGGTACCAGAGGAGACCTTGTATCTAAAAGTTTTTTTTAAACTAGAAATAGTAGAGGAGACATCACTACAGATCCCATGGACATTGAAAGGATAATAAAGGAATACTATGAACAACTTTTGACCACAGATTTGATAACCTAGATGAATTTCTAGAAGGTACAATCTGCCAAAATTCACACAATAAGAAATTGACAATCTGAATTGGCCTATCCCTATTTAAAAAATTGAATCGATAATTAATAACCTTCCAAAACAGAAAGAATCAAGCTCATATAAGTTCACTGGTGAGTACTACTAGACATTTAAGAAAACATTATACCAATTCTTTGTAATCATTTTCAGAGGATAGAAGCAGAAAAGAATATTTTCTAACTCATTCTATAAGGTCAGCATTACCTCATAGACTGTAAAGGCATTACAAGAACATAAAATAACATACCAATATCTCTCATGAACATATATGCAAAACGACTCAACAAAATGCTGGTAATCCAGTCCAACAATATATACAAATAATTATGCAACATGACCAAGTCAGATTTGTCCCAGTATGTAAGGCTAGCTTAACATTAAACATTTAATTGAAAATCTATCACATGAACAGAGTAAAGAAGAAAAATCACACAATTAATAGTGCAGAAAAAAGCATTTGACAAAGTCCAATACCCATCATAATAAAAACAAACAACAAAGTAGAAATAGAGGGAAGATTCCTCAAGTTGACGATTAACATCTACAAAAAACTAATAGCTAACACTGTAATTAATGATGGGGGACCAGAAGCTTTCTTACTAATACCAGAAGTGAGACAATTTTGTTCTTTCTCACCATTCATTTTCTTTTTTCTTTCTTTCTTTATTTTTTTTTGAGATGGAGTCTCACTCTGTCACCCAGGCTGGAATGCAGTGGTGTGATCTTGGCTCACTGCAACCTCTTCCTCCCAGGTCCAAGCAATTTTACTGAGTAGCTGGGATTACAGGAGTGTGCCACCATGCCTGGCTAGTTTTTGTATTTTTAGTAGAGGCAGGATTTCACCATGTTGGCCACGCTGGTCTTGAACTCTTGACCTCAAGTGATCCGCCCACCTCGGCCTCCCATTGTGCTGGGATTACAGACAGGAGTGATCCACTGTACCTGACTCATCACCCTTTTTCATCATCATACTGGAAGCCCTAGTCAATGCAATAAGACAAAAATAAATAAATAGATAAATAAGTAAATAGATAAATGGTATACAGATTGTGAAGGAAGAAATAAAACTGTTTTTGTTTGCAAATGATATGACCATCTATGTAGAAAATTTATAAAGACTGACCAAAAAACTCCTGGAGCTAAGAAGTGATTATAGCAACATTGCAGCATGCAAGGTTAACATACATAAGTCAACCACTTTCCTGTATACCAGAAATCAACAAGTGGAATTTGAAATTAAAAACACATTACCATTTACATTAACACCCTCCAACATTAAATATTTAGGTATAAATCTAACTAAATATATATGAGATCTGTATAAGAAAAATGACCAAACTGATGAAAATATCAGAAGAACTAAATAAATGGAGAGATATTACATGTTCATAGCTAGAAAGACTCATGATTGTCAAGATTTCAGTTCTTCTTAAATTAATCTATAGATACAACATAATTTCAATAAAAATTCCAGCATATTGTGTTGTGGATGTTGACAAACTTATTCTAAAGTTTATATGGAGGCTGGGCACAGTGGCTCCTGCCTATTATCCTAGCACTTTGGGAGGCTGAGGCAGGAGGATTGCTTGAGCCTAAGAGTTCAAGACCAGCCTGGGCAACATAGTGAAACTCTGGGTTTACAAAAAAATTAGCTGGGCCTGGTGGTGCATGCCTGTAGTCCCAGCTACTCAGGATACTGGGAGGGGAAGATTCCCTGAGCCCAGGATGTTGATGCTGCCATGAGCTGTGATCAACACCACTGGTCTTCAGCCTGGGCAATAGAGTGAGAACCCTGTCTCAAAAAAAGGAAGTTTATGTGGGAAGGCAAAAGACCCAAAAAAGCCAACTCATTACTGAAGGAGAAGAACAAAGTTGCAGGACTGACACTATCTTACTTCAAGACTTACTATAAAGCTACAGTAGTCAAGACAGCATAGTATTTGCAAAAGAATCGACAAATAGATCAATAGAATAGATAGGGTCCAGAAATAGGCCCACATAAATATAGTCAATTAATTTTTGACAAGGGATACATGGCAATACAATGGAACAAAGATAGCATTTTCAACAAATGGTGCTAGAAAAACTGAACATCAACAAGCAAAACAAAAAAATAAAAAATAAAAAAGTCTCTTGATACAGACTTTACACTTTTAATAAAAAAGTTAACTCAAAATAGGTTATAGACCTAAATGTAAAATGTAAAATTATAAAAGTCTTAGATGATAACATAGAAGGAAATCTAGACGGATTTGGGTATGGCAATGATTTTTTTTTAGATACACAAGGGCATGATTCATGAAAAAAGTAATTGACAATTTGGACTTCAGTAAAATTAAAAACATCTGCTTCACAAACTCACTGTCAAAAACGAATGGGAAGACAAGTCCCAGACAGGGAGAAAATATTTGCGAAAAACATTTCAGATAAAGGACAGTTATCCAAAATATACAAAGATGTCTTAAAACTCAAAAATAGGAAAACAAACAATCCAGTTAAAAAATAAGTCAAAGGCCTGAATAGACACAGTGCCAAAGAATACACATGTAATACATGGCAAATAAGCATATGAAAAGATTTACCACAACACATGTCTTCAGGGAAATGCAAATTAAAACAAAAATGAGATAATACACACCTATTGGAATGGCCAAAATCCAGAACATTGTCAACACAAAATACTGGTGAGGAAATGAAACAAGCAAAACTTTCATTCATTGCTAATGGAAATGCAAAATAGTATAACCATTTTGGAGGATGGCTTGGCAGATTCTTACAAAAATGAACATACTCTTAATACCCGATCCAGCAGTCACACACCTTGATATTTACCAAAATGAGCTGAAAAGTATGTCCATACAAAAGCTGCATGCAAATGTTTTTGGCAACTTTATTCTTAATTTCAAAAACTTGGAAACAATCAAGATGTACTTCAGAAGGAGAACGGATTAATTGTGATATATTCAGTCAGTAGAGCATTAGTCAGCAGTAAAAGAAAATGTGGTACCATCATATATTTAAGACATGGAGGAATCTTAAATATATATTACTAAGTGAAAGAAACCTATCTGAAAAGGATACCTACCGTAGGATTCCAGCAATATGATATTCTGGAAAAGGTAAAGCTATGGAGACAGTAAAAGGAGTAGTGGTTGCCAGAAGTTGGGATTGGGGGTGAGGATGAAAAGGCAGAACGCAAAGGATTTTTAGGGCAGTGAAACTATTCTATAAGATACTATAATGGTGGATAGAAGGCTGGGCGCTGTGGCTCGTGCCTGTAGTCCCAGCATTTTGGGAGGCCGAGGCGAGCGGATCACGAGGTCAGGATATCGAGACCATCCTGGCTAACACGGTGAAACTCCATCTCTACTAAAAAGAAATACAAAAAAATTAGCCGGACATGGTGGTGGGCTCTGGTAGTCCCAGCTACTCAGGAGGCTGCGGCAGGAGAATGGCATGAACCCGGAAGGCGGAGCTTGCAGTGAGCCTAGATGGCACCACTGCACTGCAACCTGGGCGACAGAGCGAGACTCCGTCTCAAAAAAAAAACAAACAAACAAACAAAAAAAAAAACATGGTGGATACGTGTCTTTATACATTTTTAAAACCATAGCATGCACAACACCAAGAATGATCCCTGGGGTAAACTAGGGACTTTGGGTGATACTGATGTGTCAATGTAGATTCATTGATTATAGTAATTGTATCACTCTGGTGAGGAATGCTGATAGCACATGAGCTTTTCTTGTAAAGAAAGGTACAGGGGTTCTATGGGAACTCTTCGTACTTTCTGCTCAATTTTGCTGTGACTCTGAACTGGGCTTAAAATGAACTCATTTTGCATATTAATTCTACCTTTTATAGATATTACATTTCATTATTAGTGGTGTGAGAAAACAACATCCACCACACGAGCCACAGGACTGTTTTGCGGAAGGCGATGCATATTTGTTTGCTGATTCTTGATAATCATTGGGAAAAAGCTTCAAGGTTAAATGCTGTGTAGATTGAATAGTGTCAGATGCTCATTGAGATACTCATGGAAAGTTTACTTCCTTTCTTAACTAAAACCTCACTCTACCCTAAGGACAAGGATTGCTTTGCAAACATCTGAAAAATGTATTCCTTCTCTCACCCCCGTCATTTCCAAAGATGGCATTTATGTGAAGCCTCTTTCTTCCTCTCTTGAATCACTACTCTCTTGTTTTAGAGGTTCACATCTTTCCCAATAGCTTCGACAAGCACTTCAGGGTTTCTTGCTTCCAAAGCTTTACCTCTATCCCTTACTCTTACCTGAAGCTCAAAACCATTTGAGAAATTGTCCCCTGGATCTTTTCATATTACCGTACTAAAAACTCAACTTATCCTCTTAACAAAAAATGATTTTCCTTTAATATTTTCCATAGGAATGAACAGGTTCACAATTCACCAAGATTTATTATTAGTATTCATCAACATCTAATGTGCTACATATTTTACTTTCATATTTTGTTTACTACCTGTCTTCCCCTTCCAAATATGTAAATTCCATGAAGGTCAAATTTTTGTCTGCTTTGTTTACTGTTATATTCCAAGCACCTAGAAAAATGACTAGCATATACTAGTACTCAATACTTATTGAATAAATGGCTGAATCTATCTTCTTTGAAATCAACTTCAAAAATTAGATGACCTTCATTTTATCATGTAGCTATTTCCTAAAAATATAATTTTAAAATCAAAGTCATCAGCATTTTTGAAGCCCTTAATTTTTTTTTCAAATGTAAAGGAGTAAGACTAAAAAAGCTCTTTTTAAAATGCAATTGTTGTTGCAGACACTGCGGGAGTCATCTCGGTGTGATGACTGGAGCTGTTGCAGCCATTTTGCACCTGAAGAACAAGTCTTATATCCATGATATAAGAAAAAAATGCTAAAAAGAACCCTAGTTTTTGATGGTATTATTGAGAAGGAGTCCTGATCAATTTCCCATAGACCTTGCCCAACCTATACATTTATTGTTTAATAAGTCCCAACAGCTACACATAAGCAGTTGGGCTGAATATATGTCAATTTTAAGGTCTCCTAGTTTTTAAACATGTACAGATGGCCCTTGAAAAACACAGTTTGAACTGCATGGATCCACTTATATGCAATTTTTGCAATAAATATATTGGAAAAATTTTTAAGACATGTTTGACAATTTGAAAAATCTCACAAACTATGTAGCCAAGAAATATTGAAAAAAAGAGAAAAGGTTAGGTATGTCACAATTCATGAAATATACAGATACTAGTCTATTTTATTATTTACTACCATAAAATATATACAAATCTGCTATAAAAAATTAAGATTTCTCAAAACCTAACACATAAACACTGACAGACCATACATGGTGCCATTTGCAATGAAGAGTAATATAAACAAATGTAAAGATGTAGCATTAGACTATAGCTGCATGAAATTAACTGTAGTACATACTGTACTTTGGTAATAAATTCAGAGCCAGCTCCTGTTGGTATTGTACTGCCCTCAAGTGTGGTGGTTACCTGCTTCAAACACCTCCCTGTGATGCTAATCACCTCCACTTGAGCAGTTCATCTCTCCAGTAAATTGTGTATCCCAGTAAAAAGTAATCTCTGATGGTTCTTGTGTCTTTTTCATCATGTTTAGTGCAATACTGTAAACCCTGACTAACACCTTGGGACCCATACAAAGTGCCATTAGTGATGCTGGAAGTGCTCTCAAAAAGCAGAGAAAAGTCGTGACATTACAAGAAGAAGTTGAATTGCTTGATATGTACCATAGATTCAGGTCTGCAGCTTCAGTTTCCCACCATTTTAAGATAAATGAATCCAACATAAGGACCACTGTAAAAAAAAAATAGAAAAGGAAATTCGTGAAGCTATAGCTGTAGCCACACCAGCAAGTGTGAGAACCTTGCACTTTTTGCAAAATATCATTTTACTTTTGTGGAAAATGCAGCTTTTATGTGAATGCAGGATTACTATAAAAATCATATCTATAGTTAGACTCTAATATTATTTGAGTCAAAAATGAAGTCTTTATATGACAACTTAAAGCAAAACTACAGTGAAGAATCTAAAGCTGAAGAATTAAATGCCAGCATAGAATGATTTGGTAAATTTGGAAAAGTTGGTTTAAAAATAAGTTGAGACAATAAGAGAAACAGCTTCTGTGGACCAAGAGGTAGCAGACACCATTAAGAAAATCATTGAGGAGAAAGGATATCTGCCTGAACAGATTTTTAGTGCAGATAAAAGTGCTCTATTTTAGAAAAAAAAATGCCACAAAGGACATTTATTAGTAAGAAAGAGGAGCAGGCTGGTTCAGTGGCTCACACCTGTAATCCCAGAACTTTAGGAGGCCGAGGTAGGCAGATCACAAGGTCAGGAGTTCGAGACCAGCCTGACCAACATGGTGAAACCCTGTCTCTATTAAAAATACAAAAATTAGCCAGGTGTGGTGGCAGGTGCCTGTAGTCCCAGCTATTCAGGAGGCTAAGACAGGAGAATTGCTTGAACCTGGGAGGTGGAGGTTGCAGTGAGCCAAGACGGTGCCACTGCACTCCAGCCTAGGTCTCAAAAAGAAAAAAAAAAAAAAAAGAAAGAGGAGCAAACTCTAGAATTTAGGACAGGAAGGAATAGGCAAACTCTACTGTTTTGCACAAATGCAGTTGCATTTATGATCAGAACTACCTTGATCTATAAAGCTGCTAACCCCTAACTCTTGAAAGGAAAAGAAAAACACTAGCTTCTAGTCTTTTGGTTGTACTACAAGGTCTGTACAAGAACCCTTTTGCTGAATTGGTTCCGTTAATGCTTTGTCCTTGAAGTCAGGAAGTACCTAGCCAGTAAGGGGCTGCCTTTTAAAGTTCTTTGGATATTAGATCTTGCCCCTGGCCACCCAGAACCCCATGAGTTCAACACCACAGGTGTTGAAGTGGTCCTGTGGTGTTGAAGTGGCCTACTTGTCTCCAAACACAATCTCTTAATAGCCTTTAGATCAGGAGGTCATAAGGATTTTTAAAACTCATTACACATAGTACTTTAGGGAAAAGACTGTCAATGCTATGGAAGATAATCTCGACAGAGAGAACAACATGCAAGTGTGGAAGGATTATACCATTGAAGTTATCATCATTGTTATAGAAAAAGCCATGAAGCCATGAAGCCCAAAACAATGAATTCTGACTGGAGAAAACTGTCCAGATGTTTTGCATGACTTCCCAGGTTGTATGATAGAGCCAATCAAAGAAATCACAAAAAAGATCATGAATCTGGCAAAAGTGGTGGGAAGTGAAGGGTTTCAAGATATGGATCTTGGAGAAATTCAAGAGCTAATAGACACTACACCAGAAGTATTAACAGAACAACTGGATGGAGATGAGTGCTTCCAAACCAGTGCCAGATGATGAAGAGGAAGATGTAGAAGCAGCAGTGCCAGGAAACAAATTGACATTAGACAATCTGGCAAAAGGGTTCTGATTACTTAAGACTGCTTTTGACTTATTTTGCAACACAGAGTCTTCTATGATATGGGGACTAAAACTAAAGCAAATTGTGGTAGGAAGATTGGTGCCATATAGAAACATTTTTAAAGAAATGAAAAAGCAAAAATGTTAGAAATGATATTGTATTTCCACAGAGTCACACTGAGTGTGCCTGCCTCTCCTGCCTCCCCTTTTACCTCCTTTTCCTCTTCTGCCTCTGCCACCCTCAAGACAGTGAGATCTGGCCAGGCGCGGTGGCTCACGTTTGTAATCCCAGCACTTTGGAAGGCCGAAGCGGGCGGATCATGAGGTCAGGAGATCGAGACCATCCTGGCTAACACCGTGAAACCCCATCTCTATTAAAATACAAAAAATTACCCGGGCGTGGTGGTGGGCGCCTGTAGTCCCAGCTACTCAGGAGGCTAAGGTAGGAGAATGGTGTGAACCCGGGAGGCGGAGCTTGTAGTGAGCCGAGATTGCGCCACTGCACTCCAGCCTGGGCGACAGAGCGAGACTCCGTCTCAAAAAAAAAAAAAAAAAAAAAAAAAAGACAGTGAGATCCAACACCTCTTCTTCCTGCTCCTCAGCCTACTCAGTGTTAAAGATGACAAGGATGAAGACCTTCATGATGATCCATTGTCACTTAATAAATAGTAAATATATTTTCTCTTCTTTATGATTTTCTTAATAACTTTCTTTTCTCTAGCTTACTTTATTGTAAGAATATGGTATAACACATATCACATACAAAGCCTACCCACTGTTAGTCAACTGTTTATGTTACTGTTAAGGCTTCTGGTCATTAGTAGGTTATTAGTAGTTAAGTTTTTGGGGAGTCAAAGTTACACTAATTTTCAGCTGTGTGGGGATTGGGTGTTGGTGCCCCTAACATTGTTCAAAGGTCAACTGGATTATTAAAAGTTGATATTATCCATCATATTTCATCTGTCAAATCTAACAGCTTCCCATTGCTCTTGAAATAAAATTTAAACGCTTTTCTGTGGCCTACAAGGCCATACCTACCTCTAACTTTTCCTCACACAATTGTCTTCCTCCTTTACTATGGTCTAGTCATACGGGGCTTTTTATGTTTCTTAATCTCTCTCTCTCTCTCTCTTTTTTTTTTTTTTTTTTTTTTTTTTTTTTGCCTAAAAGCACTTCCACTTGCTGTTATCTCCAACCAGAGTGGTTTTCCTCTGGATGGTTGAAGTTGTCTTATTCTCAGATATCAGTTCAAATATCATATCTCCCAGGTGCTTTCTTCATTACATATTCTTGTTTAGTTTTTTCATTTTACTTTTTAAAATCTAATTTAAAAAATGGACTGACTTACTTGTTTATTGCTCCCTCTTTCAAATGTACTGATCATGAATGTATGATCCTGTCTCTCCAGTTCACCTGTGTATCTCTAACACCTAGAACAATACCTACTATGTGTACTTAATTCATGGTTTGTGCTCAAAAGTATTTTTTGAACAAACGAATAAGAGTATGTGATGATTAAGACAAAGGTTATCCGAAAAAGATTGATTAGATAAAATTTAAAGTATTTCTGTGTTTTTAAAATGCTCATAATAAAAAAATTAAAAGACAAATGATGCTAGGGAAATTCACTTGGCAAATAATAATATTTGCTAAATAAAGAACACATCCAAATGAATAAAAAAGGTAAACAAATACAGCTAACCTAGGAGGTGAAACTTCTCTACAATGAGAATTACAAAACACTATTCAAAGAAATCAGAGAAGACACAAACAAATAGAAAAACATCCCATGCTCATGGCTAGGAAGAATCAATATAATTAAAATGGCTATACTGCCCAAGGCAATTTACAGATTCAATGCTATTCCTATCAAACTACCAATGCCATTCTTTAAAGAACTAGAGAAAACTATTTAAAAATTCATATGGTACCAAAAAAGAGCCTGAATAACCTAGACAATTCTAAGCAAAAAAGAACAAAGCTGGGGGCATCACATTATCTGACTTCAAATTATATTACAAGACTACAGTAACCAAGCAGCATGGTACTGGTACAAAAACAGGCACATAGACCAATGGAACAGAATACAGAGCCCAGAAATAAGGCCACATATCTACAACCATTTGATCTTTGACAAAGCTGACACAGCAATGGAGAAAAGACTCCCTATTCAATAAACAGTTCTGGGATAACTGGCTAGCCATTTGCAGAAGATTGAAGCTGGACCTCTTCCTTACACCATACACAAAAATCAACTCAAAATGGATTAAAAACTTGAATGTAAAACCAAAAACTATAAAAACCCTGGAAGACAACATAGACAATACTATCCTGGACATATGAATGGGCAAATATTTCATGACAAAAGCACCAAAAGCAATTGCAACAAATGCAAAAATTTACAAATGGGATCTGATCAAGCTTAAGAACTTCTGCACAGCAAAAGAAACTAACAACAGTGGAAACAGACAACCTACAGAATGAGAGAAAATACTTGGAAATTATGCCTCTGACAAAAGTTTAATATTCAGCATCTATAAGGAACTTAAACAAATTTACAAGAGAAAAACAAACCCCATTAAAAAGTGGGCAAAGGACATGAGCAGACGCTTCTCAACAGAAGATATACATGCACTCAACAACTTATGAAGAAATGATCAACATCACTGATCATTAGAGAAGTGCAAATCAAAATCACAATGAGATTCCATCTCACACCAGTCTGAATGACTGTTATTAAAATGTGAAAAAATAACAGATGCTGGTAAAGTTGTGGAGAAAAGGGAACACTTATTCACTGTTTGTTGGAGTATAAAAATTAGTTCAACCATTGTGAAAAGTAGCATGTCAATTCCTCAAAGAGCTAAAAGCAGAATTACCAATTAGCACAGCAATCTCATTACTGGGTATATATCCAGAGGAAAATAAATCATTCTACCAGAAAGACACATTCAGGTGAATGTTCATTGCAGCACTATTCACAATAGCAAAGGCATGGAATCAACCTAAATGCCCATCAATGACAGATTGGATAAAGAAAATGTGGTATATATACATCATGGAATACCATGCAGCCATAAAAAAGAATGAGACTTTTGCAGGGACATGGATAGCACCAGAGGCTTTTATCCTTGGCAAACTAATGCAGGAACATAAAACCAAATACCACATGTACTCACTTAAAAGTGTGAGCTAAATGATAAAAGCTTATGAACACAAAGAAGGAAACAACAGACACTGGGGCCTGCTTGAGGTGGGAAGAGGGAGAGAAGCAGAAAAGATCACGAATGGGTACTGGGCTTAATACCTGCATGATGAAATAATATGTACAACAAACCCCTATGACACACGTTACATATGTAAGAAACCTTCACATATACCCCCAAACCTAAAACAAAAGTTGAAAAAAACACACACATGAAAATGACAAGCACATAAATAAACAGGAAAAAGCCATGATCAACTAATTCAATAAAAACTTGCTTAGTACTCTTATGAAAAAATAGATTGCACTAAGAAGCAAGGAAATACAAATAAAATCAAGTGAACATTAAGTCTTACAAATTAGTAATGTAATAGTAAAATAAATGCTATATATAGTGTGCATGTATTGCATTATAACTGTATGCCAGGAACTGTTCATCTTTTTACAACTTTAAGTACATAAATGTAATGGAGGGAAAATGGTCGCTGTTAGAAATGTTCAAGAAACAGCAAGAAGGCCAGTATGCCTGGTGGAAAGGGAATCAAGGGGATGCTGGGAGATGAAGTCTGACACAGTGGTATTTGGCAGTTAGCAGGTTCTTAATATGTTTTTTAGGACCAGCTATCTGTAATTGGTGGGGCTAAAGGCCAATTTTATTTTCATCTTTTGCTTATTTGTATTTCTATATTTTCCAAATAAATGCTTGTTATTTTTATAATATAAAATAAATATTTTAATAAAAATTTATTTACAAATGAAATACCATAAAAAATATGATGGTGGCATGCACCTATAGTCCCAGATACTCAGGAGGCTGAGGTAAGAAAATCACCTGGGCCCGGCCGGGCGCGGTGGCTTACGCTTGTAATCCCAGCACTTTGGGAGGCCGAGGCGGGCAGATCACCTGAGGTCAGGAGTTCGAGACCAGCCTGACCAACATGGAGAAACCCTATCTCTACTAAAAATACAAAATTAGCCAGGCGTGGTGGCACATGCCTGTAATCCCAGCTACTTGGGAGGCCGAGGCAGGAGAATTGCTTGAACCCGGGAGGTGAAGGTTGTGGTGAGCCAAGATGGTGCTACTGCATGCCAGCCTGGGCGACAGAGCAGGACTCCGTCTCAAAAAAAAAGAAAAAAATAAAATAAAACAGAAGATCATCTGAGCCCAAGAGTTCCAATGAGCTATGATCAGCCTAAGTGATAGAGTGAGACCCTGTCTCTACAAAAAACAAACAAAAAGAGATAATAGATTGTGTTCTGTTAGATACTAAAAATGAGTCATTTTCTCCATAGATAAAATGAAATTCTTTTCTTCCTTTCATCTTGTTATCAGGTACTTCCTACTTACATTGCCTAACTTGATTTTATGTAATTTGATATAAAGAGATTTGAGTTCTCTTTATAGCAAAGATTTAATCAAAGAGTAACTCTCTTTTTATCAAAGATTTTTAAATATCTTTTTGATATAAAAAGAATGTAAATCTCTTTATATCAAAGACCCTATCATTATTTCCAACATAGTTCAATGAAAGAAACACGTAATTTGAAGCACTGACCACATGACCTTGGGCAAATACATACATTTATTATCCCTCAGTTTCTTCATCTACTCATGTTTGTCATGAAGATAAATAAAATATATGGACTCCTTTGAGTTATCAGAAGAGATCTAAACCTAATACATTCAGGCTTCCTGAAACCCATTACTTCAAATGCAATGTGGTCATTATTGTGCTCTGCTCTTGAGATTTAAAATGTCTTTTCATTTCCACTTTTCCATTTTAAATTTTAAATTTTATATTTCAAATTTTATACTTTGAGCTGTTTTCAAATCAACCCTTGGGCTGTTGGCTATCACACAAAATTTTCTCTTCTACAGAGATGAACACAGGGCCTATAGAACATTCAGTGTCCAGAACATGTCTTCTTTTTGTGGTTCTACTTGATTCCATTCTGGTACTGTTTGAAGAGCTGCAAATACTGCTTTTAAATTTAGGTTTTTCATTTGACATTTAAGTAAAACCTTACTCTGTAAATCAGCTGTTTTCACTTATAAGTGCTGCATGTGATTTATTTTAGAAGCAAATGGCGAAAATTTTATTTAAAGATGCACGCTCCCTCTTTTAAGTTTCTTGTCAATTTTTTTCATGTAAAAAAAAATCTTGGAAAAACAAAACAAAAATGGTAAAAATGATGTAATGGGTACATTTAAAATTTACTAGACTATTGCTCACTTTCAAAATTTAACCTTAAGTAATCCTTATATATTAAGCTAAATCTTATATCTAATCTATATTTTTTCATTGTATGCAATCATCATTCTTTGTGATTCTTGTTTATATTTTCATTCTCTATTTTCTCAACGTATTTACTAAGCATATTCTATGGATAGAAGCTTATGTCTGAGTCAAAATACAAAGTGTGGCTTTGAAGCAGAACATCAATCAAGCAATGAAGACCTGATTTTATAAGTCAACCTGCCACTGGGGTAGCTGTAAATCCATGGCTTCTAGTTATTACTCAATAGATGTTCAAGAAATGACCGATTATGTTTGGTTTTTATTCTTCTGTATTCTTGGAACTACCTTCACTTAGTCATATATTTTCATTACAGGACTAGCAATTATCACTGATTATCAAAAATAAGAGCTGTGTTTTATTATGGAAGGGAAGGCAAAATATAAGCTAGTAAGAATGAAATGGATATATTTAAAATTTGAGGTAAATTATATGAAAGCATTGACTAAGGTTCAGTGATTATGAATTACAGGTTTGTCAGGGAGGGTTTGTTTATAAAAATGATAGCACACCTTCCTTCTCCGATGAGGTGTTTTGTGAATAAATGAACCATCACTTGAGGTCAGGAGTTCAAGACCAGCCTGACCAAAATGGTGAAACTTCATCTCTATTAAAAATACAAAAAAAAAAAAATTAGCTGGGCATGGTGGCGGGTGCCTGTAATCCCAGCTACTCAGGAGGCTGAGGCAGGAGAATCACTTGAACCCAGGAGGTGAAAGTTGCAGTGAGCCGAGATGGCGCCATTGCACTCCAGCCTGGGCGACAAGAGCGAAACTCCATCTCAAAAAAAAAAAAAAAAAAAGCAAAACCCCGTTTCAAAAAAATAAAAGAAATATACTACATGTGGCAGTTTCAATACAAATATTTTGAGCTTTGTAGTAAAAAGCTCCACAGAAAAAGATAAAGAAAGCTAAGATGCCAAGTTATGTCATAAAATAACATTCCTTTTTTTGTGTTGTTTGGTTAAAGAAGAAAACACTTTAGTCATTATTTTCGGAGTTGTTACTCTTCTCTAAGCCGATAATTAACAGAGGAAAATATACAGTATCAAATATTTATTGTATTCCATAAATTTAAAATAATTTAGAGAAATAAGTCAGGATTGCAATGCTTTCATGAACACTGTGCCATTCTATTTATTTTTTTATTTATTTCTGAGACAGTTTTCTCTGATCCCCAGGCTGCAGTGCAGTGGCGTGATCTGAGCTCACTGCAACCTCCACCTCCCAGGTTCAAGCGATTCTCCTGCCTCAGCCTCCCAAGTGGCTGGGATTACAGGCACCTGCCACCATACCTGGCTAATTTTTGTAGTTTTCAGTAGAGACAGGGTTTCACCATATTGGCCAGGCTGGTCTCAAACTCCTGACCTCTAGTTATCCACCCACCTCAGCCTCCCAAAATGCTGGGATTACAGGCGTGAGCCACCACCTTTATTCTATTATAGCATTCATTGAATATCTATTTCAGGTGACTCATAGAGTGTAATTTAATCTTCATAAAGTTAGGTCTGATATACATACTAATATCTTTTCTATGGATAATAACACTGGGCCTCAGAGAGGACCAAGGCCACACAGCAAGTGAATTACAAAGTTGAGATTTAATTATTTACATGGCTTTTGTTTGTTTGTTTCCCTACTGTACAAAATAAGCTACCTAGAAGTAGGACCCTGCATGGTTAAGAGTACGGACTCTGGGTTAGGTTCTGCTGATTTCTTGTTGCCTGGTCATTGAAAGATTAATTCAATGCCCCTTAGTTTCCTTATCACTGGGTTGATAAAACATTTTAAATTACACTGATCTTTAGTGGGGATAAAAATATAATACCTGTGAAACACCTAGAACAGTGCCTAGTACATAGTCAACACTCTGTGAATCTTAGGTGATTTGATATTTATACATATATATTAGGTGTTATTAATGTTCATCACAGATGAAATCTATTTTACTCTTTTCTGTATGCAAGCCCTAGATGAGACACTCTGCCCATGTGTTCTAATGTCCTTTTCTTGATTGGTTTGAGGATCTTAATTGGGCTTTCTGTATTAGTCCATTTTCATACTGCTATGAAGAAATCCCCGAGACTGGGTAATTTATAAAGAGAAAGAGGTTTAACGGACTCATAGTTGCACACAGCTGGAGAGGCCTCACAATCGTGTTGGAAGGTGAGGTGCATGTTACACGGCAGCAGGCAAGAGAGTGTATGCAGGGGAACTGCCCTTTATAAACCATCAGATCTCGTGAGACTTATTCGCTATCACGAGAACAGCATGGGAAAACAGCTCGGGTAATTAAATTATCTTCCAATGAGTCCCTGCCACAATACTTGGAGATTATGAGGGCTACAATTCAAGATAAGATTTGGGTGTGTTCACAGCCAAGCCTATCATTTTCCTATAGGAAATCTCCTGTCTCTATATTAAATACCCAACTGTGTATAATGTTTATTTCCTGTACAAGGTTGAACAACAAAGTTTTTGGTGCCTAAAGCTTTTATAACGAAAATGGTTCTTTTAAAGAAATTTAATACAAAATATCAAATTAGACAGAAAGAGAATGTTTATTTAGAATATGAAAAAGAGTCACACAAAAATAACAAAAAAATGCCACACACACTGAGGCAGGAAAATGGGTCTGGAGACAGGGAACATAAGGCCGATTCACACTTCAGCTATGACAGGTAACTCCATAGGGCACACCGTGTAAATAACTTTGCAACTTTACTTCATCCTCTCCATTTACATAGGGCATACCCCAAGTAACCAACGGAATCCTCTAGAGGGTATTTAAACTCCCCCAAATTCTGTAACGGGGTCCTTGAGTCCGTATGCCTGGGCCGATCCCACACTGTGGAGTGTACTTTCATTTTCAATAAACCCCTTCGTTCCTTCCTAGGTTTGTTTGTGCATTTTGTCCAATTCTTTGTTCAAGATGCCAAGAACCTGGACACCCTCCACTGGTGACAACACCATAAGACTTAGAAAAAAGTAACACATTTCATTAATTACATGGCATATTTTTTCCCTATAGTTTTTGGTTGCATATTGTTTACTTCTTGACCACTTCTTTCTCTTACACTGATTTTGGAATATCATTTGCTATAGAGATAATAAAAAGACAGTTGAGTCTTTTTTCTATCACAGTTTATTGTACTTTTAATTTCATAGTTTAAAAAGATTTCATTCAGCATCACAGCTCATTACTGACAATGTCATGTTAATTTCTTACCCTTGATGTTAGTCAAAAGGCTGAGAAGTCGTTGAATTGTTATGAAATTTGAGAAAATCAAGATAATTGTCTCAAGAGAAACTTGATACTATCAAGTTTCTTTCATAATGAGTGATGAGGCTTTTGGACCATATCAAGTTTTCTTGTGCTAGGACTCATCAAATATTTTTCGAGTAGAAAACATCCAAGTTCTACAAGGCTAGGTCTTCTCCCAGTGCCTTCGAAGGAGCCAGTGCAAGCAAGGGACACTGAAGCTTAAACTCTTGTCTTCACGGGGACACTGACGGTTAAACTCTGTTGTCTCTACCGTAAATCAACTTCAGTATAAAGTCACATTAAAACTAAACAAAAAACAGTGCACACGAATTTTTGTGATTTCTTTTAAAGCAGCATTTTAATTTCAGTGTTCTAGGTTTTAGTTTGGGTAATAGGATCAAAAAGATTTATGATGGTGAGGTGAAAAATGTAGATATCATGGACTATTTTGTTCCTTATTCAGGAACTATATTCCCATTTTGAGTTTGCAGTTTCACAAATGCAAAGTTGTGGTGAGAAAGGGAATCAAGGTGACCCTGAGCAATTTTACAATGGATGCTAGAAAAATTAATTCAGTTCATGCCCTACTAAGGGCACTCAGTACAGGAAAAGAGTAAAAATATATTGAAAATGAGAAAGATTACAAGGTGGGTTATCCTCTCCCATAGAAATACATTTGTTTCAAGGGTGATAAGTGTATTGAACCAAGTAGGTGCTCAGCAAATTTTTTTTTTTTTTTTTTTTTGAGATGGAGTCTCTCTCAGTTGCCAGCTGGAGTGCAGTGGTGCGATCTCCACTTACAGCAACCTCCACCTCCAGGTTCAAGCAATTCTCCCTGCCTCAGCCTCCCCAGTAGCTAGGATTACAGGCGCCCACCACCAAACCCAGCTAATTTTTGTATTTTCTTAGTAGAGATGGGGTTTCGCCATTTTGACCAGGCTGGTCTTGAACTCCTGACTGCAAGTGATCCTCCCACCTTGGCCTCCCAAAGTGCTAAGATTACAGGCATGGGCCACCGTGCCTGGCCAAACAACTAGTTAGTAAATCTTTACTAAAGAAGGAAGGAAAGAAGGATCTGGACTACCAGTTATTTCTCCTATTACTGCAAAACTTTAAAAGCATGGCCATATCTCTGCATAATAATAGATAACTCTTACACAGGCTTGGTATCTAACTGGTTCTATTATAATATTGCACAATTCACTAGTTTAATTTCTAAAACAGCTAATAGAGATAAGTAGTAGTATTATCATACACATTTTACAGATAAGGACACTGAGGCACAGAAATATCATGCAATTGACCAAGGTCACACATATATTAAGTGGAAGAACTGAGATTTGACCAAGGGAAGTCTAACACCAGTCTGTGTGCTTCACCATTGTGCTAAAAGCAAAGGGCAAAAGCTTGTTGCTACAAAATAAGCTTTGGATCTCAATCGCTTTTTAGAGAAAGCTTTATGATACATGCTTTCAAACACCCTCTTTAAACAGAAATATAAACTCTTTTAAGAAAAAAATTTCAAGAATATTTAAATAAGGATTTACGTAATAGAGTTCCATTAGAAAAGTTTTCTTAATTTTTCTCAGGAAGTTTGTACTATACAGATTCACACTGAAAAAATCACCCTACTTAGCCAAGGAACAGACTTTTACCTAATGGATGATTATTTCAGCTGCATTGTGTCTGAAAATAAATTCATACTTGGTTATTAATATTTTTCTTCTCACAAGTCAAAATTTATTTTTCAGCTGTCTCACCTAACCAAAAACCTCATGCTAGATGAAATCTGAAATGTTTGTTTTGTACCAGAAGGAATACCTGATTGCTGTCAGATATGTGGCATTCTAGCATGTTTCTGGTATAACTAGAGCTATATCTTGGACAATGCCTTTAATTTCTATGTGCTTAAGTTTCCTCATATCTAAAAGAGTGCCTAAAACCAGCAAGGATTATTACAAGTGCATACTCGAAATAAATAAGATGTAACTCTATTTATGATTTTTGGGAGGGTGAAAAGTCAGAAACCCTTTTAATAGGTGAGGTAAAAAACATGACAATATCCTTGTTAAACCCAAAGAAATTTAGCAGGAAATCCTCACTTTGTTTTTTTATCATGTTCTTACTTGATTTTTATTTTTATCTATGTATACTTTTTGTTTCTATCAAATGTGGGGACACTATGTCCACTGTTTTGTATCATCCTTTTATCATTGTAAAATATATGTTTGAGATAGTTGCTTACAAGCACATTCTACTACCTCCTTTTGAACAACTGCATGATAATCCATTGTATCAATCTGGGATTAATCTTTAGTCAGTTCCATATTTATTGACTTTATATTGTTTATAGTCTTAATATCATAAATAATGCAGCAAGCAATATTCTATCACACGTTTTTTGCTCATCTATGTGAATATCACTATAGAAAAATTTCTAGATATGCAATTATAAAGCCAAAGGATTTATACATTAAAAATATTGACAGATATTGGCCAAATAGTTGAAATAATCTTTATATTTTAAGATAATTAAAATTTAATTGTCATTTATTTATGGATTTATTAATTCAACGTCTATTAATTGGTCATATACTGAGTCTAAAGGTTTGTTCTATGTAAGTATCTACAAGGATATAGCAGTAAACAAAATACAAGTCTAAGACCAAACACTAAACAGACGTTAATGACCACACACACACACACACACACTCGTGCGCGCGTTTAGAAAAGAATTTTTATGCATTTGTTCATCTCTGTTTTTAGCCAAGGCTTGTTTGGGGCACTCTTGCTGTCTGTGGTAGATGCTGTAGAGAACTGCCCTGATCGCCCTTTGAGACTAAATAACTGATTTTCTCAACTGCTGAGAGGGTTGGCTGCTACGAGTTTCCTGCAGTTCATGACCTCTTTCTATGCAATACTACTTCCTTCACCACTACGGATGTTGTTTCCCAGACCATTCCTTCTTTGATAAGCATCCATTGTGAAAGTCTCCATCTCAGAAGCTGTTTCCTGATAATCCTAAGCTAAGATACTTCCTATTTGTACTCAGCAAGGACTTGGCGGTTATACATTCAGGACTGGAGCTTGAGGCTTTGAATGGGTCTCAGCTCTACTAGAGCTCTTACAGTACCTGCTTCTCACAGTGTGATGATTCAAGCTCCCTGGTGGAACATGCTCCTCTGCAGAAGGGAATGAGAGAGAATGAGCTTCACCATCTTCCTTTCTATCTTGCCCAGGATTTAGCCACCTGAGTGGCTCAAGCTTTCTCAGAGTAAGCTCTTGCCAGACTCCTTTCCAATGTGTTTCCTTTCTGACATGATTACTACTCTCTCTTCTTTCTCTCTCTCTCTCTCTACACACACAAAATAGATGCACACATATATGTATGTGTGTGTGTAGCTATTTATATACTTATACATTTATTATGTATATGTATTTATATATACATAATTGCCATTGTTTAGGAATGTTTTATTTTAATGCATTTATCAAACTCTTTAATGGCTTCTATGTTTTGAATATCAAGAAAGGCCTCCTCCCAAAATCCTCTCAGGCTTTCATCTAGAACTTTAACTTTTTCATTTATTTACATTAAACACTTCATACAGTTGGAATATATCATGGTCTAAGGAATTAGGTAGGAATACAGCTTGTTTTGTTCTTTTCCAAATAGGCAAACAGTTATCCAGTATTATCTCTTGAATACTTTATAATTTTTCACTATTGTAAAATGCTGCCTTATCATATATGAAGTCCTCTCTCTCTCTTCAGGTCTCTCTCTGGACTCCTCTATTCTACTGATCTTTCTATTACTTATGTCACATTGCTTTAATTACTATACTTTATAGCAGATTTAAATATCTGATAGGGCTATTTCTTCATTACTTCTTTATTGACTTGGTATTCTTTAATTTTCTACATGAATTTTGTAATCCGTGTCTTGTTCCATCATAAAACATATTTGGGACAGGTGCGGTGGCTCACGCCTGTAATTCCAGCACTTAGGGAGGCTGAGGCAGGTGGATTGCTTAAGTCTAGCAGTTTAAGACCAGCCTGGGCAATATGGTGAGACCCTGTCTCTACAAAAAATAAAATTTAGCTGGGTGTGGTAGCGCAAGCTGTGGTACCAGCTACTCAGGAGGCTGAGGCAGGAGGATCACCTGAGCCCAGGCAGCTCAAAGCTGCAGTATCTCACCACTGCAATCCAGCCTGGGCAGGGGAGCAAGACCCAGTCTCAAAAAAAAAGTGTATTTTTATTGGGATTGCATTGTATTTATAAAATAAATTAAGGGAAATAAACACAACTATAGCAGTGAAAATTTAAAAAAAGTATGCATTGTTATTTATTCAACTCTTAAAAATATCTCTCTTTGGCTATTCATCACATAATTCTTACACCTTTACGTTTATTCCTAATTTTTTTTTTTACTGTTGCTATTGTAAATAAAATCTTTACTACATTTTCCTAACTAGTTGTAAAGAAAGTCATTGTAGGAGAGCCATGATGTTTTTTATATTAATTTGTATCTAGCCAGCTTAATTATTTTTTAACTTTACAATTGAATATCAGTTGATGCCTTTGAGCCCCTACAGGTATACAATCATACCATCTAAAATAAATGACATTTTTTCTCTTGTTCTTTAATTTTTGTGACTTATTTCTTCTTTTTTTCTACTTACTTTGTTTAATTCTTAAAAAATTGTAGTAACTAATATTAAAGTTGTGGGATGCTTATCTTGTTCCTGATGTTAGTCAGAATATATAGTTTCCCCATTAGGCATGATGCAATTTGAGTTTGAAGAAACATATTATATGTTGGAAATAATCTCTCATTCCAGTTTTACAAAGGTTTCTTTTGAATCACTAATAAATATTAAACTTTATAATACTTTTTTTGGCATCTATAGTAATGATTAAATGGCTTATTTATTTTGACCTTTTAATTATATTAATTATAGCAGATGTCCTAATACTGAAAATCTTTCTTTGGGAAAACCCCTCTGAGTCATGGTGAAGTATTCTCCTAAGAAGTTGCTGTATTCTATTAACTGATTTTTTTTTTTTTTTTCCAGAAGGAGTCTCGCTCTGACGCCCAGGCTGGAGTGCAGTGGTGCGATCTCCGTTCACTGCAAGCTCTACCTCCCTGGTTCACGCCATTCTCCTGCCTCAGCTTCCCGAGCAGCTGGGACTACAGGCGCCCGCCACCATGCCTGGCTAATTTTTTGTATTTTTAGTAGAGACGGGGTTTCACCGTGTTAGCCAGGATGGGCTCGATCTCCTGACCTCATGATCCACCCACCTTGGCCTCCCAAAGTGCTGGGATTACAGGCTTGAACCACCGCGCCCGGCCAACTGATTTTTATATTAACATTGATACTTAGATGTAAGATGGGTTTGTATTTTTAAAACATGTATTCATCAGCCTTTATTTACTTTTTTTTTTTTTTTTTTTTTTTTTTTTTTTTGTGAGACAGAGTCTCACTCTGTCGCCTAGGCGGGAGTACAGTGGTGTGATCTCGGCTCACTGCAACTTCTGCCTCCCAGGTTCAAGGGATTCTCCTGACTCAGCCTCCCGAGTAGCTGAGATTACAGCCATGCGCCATCACACGTTACTAATTTTTGTATTTTTAGTAGAGATGGGGTTTCACCGTGTTGGTCAGGCTGGTCTTGAATTCCTGATCTCAAATGATCCTCCTGCCTCTGCCTCCCAAAGTGCTGGGATTACAGGTGTGAGCCACCACACCCAGGCTCATTTACGTTTTATTGTATGTCAGTCCAGATTCTCATCTGGAAGAAATAAAAACATATTCTGACTGATATTAGTGGAAAATAGATTCATGAAAGTATTTGGGAGGCTCACAGAACCTCCTGGAATGCTCAGAACTAAACCAGGAGGCTACATGCCCAAGAGCAATGTTCCAAAGACCCTCTACAGCATGGAGAAGAAGACGGCACAGCTGATTTCCAGATGTGGCTTGTGCTGCCAATGCAAAGAACATGGACTCTCAATGGTACCACCACATCTGCTGTCCTTGCTATCTCTGGAAATCCAAAATAAATGCAACCAATTCTGCTGCTTGTTTTCAGAATTTATTTGGCATGAATCCTGGTTCTGGAAACACTGTCTTATAGTCTTGGGTGGGTACATCCGATTGGAGGAGCCCTCCCCCAATTAGCGTTTTTCAGAGAAACAGAGCCATTACTATGTATGTAACTATCTACAATATATATAAATAGAAGATAATTTTTTAATTTTTTAATATTTATTTATTTATTTAAATAAAGTTCTGTCGCCAGGCTGGAGTGCAGTGGTGCGATCTCAACTCACTGCAACCTCCGCCTCCGGGGTTCAAGCGATTCTACTGCTTCTGCCTGCCAAGTAGCTGGGACTATAGGCACGTACCACCTCGCCCAGCTAATTTTTGTTATTTTTAGTAGAGACGGGGTTTCACCATATAGGCCAGGATTGTCTCGTGTCTCGATCTTTTGACCTCGTGATCCGCCCGCCTCAGCTTCCCAAAGTGCTGGGATTACAGGCCATCGCGCCCGGCAGAAGAGAAAATTTATTATGAGAATTGGCTCATGCAACTATGGAGGTCGAAAAGTCCCATGATATGTCATCTGCAAACTGGAAACCCAGGAAAGTCTGAGGTGTAATTCAGTTGTAAGACCTGAGAAGAGAGGGAGTAGGGAATAGAGGATTGGTGTAAGTCTCAAAGTCCTTTGACCTGTGAAACAAGGGCTGCAATGTTTATAGGGTAGGAGAAGATAATTGTCCCAGCTCAAGAAGAGAGAGAAAATTTGCACTTCCTTCACCTTTCTATTTGACCCTAAACAGACTGAATCATGTTCGCACACACTGGTGATGGATCTTCTTTACTCAGATCACTGATTCAAATGTTAATCTCTTCCAGAAACTCCCTCAAAGGCTCTCCAAGAAATAACGCACTCCCTCAAAGGCACTCCTAGAAATACCAGGTATTTGGGTATCTTTTAGTCCAGTCAAGTTGACACATAAAATTAACCATCACACTCCCTGTGATATGGTTATTATTTCCTGCTTTTAACATATTGATTTCTTCTCTCTGCTTTCCTCATTTTTTCCTATTAGTCTTTTTCTACCTTGGATTGAGTGTTTACATTCATGTATTTGAAATTGATTTCTTTTTCTTGTGTTCCAAAGATTTTTGTATGTAATATTTACATAATTTTTATTTTCTAAATTTTTGCAATTTTGATTTGAGAGTTTTTTTCTTATTTCTACATTTCTTTTTAGTGGGCCAGAATGTTTATGTTGTTTGTATTATTACTTATAAATTTTATTACATTTGGATTAGAGAATGTACAATAAACAGTTTGATAATTTATTGAACTTTATAATTTATTGATTTTGTCTATTTTTCTAGCATTTTATTATGAAAAAATTTAAACATACAGCAAAGATGACAGAATATTATAGAGAACACCATATACCCAGCCTCGAGATTCTACCATTAACATTTTACTATATGTGCTTTTTCACATATCAATCAATCTAGCCATACATCTATCTATACATTAATTCATCTTATTTTTTCATGCATTTTAAAGTAAATTGTAAACATCAGTGCACTTTCCTCTAAATACTTCAGCATGTATATCATTAGCTAGTATTCAGTACTTATTCGGGTTTTTTTTTCCTTGTTTTGAGGTAAAATTTATATATACTAAAATACAAAAATCTTAAAATTATACATTAGCTAAAGTTTAAGAAATTCATATATTGGTGTACCGCACACCATATTAAGATAGAAATGTTACCATCTCTCTTAGTCTGTTCCTGCTGCTATAACAAAATACCTTAGGCTGGGTAATTCATAAGCAGCAGAAATTTATTCCTCACAGTTCTGGAGGCTGGGAACTCCAAGATCAAGGTGCCAGCAGATTCATTGTCTGGTGAGGGTTGCTCTCAGCGCCGAAAATGGTGCTTTGTTGCTGTGTCCTCATGTGGCTAAAGCAAAAGTGCAAAACAAAGTCAAATAGCTCCCTCATGTCTCTGTTACAAGGTCATTATATCCGTTTTTGACTGCTTGCCCTTATGACTTAATCACCTCCTGAAGGCACTTAATCACTTCCTAAAGGTACCACCTTCTAATACTACCATCTCAGTAGTTAAGTTTTAACATATGAATTTTGGAGGGATCCATGTATTCAAGTCATAGTACTATCCCTTTAGAAAGTTCCCTCATGCCCTCTTCCCAGTCAATCTCCACCTCTCACCCTCAGAGACATACACTATTCTGATACTTCTCCACCATAGTTTAGTTTGTCTGTTCTCTAAATGGAATCTAAGAGTATGTGCTTTTTTTGTGTGTGACATTTTTAGTCTGAGCATGTTTTGGAGATTAATTCATGTTGTTGCATGTATCAGTAATTGCTTCCTTATTATGGGGAAGTATTCCATTGTAGGAATATGCCAAATTTCTTTATCTATTCTCCTATGATGCACACCTGGATATTTTCAGTTTTGCTTTTTTATTAAGAATTTAGCTAGAAAACATTTTTATATAAATCTAGTTATGGACATATGTTTTCATTTCTCTTGGGTTTTTGTCAGTTTTTACAAATACTCCATTATCATTTGTAAAAGTTGTATTTTGTATTTAGTTACATTAGATGGTGCCTATATATTTTTAGCCTATTTATTATTAGTTAGAGTAAGTGTTATAGGTTGAATTATGTGCCTGCCCCTACCAAAAAAAAATGTTGAAATTATAACCCCTAGTGCCTATGTATACGACCTTATTTGGGAATAGAGTTTTTGCAGATGATCAAGTTAAGAAGAGGTCACTATTGTGGGCCCTAATTCAGAATGACTATTTCCTTACAAAAAGGTAAAATTTAGAAGCAATGTAGACACAGAAAGAACACGCTGGAATTATGCTGCTATAAGCCAAGGAATACTAAAGATTTCTAGCAAACCACCACTAGCTAGGAGATAGACATGGAACAGGTTCTCCCTTCTAGCTATATGAAGGAATAAACCTATCGACATCTTTTTTGACTTTTAACCACCAGAATTGTGACATAATAAATTTCTCTTGTTTAAGCCACTCAGTTTGTCGTACTTTGTTACAGTAGCCCTAGCAAACTGATATAGTAAGATAAGTGAAGTTTCCTCACATTGTTTTCTGCATATTCATCCTTGTATTACACTTGTTTTAATTTTGCTTTATACTTTTCAATACAGTTGTATTTCATTATAAATATTCACATTTAGTGGATCTTTATTTATACTTGGCTTCTATCATAAGAAACTTTTCTTTTTTAAAATTTAATGCTTTTTTTGTCTTGCATTCCATTTTGACTGAAAATATCTTTTTCTTTGCATTTGTCTATCGTGTCATTTCCTGTTCTTTTTTTAAATTAAATTTAATTAATTAATTTATTTATTTTGAGATGGAGTCTCACTCTGTCCCCCAGGCTGGAGTGCAGTGGCGTGATCTTGGCTCACTGCAATCTCTGTCTCTCAGGTTCAAGTGATTCTCCTGCCTCATCCTCCAGAGTAGCTGGGACCACAGGTGCGCACCACCACGCCCGGCTAAATTTTGTATTTTTAGTAGAGACGGGGTTTTACCATGTTGGCCATTCTGGCTGGTCTCGAACTCCTAACCTCAGGTGATCTGCCCGCCTTGGCCTCTCAAAGTGCTGGGATTACAGGTGTGAGCCACAGCGCCCGGCCTCTGTTCTCCCATTATTAGTCTTTCTTAATTGCTTTGTTTTATATGTGTTTTACATATTGAAAATAGATAGGTTTTGTTTCTGTGATCTAACAGAGGTTATACATCTTTTACTTAACTTTTTAACATCTTTTACTTAACTTTTTAACAAATGCACTTGGCTCTGAGAAATTTTGAAATTCATTTTCATGGTTTCCAAAATGCTTTTGATTTCACATGACATTTTACAATTGAGTGATTCTAAGATCATGTGTGTGTGTTAGCAGTACCTGGTGACAACAATTAATTACCTACTCTGAGAAATATAATCAGGAAGCATGGCTTTATTATCTATTTGGTGCCTCCCAGGACCAAAAAATTCCTTTGTTTACAAAGGTTTCACATGCCTGGTTAGCCATAAAATGTTTTGGCAGTTAAATATATGTATATAAATATTTAAAATAATAAAATGCAAGAGGCACATATAATGGAGTAAAACAATACAACAGGTTTGGCCACGTTTTTAGACCTCATGATACTTAACCTCTGGGCAGCACAAGTTGAGATCGATCTTTTCCTCTTTTAAACTACCTTTTCCCTTCACTTTTTGACATAACCCTCCATGGCTTTTCTCTTTCTTCTCTGAGCATTTGTTACCACTCATCTTTTTATGTTCATCCTCCTCTGTCCTATATTGTACTGCCTCCAAATGTGATCTTAGCCCCTCTTTTCTCACTTTTTGTGCTCTTCCCCTAGACTCAATTATCAGCAGATCGCTCAAATACCCATATCTCTACTTAGACTTCTCCTCTGAGCTCCAAACTTGAATATCTAAAGGCCTATGTTTTCACCTGGATGTTTCAATGACACCTCAAACTTGGCATATCCAAAATGGAACTCATGATCTGAGCCCTCTCTGCCCTCTCCCTATTCACCTCACCAAATCTGCCTGTCTTTGTTCCCCCTTTTCAGCAAATTATAGCACAATTCTTCTTTCGTGATTTTACTTCCTAAATATCTTTTGCATTTGTGTAATTTTTTCCTACCACCACTACCCTGGCTCAAACCATAATCTACTCTCACATATGCCTTCTGGTCTCCTTCCTATCTATTACCCAAAGCAGCCAAAATGATCTTTTCCTTTTTCTTTTTTTCTTTTTTGTTTTTTGAGATAGAGTCTAGCTCTGTGGCCCAGGCTGGAGTGCAGTGGCACCATCTCGGCTCACTGCAAACTCTGCCTCCCAGGTTCAAGAGATTCTCTTGCCTCAGCCTCCCAAGTAGCTGGGATTACAGGTGTCTGACACCACGCCCAGCTAATTTTTATATTTTTTTTAGTAGAGACGGGGTTTCATTGTGTTGGCCAGGCTGGTCTTGAACTCCTGACCTCGTGATCTGCCTGCCTCGGCCTCCCAAAGTGCTGGGGTTACAAGTGTGAGCCACTGTGTCTGGTAGATCTTTTTCAAATAAAATAAAATAAAATAAAATAAAAATTTGACAAGTCATTCTCTGGCTTGCAATCCTTCCACATCTGCAGATGCTCTTAGGATAAAGAAAAAAATTCTTCCTAAGCCTACTAGGCTTGCATCGTGTGTTCTCATTTAATTTCCACCTCAGCTTTCTTTCTCTGTTAGTCTTCTAGTTAGTACTTTTAGTTCTTAGAATGGGGCATTTACACAGACTCCTCTCTTTGCCTGCATATTAGTCCTAACTAACTAATAACTCTTTACCTAATGAAGTTTGTTCATTGTTCAGAACTCATAGTGCACTTTATCAGAAAAATCTTCCAGTTATGACTTCTTATGTCACTCTATGTGTTTTCTTAATGGTTCCTAAGATGGTTGCATTTTTACACTTACTTATGGGATTACTTGAGTAACATCAATCTCTCTAACTAGAATGAAAGCTTCGTAAGGAGGACCCTGATAATTTTATTCACTGTTTTATTCTTAACACAATGTGTATACTCCATATAATGATTGAATGAATAATTGAATGAATGAAAATGACCATGAGTTCTACTCATGTAGATATTAGACTATCATACTGAAGCCTAATATTACAAATATGTCATCATAACAGTTAAACTTTCTACAAAATAATGGATATTCTGAAAACATGAATTATATGTAAATTTACAACTACGTATTTTTAGTTATTGTGTGGATGAGCTTTCTTTGCACATAAAATATGATTTCATTGAAAGGGAGTTAAATTATAGAATCTCCTACTTGAAGATGACATCCATAGTAAGTACTATTAGGAGAGATGATTCATTGTAGTCAAATGATCTATATTCAGAAGTCCAGTCTTGAGAAATAAGTAAACAACCATGGTCTTTGAAAAGAAAATCTAACTATTTACACAATGCTGTGTATTTCCATTCTATTCATCTCATGTGGCATTAATCAGAATCAACAATTTTATGGTTCAGAAGTACGTCATTGCCATAATCACATTAACTTTGAAGCCAGCTTCAATGACAACATATGTCATAGTTGCAGCAAACATGAATATGCAGAAACATAAAGTGTGCAGTGAAAAGATTTAGGGAGATTTATGTTCTAATTCTGGCTCCATCATTTTTAATTTCTTCAAGTGTCAGTCTTGTTTTCTTTAACTTGGGAAAAATAATTTCTATCTTGTAGTGTCGTGTTATTAAGTTGTAATCAAGTGCTTGGCCTGGTTTCTTTCTTATAGACCCAGTTTAGAGAAACCAGCATTTTCAAAGCTCCACAGGCGGTTCTGCTGATTCACCAAACGTTTTCTCCTCTGCTGGGGCATTTCACTCCTTTTATAACTCCCATTAATGAGTGTCCCTGAGGAGCCAGGTATTTTACTTTTATTACTCACAATAATTTTGTAAAGTTTTTGTGGTACACGGAAGTTAAATAATTTGTCTAAGTTCCCAGAGTGAGTCAGTTCAGGAGAGAGGGAAAGAATCAAGTGTTGATAGACCTCAAAGCTCATTTTCTTTACTATTCTATGTAGCAACATCACCCCAATAATTGAAAAACTTATTTTTGGCAACTTGCTCAAGTTTTGTACCACATGTAGTTTCTAGGATAATATCTAAGAACCTGTCTGATCCTGGCAGTAGAGAACATGGGGCTTTCTTTATGGATAAGTAGCACCAGATTCTGGGTGAAAGACCAGGAATGAGCCTCACTCTTGACACTAGCTTTGCAGCTTTGGGCAAATCTATGAATTTGTCTGAGTCTTAGCTCACTCAGTTGAAAAACATAGATAACACATGATTTTACAGGAATGCTCTCATGAGGTTTATAGTGATAATGAGAGACTGTAATATGAAATGCTACATCTACATAAGTTGATATTATATGGCTCTGTAAATCATGGAAATCTATATATGGCTACCTCTCATTCATTTCATTTGGTAAATAAGGAGTAAAGCATTACCGTTAAGGTAAATTATAAATACAAAGTAATATGGCTCCTGATTTATGTTTTCATTTATTCAGGCATTATTCTAGTACAATAAAAGAAACGTGTGTGTGTGTGTGCACACGCTTTAATTAGCTGTCAGGCAGTTTTAACATTCTCTCACCAGTAAGCATTTCCTAGGGCTTTAGAAATAGGCTGGTTAAATAAGTCTTTAAGTATACTTTTACTAACCATCATGTGTCATTCTTTTTAGACAACTAAATACAAACTAAGATATTAGGATGTCCAGAGGTCTTCCTTAAACTTAAAATTTCGGTTGTGTGCTAAAATAATGAGACATAGATGCATACTTTCTGGAAACATTAATTGCCCCTGAGATAGAGAGAAACCACATCCTTCCTAGATAAGGAATGGGGAAGGAAGTGAGCTGGGAAGGAGTGGATACTAGACATTTTGCGTTAGCCAGTAACAAAATTTAATACTAAATTTATGAGGAATTGAGGGAGGGGAATTCTTGATTAAAATTGCCAGCTTTCTTGACTTGTTAGATTAAAATACCAGAGTTTAGCAATCACAGATGGTTTAGATTTTTCAGAAGCTTCTTAAAGGTTTGAGGAGAGAGATCACCTGGTCATTTTAGGCTGTATTTAATATTTAAAGTGTATAGTCTTGTCTCTATGTTAAATTAGTATTGCATTTTTAAAAATTGATGGATATAAGCAACAGAGAGAATCAAAGTTTTGAGTTCTCTATAAAAAAGTTGTTTTTCCGATCAGTTGCTACCATCCCCAAGAATCCAGATGCTTTATGGGAAAATTTAGAGCTGTTGAAATTTTTTGAGAAATTTCCTTTAAGTTCTCAATCTACTTACAAAGTCTAGAGGACAGAACTGATTAGAGGCAGGGAATCATTTGAACCTGGGAGGCTGAGGTTGCAGTGAGCCAAGACCGGGCCATTGCATTCCAGCCTGGGTGAGAAAAGTGAAACTCCGTCTCAAAAAACAAAAAAGAAAGAGAAAAAAGAGAAAAATATTTGAAATATGATTTTTAAGATTTATCTAACTCAGCTGATAGGCACCAAATTTCCTATGACTTAGTTTGTCCTCCCTTGAGAACTCAATGCAATAAACCAGCTGGAATTCCCCAGCCCCCGACCACAGCTCAACGGCCTGAATCTGGTTATTTTAATAAAATTTTTATCTAAAGATAAAATTATATGTAAAAATATAGTTTTATATCAGAAATGATGACAGAGAAGAGACTGGTAAAGGAATGAAGGAAAATATCTTACATATACTGAAATGCTGATTGTTAAAGGATATAATATTGAATAGTAAAGCTGAATAAGGACATTTTCCCTGTTGTGACTTAAGTTTACATTAAAAGATTATGGGGCCGGGCATGGTGGCTCACACCTGTAATCCCAGCACTTTGGGAGGCCGAGGCAGGTGGGTCATGAGGTCAGGAGTTCGAGACCAGCCTGGCCAATGTGGTGAAACTCCATCTCTACTAAAAATACAAAAAAATTAGCCAGGCATGGTGGCACATGCCTGTAATACCAGCTACTCGAGAAGCTGAGACAGGAGAATCGCTTAAACCCGGGAGGTGGAGGTTGCAGTGAACCGAGATCACACCACTGCACTCCAGCCTGGATGACACAGCGAGACTCCATTTCAAAAAAAAAAAAAAAAAGATTATGATTGACTATAAAACATTTAGACTCTTATTAGACTTTCATTAGCTTCACTATGCAATATTTATCAAATGCTCACCACTCTAGATCCTAACTTCTTAGACTATTCAATGTCTAAGAAAATACATCTTCCTTGCAATTTCTTACATGATATTAATAAAATTAATTTAAACAAGCATTTCCATTGTGTCTGAGGATTAGCGTGAGTTTTATTGTGGTATATGTCAACTATGGGGTAGGGAGACACTGTGCTTCTCCTAGAAGCACTGATATAAAATTCAATTTTTAGACATGGTATGGTGTCCAAAGTGTAATGCATCAAAACACAGCTTTTTCAGGAAAACAGCAACACATTTTTGAAACACTCTAGCCCAGGTTTTTATGGATGGGGAGTGGATAGTAAGGGAGAACTCAAAGGAATGCTATGTTTGAAAACCCTGGCTGCCTAGCGATTTATTGAATAATCAGAAAGCAAAAAATAAGTCTTTAATTCAACAAGTGGGCAATCTCTCAGCGTCCCAATACTCTGAGGAGAGAAGTGATATAGTGATATAGTTCAGTGATATAGTTTGAATATATGTCCCCACCAAATCTCATGTTGAATTTTAATCCCCAATGTTGGAGGTGAGGCATGGTGGGAAGTGTTTGGGTCATGGGGCCAGATCCTTCATGTCATGGAGCTGTCCTCCTGATAGTGAGTTTTCGGGAGATCTCATGGTTCATATGTGTGTGGCACCTCCCCCACCTCTTGCTCTCTCTCTTGCCTCGGAAGACACTGGCTCCCACTTTGCCTTCTGCTGTGAGTAAAAGCTCCCTGAGGTCTCCCAGAAGCCAAGCAGTTGCTGGCACCATGCATGTACAGCCTACAGTACCATGAGCCAATTATACCTCTCTTCTTTATAAATTACCCAGTCTCAGGTATTTATCCATGTTTAGTTAAAAAAAACTTGGGGGACAAGGTTAGGAGTAGATTACATTTAGAATGGATTAGTGCCAAATACAACCATATGTTGTAATTGTTTAACATTTTCCTGGCTTTAAATCTTGGCTCCACCAGGTCACGAGTTGGTCACTTTGGACAAGTAGCTTCTCCTTTTTTAGCCTTAGTTTACTCATTTAAATTCTTCACCATAATCTTATGAAATAATTAACTGTCAATTTATAATTCCTTTTTATTTTTGTTTTTGCAAAATGAGCCTTCTTATAAAGTAATGTTTTTAGTATTAAATGTGATGATGCATGAAAAATACCTGATGCATAATAGGAAGTCCAAGGATGGAAATACATGTTCTTTGTTCTCAAATACTATTTGACTTAGTCGGTTTGGTACTGAGGAGTAAAGAATGGGAGGAAGTAGCATGTTCCATATTCTGAAGCCAGAATCTTTAAGACCAGTGTAGGTAAATGCGTGAAATAGAAACTTCAAGAGACACTCCGAAGCAAAAAGTTTTGCTCTGGTGAAATGTTATAGTAATTTGTATATCATCTCTTTAAGCTCCAATTTCCATACAACCCTGATTCTTGCCTTCATTTGTACTCATGTTTGTTTTATTTTCCCATAGCTATGGTCTAAATGTTTATGTTCCCCTGCTCCAAATTCATAAGTTGAAATCAGATTTCCAATGTGATAGTATTTGGAGTTGGGGTCTTTGGCAGGTGATTAGGTCATGAGGCAGAGCCCTCATGATTGGGATTAATGCCCTTATTAAAGAAGCTCAAGAGATCCCCTTGACCTTCCACCATGTGAAGGAATAGCAAGAAGGTGTCATCTAAACCATTACAAAACCACAGCGTGTCAGATACTCTTCTAAGTGTTGGGGCTATATAAATGTAATGGTGGATTTGAAGTAGTTTCAGAACTTCTGGAACAGGATGAATGACCCTTAGTGAAAAGTTGCAAATTCAGGGCAGGAGTTTTGGGTGGGGTAGGGATTGGAGTTGCAGGAAACAGATTTGAGCATACAAAAGTGAGAGCAGCTTTGGCTAACATATATGTGAGAGCAGATTCACTAAGGGACACAGGCAAAATCAAGCCTCTGAGCCATTTGTGTCTTACTCAAAATTCAAATGATAGCAAAAGATTAATATCCACAATATATAACAATTCCTAAATATAACCAAGATCGATAACTCAATAAACATACAGGCAAAATAAATAGACATTTCACAAAAGAAATACAAATGGCCCATATATACGTGAAAGAAAATGCTCTAACTCTTTAGTTATCAGGTATATGCAAATTACAAACCCAATGCCATACCATTTTACAGTCATCAGATTGTCAAAAAGTCAATGCCTTGAGAGCAAAAATGTAGAACTAATCTGTTTGGAATTATAGAATCTGAGTCTGTAATTTGATTTCAATAAAAGCCACTAAAATATTGAAATAAATAATTTTGAAAACATACTGTTTGAAATAAACAGTTTTGAAAACATGCTGTTCTTACATGCTATTCACTACACTTTTTGCCACTAGAGCAAGATCTATTTCTGTTTTGTTTTGTTTTATGTTTGTTTTCGCTGTTTTATCCTTAGCCTTTGGTACAATCCGTACACATAGTGAGTGCTCAATAAATCTTCATTGAATGTGTAATTCACAAATATTAGCTTCAAATGAAAGAAGCTCAACTTTACACATTTTGAATGGTAATGTGGTACCTCTGCGAAGAGGTTTTTCAACTAATCTGTATTTTTCCTTTCTTATTTGAACATAGGGAGAACATGGAAAGTGGAAAATTCCAAATCTTAGGAAATGGATTTTTAAAAAAATCATTTGATTAATAAAATTGCATGCTTTTAATAATCTCAGTCAAAAATTTATTGTTATACCGACATGTTCTAGAAGTTCTTAATAACAGTTTATGGATTAAGACAAACTTTAATAACAGATTGTGGAAAGCAAATGGTTTCAATGTAGTTCTGTGTAATTGCCCACATATGATGTTTTGATTTTTTCATTCTGGTATAGTACATGCAGCAGTGAATTGTATCTCACTTACATGCCCCTGTCACAAATTTCTGTGTAACTTCATTTACTTAACTTCTCTGGATCTTTGTTTTCTCAAACACAAGATGATGTTGGGCTGGTGGAAAAAAACTTGTCTATTGTATACTTATTGTATAAAATGAATTTAGTTGAGTTTTTTTTTGAGGCCCTTAAGACAGTATTGCAATAATTAAAGGTGTTTCTAATAATAATTTAGACAGAATTCTATCATTAAAGCACCCCATCCCTTCTAAGCATCAGTCCTCTGAGTTTCTATTCATTTTAAATCACCTTTTTGGGCCCCTGAGGAAAATTTGGGCCATTTAGGCCTCCAGGCATTTGTAAGTGTTGCCTCTCCTCTTACGTTAAAAAATTCTGCAATAAACGTTTTATTGAAGTCAAAATGTAAATTTCCAGTTTATTCATTGGTCTATGATACATCTCTGATAGTTTTATTTGACATTATCCAACTTTCTTTCCTGCTGCCCCCACCTAACCCAAATTTATGTGTCCTTTAAAATTTGACTCATATGTCACATTCTGCTAGAATACTTATCCCATTTTGCTTTCTGCTCTTATTTCTCCACTGACATTCTTTCATGTGACTTTATTTTTGTGACCTGACCTGTCAGCAATCATTGAATTGAAAACTTCATAAGGGCAGATGTCATACCTTGTTCACTGTTCAATTCCCATATCAAATGCATTCTGACACATAATGAGCACTCAACAACGTTGAACGGTTAAATTAATGAAAGAAACAGGCAAACTGAGTCTTTGTTGTTTAAAGAGACTTTTCTTTGGTACTCTTCTCTTTCCAAATACTGACCGAATGTGCCCTTTATTTCTTCTAGGCCCTATAATTTGTACCTATTGGAAAGAGAACTATGCTAAAATTAAAAGGTAAAATTTATGTTCCAGCCCAAGGTATTTATGGAATGAATGAATGAATGAAACAACCAGCCAAACCTTTCTCTAAATGCTATGACACTTTTTAATTTCTTATGTCATCTGTTCGTGTTTTATTACTGAATTACAAGCAAATGATGTTGGATGAACGTGGTCTATTCTGAATACAATGTGGATTGTGAATTTGTTTTGGTAGCTAACTAGTGTTAATGAGCACTCCAACCTCTAGGGGGAGCTCATGGAAACATAACCCTCTTCTAGGTCTGGGCTTTTTTTTTTTTTCTGAGAAAAAAATGTTTAATTGATAGCATGGAAGTAAAACATTGTGTGATTAAACTGGCAACAACAACAAAGGTGAAGTACAAAATGAAGTGAATTGTAAGTGTAAGAAGTGTAGCAAGGGTACAAAATTAGACATTTGGGAAAGGGAAATATCAAATTCCCAAATTTTTCCATTTAATTTAGCATCTGGTTGAAGTCGTTGTAGCTAAATGTTTAAATATGGTTAGCACATTTCAAGACAGGAAAAGGAACAGCTTGATTGGAATGGGACATATCCCAAAGGCTGAAAATCATCTAGTAACAGGCTGGAGTTTGGGTTATAGCTTTATTACTAACCAAAATATTAATTCTAGTTGGAAGTTTAAACTCCAATAAGACACAAGCCTGAATCTACTATGGTTGCTTCTGGCCCTAAATTCTTGTTCTAGTCATCATTTTTGGTTTAAGAGAGTGACTGTCATTGTCATGTTAAGGTGAAAAAGAACATTCGAGTATATTGCGGTGTAGCAAGAAGAGCATATAAAACCACTATTCTAACATCATTTTAACTACTACCTTGCCAGATGAACTTTGGGAAGTCTGCCTGATTTTTCTGAGCTCCTCTTTTTTTTTTTTTTTTTTAAATAAAATGAAAGTAATGTTCCCACTTTCCTGCTTAATTCAAAAAATCATTATGGTATAAAATGAGCTAATGGAATGTGAACACCCCAACTATAAGCTGTTCAATAAATGAAAGGTATTAATCTTTTCCAGGCCAACCACACTTTTAACAAAACATGGAGAGACTTCCCTGATGGAGCGGTACAAACTGAAGATTCATTGTGTACTAATTAATGGGCTGGCTAAAAGAGTGAGAGTTCCAGTTTATATGATTATTTCCTTTTTAAAAATTTTTTTTATTGTACTTTAAGTTCTGGGATACGTGTGCAGAACATACAGGTTTGTTACACAGGTATACACATGCCATGGTGGTTCGCTGCACCCATCAACCCGTCATCTACATTAGGTATGTCTCCTAATGCTATCCCTCCCCTATTTCCCCACCCTCCAACAGGCCCTGGTGTGTGAAGTTCCCCTCTCTGTGTCCATGTGTTCTCATTTTTCAGCTCCCACTTATGAGTGAGAACATGCGGTGTTTGGTTTTCTGTTCCTGTGTTAGTTTGCTGAGAATAATGGTTTCCAGTTTCATCCACGTCCCTGCAAAGGACATGAACCCATCCTTTTTATGGCTGCATAGTATTCCACGGTATATATGTCCCACATTTTCTTTATCCAGTCTATCATTGATGGGCATTTGGGTTGGTTCCAAGTCTTTGCTATTGTGAACAGTGCTGCAATAAACATACGTGTGCATGTGTCTTTATAGTAGAGTGATTTATAATCCTTTGTGTTTATTCTCAGTAATGGCATAATGTCAAATGGTATTTCTGGTTCTAGATCTTTGAGGAATTGCCACACCGTCTTTCACAATGCTAGAACTAATTTACACACCAATAGTGTAAAGGGGTTCCTATTTCTCCACATCCTCTCCAGCATCTCTTGTTTCCTGACTTTTTAATGATCGCCATTCTAACTGGCGTGAGATGGTATCTCATTGTGGTTTTGATTTGCATTTCTCTAATGACCAGTGATGATGAGCTTTTTTTTCATGTTTGTTGGCTGCATAAATGTCTTCTTTTGAGAAGTGTCTGTTCATATCCTTTGCCCACTTTTTAATGGGCTTTTTTTTGTTTTTCTCTTGTAAATTTGTTTAAGTTCCTTGTAGATTCTGGATATTATCCCTTTGTCAGATGCATAGATGGCAAAAATTTTCTCCCATTCTGTAGGTTGCCTGTTCACTCTGATGATAGTTTCTTTTGCTGTTCAGAAGTACTTTAGTTTAATTAGATCCCATTTGTCAATTTTGGCTTTTGTTGCCATTGCTTTTGGTGTTTTAGTCATGAAGTCTTTGTCCATGCCTATGTCCTGAATGGTATTGCCTAGGTTTTCTCCTAGGGTTTTTATGGTTTTAAGTCTTATATTTAAGTTTTTAATCCATCTTGAGTTAATTTTTGTATAAGGTGCAAGGAAGGGGTCCAGTTTCAGTTTTCTGCATATGGTTAGCCAGTTTTCCCAGCACCATTTATTAAATAGAGAATCCTTTCCCCATTGCTTGTTTTTGTCAGGATTGTCAAAGATCAGATGGTTGTAGATGTGCGGTATTATTTCTGAGGCTTCTGTTCTGTTCCATTGGTCTATATCTCTGTTTTGGTACCAGTACCATGCTGTTTTGGTTACTGTAGCCTTGTAGTATAGTTTGAAGTCAGGTAGCATAATGCCTCCAGCTTTGTTCTTTTTGCTTAGGATTGTCTTGGCTGTGCGGGTTCTTTTTTGGTTCCATATGAAATTTAAAGTAGTTTTTTTCTAATTCTGTGAAGAAAGTCAATGGTAGCTTAATGGAAAGTCAATGGATAGCATTGATTCTATAAATTACTTTGGGCAGTATGGCCATTTTTCACAGTATTTATTCTTCCTATCCATGAGCATGGAATGTTTTTCCGTTTGTTTGTGTCCTCTCTTATTTCCTTGAGCAGTGGTTTGTATTTCTCCTTGAAGAAGTCCTTCACATCCCTTGTAAGTTGTATTCCTAGGTATTTCATTCTCTTTGTGGCAGTTGTGAATGGGAGTTCACTCATGATTTGGCTCTCTATTATTGGTGTATAGGAATGCTTGTGATTTTTGCACATTGATTTTTCATCCTGAGATTTTACTGAAGTTGCTTATCAGCTTAAGGAGATTTTGGGCTGAGATGATGGGGTTTTCTAAATATACAATTATGTCATTTGCAAACAGAGACAATTTGACTTCCTCTTATCCTATTTGAATAACTTTTATTTCTTTTTCTTGACTGATTGCCCTGGCCAGAACTTCCAATACTATGTTGCATAGGAGTGGTGAGAGAGGGCATCCTTGTCTTGTGCCGGTTTTCAAGGGGAATGCTTCCAGTTTTTGCCTATTCAGCATGATATTGGCTGTGTGTTTGTCATAAATAGCTCTTATTATTTTGAGATACATTCCATCAATACCTAGTTTATTGGGAGTTTTTAGCATGAATGGGTGTTGAATTTTGTCATAGGCCTTTTCTGCATCTATTGAGATAATCATGTGGTTTTTCTTATTGGTTCTTTTTCTGTGATGGATTATGTTTATTGATTTGCATATGTTGAACCAGTCTTGCATCCCAGGGATGAAGCTGAGTTGATTGTGTTGGATAAGCTTTTTGATGTGCTGCTGGATTTTGTTTGCCAGTATTTTATTGAGGATTTTCGCACTGATGTTCATCAGAGATATTCACCTGAAATTTCTTTTTCTGTTGTGTCTCTGCCAGGTTTTGGTATCAGGATGATGCTGGCCTCATAAAATGAGTTAGGGAGGATTCCCTCTTTTCTGTTGTTTGGAATAGTTTCAGAAGGAATGTTAACAGCTCCTCTTTGTACCTCTGGTAGAATTCAGCTGTGAATCTCTCTGGCCTTGGCCTTTTTTGGCTGGTAGGCTATTAATTACTGCCTAAATTACAGAACTTGTTTTTTGTCTATTCAGGGATTCGACTTCTTCCTGGTTTAGACTTGGGAGGCTGTATATGTCCTGGAATTTAATGATTTCTTCTAGATTTTATAGTTTATTTGCATAGAGGTGTTTATAGTATTCTCTGATGGTAGTTTGTATTTCTGTGGGATCAGTGGTGATATCCCCTTTATCATTTTTCATTGTGTCTATTTGATTCTTCTCTCTTTTCTTCTTTATTAGTCTGATTAGCTGTCTATCTATTTTGTTGATCTTTTCAAGAAAAAAAAACATCTCCTGGATTCACTGATTTTTTTTCAAGGGTTTTTCATGTCTCTATCTCCTTCAGTTCTGCTCTGATCTTTCTTGATTATTTCTTGTCTTCTGCTAGCTTTTGAATTTGTTTGCTGTTGATTCTCTAGTTCTTTTAATTGTGATGTTAGGGTGTTGATTTTAGATCTTTCCCGCTTTCTCTTGTGGGCATTTAGTGCTATAAATTTCCCTCTAAACACTGCTTTAGCTGTGTCCCAGAGATTCTGGTATGTCGTGTCTTTGTTCTCATTGTTTCAAAGAACTTGTTTATTTCTGCCTTAATTTTGTTATTTACCCAGTAGTCATTCAGGAGCAGGTTGTTCAGTTTCCATATAGTTTTGTGGTTTTGAGTGAGTTTCTTATTCCTAAGTTCTAATTTGATTGCACTGTGGTCTGAGAGACTGTTTGTTATGATTTCCATTCTTTTGCATTTTCTGAGGAGTGTTTTACTTTCAATTATGTGGTAAATTTAAGAATAAGTGCAATGGGGTGCTGAGAAGAATGTATATTCTATTGATTTGGGGTGGAGAGTTCTGTAGATGTCTATTAGGTCTGCTTGGTCCAGAGCTGAGTTCAAGTCCTGAATATCCTTGTTAATTTTCTATCTTGTTGATCTGCCTAATATTGACAGTGGGGTGTTAAAGTCTCCCATTATTATTGTGTGGGAGTCTAAGTCTCTTTGTAGGTCTCTAAGAATTTGCTGTATGAATCTCAGTGCTCGTGTATTGGGTACATGTATATTTCAAAGAGTTAGCTCTTCTTGTTGCATTTATCCTTTTACTATTATGTAATCCCCTTATTTGTCTCTTTTGATCTTTGTTGGTTTAAAGTCTGTTTCATCAGAGACTAGGATTGCAACCCCTACTTTATTTTTGCTTTCCATCTGCTTACTAAATATTCCTCCATACCTTTATTTTGAGCCTATGTGTGTCTTTGCACATGAGATGGGTCTCCTGAATACAGCACACAGATGGGTCTTGACTCTTTATCCAATTTGCCAGTCTGTGTCTTTTTTTTTTGTTTTACCTTTTTCCAGCTTTATTGAGGTAAAATTGACAAATAAAAATTAAATATATTTAAGGTATACAACATGATGTCTCAACATATGTATACATTGTGAAATAATTACCACAATCAAGTTAATTAACATATCCATCACCTCACATAGTTATCTTTGTATGTCTGTGTGTGTGTATGTGGTCAGAAAACGTAAAATCTCCTCTTAGCATATTTCAAGTATATGATACGTTATTACAAAATATAGTCTTCATCCATTGCATTAGTTCCCTAGAAGCTATTCATCTTATAACTGAAAGTTTGTACCATCTGACCAACATCTTTCCATTTCCCCCTCCCCTTTGACCCCTGCTAACCACCTTTCTGTTCTTTGTTTCCATGAGTGGGACTATTTTAGATTTCACATAGAAGTGAGAATGAGATCAGTCTGTGTCTTTTAATTGGGGCACTTAGCCCATTTACATTTAAGGTTAATAATTTTAAGTGTGAACTCGATCCTGTCATTATGATGCTTGCTGGTTATTTTGGCTGTTATTTGATGCAGTTTCTTCATAGCATCAATGGTCTTTACAGCTTGGTATGTTTTTGCAGTTGCTGGTACCAGTTGTTCCTTTCTATCTTTAGTGCTTCCTTCCGGAGCTCTTGTAAGGCAGGCCTGGTGGTGACAAAAATCTCTCAGTATTTGCTTGTCTGTAAAGGATTTTTTTTCTTCTTTGGTTATAAAACTTAGTTTGGCTGGATATGAGATTCTGGGTTGAAAATTATTTTCTTTAAGAATGTTAGGCCAGGCATGGTGGCTCACACCTGTAATCCCAGCACTTTGGGAGGCTGAGGTGGGCGGACCCCGAGGTCAGGAGTTTGAGACCAGCCTGGCTAACATGGCGAAACCCTGTCTCTACTAAAAATACAAAAAATTAGCTGGGCATGGTGGTGGGCACCTGTAGTCCCAGCTACTCAGGAGGCTGAGGCAGGAGAATGGTGTGAGCCTGGGAGGCAGAGCTTGCAGTGAGCTGAGATCAGGCCACTGCACTTCAGGCTGGGTGACAGAGTGAGACTCTGTCTCAAAAAAAAAAAAAGAAGAATGTCGAATATTGGCCCCCACTCTCTTCTGGCTTATAGGGTTTCTGCAGAGAGATCCGCTGCTAGTCTGATGGGCTTCCCTTTGTGGGTAACCCAACCTTTCTCTCTGGCTTCCCTTAACATTTTTTCCTTCATTTCAATCTTGGTGAATCTGACTATTATGAGTCTTGGGGTTGCTATTCTCTAAGGGTATCTTTATAGTGTTCTCCATATTTTCTGAACTTGAATGTTGACTTGTCTTGCTAGTTTGGAGAAGTTCTCCTTGATAATATCCTGAAGAGCATTTTCCAACTTGGTTCCATTCTCCCCATCACTTTCAGGTACACCAATAAAACATAGGTTTGGTCTTTTCACATTGTCCCATATTTCTTGGAGACTTTGTGCATTCCTTTTCATTCTCTTTTCCCTAATGTTGTCTTCATGCTTTATTTCATTAAGTTCATCTTCAAGCTCTGATATCATTTCTTCTGCTTGATCGATTTGGCTATTGATACTTGTGTATGCTTCATGAAGTTCTCGTGCTGTGTTTTTCAGCTCCATCAGGTCATTTATGTTCTTCTTTAAACTGGTTATTGTAGTTAGCAATTCCTCTAACGTTTTTTCAAGGCTCTTAGCTTCCTTGCACTGGCTTAGAACACGCTCCTTTAGCTCGGAGGAGTTTGTTATTACCCACCTTCTGAAGCCTACTTCCGTCAGATTGTCAAACTCATTCTCTGTCCAGTTTTGTTCCTTGCTGGCGAGGAGTTGTGATCCTTTGGAGGAGAAGAGGCATTCTGGTTTTTGCAATTTTTAGCCTTTTTGGACTTGTTTCTCCCCATCTTCGTGGATTTATCTACCTTTGATCTTTGATGTTGGTGACCTCTGGATGGGGTTTTGGTGTGGATGTCCTTTTTGTTGATGTTGATGCTCTTCCTTTCTGTTTGTTAGTTTTCAGGTCCCTCTGCTGTAGGTCTACTGGCGTTTGTTGGAGGTTCACTCCAGACCCTGTTTGCCTGGGTATTACCAGCGGAGGCTGCAGAACAGCAAAGATTGCTGCCTGTTCCTTCCTCTGGAAGGTTTGTTCCTGAGGGGCACCTGCCAGGTGCCAGCCGGAGCTCTCCTGTATGAGGTGTCTGTCGACCCCTGCTGGGAGGTGTCCCCCAGTCAGGAGGCACGGGGATCAGGGGCTCACTTGAGGAGGTAGTCTGTCCCTTAGCAGAGCTTGAATGCTGTGCTGGGAGATCCACTGTTCTCTTCAGAGCTGGCAGCCAGGAACATTTAAGTCTGCTGAAGCTGTGCCCACAGCCATCCCTTCCCCCAGGTGCTCTGTCCCAGGGAGATGGGAGTTTTATCTATAAGCTCCTGACTGGGGCTGCTGCCTTTCTTTCAGAAATGCCCTGCCCAGAGAGGAGGAATCTAGAGAGGCAGTCTGGCTACAGCAGCTTTGCCAAGGTGCGGTGGGCTCCGCCCAGTTCGAACTTCCAGGCGGCGGCTTTGTTTACGCTGTGGGGGGAAAACTGCCTAATCAAGCCTCAGTAATGGTGGATGCCCCCTTCCCCCACCAAGCTGGAGTGTCCCAGGTTGACTTCAGACTGCTGTGCTGGCAGCGAGAATTTCAAACCAGTGGATCTTAGCTTGCTGGGCTCCGTGTGTTTGGGATCCACTGAGCTAGACCACTCGGCTCCCTGGCTTCAGCCCCGTTTCCAGGGGAGTGAACAGTTCTGTCTTGCTGGCATTCCAGGTGCCAATGGGATATGAAAAGAAACTCCTGGTCTGCAGGTTGAGAAGACCATGGGAAAATCATTGTATCTGGGTGGGAATGCACCATTCCTCATGGCACAGTCCCTCATGGCTTCCCTTGGCTAGGAGAGGGAGTTCCCCGACCCCTTGTGCTTCCTGGGTGAGGTGATGCCCCACCCTGCTTCTGCTTGCCCTCTGTGGGCTGAGCCCACTGTCTAACCAGTCCCAATGAGATGAACCAGGTACCTCAGTTGGAAATGCAGCCTTCTGCATTGATCTTGCTGGGAGCTGCAGACCGGAGCTGTTCCTATTCGACCATCTTGCCAGCAGCCCCCTGGTCTGGGGCTTTTAGCAGGGTTAGTAAAGGAATTGTATAGAGGACTGGGCTGGGATCTTTCCCCCATATATTTCTCTTGCACTTTCATCTCTTGGAATTCATCTTTTTAAGGCAGCTATGGGTAGGTTCCTCTTCAGATTAATCATTCACTTTCATACAAAACTGGGAAGGAACTGAAACAGAGGCCAAGAAAAATACTGTATATACCTGAGGTAGTCTAGGCTAAACAGAAGTTCAGTAGGCAGTAGGGTAGAACTAGATTGGGGCTTGGAGCCAAGGACTTGAGCTAAAAATAAATAATAGAATGGATTTTTTTGACTATATGTTTCTTGAAGATTTAGCTGTGGCATCATTCATTTTTGCAAGTCAAGGTTTAGTAGTCTTGGCCTTAACTACTTTTCCCAGGAAATATAACTACCAGTAGGATGGCTTGGTAATTTTTTTGGATTAAAGAGTGATACAATGAAAACAGTGTGCTGTGAAGATTAGTTTCCTAGCAGTGTTTATGGACAAGTAAAAGAGGACACTACTAGGGCTGGGAAATCAACCAGAGATCTGTACTGTTTATGCAGAATATGGTAATGAGGAACAAACCAGCGAATTCATGGGAGTGGAGGTTAGAAGAGAAATTAAAAGGGCACTGTGATTACATGAAACAAAGAAGAAAAACAAAGACAAATATTATTTCATGTAATTTACCCATTACACAACAGACGAGAATGCAGACAGAAAATTTATTTCCAGTTTATGGAAAAATTTGAAGAAGTTTGATAATTATCCTATTTCTCTAAGTCGAATACATAAAGCACATTTTCTTAACTCACTATGTTTCTTAATTTTAGAACCTTTTCTTGCTATATTAAAAAATCTTGTTTTATCCAATGTTAAGATGAAAATACAGGTTAATTTAATAGGAATTTTCAATCAGTGATTAGTGTAGCTTCATAAGGTTGGGAGAAGAAGATGAAAAAAATATGTACTCTAAAGTACATAGTATAGGAGATGGCATAGAGTAGGTAACCCAGAAATGTTATGTCTCCTCATGCTTGTCCCTTTTGAAGGCGCTATTACATTGGGACTCAGTATGTCTCCATTTTGTCTGAGACCTCAAGCAATAGGGGCAAACTAGCCCTGCATTCCAAAATGAGAAGTTGATTTCTTTTCTTGCCAGTTTTCAAAATAAGTGATATAAAGTAGTTTTGCTCTTCTTAGCCCCTACTCCCATTCAAACACAAAATGGTTGAAAGTGAAGAGGCTTGGAGTTGCTAGAAACTAAGGGCTTCTTCTATAAGGAAAATTGTTGCACTATGAAGCCTACCCTTGCCAAGGCAATGGTATGAAGGCTCTTTCCCTTCACCGTGAGCCTATGGAGAAAGGATTTCTAAAGATCACTCAGAGTGCTTTGAGTGGGACCCTGGATTAAAGGGACATAGCCATGTCTGACTCATTCATGAATAAAGAAAAAGGCCAGAAGCTGGCTAAAGCATTCCATGGTGGAGGAGCTGGGGAAAAGTGTTTGGAAATCATCCCTCTGAGGATGGCTCAAAGACGTATGATGTTTTAGGAATCAGATATGGAATATGAAGTAGGAACTTTGTCCTGGAATTGTTTTGGAAAAGATTCCATTGAAGAAGGCTTCTTGTAAGAAGCCAGGCAGCCTCAGCATAAAGATCCTAAAATGAAGCTTTGGATGCAGAGGGGGCTCACACATCGTCAGTGAAGAGTGTTGCCTAAATCCAGGGAGGGACAGTGCATGGGGCCAGGCAGGAGACCCTAGGATAAGCCCACTAGAGTGCTCAAGAGAAAATGAGACAGTTTTAACATTGGCATCACACAGAAGAAACCAATAGCAGATAATATTGGTGTCAGTTAAGTACGACTTTTCCTACCTTTTGCCCCAGCTATCTCTCCATTCCTTCGAAAACTCTAGACTAATGAGAGGCAGCCTCGTGAATGGGTGAAGAAAAATTAAAATTCTAGATAGGACGTTCACTTCCAGTAATGGTGGACTAGGAAACAGAATCAGTCTTTTCACTGAGAATGAGAAAGCATGGTCAAAATGTTTTTAAATTATCTGCTTAACAACATGAGAAAAATAACAAGGCATTGGAGATGCAGAGACCTAACATTTGGGAGAAGATGACCACTGCAATAAAGTGAATATAGCGATTAAATCAGTCACACAATTTAAAAAAATTTCCTCAGTCCATAAAAAGATACATTTACACTATACTGTAGTCTGTTAAGTGTGTAATAGCATTATTTCTAAAAATGTTCATTCCTTCATTTAAAATACAGTATTGCTAAAAAGTGTTAATGATCACCTGAGCCTTTGATAAGTCATAACCTTTTTGCTGGTGGAGGGTCTTGCCTCAATGTTGATGGCTGCTGAGTGATGAGAGTGGTGGTAGCTGAAGACTGAAGTAGCTGAGGCAATTTCTTAAAATAAGAAAATAAGAATGTTCACTGCATCGGTGGACTTTTCCTTTCATGAAAGCCTTCTCTGTAGCATGCAATACTGTTTGTTAGCATTGTACCCGCAGTAAAACTTCTTTCAAAATTGGAGTCAGTCCTCTCAAACACTGGTGCTGCTTTATAAAATAAATTTATGTAATATCATAAATTCTTTGTTGTCATTTCAACAAAATTTACAGGATCTTCACCAGGAGTAGGTTCCATCTCAAGAAACCACGTTCTTTTCTTATCCATAAAAAGTAACTCCTTATCCATTCAAGTTTGATCATGAGATTGCAGTAATTCAGTCACATCTTTAAGCTCTACATCTAATGCTAGTTCTCTTGCTAGTTCTACCACATCTGCAGCTACTCCCTCCACTGAAGTCTTGAACCCCTCAAATAAGCCATGAAGGTTGGAATCAACTTCTTCCAAACTCCTGTTAGTGTTGATATTTTGACCTCCTCTCATGAATAATGGATGTTCTTAATGGCATCTAGAATGATGAGTCCTTTCTAGAAGGTCTTCAATGTACTTTGCCTAGATCCATCAGTGGAATCACTAGCTATGGCAGCTATAGCCTTACAAACTGTATTTCTTAAATAATAAGAAATGAAAATTCAGAATTACTCCTTAATCCATGGGCTACAAAATGGATGTTGTATTAACAGGCATGAAAGCATTAATTTCCTTGTACATCTCCATCAGAGCTCATGAGTGATAAGATGCATTGTCAATGAGAAGAAATATTTTGAAAAGAATTTTTTTCTGGGAATTAGGTCTCTTAAGCAGACATAAAATGTTCAGTAAAACATGCTGTAAACAGATGTGCTGTCATCCAGGTTTTGTTGTTCCATTGATAGAGCACAGGTAGAGTAGATTTAGCATAATTCTTAAGGGCCCTAAGATTTTTGGAGTGGTAAAAGGAGCATTGGCTTCATATTGTGTCATTAGCTGCATTATCCCCTGGCAAGAGAGTCAACCTGTCCTTAGAAGCTTTGAAGCCAGGTGCTGACTTCTCCTTTCCAGCCATGAAAATCCTAGATGACATCTTTTTCCAATGTAAGACTGTTTTACCTACATTGAAAATCTGTTGTTAATGTGGCCACCTTCATCAATTATCTTAGCTAGATCTTCTAGATAACTTGCTGCAGCTTCTAAATCAGCATTTGTTGCAGCTTCTAAATCAGCACTTGTTGCTTTACTTTCCTCTTTATGTTATGGAGACAGTTTCTTTCCTTAAACCTCATCAGCCAACTTTTCTTCTGCAGCTTCCTCACCTCTCTCAGCGTTCATAGGATTGAAGACAGCCAGAGCCTTACTTAGGATTAGGCTTTGGTTTAAGGGAATGTTGTGGCTGGTTTGATCTTCTATCCAGACCACTCAAACTTTCTCCATATAAACAATAATGTTTCACTTTCATATCATTCATGTATTCACTGGAGTAGCACTTTTAATTTCCTTCAAGAACTTTTCCTTTTGATTCATGATTTGACTACTTGGTACAAGAGGCCTAGCTTTGAGCCTACCTCAGCTTTCGACATGCCTTCCTCACTAAGCTTAATTTTTAGCTTTTGATTTACAGTGAGAGACATGTGATTCTTTCTCTCATTTGAACACTTACAGATAATTGTAGGGTTGTTAATTGCCCTGATTTCAATATTGTTGTGTCTCTGGGAAAGGGAGGCCCAAGGAGAGTGAGAGAGATTGGGGAATGACTGGTTGGTGAAGTAGTCAGGACACATATAATGCTTATTGATTAAGTTTGTAATCTTATATGGGAGTGGCTCATGGTGCCCCCAAACAATTACAATAGTACCGTCAAAGATCATTGATCACAGATTACCAGAACAGATAATGAAAATAGTGGATGATAATAATGGAATAATAATTATAATATCTTAATAATAATAATGAAAATAATGAAAAATTGTGAAATATTGCAAGAATTTCCAAATTGTGAATCAGAGACACAAAGTGAGCATGTGCTTTTTGAAAAGATGGTGCCGATAGACTTGCTTGCTATAGGATTGCAGCCACCTTTAATTTGCAAAAACTGCAGTATCTGTGAAGCAAAATAAAGTGAAGTATGCCTGTACCATTCTGTGGGATATCCTGTATTGATGGAAATATTAGATTATTTGCAATGAAAAACACTGATCATGAGTTGCCATGACTCATATGCTGAATCATTGAGATGAGTCCTGTCATGTAGACTTTGCATGATTTAGAATAATTTTAGTATGAATGTATTTCTGGTAAGAAAAAGAGGAGACTTCTGATAGCCCCTCCCAACCACACCTTAAGGAGCATCTCTTGGATGATTAGTGAGTGTCTCTGCAGTCTTCCGCTTTATAGGATGAAAAGCCAGGGGGAAGGGTGTTTTGACATTAGCCAATTAGAGATGCTGTGTTTCTTTAATTCCTAGATACCTATTGTTTTTCTTGATTAAATTTGGGAGGATTTTGTCTCAATTATTCCTTTTCTATTACCTCCACTCAAAATTCTATTACTTAGTAATCAGTTCTTTGGCCCAGGCTGATCTTCCAAATCTTCTATTTTATGTTATACTCCAGACAAACTGGAGCACTTTGTCTTTTCCCATCTTTTTCCTCAGCTTGCAATGTCCCTTCATCCACCCCTGCCAATATCAAGCTCAAGGGCAAGCTAAATACCACCACCTCCTTAGAGCCTTCTGTGTTTCCTACTTTACCCTCAGTAGAGATCCTCCCTCCCCTCAACTCATGTCATACATTAAATCTCTCTACTGACTTCTCAGATATTCTATTTGGATTTTGTGGCAATGTGGCTGCCTAACTTATTGCCTCTGTTAAATTACAAGCTTGTTGAAAACAAATCATCTCTTACTCCTCTTTACATTGGACTAGGATATTGACTTGTATATATTTAATGCTCAGTAATATTGTTTAAACAAATGAATAAGGAAAATAAATTAAAAAGATTGTAAGGTACTGGCACTTTCATGTAAATAAATGAGGACATAGGAGGAACATCATTACCCTGGTTAATTGTTTTTTTAATACATAGATAATTAGCTACAGTTCCTAGTAACCATAGAAAGTATTAAGTTACTTGAATTTCAGAAGTACCAAAAATATTCAAATTAGTTTTAATTTACTTAGAAAACAAGATGTCAAATAAATGCATTTGGTTTCACTGAATGAATTTACTGAAATAGCATTCTTTATATTTATGAGATTTTTGAAAAATTTTACAGAAATAGGCCAGAGTATTAAGATAATGTACAATTGCTTTTTATGTTTGGGTCTGCCAGAATCATTCATTGAATACTTGCTTCATTTTTATATTTTTACTGTTCATTAAGCATCTTATTTTTAAGATATTTGCCACATAACTGAAATAACTCATGTGTACAATTCCCACTGGTTTCTGCATTTTTTTAAAGGTATGTAAATGTTTTTGATTAATTACACAATCATTGAAAGAGCAGCACCCCTTTTTAAGACCAGTATTCTACATTTTCCTTTTTTTTTCAGCTGCCTTTTACATAAAGATAAGAAAAAAAAGGAAGAATTTCATTAATTACATAAGCTCAGAGCAATTAACCTTTTAAGTAGAAATTATTAATTAGGTGACCACTGTCCAATTAAAATCATTCACAACTGGACTGTGAGATGATACACTGGATTGTGACGTACTTGAAGACAAACTTCATGTCCATATTTGCCTGAATTCCTGGTTCCTGATGTAAAATTGGTGTTCAGTAAATATCTGCTGAATCAACCAGGCATGAGTGAATGAGTAAGTGAATGAATGAATGTCATGCTTCCTGCCTGCTCTAGAATTAGAAGTGACATACCTGTCGGTAAAATAAAACAATAAGCTTCATCTTCAACTGTTAGACTAAAATTAAATTTAAGACATGAGAGGGCCTGTGTCAATTAATTGCTCAGTGAATTTTTATAAAGTATGATTGGTTTTAAATAAGGAGAAATTTTACTTGTATGCTTCACCCATCCTCCACTCCCACCTATTCTAGTTGTGTAGAGACTGTTGTTTCTACCTGGGCATAGACTTTTGGTTGATGATGATTCAGATTGGCACCCTTAGCTGACTCAGAGATATGCGCTACACCTGGGTGATCTATCATTTCAGAATACCTTTTCCAATTCGGACACTGCCCAGTTTTGTCTAGAATGTAAATCCCATTAAATCACAGATTTTATGGCTACTGGCCAGCAGGAATTTATTAATATTTATTGTACATGTAAAATTAATTTATAAAATTCAACTTGACCTGGAAAAGCCAGAATTGTTAAAGATATGAGAGTTTGGCAGGGTGTGATGGCTCACTCCTATAGTCCCAGCACTTTGGGAGGCCAATGCAGGTGGATCTCTTGAGCCCAGGAGTTTGAGATCAGCCTGGGCAACACAGCGAAACTCTGTCTCCTCTTTCTCTCTCTGTCTCTGTCTCTGTCTCTCTCTCTCTCTCTCTCTCTCTCTCTGTGTGTATATATATATATAATGACCCTTATATATTTTATGTATATGATATATATATCATATATATGTATATAATGAGAGTAATTAATGGACTATCATTATCACTGTCACCCATCCCTTGATGTTATTAGTCATTGGCCATCCACTATGACATAGTCTTGTATTAGGAGATGACAAATATAAATGCTACTTTTGAGAGAATCGAAATCCATTCAGGAACATGTGACGCAATACAAAAAAAAGGGAAATTAGCAAAATATTTATCTTTATATTCAGCTATAAATGAATATGTCTGTGGAGTTAGCTGTGAGAAGGCCATTGCTGAGATCTCAGATGCTACATTCAACTAAGACCAGTCTTATAAACGCTGTGGGCATTTTGATGAGTAGTCTCAACAGACTGTTACAATATTGAGCTTCTGGGCCAAGTGTGGGTAAAGTCTTGCTACCTTGAATACTGCTGACTGGATGCAAGGGTTGTCATTAGATAGGAGTCACCTCAAATTCTGATCTTATATTTATGAAATATCTTAAACCTATATACTTTCCATCCCATCAGTGGAGGGGATAAGTAACTGACTTTTACTTCCTCTACTTTCACTTCAGATCCCAGCCTCTCTTTCCTAAGAAGGAGCTTACTTCTCCAGTTTCCTGCTCCTAATTCTCTTCTCTCAACATTTAGATTCACTGAAGTCCAATTTTTCTTCTAAAATAAGAAAATCCCTCTCGACTCCATAGCGCTATTTATCTACTGTAATCTTTTGCTTTTTCCTCCACTTCAAAGAGTAGTTTTATTCTCTCTCCATCTGTAACACTTATCAAAGCACACTGAGCTGATCTAACCCCAAACTCTAAAGAAACTGTCAAAAAGATTGCCAATGATCTTCTTGACACTTAATCCAATTAATATTTTTTAGCTTTATCTTACTTAACCTCATGATAACATTTAACATTTTGTATTATTCCCTTCTCTTTGAAGCAGTCTTCTCTAGGTTTCCATTATAACAGCATCTCCTTATCAACATCTACTTCTTCTTTTATAATTAACCCAGAGTTTTTTCAAGTATCAGGTGGCACTGCATTCCAGGAAAGTAAACCCAGTTTCCACTGTGAGTAACTGCTTTAGGGGAGGACATATGATGTACTTCTCACTAATAAGGCACAGAGAGAGCTCAGTTAGAGGGCTGTGGCAAACTGTCTTAGTCCTTAAATGAGTTGTACGAGGAAGTGATGTCTAAAACTCTGATAGCCATCTTATAAGTAAAAAGAAGAAGCAGTATAACATAGTGATTAAGAGCATGAACTCTAGACTCTGATGTTCAAGTTCCAGTTCCCTGGTAGGCTTTCTTATGACTTGAGTAAATTACTTAATCTCTCTGTGCTGACATTTCCCCATCTGTAAGCTGGGAATAAGGATGATAACAATAGTAACGCTTTAAGAGGGTTATGATGAGGTTTAAATAAGTTGATTTTTCTGAAGCATTGAGCCTGGTGCAGGAAAAATGTTTATGTTTTTCCTGGTGCAGGAAAAAAATAAATACACCTAAGAACAAAACCCAGTAAAGTGAAGTATAGAACAAGGGAAAGAATCTGTGCTCTAGAGACCTCATTGAGCCATTGAACTGACTACTTCCCGGTAACTTGTCTTGTGAATAATAAATCCTTACCTTTAAAGCTATTTTTAGTAGTCTATTCTTTTATTTTTGAGACAAAGTCTAGCTCTGTCTCCCTGGCTGCAGTGCAGTGGCATGATCACAGCTCACTGCAGCCTTGACCTCTCAGGTTCAACTGATTCTGCCACCCAGCTCCTCTAAGTGGCTGAAATCAGACATGTCCCATCATGCCCAGCTAATTTTTGTATTTTTTTTTTTGTAAAGACATGGTTTCACCATGTTGCCCAGGCTGGTCTCAAACTCTCGGGCTCAAGTGATTCACCGGCCTCGGCCTCCCAAAATGCTGGGATTACAGATGTGAACCACCATGCCAGGTTGTATATTCTTTTATTTTATTTTCAACTAAAAGCATCCAAACTAATACTTCTCACTCACTGGGTTTTCTTTTATATGTATTTGACTCCTTCGTTGTCACATTTGAATGTGCATTAAGTATTGTCCCCATCATTGGCTTATAACTGCTCCATTGCTAGGTCCACTCCCCCGTTAGCTCAAGTTTTATGGTTTTAATTACAACATACTCATAACTCCCAGATGTAAATGTGCAATGCAGTTCTCCCTCCTGAACTCCAAACCCACATAGAAAATGATTGTTGTATTTGTTTAGGTGTCTCAGAGGCAACTAAAATTTAACATTTTAAAAACTTGGCTCATTCTTTCTCCTTTTAGCAATTCCAAAGTCAATATCCCATCCATACTCTCTTTCTCAGTGAATACATTACCATTCCCTGAGTGGCCTAAGCTGCAAGTTTAGGTGTTATCCTAATTCCATCTCTTCGTCATGTACTCATAACTAAATCAATTATTTGATCTTGTCAACAAATTCCAGGAGCAGTGCAGAGACCACTATGGCTGGAGCAGAGTGAGCAAAGGGGAGAGACAAGAAGGAGCTTAGGTCACAGCAGTAAGGTATAGTCATAGCACAAAGCCTTCATAATCTTGGGCTTTCCTCTTGATGAAATGGGAAGCCACAGAGATTGTGGGGGAGGTGGTACTGAAACAAAAGCATAACATGACCTGGCTTCTTTGTCATTACTAGACTGATGACAAGGAAGGACAAAAGTGATCAGACAAATAAAGTTATTAAAATAATGTAGACAAAACATGAAGGTGGTTTGAGTCGGGGTTGTTGCAGTAATGTTTGTAGCAAGTGATTGCATTTTGGATATATTTTAAGAAAGCGTCTATATGATTTGTTAATGCATTCATTGAGTTGAAAGAGAAAGAGAGGAATCAAAGACTACATCAAGGTTTTTGTCCTGAGTAATTGAAAGTGCCAAGTTGCCATTAACTGACATCAGGAAAGACTACGTAAAGAGATTTTAGGAGTAAGTGTTAGAAATTTATTTTAATATGTTCGGCTCATGATGTCTATTAGTAACTCAGGTGGAGAGTTTAAGTAGGCTGTTCAGTAGAAACTTCTGGATTTAGAGGAGACAATCAAGCTGGAAATATAAATTTGGAAATCATCAGCACATAGATGACATCTAAGACCATAAAACTGGATGTAAATGAAGGGATTGAGAGTAGAGAGAAAAGAGAAATAGTTCAAGAATTGAGCCCAGAGGTACTCCAATATTCTTGAGAGTATCTGAAGAACAAAGGAGTCCAAGCAAAGGAGACTGAGTGAGAGAGATAGCAGGAAAGCCAGAAAAGTATGATGTTCCAGAATTCAAGTGAAGAAAGCTTTACAAAGATGTGGAAGCAAGCAACTGTCAAGGCTTCTGATAGTTCAAATCAGATGAAGATTGAGAATGGAAAATCAGATTTAGCAACATAGAAGACAATGGTGATTTATGCTAGTTAAATTCTGTTTACTTTAAGGTCACTATTTGAATTTTATCTTCTCTGGGCAGTTTTCTGTGACTGTATAAAGCTGGTTTTAAAAACTTTCAATGTAAACCATATAACACCTGTTATTTTACACTCATAGTAATGTTTTGAAATTGTCCTTTTACTTATCTGTCTCCTCTAAACAACATATGCAAGGGCAAGACTTGTTTGATTACTGCTGTGCCTTGCACAGTATCTGGCAAAGAGTAGGGGCAACCTTTGCCAAATGAAATTTAATTGAATTGTCTGTCATTTGTGCCAGATGTCCACCCCTGGCTGGTTAAAAAGAGAGAACAAAAAGAGGGTGGATAGGAGGGAGTAGCCAGGTCTAGGTGGTATTAGTGATGCATCCTTTGATGACAAAGACTAATGTTGCTACCTCATTTGGTTTACTTTAGGTTTAGAGAAGCTTGTTAGGACAATCCAAAATGAGCTTCTGATAGAATATGTAGGTGTGCCGGTTACCTGAGGGCAGGAGAACAGCCCAAAATCAGCTAAGCAAGTTAGTGAGCAGTTGTTATTAGTCAGCCATGCCCACTTCAACAAAATTGTATCAATGGATAGCTTGTAATTTTCCTACAGTTTTTATGAAAGAGCTGGTAACAAATGGAATGAAATGTGCATAGCTCAATTCTACACATTTACTAACTGAAAAGTTGGCCAAGGGATACCAAGTCTTTTTTTGTTGTTGAAATCAAAGATTATGAATTGGTTTCCTTATCATTTATAAAAATTTGTATTTTTTTTCATATTTCCTTTTAGGGTAGAAACATTCCTAAAAATAGGCTATAAGACTAGTTAATAGCAGTTAAGATAGTAATTATGTGATAAAATTGTTAATATTTACATGATTAAATAGTAATTACAGTAGGTTATTTTAATTTCAAGAAAAGTAAATGGTGTACATTAATGATGAAAACTAACTCTACAGGTTTTGTTTACAGGATTTTTAGAAGACTAGTTAAATTAAATTTTTTTCTATAGGCAAGAGTAGACCTCTAATTTTTAACTTTTATATGATAAGTTAATTTTATATTTGTAATGGGTCACACTTACTAATTACTAAGTTACTCTCTTAAAAAAGCATCTTCAACATACTGAGGTTTACATTTCATATCTGTGCAACTGTGCCAATATCGTCCAATATTAAATATATAAATAACATAATATTAGAGAGATATTGGTGAATATAAATTAAAATTAGATTGAGAAGCTTTTTGGCTAGAATTCACTTTAGGATTTATATTGCTTATATTACTCTTCTTTTTCAGGACTTGTGCCATAGCACAGAGAAGTGGAGAATACAAGAACAGCAACATCCAGAAATTAAAACACAAACAAACCAAAGCACCCACAACAACTCAAACTAGGCCCTTATTATCGGAGTTTCAGTCAGCCAACATAAAGTAGGCTCTTTCTACACCCACCTCTGCTTTATTATCCACAGTATTTTTCAGTCTTACTTCTATCAAAATCATCTAACTTATTGATTTGTTTACTTGTTTATTCTCCATTTCTGTAGTCCTAGTTTTCTTTTTCCTAAGAGTTGTTTCTTCATAAAAGCAGGTGACCTCTGCAACTTATCTTGTCACTCTCTACCCTTTGTACCCAGAATAATGTCTAATATATACTAACTAAGTGTTCAACTCTGATATCTCACCTTTTTTCCCCAATGTCCCTTTCCTCTTTCCCTTTCTTCCATTCCTAACTTCCTCCCTTGAGTCAAAACCTTTCTCTTCTATAGCAGGCAACAGATTAAAAAAATCTCATCAGATTAGAGGAAATAAATTCCAACTTTATAACTGGAAAGAAAGAGTAATAGCTTGATTTCTATTGCCTATGCTTACTACAGGAAAATTGAGCAAACATTTTTTCACAAAACACTGAATCCTCCCTTTCTTCTTGAGTACAGGCTGGATTTAGTGAGTTGATTCCACAGAATAGAGTATAGGAAGGGGTGAAAAGTTACTTTGCGGTGCAGAAAATTGGCAGTCACTATCTTAATGAAGTGATCAAAGTTAACTTTCCCAGTGATATAATTTTGATACTACGTACCCTTGATATGATATGATGAGAATGCCACTTCTCTGATGTGACATTCTTCCCCAGACCAATAGCCACAGTCTAAGAATAAGAAAAGCATCTGACAGGGCTAGGCAGGGTGGCTCATGCCTGTAATCTCAGCACTTTGGGAGGCCAAGGCGGGCCGATCACGATGTCAGGAGATTGTGACCATCCTGGCTGACACGGTGAAACCCCATCTCCACTACAAATAACAAAAATTAGTAGGGTGTGGTGGTGGGCACCTGTAGTCCCAGCTACTCGGGAGGCTGAGTCAGAAGAATGGCTTGAACCCGAGAGGCAGAGCTTGCAGTGAGCCCAGATTGTGCCACTGCACTCCAGCCTGGACGATAGAGCAAGACAGTCTCAAAAAAAAAAAAAAAAAAAAAAAAGAAAAGCATCTGATAAACACAGAATGAAGATCATTCTACCAAACATGTGCCCAGTGCTTCTCAAGCCTGTCAAGGTCATCAAAAACAAGGAAAAACAATCACAGACCAGAGAAGACTAAGGAGGCATGATATCCAAATGTGATGTGGTACTGTGGATGGGATCTTGCAACAGAAAAAGAATATTAGAGAAAAACTGGTGGAATCCAAAAACAGTCTAGAGTTTAGTTAACAGTAATATACCAATGTTGGTTTGTTGTGATGAATGTACTGTGGTGTTTATGTAAGATGTTAACTATTAGGAAAACTGGATGTGGAAACTCTGTATACTATCTTTGTAACTTTTATGTAAATCTACAACTCTTCTGAAATAAAAGGATTTTATTTTAAAAAAGCAACTAGGAAATTCTAGCTTGATGTCTCCTCCAACTTTGTACAGATTTTGCCAAAATATTGCATTCTTTTATAATCCCATTTCTATGGGAATAACAATTTTAAAGTCTGTTTTTTGGTGGCATAATAACGCATATAAAAATCTAGTACACATATTTCAGCAAATGAACTTAATCAGCAAATTAAAAAATTCTACAAGAATTGTCATTTTTACTATTGTCCCCGTTTTGTATATTTTGCTGATAGCTGCCATTTCTCCAGCGACTATTAGGATATCATTAAAATCCTGAGTTAACATGTTATTTGAATATCTCTTACATACTTTGACACATTAATTCGTAATGAACAGTGGTAAGCCAATGACTACATTTATTGATGGAGAGGAAAAAGGAAAATATGGATGACCCTTGAGCAACTCAGGGATTAAGACCACTGCCCTCTGCATAGTCAAAAATCCACATATAACTTCTGACTCCCCCAAAACTTAACTACTAATAGCCTACTGTTGGCAGAAGCCTTATCAATAAAACAGTTAATGAACATGTTTGTATGTTTTGTTTGTTCTTAGCTACTGGAGTTACCTAAGTTTAATTTAGGAGTGATCACAGCAATTCCTAGTTCATGAGAGAGCTAAAGCAGCCAGTTTATTCCCAAATATTTCAGGACTGCTTGGGAATCTTGGCAAATGGCTTTGCTCACCTCAAGGTATTTCAGAAGTGAGAAGTATTGACAATATGATAAAGTGGTCAGGCTTTGATCTGAAAGTCAAATGGTATTTTGCATCTTATGACAGGGAAATTAAGATGCATATACTGTTTTCTTACAAGAAAACTAGAGAAAAGAAAATGATATTAAGAAAATCATAAGAAATAAAATATATTTACTATTTATTAAATGGAAGTGGATAATCATAAAGGTCATCATTCTTACTGTCTTCACATTGAGTAGGCTGTGGAGGAAGAGGAAGAGTTGGTCTTGCTGTCTCAGGGGTAACAGAGGTGGAAGAAGGGAAAGAGGAGGAGAAGAGGTAGGCACACTCAGTATAACCTTTATTGAAAACAATTCACATATAAGCAAACCTGCACAATTCAAACCTGTGTTATTCAGGGTCAACTGATATTAGCTCTTCTTTATTAATTTCTCTGTTGTTTGATTTACTACGCAAATTGTATTTTTAATGGAATATCGCTAATTCAAAAAAGTTGTAAAGAAGGGTTATCAGTTGAGATAAAATTGAGCATCAGTGGACATTATACTGTTGCTAAGCAATAACAGTAGTCTGTCTGTTTTATAGGGGATTATATAATGAATAAATACTGTAGATATAAGAAAGACAATTGCTTAAAATGGACATTTATAAAGCTCTGTCTGTGAATTAATTGAATAGATTCACAGTGTCCTAAGATGGTACAAGTTACTAAGATTTTGAACTTCAATTTTGGCCTTAGTTAATAAGTAATTTTTTTGCTACGTCAGTTTTTTTAAACATTTTTTCCATTAGCATGAGCTTTCAGAGGAACAATTATTTATGGTTTTAAAAATTGCTGGCTTGCTACTATTTATATTCATTAACTGCTAAACACTCAGGGACTACGTGCCTCAGGGAACTGGGGTAATTGTCCATGCTAACCAAGTAGAGTGATAAAGCGTTTAACAAACAAAACTTTCCACTTCTACTTCCCTTGTAGGAAGTTTATTAACATTTATAACCACCATGATGTTAGGAATCAACATTTATTAAAAACCACTTTGTGTGACAGTACTGCCAGCTTCGTGCCAACTCTTGAGACTGAAGAGACTATTTGGCAGTAAGCATGAATGAGCTTTTATCTTAGCTACTGGAGTTTCCTAGACTTTAATTTAGGAGTGATCACAGCAATTACTAGTTCATGAGAACTACAGCAGCCAGTTTATTTCCAAATATTTCAGGACTGTTAGTGAATCTCAGTGAATGGCTTTGCTCATCTCAAGATATTTCACAAGTGAGAAGTATTAACAATGATAAGGTAGCCAGGCTTTGATCTGAAATTCAAATGGTACTGTGTCTCTTATGACAGAGAAATTAAGATGTGTTACCTTCCTTTCCCTGTTACACAGCAGCTACATATATGTACTTGATATAATATCTTTTACCATTGATTTAAAGGAGTGTAAAAACTTGGGAAAGTCATTGAGGCTTTCTGATTATTGTTCACTTCATCTCTAGTAAATGGGGAAAACAATACAAATTCCATAGGTCACTGTAAGAAAAAAATTTTTAAATGTATATAAAAATGCTTTAAAAAATGTAAAGCATGCTGATATGGTTTGACTCTGTGTCCTCATCCAAATCTCATCTTGTAGCTCCCATAATTCCCACATGTAGTGGAAGGTACCTGGTGGGAGATGATTGAATTATGGGGGCAGGTCTTTCCTGTGCTGTTCTTATGATAGTGAATAAGTCTCACAAGATCTGACGGTACTATAAGGGGTAATTTCCTTGCACAAGCTCTTTTTGCCTGCTACCATCCACGTAAGTTGTGACTTGCTCCTCCTTGCCTTCTTCCATGATTGTGAGGCCTCCCCAGCCACATGGAATTGTGAGTCCAATTAAATCTCTTTCTTTTGTAAATTGCTCAGTCTCAGGTATGTCTTTATCAGCAGCATGAAGATGGACTAATACAGTAAATTGGCACCAGTAGAGTGGGGCTTTGCTGAAAAGATACCTGAAAATGTGGAAGCGACTTTGGAACTGGGTAACAGGCAGAGGTTGGAACAGTTTGGAAGGCTCAGAAGAAGGCAGGAAAATGTGGGAAAGTTTAGAACTTCCTAGAGACTTGTTGAATGGCTTTGGCAAAAATGCTGATAGTGACATGAACAATAAGGTCCAGGCTGAGGTGGTCTCAGATGGAGATGAGGAACTTGTAGGGAACTGGAGTAAAGGTGACTCTTGTTACGTTTTAGCAAAGAGACTGGTGGCATTTTGCCCCTGTCCTAGATATTTGTGGAACTTAGAATTTGAGAAAGATGATTTAGGGTATCTGGTGGAAGAAATTTCTAAGTGGCAAGGCATTCAAGAGATTACTTTGGTGCTGTTATAGGCATTCAGTTTCAAAAGGGAAACAGAGCATATAAGTTAGGAAAATTTACAGCCTGACAATGCAATAGAAAAGAAAATCCCATTTTCTAAGGATAAATTCAAGCCAGCTGCAGAAATTTGTGTAAATAATGAGGTGCCAAATGTTAATCCCCAAGACAATGGGGAAAATGTCTCCAGGGTATGTCAGAGGTCCTCACAGCAACCTCTCCCATCATAGGCCCAGAAGCCTAGGGAAAAAAAAATGGTTTCATGGGCTGGGCCCAGGGTCTCCATCCTGTGTGCAGCCTAGGGACTTGCTACCCTGTGTCCTGGCCACTCCAGCTGTGACTAAAAGGGGCCAAGGTACATCTCAGGCTGTTGCTTCAGAGGGTGGAAGCCCCAAGCCTTGGCAGCTTCCACATTGTGGTGAGCCTGCAGGTGCACAGAAGTCATGAATTGAAGTTTGGCAACCTCCTCCTAGATTTCAGATGATGAATGGAAATACGTGGATGTCCAGGCAGAAGTTTGCTGCAGGGGTGGGGCCCTTCAGGCCAGTGTGGAAGGGAGATGTGGGGTCAGATCCCTCACACAGAGTCCTTATTGGGACCCCACCTAGCAAAGCTGTGAGAAAAGGGCCACAGTCCTCCAGACCAGAATGGCAGATCCACCAACAGCTTGTACCGTGCAACAGCTTACACCTGTAAAACTGCAGACACTCAACTCCAGCCCATGAAAACAGCTGGGAGGGAGACTATAACCTGTAAAGTCACGGGGCAGAGCTGCCCAAGACCATGGGAACCCACCTCTTAGATCAGCATGACCTGGACATGTGACATGGAGTCAAAGGAGATCATTTTGAAACTTTAAGATTTGACTTTCCTGCTGGATTTCGGACTTGCACTGGGGTCTGCAGCCCCTTTGTTTCAGCCAATTTCTCCTATTTGGAATGGCTGTATTTACCCAAGGCCTGAACCCCCATTTTATCTAGGAAGAAACCAGCTTGCTTTTGATTTTGCAAGCTCATAGGTGGAAGGGTCTTGCCTTGTCTCAGATGAAGGTTTGGACTTGGACTTTTGGGTGAATGCTGAAATGAGTTAAGACTTTGGGGGACTGTTGGGAAGGCTTGATTGGTTTTGAAATGTGAAGATATGAGATTTGGGAGGGGCCAGGGGTGGAATGATATGGTTTGGCTCTGTGTTCACACTCAAATCTCATCTTGTAGCTCCCATAATTCCCATCTATTGTGGGAGGTACCTGCTGGGAGATGATTGTATTATAGGGGTGAGTCCTTCCTGTGCTGTTCTCATGATAGCCAATAAGTCTTACAAGATCTGACAGTACTATAAGGGGGAGTTTCCTTGCACAAGCTCTTTTTGCCATCCACATAACTTGTGACTTACTCCTCCTTGCCTCTGCCATGATTGTGAGGCCTTCCCAGCCACATCAAACTGTGAGTTCAATTAAACCTTTTTCTTTTGTAAATTGCCCAGTCTCAGATATGTCTTTATCAGCAGCTTGAAAATGGACTAAAACACATGCGTTGTCTTTTCTTCCTGATATTACACAATAGATACAGGAAAAGGATGAAGAAAGAAATTGGCTTTTCATCTTTTTTTTTGTTTTGTTTTACTACTTTTGCCACTTCACCCACATGAATACAATATTAACAAAAAATATAGCTAAATTGTTTCTATCATGAACAAAATCATCCATTGTTAATTTCTTTCAAGAAAACGGAAACAAATGAGTCAGTAGAGACCTCTGTGTTTTCATTATTTGCTTTGGTATATAAAGAGTGTGGGTTTGCAAAGATACCAGATTCTAAATATTTAACTTAATATAAGGCATTTAGATGTGTAATTTAATTCAATCACTTCTGCACACTTGGTGCCTAACTGGTTTTTTTATTACATAATCATTTCTCCATTTAGATCTCAGAGTATAAACCAAAACCTTTCTTTGGGGGGTGTTTGTGCATGTCTGTGTATGTCTGTGTGGGCTTGAATGTTTTACAAATATTTGGTACTTAGCAGATTTTTTTTTCCAAGCAGATGTTCATCAAAGACTTCCATGAATTTGTACTTATAGTGATTAACATTAAGAACAACATTTATGGATGAAAAATAGACATCTTTATTATTTTAAAAAATGGCTCACTAAATTCCTTTTGAAAAATTATAGTATTTTTAGTCCTGATGAGAACATATAGACTGTATAGAAGTTTATCAAAATCATTATTCTGCTGACTTTATTTAACAAGAGTTTCAGATAAGTAAAACTTTAAAATGCTAATTAGCTCAAATTCTGCATCTGCATTATGCAATTATAAATGTGTATTTTACCCCTCAAGTGTTAAGCACCTTTTATTCATCAATTACAGACTGACCAAATCTCTATATTCGTTTCGTCTGTTTAATACAGGTGAGGCATACGCATGTTTCCTGGCTGGAGAACCACTTATTTGTTTAATATTTATTTTTAAACTGAAGAATGAAGAAAATAAATTTCAAAACGTCGGAGTCCAAAAGAATGTGGCTAAAATATGTACATGAAATACTGTACTAAAACAGTCCACAGTCATCAGTAAATGCATATCCATTAACGGGTAAGTTACCAAATTCATACCACTCAGCAGCATTGTAATGCTGACTAATAAAAAATCAGCATTTTTAATAAGCATTATGGTATTCTCTGATCTGGCATGAAAGTAATCAGGTGTTCACATGCCTAAGGTGAGGGCTAATAGGTGCCTCCCAAATTATTGCACCACCTTTACTTCCCCAGGGAAAATATCACTAAAAGGTTAGAAATGTAGAGGAGTGCAATGTAATTTGAATTTTGAATCTCCTTTCCTTGTCCCTTCATAAACTGAAATCTACCTGTGGATCCTCATTTGATAAATAAGTTGAATTATGACTTTGAGGCAGCTGATCATCATGTGTGGAGTCAAACTCAAGTCCTAGTTTAAGTCAAAACCTTTAAAACTAGTGACTGGTTGAGAAAATGAATAGGCTACTACAGCACATTGAGAATTTTAAGCAATTCATTGATTGCTTAATGAATAGCATGTGTCAAGGCCAGATTAAGAAACATGATCTTCTAACAGGGAATCCATGTAACTGCCTTTAGTCACTAAGTATTGGAATTTAGGCCCAGCCCTGTTGTCATCTCTCTGAGGAAAACAAAGCAATAGGAGGCATGATTCTTGCCCTCAAGTGCTAGCTTCACATTCACAGGGATGACACAACAATATGTTTAAGACTGAAACTGCATATTTCTCAAGAACAATCAGTATTTGAGAAATTGAAAGATATATTTGGGAAGAGTACCCGAAAAAGTTTCCTGAATAAGTTGGCTCTTTAAGAGGGTCTTAAAGAGTGAGTAAAAATTAATCAATAATTCTTAGCCCTGGCTGTACATTAGAATAGTCTAATCTTTTAAACACTACCTGGGCCCCACCCTTAGAAATTGTGACCTAATTGGTCTAGGGTGGGGCCCATTATTTTTTTACAAAGTTCCCCACTGATTTTAATGTCCTGGCAGGGTTGAGAACTTTGGAGTAATACAATGAAGAAGGGAAAGGGAAGAGGAAAAGTAAAAGTTTAAGAACATGTGGCAATTCGTTCAATAAAAACATTTATTGAGTATCTACTTGATGCTAGCATTGAACTAGGTGGTGGGTAAAATAAAAATAATTCAGAAGTGATGCTTGAAGTTTTCTATCTAGTAGAGAGAATCACGGATAAACAAGTTATTACAATGCCATATGATACTTGTATATGTGTGTGTATATCTCTTTTTCCTGTGCTCCATAGCACATTACAGGAGAATGATTGTTGTATTTTTGTTGCTTAGAGCACTGGTTTTCAAAATTGGTTACAGATTGGAATCACCTGAAGGGCACTAAAAAGTACTGATGTTTGGGTCCCACACCCAGAAATTCTAATTTGATTGGTTTTGGAATCAAAATTTTAATGTAAATATGAAAACAAACCCCAAACCTCCCTAGGTTATTCCAATACACAGCACTGGACTAAAGATACTGGCCTGACAGAAGTGAAAGGTGCATTTAGGAGTCAGGTTGCCAGGCAAAACAATATTGAATGAAGCCCTGATCCAAGCAGAGATCTGGGGATCCCTACACTGAATGAGTTGCTGTCCTTGATGGTTCTCTGTGATCCAATGAAAAGGGAATTTTTAGAAGTATTCTCTGGCAACAAAACAAGGAGTAGAATATGGGAAGGAGTTGCCAAAAGTGATTTGTCCGTTAGGCACAATAGCCATAGTGCCTAGGGGCCCAACAAAATGTATTAATGTTCTTTAAAATCAGAAATAACAACTTCTAGGTAGAAGAAGCTGTCTTATATATAATAGTAGCATATCGATCTTTTTAACCAACACAATAGTAAAATATAATTTTTAGTGTGTGTTTGTATAAAATGGAGGAAGGGACCCACAAAGGTAAAAGTGCTTAGGTCCAATGGAAGTCATACCACAGCTCTGGATTAAAGGAGAACCTAGTCTCAACGAATTTCAATTTCTTTCAGATATATTATTTGTACAAATAAGAAGCATTTGCTTTCTTATTCCTTTGAATTTTTCCACCTTGATTTCTCAGAAGTGGAATGCAAGGGCCAAGTCTTTAGTCTTATTAGAATATCTAGTTCCATGTTGGAAGGAACTAATTGAATGAAACAAAACATCTGGTTCTGAAAGGCTATATGCTGTCAGAGGACACATGATGGGTCCTGTCTAGATACTCTTAACCTCTTTGTCCAACCATAGACTCCTAGTTTTCCTTCAAAACTTACCTAAAACTTTTGAGCTCTGCGTGTAACTTTCTCTACCTTGTCCTAAAGTAATCTGCCTAAAGTAATCACTGTGATGTCCATCCATCATCATTTTGTTCACCCATTGTTGCACACTCACTATGCATTATGGCGAGTCAAGTGTGGGTCAGTCTCTTCCAACATGACCCTCAATAAACCTCATTCTGGTTTATTCACTCCTGTGTTCTTAGGCTCTTTCATAATTCCTAATATATAATAGGTGCCCCTAAATATCCATTAATGTAGTAGATAAATATGTTATTAAATGTAAAACTCTATAAATTTGGACTATTCTTTGGAGGAAAATGCAGCAAATGAATTAAAGTTCTGGTCAACTTTTTTTTAACAAAATGAAAAGAGGTTACTTCTCAGACAATTTATACTTCAATAATCTAGGACATAAATAGATGAAGAATGTTAATTAAAATCTTGCAATTCTTGATAAACCTCAAATAATTTTTTTCTCTTTAACAGTTACAATTTATCGTTCCAAAATAGAAAGGCCTTAGCAAGAACCATCATTCCTTGAACTTTTATTTTGAATAAGATTTTAGACTTTGCAGCATGTGACACACTTATTTTTCTGCCCGAGCTGGAAGATATGTAGACCAGTATTGGCCACACATCTAAAGAAACTTGAAGAGTGTAAACAAATTATTCTACTATCAATGATAATCTTTGTTCATAAACTTTTAAAAAAAACATCCGTTCACATTTAAAGTATGTTTTCTTTATCTCAAATATGATCGGACTGAAGATCTGGCTGCTTGTTTGTATTTTCCAGAAAGCACTGAGTTTCAGACTGCTATTTCAGCTGGGGCACATATGTAAAAACTGGTTCAATTAAAGGAAGGGGAATATTTGAGTTATTTTTAATCAGTGGGGTAGCTATTTTTAATCTAGCCCCTAAAGAGCAGTTGCACTGACTGTAAAGTAATCCACCACACTTGGATGTTAATGTCAATTATGCTAGTTTCAACTCTCTAGAAAGTATGCTGCTGCATTTTACAGCATATACATAGCTTGAGGTCAAAGATGATCTCCTCAAAAAGTAGATATTAAACTGAGATCGAGGAGGCAGGAGAATTTGTTCACCTGAGTTGGGATTTTCATGGGTTGCTAAGGAAAGGTCTGGAGAAGGACATAATGGAAGACTAGATCAGATAAAATAATAGAAGAAAGATATCATAAGAGGAAGAGATGGGGAAAATAGGAAAGATTTGGATGATACAAAGGAAATGCACTTGAACACTGACTAAGTGTGACAGGCATGTGTGTCATCATGGAATTAGTGGACCTCTAGGCTCTAGTTGAAATTTGGTATGACAGCAGGTCTAGCTTGGTGAATGGTGAGGTTTTAGGTGGAGTTGGAGTAGAGTGCCTAAGCACTTTTGAAGCGAGCTCCGGAGAATATGAAAACAGTCGATGATCACAAGAGGCTCACAGTCTAGTAGTAGTGATTGCAAGTAAAACTGACCATTCTTATGATGAACGACCCCCAAAAAAGGCAGGGGAAGAGGAGGGGCCCAGTAGATTCATTGACACAGTATTGTCTAACAGTGATATGAGAAATTAAGGCACTATCAATGTCAAGGGAGAATTTATTAGCCTTCTGTGTAGGGAATGAATCAGATCCAAAAGCATGGAGACTGAGAGCTAAAGGAGATCTTGGCGATCCTTATACCAACTTTCTCAGTGTTCAGGTGACAAAGGCTAAGTTGCTCCAAAGTGACTGCATTCATTTAATGAAGGCCACAGCTCCACAGCTCCACAGTCCCTGCAGTGGTTAGTAGCACAGGCTCTGAGGTTAGATTACCTGGGTTCAAATTTGAATTCCAAAACTTATTAAGTTACTTAAGCCTCTGTGTCCCAGTTTCTGCAATAGTAGAGATAAGATATAGTTGTCTACCTACTTGTGAAAATTCTATGCATTCACACAACTAAAATGCTTCGAACAGTTGCTAGTATATAAAAACTATTCAATAAATGATAGCCATGCTGATTTACAGCTGCAGAAATTGGGATAGACACTGGCAATTATAGACTTATTTCCAGATTTCCTCTTTCCCACTCTAGCCTTGTTGGTGTTTATATAACAGTTAAGTAATGGAACTTTAAGTCTTAGCCCTGATTTTGCTTTTTTGTTTGTTTTCTGGTTAATTATATAACATAATTAACTTATTAGAAAAATAACTAAAAGTTGTTCCATAAACTCTTAACTTTATTTTAAAGAAGACTATAAAAGCAATTACATTTGTATTTGTGGCAAAAGCAGCCGATGTACTAAAGTCTGTGGATGTTAGAAGGCCTTGACTATTAAGCTTTACTTTTTTGGAACTTCCTCATAACTAGCAGAAATGGGACTTCTTGCAAGGGCAACCTGGGCTCAGAACCTCTTAAGAACCGTTGACCTGCCAGCTCCTGTCTCTTGGGCTCAGAATTTCCTGCCTTCTTAGCAAATGAAACAACTGAATATTGGCTCTAGACCCAGGGATATATGAAAGAAGGTATCCCCCACCTCATACATGCACCATACACTCACAAACACATGCACTGACATCTGTGAGCTGAACTCTGTGTAGGAATTGTCACTAAGGACACGTCATTATAATTTGCATATCATCTGGGTCCTAGTAAAGAATAGATTGCACAAAGTGAGTCATTTAAAGAGAGTTTAATAAAGGGACTATTTACAAACATGTGGACAATGTTTCAGAAAAGTAAACAAAAGTTAGTGCAATATTCTGGGAAGACTTTATCATCTTTAGCCCTGAAGGCAGGGTTAAAGGATGGAAAGAATTATCAGGACCCAGAGAGAGAGAGAGTGATTTAGGGAAGCCTCTTGAGTTTATTAAGGGAAAGCAATCACCCTGGGGCAACTTAGCTGGGAGGAAACCCGAGAGGAAACTACTCTAAGCTCACTTTTCTCATGCCTTTTATATCTCTGTCAGTGTCTCCCAAGGGCTGAATCCAGCTAGTCCTTATTGGACATATTGCTTTGGAAGAAGTAGGATATATACTTTATCTATAGGGTCACATTCCAAACCCCTCCACTCTATTCCTTTTTTTTTTCTTTCCATCAGTCTTATGTAAGTAAAAAAATTTACATCCTTAACTCTTGCGATAGGCAAAGTCCTACTTACTACTGTGTCATTATTGGATGATGTCAGTTTTTGTCATATTGTCACCTAAAACATAAAATATTAACCACAATCAGGGCTTTTCAAATAAAGTATTAGAAAAGAAAAGGGAAATGGATGACAGTAAAAAAACAAGGAACATAAAACAACGACTATTCTTGCTTCTGTAGCTGGCACAAATCTTAACTTGATTAATTATCGCTTATTTCCTCTACCACTTAGGTCCTGCTGCCCGGACCTAAGCTGGTCAGATCACTTCATCTAATGGGTTACCCAAGCCTTCTTTCCAATAGGATCTGAATTCTCAGTAGACCTATCTTTATTGGGGTGCCATAATTTCCACTGTATTTCTGGTAGGAGCCATCCTCTTTATATACTGGGACTGCAAACCCCTCTGAGATGGTTCCTGAGTGAAGGGTGCATGGGGTGAGGCTGGAATATTCTTGGGCATAAGCCCATTGTGCATTTTCTTTGCTGTTAAGATGTGTTTTCTGATTTTACACAATGTCCCCCAAGACAACTGATAAGGTAATAGATAAGACGTTCTCTAGATTTGCAAATGATACTAGCAGAAATGTTTTAGGAAGGGAAAACATTTTACATCAAGAATATGTGTCTACCTCTCCATGATTGGGGGGGGGTTCAATATAAGTAGTCTGCCACCATGTAGCCAGCTGATCACCTGATGAGTGATGCTGTATAGAAGCCCTGATGCTGGTGTCTCCTATTGGCAAGTTGGGTGCTCAACAATGATAGCCCAATTGACCTTCGTGAGTGGACGTCCATGTTCTTGACTCTATTTATAATGTCCATTTCTGCCATCCTGGCCACTTTGGGCATGGACACTTTGAGTGAAAGCTGGTGTTGTTGGGGAAAGATGTTAGCTGACATCATGTTTGGCCCATTCTTCTGGTGAGTACGGAACACAAACAAAAATTACTCTGTGCGTACCTGAGATGTGCATTTTCTGACTGTCTTATGACAAACTTCCAACCTTGCTCTTTTTAAAGTCTCTATCAGTTAACTAACCTCATAGTGGCTTGGCAGAAGAGTAGTAAAAAAATAAATATTCCAACTTCACTCTCCTGTCCTTCACTCTCCCGCTGGTGTCTCCTACTTGCTAAACCATCTGGGAGCTGGGTGGCAGGGGTCGTATTGATGTAGTTCACATGAGTCAGGCACCCAGGGCACAGAGTAAGATGGATAAGGGGGAAGAGGCTATCCAGAGGGATTCAATTTACTTACCTGAAATTTAGTTCTCATACCAAGTACCACATTTAGACTTCCTTTGGGAAAAATAAACACAGACACACATATACTGCACCTTTTACACATTTATTGAGGTGAGAGATATAAATAACATGTAAGCCAAAGGAGCAAGTAGATCCATACATTGTATAGTTCTTGAAAAAGACCAAGATCTCAGGGTCACAGATGGAAATAAGATTTGGTGACACAGCACACGCTTTAGATTCAGGAGTCCTGGCTTGGAATTCTGGATTAAATATAAAATAGCTCAGTGACCTTGAACAAATTATTTTCCTTTCTGGGCATCAGATTGTTAATATTTTAAATGAGCACAATAATGACAAGGATTAGCGACATAAAAGTAGCTACAAAGTATTTGGCACATATTAAATGACAGCTACTATTATCTAAGAAGGCAGTGCAGTTCTAAGTGGAAGCATAGAGTAATTTAGAGAAACAGCCGTTATTTAGGTAGAAAAAAAACAAATGTGCCAATATAGTTTAAGATCTTAAGAAAAAATGTAAAAGAGGCCAATAAGAATAATATTGGCCTGGGTGCGGTGGCTTCTGCGTGTAATCTCAGCACTTTTGAAAGCTGAGGCTGGTAGATTGCTTGAGTCCAGGAGTTTGAGACCAGCCTGGGAAACCTGGAAAAACTCCATCTCTACCAAAAATACAAAAAATTAGCTTGGCATGATGGTGCATGCCTGTAGTCCCAGCCACTAGGGAGGCTGAGGTGGGAGAATTGCCTGAGCCAGTGGAGGTCAAGTCTTCAGTGAGCTGTGATCACACTACTGCTCTCCAGCCTGGGTGACAGAGTAAGACCCTATCTCAAAAAAATAATAATAATTAAAAAATTACTTTTCAGACTTTTTTTCCAGCTTCCTTTCAGCTTGTTGTTTGCCAGAATCATTCATGCCAGCACAGGGAATCTTGAGTGCTATATGTGCTTGTGTTCTGCACTTAGAAAAGTAGGTCAGAATGAGTTTATTAAGGTCAGGATAGCGATGGCTTAATAACTGGTCTGCTCAATGCACATTTGTCATAAACATCTGGATTGTTTTTTAAATTGCTGGGTTTATAAATACTAGTTTCAAAATTCGTCTTGTATGGCAGGTGATTTTTATATACGCAAACACTAATTTGAACTATTTTACTAGTTTAGCATGCCTAATGATGTTAGTATATATTCAGAACTATGCAGAAAATTACAAGAGATGCTCCACAATACATTTGTGAAGATTTTTATAGAAAGGACCTGAATATCAGTGTATAAAGAAATATAATTTTGATGTCTAGGATTAATGATAAAAAAATCAAATAAAAACTGTCGAATAGCTTATTAACATATTTAAAATGCTGAATTAAAAAAAGTCATGAAAGACTTCTATGACCAGATAAACTATCCTTTGAAAGTAAGGCTAAATTGAGACAATTTCAGGTAAACACGTGATGAGAAATTTTGTAACTAGCATGTCTACACTATTAGAGACACTAAAGGAAGCTGATGGGAAATGACATCACACGGAAACTCAAAGAGGAATGAAGAGCTCCACAAATAGTACACTGTGAATTATGAAAGACTATACAACACACACGTGCACACACACACACAGAGATTTCTTTATACACACATACCTAACAGTTTTCTTTTCTTAATTCTTACAAGATAAATAGCATTGCTGTTTGTTGTGTATGTAGATGTGATATGTATGGCAACGATGTCACTGAAGATGGAGACAGTAAATGAAAATCTACTATTACAAGTTTTCCATATTTTAATGAGGTTAATTTCATATCAACTTTGATTACAATAATTTAGATTAGAAAAAAATTAAAGATGCATATTGTAATATTCAGAGAAACTGCTAACAAATAATGCATTAAACTAAAAAATAATTATGGATATAGAGTACTAGAATCATTTGATTCAAAGAATACAAGAATGAAGGGATAGAGGAAGAAAAACAGGTAAGACAAATCAAAAACAAATAGCAAAATGGCAGACATTAAAACAACCATGTCTATAGTTACACTAAGTAAAATGTATTAAACATCTCAATCAAAAGGCAGACATTGTCAGACTGGATAGTATAGTGCAAATATGCTACCTACGAAAGATCAACCATGAATATAAATCCAGTACCTCTGGGTGATATTAATTCCTCTCCGCTTAGTTTAGTTGTGAATCTTTATGTTCTGGTGATCTATAAACTATAAAGGACAAGTTATCTATACCATTCTGTCTGGCTAATATACCATAGTGGATTAGGGAAAGTACAACCAGAAATAGAAATTCCCACCCAGTAATGAAAAGAATGAAAGACCATGAAAATTACAGAATTCTGCTGTGCAAGCTCTGTGAAGTTTCCCTACCCCTAATGGTGGGGAATTTTCCTTGATTAGAAGCTAATTTTACTCATTTTGAAGCAAAGATTTTTTTCATTGTTTCCTGGCTCTGCCTTTCTAGAAGTTATTCCTTGTCCAGTCTCCTCCCTGACTGCCTCTGAAAGAAGTGTTGGACATGACACCTTTCCCAGAGCATTCAAAGTCCACTTAATGTGATGCAACTCTGGATACCTGAAGATTGTTGTCGGCATTGAGCCATTGGAGGCATTTTTAGAATGGCCTCGCACTGTAAACTAGTTCAACCATTGTGGAAGTCAGTGTGGCGATTCCTCAGGGATCTAGAACTTGAAATACCATCTGACCCAGCCATCCCATTACTGGGTATATACCCAAAGGATTATAAATCATGCTGCTATAAAGACACATGCACACGTATGTTTATTGCGGCACTATTCACAATAGCAAAGACTTGGAACCAAGCCAAATGTCCAACAATGATAGACTGGATTAAGAAATGTGGCACATATACACCATGGAATACTATGCAGCCATAAAAAAGGATGAGTTCATGTCCTTTGTAGGGACATGGATGAAGCTGGAAACCATCATTCTCAGCAAACTATCGCAAGGACAAAAAACCAAACACCGCATATTCTCACTCATAGGTGGGAATTGAACAATGAGAACACACGGACACAGGAAGGGGAACATCACACACTGGGGCCTGTTGTGGGGTGGGGGGAGGGGGGAGGGATAGCTTTAGGAGATATAGCTAATGCTAAATGACGAGTTAATGGGTGTAGCACACCAACATGGCACATGTACACATATGTAACAAGACTGCACGTTGTGCACATGTACCCTAAAACTTAAAGTATAATAAAAAAAATAGGGATAGCAGGGCTCAAAGTAGGAAAAGAAAAAAATAAACTCAGAAGGGAATTTCTTGGCAAAAAAAAAAAAAAAAAAAAAGAATGGCCTCATGGTTCTCAGCTATGCAAGTCCCCGAAGAAGGTAGGCTCCTAACCAATTTGCTTCTAGTGGGTACCAGATGCTGTCAGAATTGTTAAATTTATTTCTTTGCTTCCAAGCCCTACACCTTTGTTTCTCATTAATGGCAACAACTGGGAGAACATCAGGCTTGGGGATGGGGGCAAGGAAGGCCAAACTCTTAGTTGAGATTTTTTTGTTTTTTTTTTGTTTTTTCTTCAAGCAGGGCTGAGTCTTACTATACCCTTTGTAATAAAAATCTTTCCAAACTTATTTTCCACTGCTTGAGTTCTAGAATCACTCAGTTTTTCAACACTCTGAGATCCCATATAATGGTACTCTATTCCTCTTAATATCTGCTTGCTAAGTAGCTACTTCTTGCCTGAGCTTATTTTTTTGCATAACATGCTGCACATGGCCATTAATGACCAGCACACTTTCTATACTCTATTATACAATCTCTATTACAGCTACAAGTCTGCCTCAGACCTTATCACCAGGCAATGGCTTTACTAGTGTTTAGATGCCTAACCTCTAACTCATGCCACTGAGGTGGGGTTTTTGTGTGACAGCACCTGTACCTAACACCAATTTCCATATTATTTAAGAATGCTAGAGGCTGTGAAAGATAAATCCTGAAATCTCACAGACTTAACAAGTGGTTTGTTTCTTAGTCATGTAGAGGCCAATGTGTGACAGAGGTAGGGGTCCTGCTCCACGGAATCATGTCAATCACAAGCCTGTTACTTTCTGCTTTCTTCAGTGTGTGGCATCTGAAGTCTTCCTGGGCATTGACATCCTGCTGGTTAATGGAGATAAGAATGGCACATGAAATTTCTGGCCCACATTTAACAACCAGAAACTGAATTATGTGACCACATTTAACTGAAAAGTTGTTTTAAAAAATGAGTCTAGCTGGAGAAAAAAAAGTTTAGTTAGTCTCTGTCAAATAGTTTAATGGTCTGGTAATAAATTAGATACGTGTTTAATGATATTCCTCCTAAAATGAAGTTCATTAAATGAAATTGTGTTGGACCATGCAAAAGCTAAAGCAAAATCAGAAAAACAAAATGGCATCTTCTGATATTAAAATCAGTGAGAGTAAAAATACAAATGAAAGAGCTTGGCCTCCTGCAGGGATGATTTGCAAATGTGTTGGGCACAAATTTTCTAAATTTACTCAAGGTGAAAAAGAATATCAGCCCGAAGATATGAATGTAATATAGATCATGCAATAGAAAATGTAGCCTTAATTGTTTTGTAATACATCCTATAGTTTGATGACTGCTTCAAAAGGGAAATTAAAGAGTAAAAATGTGTTAGTGTTTTGTATAGCACTAAAAAAAAAGCAGTAAGAGGCCAGCTATATCTGGTGGTTATAAATGTTCAAATCACTTAGAAGAATGTGTTTTCTGTAGTTAAAATGGGATAATTCTCTGCATTTACCATAATCTGTAAATACAGACACTTATCAACATTCTTCAGGTCCATTTTGCTGTATCTTTATTCTCATTATAATTCTGATTATTAATTTTAATAGATATTTAGGCCATGCCATTGAATATTTGTCACAAGTCACTCATTATTTTATGCTCTTTGAATGAGTTAATTTAGTTTTCTAGCAACTCTCAGTTTTCTGTTTCACTGACAAAGAAACTCAGAATCACACTGAGGAAGTGACTTTGAAAATGGGGCTACTAGAAACCCAGCTGATGAGTTGCAGGGTTGAATTTCAGATAGATTTATCTGATGCTGAATGCCTTGATCTTAGCTAATGCAGTATCCTGCCTCTCATAGGAAATAGAGGCTGGTATTGGAAAGGGGATAGTGAAAAGTTATATCTTCAATTAAAACAAATGGATTTACCTTCTTTTTTATATCTTGTGTGAGTTTTGTTGATTTTTGTGGTGTACCCTCTGTCTTTCAGGTGGAAAAAAAGTAAAGAAGATCAAAAGCCCAGTATTATGCATTCATTGTTGGTATGACTTATATTGTTGTTAAAAGATACTCCATCTCCTGTCTACTAAATATCAGACATTACTCATTTTTGCTTAAGAAACATTTCCCAGATGGTCTCAATTTTATTTTGTGTGCTTCCTAGATCTGACTGTATGTCCAAAGTCACCTGTTTCAAGAGTACATTGTGTATCTCTCTCCATTAGGAATAAATCACTGATCTCATCTTCAGTATTTTAAAGTAAAAAGATTAATTCTCTTTGGATCATAAAATACTAGGACCAATTTAAATGAAACATGTGACATTTGCATAAATTTGTTCTTGCTTTGGTTTTGGTCTTCTCATTTTATTCAAACACAAAAATTCTTGTAACACTAATAATAAACTCTACTCTATCCTCACGCTGTCTTGCGGCTGCAGCTACTGGACCAAGATAGCTCTGGACTATCAATGCTGGTACTAGATACTTCTATATAAATTTTTATTATAACTCCAACATCTGAAATGTAATGGAGATTATAGTTCATTAATGTTACTATTCTCTTTAAATATGGCGCCTGTTTATTTCTACCTGTTTTTACAGAACACTCATAAGACCCTATTCTGTTTGCACCTGACAATTTAATCTGTGTGTTGTCTCCCTCTGGCTGTGAGATTAATATATTTTGACCATTCTATGAATTGCTTGAAAATAGACCTTATACACTAGTATTTGAAAGTTTGTCTTGTAATACCTTGCAAAACTTCATACACTTTTTGTTATCATACTAACCAAAAAAATATACGTGGAAGGGTAAAGATCGATAAATCAATTGGCTAAGTAAGTGATTGAGATTTCTGCTTCCTTTTATTTCTTCCCTGTTATAGATTCAAATTTAGAATTTCTATAGTTATATATGGAAATAAGGCCTATTCATTCAACAGTCATTTATCAGTAGTCACTGAATTTCCTGCCCTGGGAATCACAGTCTAGCAGCATAAGCAGAAAGGTTGACAAAGTAAACAACTAGAGTGGAAAGTCTAATCAGACAACTTTGCTAAGGTGACCACTTTTAACTCTCTACCATTTTTAATTCATTCTTGTCTCTGAAGGGTGCTTGTGCAGTCACAACTATGTATTCTTTTGTAAAACAGCTTACAGGGGAAAAAATTGCTGATAGTGTTGTTCATTTACATTTAATCATATTTAAAACCAATTTAGACTAGCTTGGATATTAAGGAAATTCACTGATTTATATTATTCCATAGCAACCTGACGTTAAAGAAAATATTAAACCAAGAAGCTTGTGTGCACAAATAGACTTGCCTTTGCATTGGGGAGTCCTAGAGAATTCCAGAAACATGAGCTGATCTTTTAGTAACCATAACAATGTTATCAAACACAAACATACAAGGCATTCTTTTCCAAAGTTGATCTGGAAACATTGGGATTTCCTACCTAAGGCTGTTTTCATTGGAGAGGGGTTTAGTAGGGTGAAAAGTTTACACAGTAAGAAGTAATGGAGAATGGGAGATAGAAGTCTCAATATCATATCCTCTGTTTTTCTTTTCTTGCTGTGATTGACTCATCTCATGACTACAGTGACTTATTTGACCTGTCTATGCCACAGTTTACTAACCAAACTGTGACACGACACTGCTGAGAGTTTGATTTACCATCTCTTTGTGTATTGTTGACATTCACCACTGGAGGATAAGTACTAAAAAACTATATTAGACAGGATTTTTGCAGGGGTCTAATTTCATTAATAAGAAATGTTTGGAAAAGGCAAAACTATAGAGATAGAAAGCACCTCAATACTTGTCTGGGGTTGATGGTTAAACTGGAAAGTGACTGCAAAGGGGAAGAGGGAATGTTCTGAGGGGATAGGAGTGTCCTTAGAGGAAACCGTGGTGATGGTTGTACTGCAGAACTGCGTACATGCACTAAAAGCCATTGAACTCTATATTAACATCGGGTAGATGTCAAGGTATCTAAATTATACCTCAATAAACAGGTAACTTTCCTGTTGCTCCCACTTCAGTGAGAGAAAAGGCAGAGTCCTTACCATGACCCCAAGGATTGGCATGATCTGGCCCCTTTCCTGCTTCTTTGTTCTCAGCCTTCTCCCCTCACTCACCCACTCAGCCACCTCCTGCCTCTGGGCCTTTGCACTGGCTGTCCCTTTATCTTAAACAATCATCTCTGTATCTGTGTGAGTCCCTTCCTTTCCCCCTTCAAGTCTTTGTCCAAATGTCACCTCCTGAGAGAAGGCTTTCCAGACAACTCTACTAAATTGCAACCTTCCCACCTATCTTCTTCCCCAGCTTTGTTTCTCTTCGTGGCACTTATCACCATGTGTGGATTTTTACATGCATACTGTACATTTTTCTTATTTGTCTGGTATACTGTTTGTCCCTGTCCATCTTCCACCTCCCTATCCTACCTTCAACTAGAAACCTGGGCTCCAAGAAAGCAGGGTCTTCTTTGTCCATAGCCGTGTCCCCAGCATTAGCACAGAGCCTAGCGTGTAGCAGTAGCTCAAAACACCTTAGTTAAAGGAATGAATGGCAGAGCGGTGGGCTCTGTGTCTGAACCTCTGGATAAAGCAGGAGCAGATGGTCTAGGGCGTGAGTCTGGGCCCAGGGACTGCCATATCTGTGCTAGTTTTCATGGAGGTAGAGGGGACGATGGTGGTAGCTGTGGACAGTGATGGCTAAGACACTTTCTGATCTTGGACCTGCATATCTCATCTCACAATTTCCAGGGACATCCCCTAAGGGCCCCAGGAGGTAGCCAAAACCATAACGGATGTACAGGGGCCACAGGAATCCAGGCTTTCTAGCACATCCTCACTGGTCATCTGAATATACCAAGAGTATCAGATAATCCCACCTCATCCCAAGATGTTTCACGATGCATTCATTACCCACCTGAAGAACACCTGCTCTGTGCCTGCCCCTGAGCCTGACAGTGCTGAAGACAGCACTATTAGGGTGGTGACTGAGACAGTCCTGGCTCTGCCCTCCTGGGGCCCTCAGTCTGGTGTTGGGGAGAAAGACAGCTCAGTCACTGCACAGTGACCACCCAGAATGAGCAGGGCAGGGGTAGGGAAATCATAGCTGGGGCGGGGTGGGGGGGTGCCGCGGAAGCCCAGAGGTGGCACCTGACCGTCTGAGGAGGTTCAAAAAGGGGTTCCCAGGAAAGGGAACATCTGACATCTGCAGGACTAGTAGGATCCACCTGGTAAAGAGAGGAGAAACATGGGCAAAACCTGGGAGGAAAGAGATGGTGAGGCAAACTCCTGGAAATAAAAGAGGTTTACAACGACTGACCCTCCTCTAGTCCAGTGGTTTTCAAGGAAGAGGAATTTTTCTCCCTCGGAGACACTTGGCAGTGTCTGAAGACATTTTTGGTTTGTCACAACTGGAGAGGAGTATGTACTGCTAACATCTCATGTGTAGGGGCCAGGGACAGCTTCTTAACAACGAAGAACTTGCCAACCCAAATTATCAGTAGTGCTGAGGTTGAAAAATCCTAATCTGATCTGAAGAAGAGAGTCAGGTTATGCAAAGCCTTCATCTGCTAAAGAATGTGTACTTTATCCTGATGGCAATGAGTTTTAAGCAGACACGGGTCAAGAGTAGATCTGATTGTATCTGGAAGCTGAAGGCTATCAGGGCAATCTGAGCTCTAGTCTCTCTCTCTGATCATCCCTTACCTCACCTATAATCAACAGCCACTAAAAAGGAAAGAACTCCTTTCAGCAAGACTGTGGTGCCCCTGAAGACAGGGACAGAGCCTTCATTGCAAAGCTTATTCAACAGACATTTCCTAAGCTGCCCCCAGGCTGTGCGCTGGTTGAGAATCCTGAAAAATTCAGACCAGGTATGTTGGGCTTTTTATACAGATCTTACCCTTGTGTCATTTCCTGTTGATACTATTTGTCTCCTACAGTTCCTGGCATAGACTTTTGTCACCTCTAGTCTCCTCTCCCACTCCACTGATGGCAAGGACATGGCTAGAGACATCTTTGTGGCCCACCACTGGGCTGGCCCTCCTGTTCAACCCCTCCATTTACCACTGGAGAAATGAAGGCCTGCAGAGGGAGAGGAAATTACCCAAAGTCACCCAGAGAGTCTCCTCCTGTCTGACTAACGCTCCTCTCCCCTGTGCTACTACCCACATGTAAGCCACATCCGAGTGGGTATGTCCACAGCACTTCAATTCCTCAAGTACCTGAACAGTGGCTGCCTGAACGGTCCGATATGCTCTGCAGCTCAGTTTGGTTGACGAGGCAAGTCAGAAGTTATCAGCTCTTGGGGTGATTCCTCCATAGGATCAATTTATGCTCAAAGCACACCCATCTCAGTCCTAATCACCTTGGGTCAGTAATGTCTGCCAACTTCTACATGGAATGGTTCCCAAAAGTAACCTGGGTGATCTGCAAATAGCTTAGTCTCTCTGTTCCTTGGATTCCCATCTGTAAAATGGGTCTGTTGACCTCCGCAGCCTGTTCCCTTAACCCATGAAGATTACCTGACTTTCCCAGAGCTAAAAAACTTCCAATAAATCATTGCCCATGCCTCAGGCACTGCGAGCAAGGCTCTGAATGCCAGATTACTCTAGAAACCATTTTGGAGTCTGGAATTTTGGAGTTGAGAACCCAGGGCACCTGTGCCACTGTATCCCTGGCTTGAGCAGAGTGCCTGGTGGCTGCTGAGGTGAGCATACAAAAAACCCAGTAAACAACAGGACCCTACTATGGTACCATGCAACCCCCCTGGCCAGGTACTCAAGATGGTGCTACAAGGCACTGGATTCCACACAAATGGAAAGGACACCCCAGTGGAAGGGTCCTCACCCAGGGTGGAGCAAACCCTTTACTCTTATCTCAGCCTGGGTGCCCTACCAGAGCCACCTACTGCACTGCCGCTGTATTCTGGATTGTTCAGTATATTACTTCTAATTAATCTGAGACCCTCACTGCACTTTGAAACATCAGAGCATGGTTGCATTGCTGTCCTAAATTTTCCAACTTTCCCTTAAGCAGTAACAGCCACATACAAGGATAAATCTCAGGATAATGGCATTAGAAATGTATTTTTATGGTTAGACAATTTTCCATATTATCTACCATTGAATTTTCAGAAATGACTTGCATTAAAAATAAAGTTGTTGTTATCCTTTATTAAATTTTTAAGATGTCTTTCACTAAAAATAAGTAGTCGTTTCTAAACCTATAAGTAAAATGACTCCTTGAGTAATTGATTTAATAATAGGCCACTTTTCAGAATTTCCTAGCCTGTATCCTATGCTTAAACATAACTTTATCTTTTTTACCTACTACTAATAAAGCATCGTATAGATAATTCTCACTTGAGCCTCACACTTTCCTGTAAAAAAGCAGGATGGACATTATTTTTTCTCATTTGAAAAACCAAGACATTGAAACTCATGAAATTTTTTGCATGTTCAAACAACTCACAATAATGGAGCCAAGACTACAATGTAGACTTCTGTTAGGTGTTGATAAAAATAAAATGGTTAGGATCTTGAATTCTGTAGTAAGAAGAAAATAGGTTCAAATTCTGCCCCCATCATTTACTTGCTTTAGGGAACTGGACAAGCTATTTAATTCTTTCACTACTCAGTTTCTTTATCTATAAAATAGGGAAAATAATAATGTCTACCTCATAGTTTGGTTATACTAATTAAATAAATACCTATGTAAAGTATTTAATGCAGTGCCTGGTTTATAAGCCCAATATGCTTATGAGGCTCATTCAATAAATGATTGCTACTGTAATCAGATTTGTCCTTCCTTTCTACTCTATAAAGGCATCCTCAACAAAGTGGCAAAAGCTTGGCTTTGGAATCAGACAGATGATTTCTGATTTCTGCTTTATCACATGACCTTTGTATGACTTGCTTAACTGTAATCTCTTCCAGCTACAGTTTTGTCATCTGTAAAAGCTTAGGGGATGTTATAAAGATTAAAGTCCTGGCCTATAAAAAAAGAGATTTAATAAATGTTAAATTTCTTTCCTTCCATCATGAATCTTCTTAAAAAATTTGATTTACAAAGTACATATTTTTAAACTATGTTCTTTGCCACTTGCTTATGTAAGCCATCTTATTCAACAATATATTACCAACACCTAGTAGAGTGGCTATATCTCATTAGGTGCCCAACAAATACGTACTTCATGGAGAGAGAGGGAGAATTCTCTGCAGCTTAGGATGGTCAGAGAAGGCTTAATGAAAGAGATAAGACTTAAGTGATGCTGGGCATTGTAGCTCATGCGGGTAATCCCAGCACTTTGGGAGGCCAGGCCAGGTGGATCACTTGAGCCCAGGAGTTCAAGACCAGCCTGGGCAACATAGCGAGACTCTGTCTCAAAAAAAAAAAAAAAAACACTTAAATGAACCTTGAATAACATTTAGAACAGATGATCACTATATAAGAATAGAGAATGGTATTTAGGTGACCTGCTCATGACAAACAGCCCATAAAACCTGAACTCTAAATATGAGGGAGAGTGATAGTACTTGTAGAAACTGTAGTGATGACATTCTTTAAGTCTGGCGCAGGGAGTATTTGGAATTCTAAGGCAAGAATGATACATATTCTGGGAGGAGCTTGGAGAAAAGTGAGTATGGTGTAGTGTTTTTTAGAAATGGAAAAGACCAGTCAAAATGGCCTTTTTTATCTCTTAAAAGTAGTAACAGAATGACTCATTAGGCTATCTTCACAATTCTGATTTTAATAAAATGTAATAAAATCAGTTTTCCCTTCATATATTTTCTGAAATTTGATTCTAACTTTCCTATGGACTGGAATCATTCCATTACTTTTAATGATGTTAAACACATATACAAAAAGAAGCTTGGAAATAGTTACAAAACTGTCAGAAGATAATTTTTTTTAATAACAGGGAAAAAGTGCATAGGCATTAGTGCTTTCATTGATCTATATATTGCCACTGGGGTGTCAACACATTTGGCTCTTAGTTGAGGTGGTGGTGGAAAAAAGGCTGCAGAAATTGTATTGAGTTTTCTTCTGCACAGGGCTCCTTGACTACAGGTGAAAAGGATCTCACTTTTGAGGGAAGGCTGTGTTTGGCAGGAGTTAAAAGTGCTGAGGACATGGAAACTATATATAACACCAGAGGTTTGTCAAGGGTGTGGGTCCAGGTGTCCTGATTTTGAAATTTTCTTTTGAGGCTACCTCCTACTGAGTAGAGCACAAAGATTTCTTTCTCTCTGTAATATGCATGCTTGAACTGGAACAGGATAAGGTTGATGTGAGAGCTTCAGATTACATTTTGACTACTTGTTAAAAGGGCTTCACCTATTTATAAGCTTTTTCACTTCCTTATTTCTTTTGTGAAAATCTCTTATTTTCATTCCCAATGACCACACTCTGGAGCTTGTCACCATCTAGAACTGCAGTACATGAAATCTTAAACTCAGTCATTCCACTCTCTGGCCATAATGTCTTTGTCAGTTACATCCCTACCACCTGCCTTACCTCAAAGGAACTTGTAATTCCAGAACCCTTTTCCTTCATTCTTACTTATCAGGTTTTCAGTACTTTCAACCTTCCTTTCCGGATGTTGTTCTCCTCTCACCAATAATCTAGATTCTAATCTATTGTCACAAATGACCTGCAAAACCTGAGACATGCTGAATCCAACGTTTCTATCACTTATGAAGTGTTAGATAGTTGTAGATAAGTGCCACTGGAGAAAATGTTGTGACCTCCCCGACAGAGCTATGCCATGTTTGTTTGTTTTGTTTTTAAATCTCTAACCGTAGCAGTAACCTGCAATTCTGTCCAGAATTTCTTCATATTTCCTGATCAGCTCACTCTCTCCTTCTCTAGAGCTATTACCTTAGAGCTTTTACAAAGTAAGCTTCTGTCCATTGCCTCCTCAACTTCCCTCTTATTCTTAGAATACCTTCCTACTTAATTCTTAGAGAAAATGTAAGCCATCGAAAAAGAGCCTCTCAACATCTATCTCTAAATCTAAAGACTCACCTGCATCCATATTCACTTTTCTTTCCTCTCTTAAAAGAAGCAATGTCTTTCCTCCTAAACCTCTCTACCTGAACTCTCTGTATTTCTATCCACTTGACCTCTCAAGGAGAGGTATTTCTATCCACTTGTCTATTAATGATCCCAACTCTCTCAAATTCATTCTATATTTGCTCCTTCCTATCAGCATTAAGCTTGCTTAAATCTCTCCTTTCTTAAAATCAAAATCTTTCCTTGACTCCATATTTGCCTACATTTATTCTCATGTATCTTCTCCATTAAGGCCAACCTTTTGAATGAGTTATCAATTCTCACTTCCCAACCTTCCTTTACTCTTTATATTTTTCTATATGTCTATTTTTCTATACGTTTACAAGTCTATTATTCTCACTAAGGGTTACACTGACTTCTTACGATTAAATTCAACGGATAATTGTTATTCCTTATAGCTCTCCGTAATATTTAATGTTGTTCCTCTGTTCCTTTCTCTGTAAACATTTCTTGGTGGCTGTGACTCTATATTCTTTTGTTTCATTTCTCCATTTTTCCATGCTAACTCTTCTTACCCAACTTTTTTTGCTAGCTTATTTTCCTTGCTCATTTCTTAAATACTGATGTTTCTATGAGCTTTATTTTTAGCCTTCTCTTTGTTACATGTAAGCTCTTGGTCAATCTAATTAGGTTCCATGGCTTAATTTTATTCCCATGTGCTGATGACTCTTAAATCTATATCTCCATTCAGTGCCTCTTCTGAATGTTGATTCACATATGTAGTTCCTCTTGGGGTTCCCACAGATCTATGTCTGTTTTTGCTTGCTCAGGCTGCCATAACAAAATACCATAGACTGGGTGGTTTGCACAAAAGAAATTTATTTTCTCACAATTATGGAGGCTAGAAGTTTGAAATCAGGGTGTCAGCATGACTGGATTCTGGTGAGGGCTCCCTTCCTAGCTGCAGACGGCTGCCTTCTCATTGTGTCCTCACATAACAGTTCTCTCTACTCTCTCTCTCTCTCTCTCTCTCTCTCTCTCCTCTGCCCCCTGACTCTTTCTCTCTCTTCTTATAAGGCCATAGACCTATTGAATTAGTGTCCCACCCTTATGATCTCCTTTAACCTTAATTACTTCTGTAAAGGCCCTATCTCAGGATACAGTCACTTTGGGGGGTTAAGGCTTTAATATATGAATTTGGGGGGAACATAATTCAGTCCATAGCAATGTCCACGATTGAACTTATTAGATCTACACTAAAACCAGCTCAATTTCCTATGTTCCCAATTTCAGTGAATAGCACCAGAGACCGTACAAAGTAGTGGTGAAGAAAACAAACCTTTCTGGACTAAAATCCAGGCTCTTATTACTAATAATTTACCCTTAGGCCTCAGTTATTTCATCTGTAAGTGGGCTTAGTAATCTACCTTAGAGAAATATTGTTAGGATTAAATGAGTTGATTTAATTCTTAAAGTAGTGCCAGATGTGCTTTTTTAAAACAGTACTCATAAACATCAACTATTACTATTGCATCCACCTAATTAGTTAAAACAAACACCTGCAAGTCACCCTTGAACTTTACCTCTCCCTCCTTTGTAGGATTTATTTAATATCCAGGTTCAGTAGTTTCTGTTTCTTTACCATTCTGGAACTGATTCACACTCTCTATTCTTTTTCTTATTACCCAGGCTCAGGCCAATAACTACTACTTTTTTGGCTTATGAAAATAACACAATAGATCAGACGTATTGGCTGACACCTGTAATCCCAGCACTTTGGGAGGTCGAGGCAGGCGGGTCACCTGAGGTCAGGAGTATGAGACCAACCTGGCCAACATCATGAAACCCCATCTCTACTAAAAATACAAAAATTAGCTGGGCCTGGTGGTGCATACCTGTAGCCCCAGCTACTCGAGAGGCTGAGGCAGGGGAATCACTTGAACCTGGGAGTTGGAGGCTGCAGTGAGCCGAGATTGTGTCACTGCACTCCAGCCTGGGTGACAGAGCAAGACTGCATCTAAAAAAAAAAAAAAAAAAGAAAGAAAATAAAAGAAAGAATAAAGAAAATAACATATTAACTAGTCTTTCTTGCTGAATTCTTTCCAAACTATTTTCTCACTGCATCCAGAGAGGTTTTCTAGAAATGCAAATCTTTTCATGTTTGTTTCCTGCCTGAATCAATTAGATGGCTTCCTGAAAAAATACTTATAACAAGTAACAAGGTTCTTCACGATATTTCCACGCCTAACTGCATATCTTCATTTCTCCTCACTTACCAATTTTCACTCAATGCTGTAGCCACATCAGCTACTTTATTTACTCTAAGGCAGTGCTTCCCCAAGAACCTCTTTTACTTCACAATACATGGAAAACGAGAATAAATTCATGGTACACTGGGGTAAACCAGTAAATTTGGTTGTGTCTAGAGCCAGTTGGTCTAAGATCTCACATACTCCCCCAAGCATAAAAGAATCAATATTTAAACATGTCTGTAACTCATTCACAACACAGCAAGATAACTAGGGAACATTAGTTTGTAAGCTCTAGCATACCCTGTGTTTTCAATTGCAGATTGCCATGACCAATGCCATGACTTTCACTATCCTTTTCTAAAGCCATCATAACCACTACCAAAACTCCTCTAAAGAGCAAGCTAGTCATTTACCTTTACATCCCAATTTAGAAATCATTTCCTCTAGAAGCCTTCATATACCTTTTTTTTTTTTGAGACAGAGTTTCACTCTGTCGCCCAGGCTGGAGTGCAACGGCGTGATCTTTGCTCACTGAAACCTCTGCCTCCTGGGTTCAAATGATTCTCTTGCCTCAGCCTCCCAAGTAGCTGGAACTACAGGCACACGTTACCATGCTAGGTTAATTTTTGTATTTTTAGTAAAGACGGGGTTTCACCGTGTTGGCCAGGTTGGTCTCAAACTCCTGACTTCAAGTGATCCGCCCACCTTGGCCTTCCAAAGTGCTAGGAGTACAGGTGCACACCACAGCACCTGGCTAATTTTAGTATTTTTAGTAAAGACAGGGTTTCACCATGTTAGTCAGGCTGGTCTCAATCTCCTGACCTCAAGTGATCCGCCCGCCTCGACCTCCCAAAGTGCTGGGATTACGAGTGTGAGCCACCATGCCCAGCCTCACCTATCTTTTGTGTTTGGGTCAGATATTTTTCTTGTGCTCCATATTGCAGCCTGTAACTCTCCTTTTATAGCTTATATAAAAACATGTTCCTGGCTGGGCATGGTGGCTCACTCCTGTAATCCCAGCACTTTGGGAGGCTGAAGCAGGCAGATCACCTGAGGTCAGGAGCTCGAGACCAGCCTGGCCAACATGGTGAAACCCCGTCTCTACTAAAAATACAAAAAAAATTAGACAGACGTGGTGGCGGGCACCTGTAATTCCAGCTACTCGGGAGGCTGAGGCAGGAGAATCACTTGAAACCAGGAGGTGGAGGTTGCATTGAGCCCAGACAGTGACATTGCACTCCAGCCTGGGCGACAAAAATGAAATGAAACTCCATCTCAAAAAAAAAAAAAAATGCTCCTAACTTTTCAGATACGTTGACAATACAATTATGAGTAAATGCATAGGATCCAGTAAGAACATAGAAAAACATGCAAAGCAATGATAAGGATGAAATACCAATATAAAATTAACACTCAATAATGCCTAAAAGTTCTTACCAAATGTTGTCACTTCCTGTGTTTAATTAGGTAGATTTTTCATTGGCATAATAAAAATAAACACTTTTTAGATAGTAAACCAACTCCTCTTTTAGCTAATGTAGTTGCCTGCCTTAGGTACTAATATAAACTAGCAAGCTAATTGCTTTCCTCAATTAGGGAAGATGTAGCTTTAGGTATGACGGGGTTTTGGCAGCGGCACTGGAATAAATCTAAATAAATGGTTAGATATTTACATTGTTATTTTTTTGAAATATTTTAATGCACCCAAGCATCAGAATCTCCTATATACCAATGTAAATTTCCCCATATCTTCTAGAAACAAATGTGCTTTAAATGCATGATTAATTTACCATTTTAGAGTCTTGACTCAATTCTGTTTCAAACTGTGTAAAAAAATTGAGAATTAACTTGACATTTTAACATCTCAGTTCTTGGAATAGCATTGGTTTTATTAATTCCAAAGTGCTTTTTAAAGATAAATCCAGTTTACTTAACATTTAGCCTAAATTCTGTTTGACCTTTAAGACTGATACTATATATACATATATAATATAAATTAATCCCTTATTCTTCCTTTAAGGTAATTTATCTAATTTTGAATTGTGACCTATCTTTAAAGAACATTTTTACACAAGAGGGACATATCAGATATGAGAAAAGTGGTTACAGGAATTTAGGATTGTAAAGTAAATCATTCAAAACAGGAAATTTGGGGGTTTTCTGCTAATAAAACTCAAAACCGTATTATTAACTGACCTATTCAGTATGAAAATAATGTCAAAGGGAAATTTAGGAAAATCTGTTAGGTAAGAGATTAAAACCAGCTGACTATTTAGCAAAGTAGCTTTGAAATCTATTATTATAACAGGAGTTTGGTTTGTTTTTCCTGGAAGAAGAGGAGGTTGACCAAATAATATTCCGAGGCTCTCCCAAAATTGTACTCTTCCCCTTCTTCATCTCTCTTTGCATTCTTTTCTGTCAGCCTGTCCCGCTTTCCTCTGTATTTTCCTATTTTTTTTGACTCCTGCCCCTTAATTGCTGACATGTTCAAATGAAACAATCACCATGATGAAAAACAAAACAAAACCAAAAAAAAAAAAAAAAAAAAAAAACCCTTGGCCCTGTCTCCTCCCCTGGCTACAAATCTCTTTTCTTTTTTTCAGCCAGACTTATTTAGATGGCCACATTTTTCTGTCTTCTGTATTTCCTCAACTTCTTTTTTATTCTTCCACATGTTACAGTCTGTTTTTCACCTGTCTTCCTGTTGAAACTCTGTTCAGTAACATAACTGAGAACCTTTTATTAATGTATGTAGGTAATTCATCTCAAACTTCTTTGTGTTCCCAGCAGTACCTGATACTTCTGATATCACCTCTACTTCTTGACCCTCGCTGTCCTTGAAATGGTAAAACTGAGGCAATGTCTTTGTATTCAGGCCCATCCAGGAATGGTGGGAGAAACAGTTGCTGAGAAAATAGAACATTCCAATGGAATAAGGATTGATGGTCTGTCCTTAGGGCAGCAGCAGCTACTGCTCATTCTCAGATTGATTTCAAGTTCTCAAAGGAGATAACCAAGAATAAGAGGGAAGAGAGCCTGGCTGATGAAAAAGAACAGAGAAAATCTAACAACCACTTGTAATTTATGAGGTCATTCTCTGTTCTATTAGACTGGAGCCAATAGTATGCTCACACTCCAACAGAATGCCACTTAGCAATGACATGAGCCCATATGGTAGCTGTCAGAAAGTCATGGAAATCGCATATGACCCAAGATATTTGAATTATCTTCTTTAGTAAATTTATTCCCACTGCCAAAAACTTCCTTCTGCCCAAGCCCACATTATTTCTGATTTCTCATTTAAGTCTTCGCTGTAAGTTGGAGAGTTTACTTTGCACTTGAAACTGATTTACTGATTACAAACGATTTCTCCTATTACTCTTTCATACTCTTATTTATTCTAACTTTCCCTTAATTATTATTTATTTTTCTGCTCACTCGTATTTTCCTTAGAGTCTTATTATCTTTATCCTCTTCCTTTCTTACTTTTATTGGTCAATCCAGATGAGCACATTCTATTTATACTAAATCTATGTATTCATTCCAGGCCTGTTTTCCAAACTTCAGACCCATATAGCTCACTAAACTATTGAGCATTTCCATTTGTATTTCCGATAGACCCCTCAGGCAAACATGGCCAAAAGAGTTTTCCTGCACTTCTGTTTCTGATGACATAGCAGACTAGGCTAATAGGGAGCCCTTCCCATTACCAAAAAAATTAAAAAAAATAATAAATGTGTCATAGAATATAAAAATATATTCACATATACCTATATGCATATGGACATGTATGTACATACATGCACAACTGTGCTCAAAACAATTTTTTAAAAAGTGCCAGAAATGAAGAGGGCAGTTAGAGTTGGTAGTAACAAGTGTATGCCTCCTCCCTCTGGCTTCAGAGGCTCTTGAACCTGAATATTTGCTTTAATGTCTAAGTGGTTGTGGTTTTCATGTCTATGTGAAGAAAGCAGACATGGCTTGGGCATGAAGAAGGCAAGCAGTTAAAACTGAGATGCCTGCAGATAAGCAGACCATCAAAAAGGCCACTTCCTCAATGAGGAGAGATAAAGCCCTGAATGGAGAAAAAACAAACAAACATGGGAAATCAACACTTGAAGGCTCTGCCTTCATATTTATGGAACGCAAATTGTGCAGTAAAACCTTAGCTGTATACAACAAGTACAAACTTGTTCTAGAACAATCAATCAGGAAAAGATTGCAACATTTATAACACTTGGGGTATGTTGGACTCCTTAGAAAAAAAAATCTCTTCTGAAGATGATTTCACAATAAAAGACACAAACCACAAATTGGTGGCTCAGGATTCAAGCTTCATCTATCTTAGAACACTGCCATCTTGGAGCCCTTTCTTCCAACTTTGTAGACAGGAGTAAGAATGGAGAAAGTATACCTGCTCTTAGTTGCCATAGACTGGGAGTGACACATAACTTTCACTCACATTTCACTGGTGATAATTAATCAAATGACTCCACCTGCATATATGGGGCTGAATAGTTTGGTCTGTCAGCCTGGGCGAGACTCCATACTCAAAAGAATGTAACAACTTAGTGAACATATAGAAATTATCTCTGCCATATTGTCCTGTCAAATCAACCAGGAAGAGTTATCAATTCTGCCTCAGATATCGTTGACTAATCCAGCTTCTTTTCCTTCCCAATGTATCCATATTTGTCTAGGCTGTCATCATCTTGAAACACTCAATAGCCTCCTGACTTGTCTTCCTATCCCCTGTTTCTTCCTACTACTGTTAGAATCTTTTGATTGTAAATGACACTAGTTATAGCTAACAGGATGTCATCTTATGGACTCCAGAAGGAATCATGAAGTTAGCTCAGGAAAGACCTGGAAAAAGAAATATGATGTGAATATCAGGATTGCAGCCAATTATCAAGTTTTGACCTTTATCTTATTTGGTCTGTCTTCAAGACAACTTTTCTTTCTCCTAATCCTCAGTGGTGTTTCCCATTTTTATGTTGCAATATAGTATTCAGTTACTTTTCTTCCAATATGATACCTGCCATAGACAACATTGACATGTAAGTATTTTCTGTACCTTCTTTCTACAAGGGCAAGAACTACAGTAAATCTTCAACTACTTTATGTGTCCTACAGATCCTAATGTGAAATCTTACACAATCTAAGCAGAGTGAGTACTCTACAATTATTCAACAAATCTATAAATGGCCAAAAAGCATTATGACATTTTATTCTACTGTGAGCATATTGTTAACAATTGCTAACCTAGAGAGTTCTTATACTGGTGCAGACTGGTGCGTCTTTCATTGTTCTAAAAGCTATCTCATGATGTCTAAGTATCTAAGCAGAGGGAAAAATTGATCCTTCATTTTCTTGACTTAGTGCTTGATAACCTACCTTATCTGGTTGTGGCATCATAAATAGCCTACATTATGTCCAATGTTTGATTCCATAGTAAAGCTTTGTGTCCTTGCTATTCTGTAGCTCTCTGTAACTAAGTTTGCAAGGTGCTTTTGCATACATTAATTACTTTGATTCTCAAAATTGTCTTGTAAAAAGTGGATATTATTACTAGAATTTAGCTCAGTAGATAATTGTAATCGAGTATATTAGAGATTATAACGTGGTTTTGAATGACTTAGTGCATTTTTTTCCTTATGATTCCATAAGCTAGATAGGGATGGAACTGGCATTTTTTTCCAAAGCATTTTCCCACTGTTATTCTCCCCAAACTCAAAGTTAGTAATTTATTTTTGACTAATATATATTTGTTAATAAAATCCCACATCCATATCACTGTTTCATGTAGCTTTTAGTGACAGTTCTCCTTGTAGCAAAAGCAATTGTGTTCAAGAAAAGATGGAATATGGTAAGGAGGCAGCATAGGTCGGTGGCAACAAGGGAGAGTGCTGAAGTCAGACTGCCTAGGATCAAGTTGAAGTTTACTAATTTCTTAGCTGAAGTGCTTTAAGATATTAATGCATCCATAAAAATGGATATAATTGGCTGGCGTGGTGGCTCATGCCTGTAATCCCAGCTACTTGGGAGGCTGAGGCTGGAGAATTGCTTGAACCCAGGGAGGGTAGAGGTTGCAGTGAGCCGAGATTGCACCACTGCACTCCAGCCTGGGCGAGACTCCATCTCAAAAAAATAATAAAAAAAAAAGATCTAATAATGGTACCTACTTTAGATCTTTAGATACTTTAGAGTTTCCAAGTTTGTGGAAAGGATTAGAGTATAATATGTGAAAAAAATACTTAATATAGTGCAAGTTGTGTAGTAATCACACAATACCTGCTGTAGAGGCTGCAGAGGGTATTGGCACAGAGCCCACCTCTGGACCCATGACAGTAGAATTTGTATCACAGTCTTTACATTGCCTGTGTGATCTTGGGCAAGTTAACGTAAATTCTCTGTGCTGCAGTTTCCTCCTCTATTAAAATTGGGACAACAATAGTACCCACCTCATAGAATTGTGATGGAGAATGCATGAGCTAATTCCTGGAACATACTCAGTAAAGTCGTTAATTGAAAATTCCTTTCTGTTAGGGGAGACCCTCACTATTTTTTCCAATGTGGAATTCTCAATGTAGTTAAGTCTGGTTAATTTTGTTGTTGTGTTCTTTAAGTTGGCAAGTCAGCACCTGTGTATTTAAATAAACACTCATGTTTCCAAATACACTCATTATTTTTATTGTTGACATTTATTAAATTTAATTTAAACTTATTATGCTTGCTCCAAGCAAAAAGAAGCAGCAGAATGAAACCACCTAACCTCTAAACAGGCATTAGCAGACATCGCTACTTGCCCAAGCACTAGTAGGTGTATCTTTGTTTCTAGGGAATGATACTTTTCTATTTTCCTGTTCTTGAAATTGCTATTTGAGTCTTTGAGGCATCAAATAGATGCAGATTAGTACATCCCAGTTTCATTTAAAATGTTGCAGATCTGGTGCCTTTGTTCTTTTACAATCTCTTCCATTGTGACAGGTAGGTGAACAGATATCTGCTGCTTTGGGGTATTAGAAGGAAATAGATAGTAATGCCTTACTCCACTTGGGCTGCTATAAGGGAATCCCTTACGATGTGTAGCTTAAACAATAGACATTTCTTTCTCACAATTCTGGAGGGTGGAACATCCAAGATCAAGGTACTGACAGATTTGTTTCTTAGTGAGGGCTTGCCTCCTGGTGCACAGATGGCCACCACCACGCTGTGAGCTTTCATGATCTCTTCTTTGTGTACAGGCAGAGAAAGTTCTCTGTGTCTTTCTGTCTTTATGAGGGTACAAATCTCATCATTAGGGTCCCACTTTCATGGCCTACTCTAGACTTAATTATCTCCCACATGTTCTACCTCCAAATACCATCACATTGGGGGTTAGGGTCTTATCATATGAATTTTGGGGAGACATAACTATTCATCTCACAACAGAGAGATGATTGGTAGACAGATCAAAAATATTTTCAGCTCTGTTAAGCTACTTATGATGATTGAATGAACTTCCTCTTTCCCCTTTCCCAAATAGCTTTCCAACTTAACACATAAATTTAAGATTTCAGCGAATGCTATGTTGATCTGAAGTATTGCTTTCCATAACACATGTCTGTTTAGGTGCAATGATTGCTTTTACAGATTCCTCCAGGGATTTAGGTCAATGTAAATTATATTTTCATCATGTGAATTACTTTTGAAATTAGATCTTCTTTTCTATTATTCTTCCTCTCTCCTTCTTCTTTGCTCCCTCCTCTCCAGTCACACAGGCCTCCTTTCTGTTCCTTGAACAAACCACACCTGCCACCTTAGATGTCTACTGGCGAACTCCCTTACCTCTTTTAAACCTTGGCTCAATTTTTATCATTGAGTTTACTTGAGATTACTCTGGGGATTCTCTTAAAAATTACCTACCCCCCACATCACACTCATGATCACCCTTACCCCATTCGGTTCTAATTTTTTTCCTATAGCACTAATTATCTTTGCTGGGGCTCAGAAAATGATGTGATATACTTTGGCATATCATTTTCTGAGCCCCAACAAAGATAAAGTGACATATTTTGGCATGTTGAGGTCTTTTAACTAAAGGCAATCTGAAAGCTTCAGAAACAGCATCAGAACAAAGCTCTATCTGATCTTTTCCTGACCATCTGTCTCTGGCCCCTCATTTTCCCCTAACATGAGTCATAGAAACCAGAATTATTCTTCCCCAAGGCAGGGTAGAAACAAGAACCTCTTTTCCCCAAAGCAAGCTATAAAAACTGAAATTATTGTGTACTCTTTCCCTACCTTTCTGTGTAGAAATTGGCCATAAAAAAGTTCACTGATGTACCATGTCAGATAGGAGGTCATAAGACCTCATTTCAAAGGGGTCTTACCCATAGCTGGGAGGAAGAGATGCTACAACAAATAGGTCAAAAAGAATCTGAACAGACAAGCCTTGCTGGGTTTCTCTACTCAGTCTACTAGTATTTGACCATATCCTTTTTTGTCCATATTTTTATAAGATCCTCTGTTCTTCATTGAACCAATACATAAAAATGTATCCTTGGCCGGGCACGGTGGCTCATGCCTGTAATCCCAGCACTTTGGGAGGCTGAGGTGGGCAGATCACCTGAGGTCTGGAGTTCGAGACCAGCCTGACCAACATGGAGAAACCCTGTCTCTACTAAAAATACAAAATTAGCCAGGTGTGGTGGCTCATGCCTGTAATCCTAGCTACTCGGGAGGCTGAGGCAGGAGAATGGCTTGAACCCGGGAGGCAGAGGTTGCAGTGAGCCGAGATCGAGCCATTGCACTCCAGCCTGGGCAACAAGAGCAAAATTCCATCTCAAAAAAAAAAAAAAGTATCCTTGGGTCTTCATTCTAAAGGATCTCATGACACATAAATTTTGATTAAATAAATTTGTTTTGCTTTTCTCTCGTTAAGGTGTCTCTTGTTATAGGTGTGTCAGCCATGGAAAGGTTAGCACACCTTTTCACTCCTACATCTTCTACATACTAAATAAATATTTGTTATATCTATGGTTATTGACCATCTTTTCCTATTCAAATGAAAGTTGCATGACAGCAGGAATCTTTGTTTTGCTCACTGCTGTACCCCAAGCATCCAGCTTATAGTAAGCTCTTGGTAAGTTTTTCTTGAATAAATTGGCAGAATAAAACATATAAAGAGCAAGTAGCTTACTGCTAGTCTAGCCAAAATTGAACAAATATACTTCTCTGTGTTCACAAATGAATTGTGTAAAAGCACTGTACTTCTCTTGTAAAGTATTAAATTGGAAGATACGTATAATTCATTTTACTTTATTCTAAATGAATTATTGTTGCTTTTCAGGCCAGATGTAGCTAAAATCAATCCTCAAACTGTTGCCTTTTTAAACAGTAAATATGGAGAAAAAAATCTTCATCAAATTTGATAGTTAGAATAATAAAAGAGATAGTTACCTTCCAAAGTAAAAAAATTTATTTATAAATCAAGTGAAAGCTTGGTGATGTTAAAAAAAATTATTAGAGATGGAGTCTGGGCACAGGTTATTTCTTTTGCTGCTTTATTTATCTTGGTAACTTGCTCTGTAGCTTTCTGTGCCTCAGTTTTTCTCCCTTTGTTTTCTAGTTTGCCAGATCTCTTCTGCATGGAGTTGAAACTACGTAGACCCTCATTTCATCCTCGTTGTCAGTAAAAGGGACAAAAGAAATAGCCTACTCATCTATCGCTTTCTGCTGGCGTTACTCTTGCCCTTGTTCCCATTCTCTGTAATAGTCTTCTGCTGTGATCCAGCCCCACTGCATTTCCAAATTCTGGCAACTTCCAAGTGCTGAAGTCACTTTGGCTGAGAACTTCCTTTGGTCCTCCCAGTTTCCCTCTCTGGGTCCTCCCAGTTCCCTCTGCCTGAATCTGACAAAACAAATATAGTGCATCAGTCTTCCTTGCTGAACTTCCAAGTTACACCTCATCCTGTAGGTATCTAGTTCTGTGTGCTATGTCAGACTTGGTAATAACAGCCGTTTCTTCCACAGTCGATTCTGTCTTTTTACTGCTTACCTTTGAACTATCTCCTATTTTTCTTTTGCCATCTATTTTAGTTTTTTTTTGTTTTGTTTTTTTACCTCCCAGGTAGACTTCCTACTTGCCTCACTCTAGTACATGGGGAGAATTACAGCTTTCGGCCATTCAAAGAGTGCTGCATCTTACTATAATTATCCACAGTGTACCTGGCTACATGTCAAGATATGAGTTATCTAATCTTTACATCTTAAAAAACATCAGAATAGACTATGTAATTTGCAGTCTTTTTCTGTCCTATGAGAGTTTATTACATGAATTTGTAAACTTAAGCAGCCAAACATGTCATCGATTTGTTTATCACACGTAGCAATAGCTAAGCCAAACTTAAGAATGAGGAAAAGACACAATTTTGCTCATTCGTGTAATACAGGGCCTGATACAGACTCCATCCACAAGATCTTCTTACTTGAAAAGCATTCATTACATTATTCAATATAAATAGAAAATATAGTGGTTGAATATTACATTATTATTAGAGTACAATGAAACTGGAACTAAAAATATTTAGGGGAACTATTTGGGCAGCATATTTGGAAAAGAGGATGGAAAGATTCCGTCTTAGGAGAACCAATACAATGATACTCTGTGTAGGGAGTTGATTGTACTCTCACTATGTCCTGGGCACTTTTAAAACACTCTTTGGACCTGCTGCTGACTCGGAAGAAGGGATGCTCTCCTTACAGCCCTTGCTGTTTTGTGTGATTTCTTCCTGCTTTGCCTTCTCTGCAGTGAGAGGCAGGCCCCCACAACAAGTCACAGGTAGAGATTCTGGGAGAAGGCTTCTTGTACTGCCAGTCATCTGGAAGTGCTCTGGTGTGTGAGCATGAGTGGGTTCCCTTGACATGGGAGAGGTGTGGACTGGCTGATCCATTGCCACATCCTGATACAATGTCTATGATTCAGTGTATGTGCATGTGCTCACCGTAAGTCCACAATACGTGCTTTTTTTAAGCTTCTTACTGGGTTTTAGAATGGAAAATTTACTGTAATATATATCTCATAACGGCAGTACAAATTAAAAATTATGTTATTTACATTACAATCTCATAAGATAATTTCAACAGAATGCATACCCAAAAATAGGATAGGGTTATGCAGTGAAAAAATCTTTTGCACAAAAAAGGAGCCCATACTAATAAATGCGGTTCCTAACTTGGATCGGTTGTCAGCTATGTTTTGCTTAAGACTGGTTGCAGCCAGAACTCTGAACTGCCAGGCTGCATCTTGCCCTGTCTTGCTTTCTAGATGCTGTGGGTAAGACCTCTATCTTGAGGAATCTTAGGAACTACATACAGTGCTAGAAACAGGCTGCATCTTCAGTGCAGAAAGTAGCTGTGGTGAGGCTCTGCGTTTAGGAGCTAGAAAGGAATCTTAGAAGTCATTTGGTTAAAATCTCCTATCTTTTAGATGAGAAAACTGAGGTCTGGAGAAGTTTGAGTTTCTCAAGATCCCATTGAAAGTTGTGGCAAACCTGAGGAGACAGGTCTGCTTTCTTTACTGGAAAACAAATATGTCTCTCAGTTTGCCATTTTTCTTTACCCATTTTTCCGTAAAGATTTATCAGCTGGCTTCACAATTCTAAAAGACTGAGCTCTAAAATCAGCAACCAGTTTTATTCATTGGAAAATCCGATTAGTAGCCAGACTGGCAGAGCTGGAACTGTATAGATTCCATAGTAAAATCCGAGCACTTGTACTTACTAGCTTGTGAGCTTTGGTAAATAAACTTCTCCCTATAAAAACATATACATATATAGTATAAATCATATATAAAAACTCAGATAGTATTTATGCGTATTACTGAATATGAAATATTTTTTATTTCTTCCCTTCCCTTTGTTTCTCTTCACAAAGTTTCATGTCTTTAGTTACAACTTCTTTATAACAAAAATACACAAAAATCAGTTAAATATTATTATGAATTGTTTTTTAATGTCTGTTTTTGGGTGCAAATTAAGGGAACTTATATAAAATGCACATGTAACAATTAATGCTCATTTCCATTTTAGTCTAGGCTGAAAGAAAGCATCCACACTTTATATTTTACTGGAGATTTTAGCATTAGTGACCCAGAGTCTAGTTACAAACAATAACTGAACTGGTGCGATTACTCAGATAAGAAAACAAAATATAGACTAGATTTCTCTAATTTCATTAATAAGCTCATGTCTTGGGGAGACCTTGCTTTTGTTCTCAGAAAAAAAAATTAGCAAGTTGGAATCAGTTTTGTCTGCCTCTTTTCTGTAAATATAGCCTACTGGTCTTCTTATTTTATAGTTTGAAAGGAACTTGCAGAATTTAAGCCTTACTTTTTTCTGTGCAGTTTCTGCTTGTTAAGAGACCAACTCAGTCCCTGTCTTCTTGAGGCCTTCCTTTTCTTTGTTCAATAAACTGCCCTTTCTGTTTTCATTTTCTTTCTTCCACTTTGTCTAGAAACATGTTAGTGTTTCTCTCAAACTAAGCAAAAATAAAATTTGAACTTTCTTTTTCATTCACATATCATTCATACTTATCTCTTTCCTGTCCTTCACAGCTATAAAAATATTGGATTTTCCTACTTTGAAGCTGACCTCAGCTTCAAACCCTCCATGAAAACTATTCTTATTAAAAGATGTCAAAGACATTACTATTGCCAAAGTCAATGATTCTTTCCAGTTCAGAAAAATACTTAGCTTCTCTTTATGTATTTGATACTGTTCCGCATTGCTTAATTTTTTTAAAACACATTTTTTTAAAACAAAAAGTAGAATCTCATTTTAGAGAATTAGAAAGTACAGAAAAGTACCTAGGATGAACTACTGAAAACAGTTGAGTGTGTATCTTTACACTAACACATGTTCTTATTATGAGCATATATCCTCATACATACACTCACAGTCTCCCTCTCACACATGAGAGAATGCTATTTATTGTATTTCATAACCTGTTGGTTCAATAATGTATTATGAACATTGTTCCATGTCAAAAGGAATAATTGTACTTTTGTCAGCATTTCAGAAGTGTTTATTTTATTTTATTCTTATTTATTTTAGAGACAAGGTCTTATTCTGTCAGACAAACTGGAACTGCAGATACATGCTACCATGCTCAGTTAATTAAAGAAAAATGTTCGTAGAGGCGGGGTCTCACTGTGTTGCCCAGGCTGGTCTCCAACTCCTGGGCTGAAGCAATCCTCCTGCCTTGGCCTCCTAAATTGTTAGAATTACAGGGGTGAGCCACTGTGGTTGGCCCAGAAGTTATTTTTAAATAAACTAAATAACTCTTAGATGTGTATCTTACAAATCTTTTCTAGCCAATTGTATAGCATGCAAACGACAAGCAAAAGAAAGCTCATGTAGCTATATCAATATCATGTCAAATACTATTTTAAGCAAAAACATAGCTAGAAATTAAATAAGTTCATTTTATAATGATCACAATGAATTTCCTGGTTGAACTCACCGGAAAAACAATGTTTAATTTGCCTCCAAGTAAAATTATAACCTCAAAATAGATAAGACAATGCTGCCAGAACTACAGGGAGAAAGAGAAAATTTCACAACCATAGTGGGAGATTTCAAAACACCCCTTTCAGTAAGTGGTAAACCCGAGAGGGAAAACAGAGAATCAGTAAGGATATAGAAAATTTTAATGGTAAAGTTAAAAGTTACCTGATGTACAAATATGGAACACTATGCACAGCAACTGCAGAATAATACATGCTTTTCAAGTACACATAGAACATCTACAAAAAGTTTACTTTACAATGGGCCATAAAAGGAGTCTCTAACAATATAAAATACTAACTTATATCCTCTGACCTAATATTAACCATATTTTCTTATTATCAAAAACAAATGATAGTTATAGAAACTCTATATATTTAGAAATATATTTGGAAATATTAGTAATAAAGCCATATATTTTCAAAAATATAAATGAAAATCTTCATATATTTGCAAATATCAATGATGACTATAGAATCTCCATGCATTTGGAAGTTAACTTCTCAATAAACCATGAGTCAAAGAAAAAAAGACAATGGAAAATATAGAAACGACTAAACTGAATGATAATAAAAAATTATAAATTAAAACTTGTGGAATATAGCTAAAGCAATATTTTGAGGGAAATTTACATCTTTGCACATAATAGTGATAAAAGACAATGATAGTTGTCTTTCACATTTATCTTAATAATTACCTGTAATTACCTCATCTAATCTTTCATATTCATCTCAACAAATTACAAAAAATATAAAAGTAAAATAAAGGAAATAGTAAAGATAATATTCAGAATTAATGGAGAAAATACACTAAAAAGGATGAAAGTAGTTACATTGCTTCTATGAAAGTGGTAGTAAATTTTACAAATCTTTCGATAATTGATCCAGAAAAGAGTTAATGAACAAACAACAAATTAAAAAAACGAAAAGATGCTGCAGACATTTTAAATAAATAAGATATTGTGAACAATTAATAAATTTAGATGAGATGGGCCCATTCCTAAAAAAGAAATATCAAAATTGACTCATGAAGAAATAGAAGCCCAATACTAAAATGAATCACTAGTCAGAATCTAAAAATGACATTTTTATATTCAGTTTGCTTTCTGGAGATTTATATCAAACAGTCAAGTAAAAAATAATTCCAGTTTAACAAAAACTTTTCCATAGAAGAAAAACAATGTGGAAAACAGTTTAACTGATTTTTTGGAGCAAGTGTGACCTGATAGCAAAATCAAAAAAAAAAAAAAAAAAAAAAAAAAAAAGAGAAGAGAAAATTATAGGCCAATCTCAATTGTAAGTATAGATGCAAATATTCTAAACAAACATTATCAAATCAAATTTGGCATTATGTAAATAGAATAATACATTATAACCAAGTGGGCATAAATTTTTATCATCAAGGTTCTACCAGAACACATTTAATCAATAACTTATTTCTAAATATTTTAAACTATTTCTCATGTTTGTCCACGTATTTCTGTGTGCATATACATGTGTATGTGAGTAAACATGTCTGATTATCTTAGATTGGATTCTTTGAAGTAGAACTTTTGGGTCAAAGACATACAACTTTCAAAATTTTTTTATCAATTACAAATTTTTTTCTAGTAAAGTTGTATGAACTTTTACTTTAAAACAGCAATTTCATAAATATGTCCTCATCAACTCCTAGTATTCTTTTAACATTTTTTCAAACTATAGGTAAGAAATTATTATCTAGCTTTTCAGTTTGCATTATTTTGATTACAAGTGAGGATAAAGTTTTCAATCTTATGATTATTGATTTGCCTATCTTCTGAAAAAAATTTTCATGAATAACCTTTACCCATATTTCTGTTGAGTGCTTTTTATATTGTTAAATGAGTTCTCTACATATTAATGACAGGAATCTTTCACACTGTAGGCTGTAATCATGTTTCAGTTTATCACTGATTTTTTTTTTTTTTGAGACAGAGTCTCACTCTGTTGCCTAGGTTGGAGTGCAGTGGCTCGATCTCAGCTCACTGCACCCTCCACCTCCTGGGTTCAAGTGATTCACCTGCTTCAGCCTCCTGAGTAGCTGGGATTACAGGTGCATGCCACCACACCTTGCTAATATTCATTGTTTTGGCTGAGATGGGGTTTTATCAAGTTGGCCAGGCTGGTCTCAAACTCCTGATCCCAAGTGATCTGCCCACCTTGGCCTCCCAAAGTGCTGGGATTACAGGCGTGAGTCACCACGCACCTGGCCTGTCACTGATATTTTTGACATACAATTTTAAGTACCCCTGTTTCTACATGGTTTCCTAAGGTGGTGTGAGAAACAAATGCAGCATTTGAAAAGCAGATTAAGACTATCAGTGCATGATATGCCAAAACTTATGTATGATGTTGGAAAGTGTAGCACATAATAGACAAAGTCTTCTAGCAACTGAAAGCTTTAAACACTTTTCAAAGTAGGAATATACTGCATATGAAAAAACACTGGGTGTAAAGTTGGTATTTCTGAGTTTGAATTGCAGGTCTGCTGTGTGAACTTGGCTAAGAAAGCGCCTCTCAGAGACAGAGTGTTTTGAAAAATTGCTATTTAAATGTAAGATAATGTGTCTAGTTTATGAGGTCTCTTTCATTTCTTTAAACAATAATTTTGTTTGACATTGAATTGTGTAGAAAACTTAGAAATGCCAATGTTACAATAAGTTTCAATGCAATATTAATTTCTAATGTGTGTAAACAGCAACTCTCTGGTCTATTTTTTTGTAATTGGTGACAAATTTTTTCTGAGTGACTTTAATGTATCTTTAGGACTTGTATAATTAAAATACTTTTCAGGAAGAAGCTATTTTAAACCAAACAAATGGTGACATTTATTATACCAGCAGAGATAAACTTCAAAAGCAAGGTGCTTAAATAATGTGTGTGTTGTGTGTGTGCATGTGTGTGTGTGTGTGTGTCATCCTGATCTTAAATGTGTAGCAGAATTTAGAATTTCAACTAAACATGAAAGACACACCCCCCAAATGAAAGAGGACTATACTTTTTAAAAACATATATGGCAAGACTGTTACTTCTTATAACTCATACACTCATCACCATTACCCAGAACTAGAGTTCCTGGTTGCAAAGGTAGGAGGCTTTTTGTAAAGTTCTAACTAAAAGTAAAAAAAGAAGACAAAGAATAATAGAAGTAATGTTTTTCACCTAATTTTATAGTTTGTATAACTCTGATACCAAAAGAACTAAAGACATTACAACAAAAGAAAAATTACAAATTAATATTTCTTATAAACATATACACAATTCTCAACAAATTATAAACATATCAAATACAGCAATACAGAAAAAGAATAATACATTTTTGGTTTAACATTAAAATCAAACAATGTTATTTACATATTCATTTAAGGAGAAAAAATTGTATGATAATTCAACAGGTGCAGAAGAAGCGTTTATCAAAATTCATCTTCATTTCATGATAGGAACTCTGCAAAATAAAAAGAAGGAAAAAATCTCAGTCTAATAAAAGGCATGTACAAAAATTCTAGAGCTAATGTCATTCTTAATTGTGAAATGCCAAACGCACTTCCTCAAAGAGAAGAAACAGGCATGGTTGTCCACTTTTTAAAAATATACTTTATTTTTTAGAGTAGTTGTAGCTTTATAGAAAAATGGAAAGAAAGCTACAGAGATGGCCGGGCCAGGTGGCTCACGCCTGTAATCCCAGCACTTTGGGAGGCCGAGGCGGGCAGATCACGAGGTCAGGAGATCGAGACCATCCTGGCTAACACTATGAAACCCCCTCTATACTAAAAATACAAAAAGTTAGCTGGGTGTGGTGATGGGTGCCTGTAGACCCAGCTACTCGGGAGGCTGAGGCAGGAGAATGGCGTGAACCCGGGAGGTGGAGCTTGCAGTGAGCCAAGATCATGGCCACTGCACTCCAGCCCGGGCGAAAGAGCGAGACTCCATCTCAAAAAAAAAAAAAAAAAAAAAAAGCTACAGAGATTTCCCATATACCCTCTGTCCTCACACATACACAGCCTCCCCCATGATCAAAATCCATCACCAGTGGTACATTTGTTATGACTTTGGAATCTATATTGACACATCACTATGACTCAAAGTCCAGAGTTTACGATTTACTGTTTTACATTCTATCAATGTTGACAAATGTATGTCATGTATCCACCATTAAATTATCAATTATCACACAGAATAGTTCTATTGCCTATTCATCCCTTCCCCTCAATCCATGGCAACAATTGATCCTTTTGCTGTTTCCATAGTCCTACATTTCAACGAATGTCATATAGTTGAAGTAATGTAGTATGTAGTCTTTTCAGATTGGCTTCTTTCACTTAGTAATATGCATTTAAATTTCCTTCATGTCTTTTCATGGCTTGATAGGATATTTCTTTTTATCACTGAGTAATATTCTATTGTCTGGATGTACTAATTTATTTATCCATTTACCTACTGCAGGATATCTTGGTTGTTTCCAAGTTTTGGCAATTGTGAATAAAGCTGCTGTAGACATTCGTGTGCATATTTTTGTGTAGACATAAGTTTCAATTCATTTGGGTAAATACCAAGAAGTGTGACTACTTGATTGTATGGTAGGAGTATGTTTAGTTTTGTAAGAAACTGCCAACTCTCCTCCAAAGTAGCTGTAGCATTTTGCATTCTCAGTAGCATTCTTCTTGTTCCACAGCCTTGCCAGCATTTGATGATGTAACTGTTCTAGATTTTGGCCATTCTAATAGGTTTGTAGTAGTATCTCATTGTTGTTTTAATTTGCCTTTTCCTAATGACATGATGTGGAGTACCTTTTTTATGTGCTCATTTTCTTTGGTGAAGTGTCTGTTCAGGTATTTTGCTCATTTTTTAAATTGGGTTGTGTGTTTTCTTATTATTGAATTTTAAGAATTCTTTGTGTATGTTGAGTAACAGTCCTTTGTCAGATATGTCTTTTGCAAATCTTTTCTTCAGTATATGGTTTGTTTTGTCATTCTTCTAAAGGGTTCGCACTTTTACAAATTTTATTCAAAATTGTGCTAGAGGTCTTATCTAGTACCATTGGCAAGAAAAACAAATAAAAGACTTACAGATTAAAAAGAAAACAATAAAGTTGCTTTCTTTTGTTGATAACATAATTGTACATGTAGAAACTCCTGAGTAATGTATAAAAAAGATACTAGAACTAATAAATATATTTAGCAATTTTTAGTATAAAAGTCAAAATACAGAAATAAATTGTATTTCTACATTCCCAAAATTCAAACATTAGATAAAAAATAGCATTCCAATAACATCAAAAAACATAAAATACTTAGAAATAAATTTAATGAGTTGTGTAAAATCTTTATATTAAAAACTATAAAATATTGATGACAGAAATTAAAGAAAGTGCTAATATATGGAGCGACATACCATGTTCCTGAATTGTAAGACTCAATATTGTTATAATGCTCAATTGCCTTCACATTGCCCAAATTTGTCTATTGATTCTCTGCAATCATAATCTTAGTCAATTTTTAAAAAGCAGAATTTGAGAATGTAATTATAAAATTTCTATAGAAATTCAGGAAACCTCGAAGAAACAAAACAAATTTTTAAGAGAAGTTTGTTTTAGTTTTCAACAGATGGTGCTGGAACCAGTGAACATATACATGGAAAAAATAAAAGAACTTTATTTCTGCTTCAAGTCATACACATATGTTAGAAATGAATAATAGGCATAAATGCAAAAGTCAAAACTATGAAGCTCCTAGAAGAAAACAGGATATATTTGCAACTTTGTGCTGGGAAAACATTTCTTAGAGTTGACACAGAAATAAAGCTATACTTAAAATAATAAAAAATTTAATATCAACATTTAAAGCTTCTGCTCATCAAGAGACATTATTGATAAAATGAATAAGAAAGCCACAGACTGGGAGAAAAATATTTTCAACACATACATTTGAAAAAAGGGGGCCGGGCACTGTGGCTCATGCCTGTAATCCCAGCACTTTGGGAGGCTGAGGCGGGCGGATTACGAGGTTAGGAGATTGAGACCATCCTGGCTAACACGGTGAAACCCCGTATCTACTAAAAATACAAAAAATTAGCCAGGTGTGGTGACGGGCGCCTGTAGTTCCAGCTACTCTGGAGGCTGAGGCAGGAGAATGGCGTGAACCCGGGAGGCAGAGCTTGCAGTGAGCCGAGATAGCGGCACTGCACTCTGGCCTGGGCGAAAGAGCAAAACTCCGTCTCAAAAAAAAAAAAAAAAAAAAAAAAAAAAAGATGATATTTAGAATAAACAACAAATTTACACGTTTCAATGATTAAAAGACAATCAATCGAGTGAAAATATGAATAAAAGACTTGAACAGATACTTCTCAAAGAAAGATATACAAATGCCCAATACATGCATGGAAACGTGTTCAATGTCCTTAATCATCAGAAAACTTCAAATTAAAACTACCATGTGAGACCACCACACATCTACAAAATGGATGGATAAAATGAAAAAATGTCTAAAATGAAACAAGAGTGACAATCACAATCTAATGTTGACAAAGTGTAAGGTGAATAGAACTGTCATATATTTCTGGCTGGGAGTGTAAAATGATACTACCATTTTGAAAAACTGGCAGTTTCTGAAATATTTAAACATACTTCTCCCCTGTGACCCACATTCCTTCTTTGGTTTTTATTCAAGAAAAATAAAAATATGTTTATGAAAATGTGTACAAGAACATTCACAGTGGCTTTATTTATGATAGTCTAAACCTAGAAATAGCCTAGCTTGCCATCCACAAAATAATGAATGAACAAATATATAATGGAATAATACTCAACTATCAAAAGGAATAAATTATAGACATACAACAAAATTATTCAGAGTGAAGGAATTCTTATAGTAAAAAATATATTCATATGAAGTCATAGAACAGGAAAAATTAATCTATTATGGTGATAGAGATTAGAACAAAGATGCTCCTGGGCAGAAAGAGGTTCCTAGAAAATGATTTTTTCCGGTCATGACAATGTTTTTTTTTGATAGGATGCGAGTTATAAGAGTGTATCCATTTGTCGAAACTGATGATACTGTACCCTTAAGATGTACTTAATTCACCAAAGTAAAATAACCCCCAGTAATTTTTTAAAATAATACAAAGTAAATATTAATGGGAAATTAATATTAGATATTCTACCAGGCTAGCAGACTGTCATAAAGGCTTTTTCTTGCCCCTTGCCACCCCAAACCCTTCAGGATCTTGTTTTTCTACTCTTCGCATGCAGTGGGAGATTCATATAGAGCAGAGAATGACTGATACCGATGGTAAAGGTTCATACACAGTCTACCTTAGTAAGTCAGTGGAAAAGTGGGGATCACCTCCTTTGTGCTAGTGTATCATTATAGGCTAACCTCAACTCTGATTCAGCACACTTGTATGCAATTACAAAATAGAATTTCCGGATATCATTCAGGGATTGGTCACTGAGTCTTTATTGCTAAGGTACATTTCTTCCTGTTCTGTAGTTTACTCCTCTTTTGTGGTCAGGTCAAAATGATCTTCGACACGATGTATCTTTTGCCGTAAATGCTAAGGTCATAAGACTTAGATATAATCTGTGGTGAAGGGGTTTTTTTCCCCTCAATACATTTTTGTCATGTTCTCTTTGATTTAGTTGCACGCAAGGAGAAATGATTGGCAAGCTTTTAGTTTCCTAGGTTACAACAAAAATTCCACTATAGTATCCTATTGTGTTTTGCATTGTTTTCTGTGTTATTTACTCATTGCCCAAATAGTACTAATAAGTAACCAGTAGTACCATAGAAACTGTTTCCTAGGCTAGTGGTGTGTATGAACTCTAAAACTTACAGTCTAAAACATTTTTTCACTTTATACAGAAATATTCTATAAAGGGAAGACAAGGAATCTGCAAATTTCTTGGTATAATTTCTGGATATATGAATTGATAAAAGAGGTACTTTAATTTTTTTTTCCTGTGAAAGCTTGAATGTGGTAGCAAAGTCCTGAAAACTGCAACAATTTTCAGAAGCCACTTCCTGTCTTTAGTGTGCTGTTTAATATTGTTTAGGTTTCGAGTAAGTGAACAAGCATTTGGAGATCTGGATTATTTTGGTTACACAGTGAACAAGATAAGTGAAGTGGATTCTAACATCTACTCATTCAACATCCTGTGAGAATAAAATGTTGTTTGAGGGGTTCTTGTCTTTTGGCAATTCTTGTGCTTGTGAGTCTGAATAGAGAAAAAAATACATCATTGAATAAACTCAGGTGTAGTTAAACTGCACTAGTGCCCTTTATTAGAGATCTGGCTGTGGAGATTGGATTTGCCTGAAGCTTAATCTCTTGAGATTGATATGCTTGAGAGTTCTGGAACATATTTTCCATTCAAAACTCAATACAATAATTATTGTTTAATATTTATGTATCTGGGCAGCCAAAGCCTGATAGAACTGACTCTCTACATGTTGACAGGTAAGGTTGGGTGAAACACAAGTCATTCATGATTTAACATCTCTCCCATGAAGGCTTACCTGTCCCAGCCCTTTCCCCGTCCATGCCTCTCCAGCATGTTGTACATGTTAATAGCTTTGCACTTATTAGTACCTTTCATTTGTTTTTTATAGTAGTTTTATTGAGATATAATTCATGTACCATGAAATTCACTCCTTCAAAGTGTACACTTCAGTGGTTTTTAATATATTCCTAGAAATGTGCAACCACTACAATCTAACATTAGAACATTTTAAGCACTCAAAAGAAATCCCGTACTCATTAGTAGTCACTTTCAATTTTTATCCTCTCCCCAGCCCCTGATAACTACTAATCTAATTTTGGTCTTCATGGATTTGCCTATTCCGGACATTTCATGTAAATGGAATCAGACAATATGTGGTCTTTTGTGGCCAGCTTTGTTTCACTTAACATAATATTTTCAAGATTAATTCATGTTGTAGTATGTATCAGTACTTTATTTCTTTTTATTGCCAGATAATATTCTATTGTATTGATATACCACAATTTGTTATCAGTTGATGGGAATTTGGGTTGTTTCTGTTTTTTGGCTATTATGAAGAATGCTGCTATTTACATTATGTGCAAGTCCTTTTTGTGAACACCTTTTCCTTTCTCTTGGGTAGATATCTACAAGTGAAATTTCTGAGTCATATAATAACTCTATGTGTAACATTACGAAGAACTGCCAAACTGTTTTCCAAAGTGACTGCACCATTTTACATTCCCATCAGCAGTATATAAAAGTACCAATTTCTCCACCTCCTTGCCAACATTTGCTATTGTCATCATTTTGATAAGTCATCCTATTGAATATGAAGTGGTATCTCATGGTCATTTTGATATACGTTTCCCTAATAACTAACGATTTTGAGTGTTTTTTCATGAGCTTATTGGCCATTTGCATATCTTCTTGGAGACATGTTTATTCAAATCCTTTGTCTATTTTTAAATTGGGTTGTTTGACTTTTATTATCAAATTTTATGAGTTCTTTATATATTCTGGGTGCAAGTCCCTTATAGATATATAGTTTATGAATAAACACATTGTATTTTAAATATTCTCATCAGTCATAATTATGACCTCCTGGGTGATAGAAATGATTTTTTTATTTCCCCCACTTTTTCCATATATATGTGATAAACAACTGTTATGAAATATGCATAACTCCTAAAAGACAGTTGCTCTAAACACAATTGAAAAGTTTAGGTAAGTTATGTATATTGTTACTTTATCATCCACTGAACTTATATCTTTCTGCTTTTCTACCTCTGGGATGACACGTTTAATACCCCTCAGGCAATGGTTACTTAATAGTTGCTTCCCTGGTGTCACTCTATTTTTACTGATTCTCTCATCCCTAGGATGGCAGATATCTGTAGGTGCTGTATTTCTTTTCCTTCAAAATCTATCTCTCAAGAGTAGGAATCATTTTTTTATTTTCAACAATAGTGGAAATTTCATAGGTGCTTGTTGGGTGCCGTCATACTCTTTCCCAGACTTCCAAAGCATCCTGTTTTCCTGTCTGCATTAGAGTTCTTGGTTGTAAGCAACAGAAACAGACTCTGGTAAATTAAGTAAGGAGAAACTTACTGCAAAAACAGGCAACATCCCCAGAATCAATCAGTGATGGACATTTGGGTTTGGCAATGTATAGGAGCAAAGGAGATCCGTCAAACTGATGAACAGGAAACAAAGCCGCCATCTTGCAGTCGGAATTGTTACTTTATCATCCACTGAACTTATATCTTTCTGCTTTTCTACCTCTGGGATGACACGTTTAATACCCCTCAGGCAATGGTTACTTAATAGTTGCTTCCCTGGTGTCACTCTATTTTTACTGATTCTCTCATCCCTAGGATGGCAGATATCTGTAGGTGCTGTATTTCTTTTCCTTCAAAATCTATCTCTCAAGAGTAGGAATCATTTTTTTATTTTCAACAATAGTGGAAATTTCATAGGTGCTTGTTGGGTGCCGTCATACTCTTTCCCAGACTTCCAAAGCATCCTGTTTTCCTGTCTGCATTAGAGTTCTTGGTTGTAAGCAACAGAAACAGACTCTGGTAAATTAAGTAAGGAGAAACTTACTGCAAAAACAGGCAACATCCCCAGAATCAATCAGTGATGGACATTTGGGTTTGGCAATGTATAGGAGCAAAGGAGATCCGTCAAACTGATGAACAGGAAACAAAGCCGCCATCTTGCAGTCGGAATAGTGTCTTCAGGGTGACACTCTAACACTGCTATCCAGATGAATGACCTTCAGCCATTCTCTTTGCCTTTGTGGCTTGGATTAGACAGTGCTCTCCAGAGAAAGGGAGCCAACAGGATAGATAGATGGTTGGATAGATTGACAGACAGACAGATAGATTATTGATTGATTGATTGAGAATAGAATAGAATAGAATAGAATAGAATAGAATAGAATAGAATAGAATGGAATGGGGGATTTATTGTAGGAATTGGCTCACATGATTATGGAGGCTGAGAAATTTCACAATAGTCATCTGCAGGCTGGAGAACAGGGAAAGTAGGTGGTATAATACAGTCTGAGTTCTACAGCCTGAGAACCAGAAAAGCCAATAGTGTAACTCCCAGTCTGAGGTCAAAGGCCTGTCATCCACTGGTGTGAGTACCAGAGCCCCAGGGTCCTATAAGTAGGAACCCCAAAGTTCAAGGGCAAGAGAAGATGGATATCCTAGTACAAAGAGAGAATTCATCCTGCCTCTGCCTTTTTTTTCTACTCTGTTTGGGCCCTCAACAGTTCAGATGGTGTCAATACCCTGCATTGGTGAGAGCAGAACTTCTTTACTCAGTGTACTGATTCAAATGCTAATCTCTTCCAGAAACACCCTCACAGACGTACCCAGAAATAACGTTCTATGAGCTGTATCTGTTCATTCCTTAGCCTATCCAAGTTTTCACTAAAATTAACCTTCAAATCACTCTTGCTTAAGTCAAAAATCTCAAGACTCTAATTTCTCAAGCTTAGGCTATATTCTCACTCCCTGGCTATACCATGGAGTTGGGGGAAAAAGATATAGACTCCCCAACTCCCATAATGAGAGAAAACCTCCCAGACATATAGTCACATATAATCACACACAGTAAAGAAAAGATAAATTCCCCAAAGAAGAGGATGCTCTCAGAAAAGGTGAATACATTTGGAATAGGAAGAGTAACTGCAAATATTCTCTGTGTTATTCACTTATTTTCTCTATACCATTGCAACAGATTCCATTCTCTCAGGATCTTTCTTTCTTCCTGGGAAATGATTGGTTTAATGACTTTAGATATTTGACATCTGAAGACAATGTTCTTTCTTTCAATCATCCATCCATCCATTTATTCATACACTCGATTCATTCCACAATACATTTGAGTACCCAGTATTTGCTAATCATTGAACTGAATGCTCAAGAGAAGAACCGGCAAAAACAGAAATAGTCCTTGCCCTCATGAAACTTATTGTGTGGTAGGTAGACAATACCCAAGAAAGTACATAGATTAAAAATAGTTTTAAGTGTCACTAAAGACATAGGAATATGGTCCAATTTGTCAAGAGGAGTAACATTTCTTGAGGAAGAGCTGTTGGAACAATTTGAGAGAAAATTATAAGTTATTAGGTGAAAGAACATGTAAGAGATGTCCTAGGCAGAGGAAACAGTAAGTGGAATGGCCCTATAGTGAAAGTATCATGATATATTCAAAATCTGAAGGAAGCCACTATATTTGAATAAAGAATGTGAGGAAGAAAGTTGCAGGCAAGTAGGCTAAGGCAGAGGTGATCCAGGGCTGCCTCACTCAGAGCTTCAGAGGGCATGTTAAGGAGTCTGCTCTTTATCTGAAGAGCTATGCATTACCTTTTAAGAGTTTTAAGAGGAGAGATAATTTGATGAGATGTGTATTTGAGGTAGCTCACAAAGACTGCTTTATGGGATAATCAATTGTAGCGAGCAGGGCTAGTCTTGGAAATTGATCGAAGGCTACTGTAGGAGACCTTGTTATTCGAATTAAGGTGGTGACAGTGGGGAGAAAGAGAGAGAGAGATGTACATAGATTTAAAAAGGTACTTTAGAGGTAATATCAATGGCTTAGTGATGGAGAGTGTCAAGGGATGAGATGTCAAGGATGACAATCAAATGCATGTGCCACTTACTGAGAAAGGTGACACCAGGAGAGGACTGGGTATGAGATAAAAGTTACAGTTTTAAGTACTGGTCATAATCAAATTCAAATTGCTTTTGTGCTGGTCAAATTCAATATGACCAGCACTTAAAACTAACTTTTATCTCATACCTGGTCATCTCCTGGTGTTACCTCTCAGTGAATGGCATATGCATTTGATATGGCATATGCATTGAATTTCATTAATTCAATATGGTGTAAGAGCATGTAAGAAATGTCCTAGGCAGAAGGAACAGTAAGTGGAATGACACTTGAATTTGAGACTCATATTGAGCCTCAAATTCAATATGACCGGTCCTTAAAGCTGTAACTTTTGTCTCATAGCTGATTCTCTCCTGGTGTCACCTCTCTCAGTGAATGACATATGAGCCAATTCCCACAATAAATCTCCTCTTCTTCTATCTATCTATCTATCTATCTATTATCTGTCCATCATCTACCTAAAGATATTTAAGTGGCGATGTCAAGTAGAGAAGTAAGTGCATAGGCCTGAAGCTTGGAATTTTAGATACCTTCAAAGGTCAATAAGGGAGAAAGACTTTTAACCTACTAAATCTCATAAACGGGAAAAAAAATCCCTGTTTATTACAATGAGTAATTACTGTGTCAAAAGTAAATACAAGACTAACTGTAGCCATTTACAAAATTATAATAAATTTTCTGGACTTTCATGTTAAGGTGGAAGAATAAAATAAAAATTCCCCAATTAATACTCCACTCCTTCATGAATCCTGGTCAAAGTTGTCTTTCTTTTCCTATTCACGTCAGTCACTGCAGTAAACAATTCCTTTGGCTTCTATTGCCAACCTGCTAATTCTTTCCCTTTCTGCTCATCAAATATTTTTGTGAAGCACCCCAGAGCTTTAGTCATTTATGAGTTCATGTGTGGGTCAGGTGTGTTTCTTTGTATTTTTGGTTTTCTACATTTTTTTCCGTTATATTATGAACTTTTCATGGAGTAGCAAAGGTGTTGTTATTTATTAATGAGATTATATAATCATAAATAGGAAACAGACCCTTGAGTGAAAAAATTAGAATTCCTCAAACACAGTAAATCAAGCCAACAGAAAATCCAATAGCTCATGTAACTAAAAAACCTTAATGTCATATTATTATCATGCTTGTATTATCTACCCACTCAATAGGTTCAGCTTGCTTTCCGGTTTCCAAAACATCAGTAAATATTTACTTACCTTATTCATCTTTGTTAGCTTTTAAATCTCTTGAGAAGAAAACTGGTCTCTTTCAAATGATTATTTATCAAGGCCAAAGCCTCTGTGGGAGTTTGAGTAGGAAACCATAGCTCATTTTAAATGACGACATTTAGATATATAAAGGAAACTCTTGACAGTGTCTGGAAGTAGGAAATGTTATCAGTCTCAGAAGCCAAACTTTGATTTAGGCAGGAGACACTAGTGCAGTATGCCTTTGAGCTGTCATATTTGCTATTTTGGGAGGCTTCTTTATACTGTACACACTACCTCAATTTCTAGATGTTTTTAGAAAACAGCTCTGAAACCTCTAAAGACTTTGCATACATGTTCTAGTCATCATCTCTGTGAAATGCACCTGGGGCCACCACTTAGTATTTCTTCTTCTCTGTCACTGCCTCTACCCAGTTCCTCAACCCTTTCACCTACAATGCTTCAAATTTTCTTATACTAAAGCTTATATTTCTTGATGCAAATACTTCTAGGAATGGTGATTAATAAAAACCTAATCCTTGAAATATACCTTGTGTGACTATATGAATCAGATAATTTCCTAACAGAAGTGTCTGACCACAATAGGGTAAAGATATATATATTGTGATGATGAGCAAGCTGGATCAGAGAAGATAGCATAATAGATGAGGAAAAGTAAGGAGAGGCTCAGGTGACTGGAGGCAATCTTTGAAGGTAAGCTTGCCTCAAATCAGGGCTTTACATTTCTTATACAGATGACTTCCCACAAGTGTTTTAACCATTTTGTCATTTAAATATCTCAATAATCCAGAACCCTCAATTTAAATATCAGTCTTACTGTTAACTCTATTGATAAAACAAATGCAGACACACTCTGTACAAACACTTCTTAAGTATAACCTTGTAGATACTTTGGGGTGAAACAAGTTTCCCATTATAAGAATGCAGGACATTTTGAGTAGATGGTTTATTATGAGAGGAAATCACAGTCAAATAACTAGAGTTCCCAACCATTAATTCTTTTTTCCCAATTGATTTGATAGGGATAGAAATGTCTTGTAAGCTAATGAGATGTTGTACGTTTTGGCTGTTGATTTAATTCTGCATCGATGACCTGAAAAACATGTTCTTCTGTTAGAAGAGTGATTACATAGAATAAGAAGTGGAGTAAATAAAGATATTAATCTGGAGTGGTTGATTATATTGCTGTTAAATAATTAAAATAATGCCAAATGATGCCAGTGATTACTGAGCTGGGAAATTCAGGGATCACCTAATCCCTTTTCAACTCTGAAAGTCCACATTAGCCACTCAGTAAATAATACATTTTTATTTATTCATAGTATTATAAGGTTGAATAAAGTTAGGGCCCTGTTTTTAAAAAGATCACTGTTGTTCATCTCTGGGTTGTCCTATACCATTTTTTCTTCTCTTTCCCTTCCTTTCCCCTGTCTGCCCTCTTTTCTCCCTTCCTGAGCTAACTTTACTCTTACAATCACAGTATAAGTCAAATTATTTGTCTACTCATAGAATCTTACTTTTTCGCCCACATTTCCCCTTCTCATACTTAGAAAAAAATCCTACGTGAAAGACATTAATAAAGAGAGAACTTTTGATCTGTATTCTAGCTTTTCCTTTTGTAAAACACAATTATTCTTATTTGATAAATTTGCGTCTTACAATGTAAGCAAGAGTGTAATCATCTAATGAGTTTACCATACTTTGGCACAACCAATATATACAGGTACTCTACAAGTATAATGTGATTGATAGAAAATATTTTTTTATTTTACAGGAAAAGTGTGATTGTGATATGAAAACTTGCATGATATTCAAAGCATAGCAATGTATATTGTCAGGAGAGGCTTTGATCAACATCTCTGCAAATCTTTGCTGTGTATCAAAGCATGACAAAGGCTGGTTCACTGCAGTTGCTGCCACTGTTACTGTTAGTTACTGCTATGAGTACAATTTTACCTCAAATTATAGCAAATGTGCACAGATTTTTTTGTGTGTAGGTAAGATGCCATCATTTTGTTCACCTAATTCTCATTAATATCCTCCAGCCCTCTTTCAAACTGGTTTTAGAATTTCTCATGTCCTCATTCCTGGATTCACACCTTTCACTCCAAGCTGACGGTCTGAAAATGTTATCACACTTATTCAATTCAATTTGAAGTATTTTAAAAAAATTATCTCTCATATTTTTCTTGCTCCTGGCAGACAAGATCAACATAGCGTCAGCCAAAAAAGTACAAGTTAAAAGTTAATGAATGTGAAATATGAAATTTGGACAAGGAATTATATCTTACCTTCCTCATTTCAAAACCCCTTTCTCATTAACTCTGGTTCAAAGCAGAGACTGTCTGTTTCAAGGTAGGATTAGAAACTGAGCAAAGAATGAATTCCTTAGAGTATTATTGCATTGACTTTGGTCTTTTAGGGATCTGGAAAGAGATCTGATTCTTGAAGTAAAGTAGTGTCCTGAATATTTCAGACCTTGAAGACTATGAAATTATTTTAAATAAGGAGAAAAAAGAGCAATATGTTTAACAAATACTACTTAAATAAGGAACAAGTAAAACAAGAGAGATGTAATATCTTTCTCTCTCTCTCTCTCTCTCTCTCTCTATATATATATATATATATATATGATACACACACACACACTTTCATCTTGCATCTGAAATAACTAAACAAAATTTTGGGCAAAAATACCAAATGTTATATTTTAATATAAAATTAATATACCATAAAACATTAAAATTATTTATTACAATTTGTTTCTTGGATGCCCTGCTAGAGTCAGAACAAGTCCAGTGTTGGACAATAAAATAAAAAGAAATATTACTAAATGTAAAACTTATGAAATATGCCTGGTGTAACAAAAAATAATTTTTAAATGTCCAATCTTAAAGTTAAATACAAACATATCAACAATCAGTGACCAATGAGTTGAATCCACATAGTATATATATTTTTTATTCTTTTTACTCTTCTACTAATAAAAACTTGGGTGGAGGGGAAGTCATTGCAAGCAAAACACATGCAAGAAATGTTGAAATAGAAGTACCTACGTGAGCTTAGTTGCAAAATACCAAAAGACACTGATGATGAATTCTCTTTTCATTCTTTACTAGGCCCAGTAAACCAAAAAAAAAAAAAAAAAAAAAAACTTACCTTGTGATGTATTTATGCCAAACCTGTTTTTTAAAGGAATATTGTTCACAGACCAAGAAACTCCATTCTCTTTACTGAACCTCAAAAGAATTTATTTGCATTTTGGATATCAAAATATCAAGAACTCCAAGGAAAAAAATAATCAAACAAAATGTTTTTTTTTTACTATTGTTTCTTTTACATTTTACTCAAGATAAAATTAAGACTAATGATCAAATATAACCCACTCTGATTCCTTAGCTCTCTGCCTGTGAGGCTGTTGTCTCTGTTGGAGAGGTTCATTCTTATGAAACCTGTTACTTTTATGTTACTCTTATGAAACCTGTTTCTCATTTGGGGTTCTGAGAGGCAGGGCTTCTTGTCTTCTCTAACAGAAATGTTACAAAAGAGCAATCAGTGGCAATTTATAATATCCTGTTTGTCTATGTGATAAAAGAATTGTCATTTAGCAAATGACCAAGAGGCTTGACCTGCTACATAGGATTTTCTAAGGATCTTTGGTAGTATCCCCCAATCCTGAAATGTAGAAAGAAACCAGATATTCCTGGTTGCTAACGTTGAGGAAATACCTCCCGTTTGGTTTCCACATTGGGTTGAGCTACCCTCATTTAAGGAAGTTTTCAAAGAACACTTGCATCCCTCTGTACTCTCTCTTCTGTTAGGAAGAAGGGTCTACTCTGAGTGTCTAACATGCACTGATTGGGTTGCATTTTCCCAGTGAGTGACATCAGGGTGCAAAGGATATTTGCCTTGTGTTTGACATCACTTGCTTCTTTTGCTTGTGAATTTTGTGCACTAGACATGCCTGACAAATCCTTCCCTACTTCCAGCCCTGACCCCTATTATGCAGAATAGGCAGTCATTTTCACTGTGCTCCACCTATCTGTGACCAAGTGGCTGTAGGCATGGTGTTCGTAGTTTAGGGGAGAAAGAGTTCCAATTTGGGCCTCAGTTTTGGGCTCTTATAAGCCGTGCTTAGTAACTGTACAGATTAGTAAAACTGCTGCTTTGTTTCTCACTTAGCTAGTGATGCAAATGTGTACAAATATGTATCATCTCTTGGTCTGAACTCCAGAAAGGAGGTAGAACAAATGACATTCCCTATACCTCATATATAACAAATTTAAAATACCACAAGATTTTATTAATTATTGTAGTATTTTCTAAGTAATGGAAATGATGATTAACATCATATTTCTTTTTTAGCCATGAAATCAATGATTTCAAAATGCTTTCAGGGTTTGACAGGCTGTGTTTAGATTCAATATTGTGTGTTAAGGGTTTTTATAGTTTTGTATAGGCTTGTATAAGGCAATAGAGGCTCATTGTGGATTAATAATTTTCATTGCCACATTTGTCACCAAAATGTGTCCTGTTTCCTTGATTTGAAATGAGAGAGTCAAGATATAATATCTTGTCCAAATTTCACATTAAAGCTGTGAACTTATATCTCTCCCATCAACATACCATCAGCTAAAAAAGTACAAGTTAAAAGTCATCAACTAAATAAAATCTTGTCTGCCAGGAGCAAGAAAAACATGAGATAATTTTAAAAATATACCAATAAGTGTGATAACATTTTCAGGCTGTTGGCTTAGAGTAAAAGGTATGAATCCAGGAATATGGACATCAGAATTTCCTAAACAAGTGTGGAGGGTAGCTAGAGAGTATGAATGAAAATTAGATGAACCAAATGATAGTATCTTATCTGTGCAATAAATCTGTGTACATTCCCTCTAATTTGAAGTCTAATGTCTCTGTGTAAGGTGTCACAATTAACCCCTATTAATCTATCCATCCATCCATCCATCCATCCATCCATCCATTCATCTACTCATCCTTTAATCAAAGTACATATTGAATACTTGGTATAACTCAGGTACAAAAATATGCAGAAATTTACCCAGAAAGCAAATATACCTGGAAACTCAGACATTTTTTCCAGAGTTCTCTCTTCTTCCTACCTTCCATATTCAGTTTCCCAGTCTCACGGGTTTTACGTCCTTAGTTGTATTAGATTACGTTCCCTTTTTCTTTATTCCTACTAACACCAACTGGTCCAGCTCCTCACCACTTACCAAACAGAATACGATACTATTCTGTAAATCAGAGTATATGACTCTTCAAGGAGGAAGCACAGATCAGACATGGGAGTGTTTTTAATGAGAGTAGACTTTGGATCCCAGCTATCTGAAGTTCTTGGAAAAGAAGAGGTAGCAGTGGCAGATAGAGAGAAGGAAAGCATTGGCCTAGACATAACTTTTGTAGCAGTATTTGACTTATTTCGTCCTACTCCCTTTACATTCTGCTTTTTATGGCCTATAATTACTTTTCAAAGAAGGGACTATCTGTATGTTAAATTGGTAACTCATAGAAGTTAAAAGGTTGCTGTAAATGAGTACCTGTCCATATTCACTTTTTTTTAAACCTACTCTTTCTTTAGGGAGGGATAGAATTAGAAAATGTTTTCCTAGTGAGCACTAGAAGAAAGAATAGGTGCTACTGAAGGAGAAGAGATAATAATGAAGAAGTTGGAGATCCTGAAGACAAACATCCAAACTTCAAATTCGATTATTTTGATTCATACTGATTGTCATTATTTTCTAAAGAAAAAATTGGTTTGTGTCTGGTTCTTCTGAGATAATACTGCTTAAACCATGGTATAAACTATGAGTATAAGAACTTACTGGCATCTTGATGCTGGAAACTAATAAGCCAGATGTACTGGAAACTAATAAGTCATATATATATATATATATTTATATTTCAAAACAGTCTATAAATCGAAGTATTTTTGAAAGCTCATAGGAGACCCCATTTAGAACAATAGAGCCAGACTACAACTTTGAGAGAGTGAGGTTTTACTTTTCAGCAGGGATGTCGAATCTTTTGGCTTCCCTGGATTACATTAGAAGAGGAAGAATTGTGTTGGGCCACACATAAAATACGCTAATACTAATGATAGCTGATGAGCTAAAAAAAATCGCAAAAAAAAAAATCTCAGAATGTTTTAAGAAAGTTTACGAATTTGTGTAGGGCCACATTCAAAGTTGGCAGCCTGCTGGTTGGACAAGCTTGCTATTCAGTATGGGTGTCAATGTCCTAGATCCCCCAAACAGGATATTGCAATTTAAACAATTCCCTTGGGGAAAGGGAAATAGTCATGTTGTTATTCTTTAACCATGGACAAGCTTTGAAATAACTGAATAGGGTATTCAGAAACCTAATGAACTATGCTGTAAATACTATTGAAACTTCAGTTTCAAGGTGGGACATGGTTATTACGCAGTATTTTCTCAAGGGCATGCAAGGACACTAAAAATCTCCACTGCTATGTGTGTTCCATATGCATACTGGATTTTAAAATACCACAAGGGGTTTGGATGTGTAGGTAGGTAATCAAGAGGCAGCAGTGTGAACTACTTTTAAAAGTAGTTGCATTATGGACAAATATATAATTATATGTCGCCCAGGCTGGAGTTCAGTGGTGCATTATGGCTCATTGCAGCTGAGAAATCCTGAGCTTAAGCAATCCTCCTGCTTCAGCCTCCCAAAGTGCTGGGATTACAGTTGTGAGCCACCGCATTTAGCCTATATGTTCCTTGTCATGTGAAAAATTCTATAGTTTTGTTTATTTTTGAGCAGATAGTTTTCTGTTTCTTTTGAAAAGCATGAGAAATCTGATTCAATCTTATTTCAAAATGGGTTGATTTTTTTCGATAGTGATAAAGACATACTCATAAAATATAAGCTGAGAATTTGAAATGTGTATGTAGTAATATATTACTTTTCTGCAGACTTCTGGGAAGAGAAGCCTGAAAGTCAAAATAACACATTAAGTGAATGGAGGAAACTAGTGAGAAGAGCTGCTGTGGATGTTTCATTTGAATGCTTTATTTAAAGATCTCTTCTACAGCTATAGGAGCTTATTGGACGACAACACAAAGGCTGGTGATGTGACACCCCCTGCTGACCTGCGGGAGAATGCTATGTCGTTATCCTTGAGCATTTACTCCCAAGTCTCCAGGCCTTTTCCATCAGTTATTATGACTGATGATATGCTATGTTTCTTCATCTCAGATTACAAGGAAAATTGGTAATTTCAGGAAAGCTTAGAAGTTGGTTTGAGAAGTTGGCCCATTCTTATCTTTTACTCTTAGCTTTTATAACATCAAAGCAATTCCAGTAATGAATGTGTTGTCTTGGAATTATGTCGTCAGTCTTGGATTATACTAAATTATTTAGGCCAATTATATTAGATCAATTTTACAGACACAGAAACTAAGGTTAGTAAACAAGATAGATGAAATGATATATGCTAAATACAGTGAAATTCGTTTTTTATTTGTTGGGTTTTTGTTTATTGTTTTGACAGTCAGATTAGTGGGGTTGGTATACACTCACGTCTCTAGAGAATCTAAGAGCCTTTTCTATTTTTCCAATGCCTATAAGTAGGGACCAAAGACCAAAAGTGGTCTCTTTCTGGCCGCTTCCAGAAGGGAACGTCAGACCCAATAGCATTTCTGATAACTGTTGGCTTAGAATTTGATCCAGCTTTGGGTCTTCTAATGGACAAAGATGTGAGATCATTTTCTGTCCTTTTAAATTCTTGTGTTAATTCTCTAAAGCTCCTAAAACTTAGTGATTTGCATTACGCAACACTTGAAGAAAGTGGCAAAGCTGGAGCTACAATTTGATTCTAAGTTTACATAAACTTGAGAATAGGAACCAGATCTTCCTAAAAGTGCTATATCGCCAAGTAGGAATAATTTTTGCTAAAATTTTTGGTAAATTTCTTTGCCAATTGAGGAATTTGTGTTAAAGTCCCACAAAAATGTTGACTTTATTATAGATTGCCAGTGCATATCATTTAAAAGTAAATATTTTAGATCTCAAGTTACTGAAAGCCATTTATTCAATGTATTCTGTTGAAAAATATTTTAATATTATAGTCCCTCCTCTATTCTCTCTTCCTTCATTTGGGACACATTCATGTTTCTTATCAAAGAAAAAGAGATGCTAAATTCAGATTAAGTATCTCGGCACTTACTCAGATAAAGTAACTCAGCACTTGGAGTAGCAGCTGGCACATGGGAAGGGACCATAAGCATTAGCTATCATCAGAAGGCTCTAAAGCAGTAGTTCTAAGAAGGTGACACGTGGATACCTGGGCAGTCTGCAAAATCTTATCAGGAGGTTCATAAGGCAAAATATCTTCATAATATTTAGGTATTATTTGCCTTGCCATCATTATTTACCATCGCTAGTAGTCACTGGACTCTTTATTAGAAGTACTGGTGCCAGTTTTAGTAGTCATTGCATATTTACCACCACACAATATCAATTAAAAGAAAAGAATAGGATGCTCGTGAGAGCCAGCCATGGTGGCTCACGCCTGTAATCCCAGCACTTTGGGGAGGCTGAGGTGGGAGGATCGCTTGAGCCCAGGAGATTGAAACCAGCCTGAGCAACATAGTGAGACCTTATATCTATATATATATTTTTTAATTTAGCTGGGCCTGGTAGTGTGCACCCATAGCCCAGGAGTTTGAGGGCTGCAGTGGGCTGTGATTGTGACACTGCAGTCCAGAAGTCAGCCTGGGCAACAAAGCAAGACCCTGTCTGAAACAAAACAAAACAAACAAACATAAAAAACGAAAGAAAGAAAAAAAATGCCCTTGAGAACTACTAAAAATTAGTAACATTATTAAATCCCAACTGTTGAGTACATATCTTTTTAATATTCTGTGTGATGGAAGGGAAGAATGCATGAAACACTTGCGTCACACTAAAGCATGGTGCTGTTTTTAGGAAAAGCATGTATGTAATTGAGCTGTGAGCCATCTTTTATGAAATACCATTTTGAAAGACCAAGTGACAGACAAACTATGGTTATTTAGACTTTAGTATTTGGCAGACATTTTCTCAAAAAATAATGGAATGAGTCTGTTGTCACCTCAAGGAAACAACTAACAGGATTTGTTGCCAATAATAACATTTGAGGTTTCACATGAAAGTTAGAATATTGAGAAACTTCCAATATTCCAATATCTTCCACTATGGTCTTGATAGTTTTTAAATACTTAAAGACTTTCCTGATGAAACTAGTAGTGATATTATCAAACATGATGTTTCATTTTCTGTAATAAAATGTGTAATTTCTCTTATTCAAGCAGCAGAGACAGAAAACAAAAGAACCTGAAATAAATGAAATATGTCAATATTTTAAAGAGTTACATAACTAAACGAACCAATGTTTTTCTTTTTTAAAAAATTTTATTATTATTATACTTTAAGTTTTAGGGTACATGTGCACAATGTGCAGGTTTGTTACATATGTATACATGTGCCATGTTGGTGTGCTGCACCCATTAACTCGTCATTCAGCATTAGGTATATCTCCTAATGCTATCCCTCCCCTCTTCCCCCACCCCACAACAGGCCCCGGTGTGTGATGTTTCCCTTCCTGTGACCATGTGTTCTCATTGTTCAATTCCCACCTATGAGTGAGAACATGTGGTGTCTGGTTTTTTGTCCTTGCGATAGTTTGCTGAGAATGATGGTTTCCAGCTTCATCCATGTCCCTACAAAGGACATGAACTCATCATTTTTTATGGCTGCATAGTATTCCGTAGTGTATATGTGCCACATTTTCTTAATCCAGTCTATCATTATTGGACATTTGGCTTGGTTCCAAGTCTTTGCTATTGTGAATAGTGCCGAAATAAACATACGTGTGCATGTGTCTTTATAGCAGCATGATTTATAATCCTTTGGGTATATACCCAGTAATGGGATGGCTGGGTCAAATGGTATTTCTAGTTGTAGATCCCTGAGGAATCGCCACACTGACTTCCACAATGGTTGAACTAGTTTACAGTCCCACCAACAGTGTAAAAGTGTTCCTATTTCTCCACATCCTCTCCAGCACCTGTTGTTTCCTGACTTTTTAATAATCGCCATTCTAACTGGTGTGAGATGGTATCTCCTTGTGGTTTTGATTTGCATTTCTCTGATGGCCAGTGATGATGAGAATTTTTCATGTGTTTTTTGGCTCCATAAATGTCTTCTTTTGAGAAGTATCTGTTCATATCCTTTGCCCACTTTTTGATGGGGTTGTTTGCTTTTTTCTTGTAAATTTGTTTGAGTTCATTGTAGATTCTGGATATTAGCCCTTTGTCAGATGAGTAGGTTGCAAAAATTTTCTCCCATGTTGTAGGTTGCCTGTTCACTCTGATGGTAGTTTCTTTTGCTGTGCAGAAGCTCTTTAGTTGAATTAGATCCCATTTGTCAATTTTGGCTTTTGTTGTCATTGCTTTTGGTGTTTTAGACATGAAGTCCTTGCCCATGCCTATGTCCTGAATGGTATCGCCTAGGTTTTCTTCTAGAGTTTTTATGATTTTAGGTCTAACATGTAAGTCTTTAATCAATCCTGAATTAATTTTTGTACAAGGTGTAAGGAAGGGATCCAGTTTCAGTTTTCTACATATAGCTAGCCAGTTTTCCCAGCACCATTTGTTAAATAGGGAATCCTTTCCCCATTTCTTTTTTTTTGTCAAGTTTGTCAAAGATCAGATAGTTGTAGATATAATATTTTTCAAATGATGAACACATTATGCTACAAAGTCATGCATAGTTAAAAGATCTATTCCAAGTACAAGACAGACTAATGGATTCTAATGTAAAAAAGCACGAAAAGTTAATTGCTATCTGGTTTAAGATTCCACATTTCAGCTCACCTTTAAGAAATTGCCACTTGTCAAGTTTTGATTGGTATCAAAGAAGAGTACTGATAATTTTCTAAAAAGGCTGTTAAATACTTCTCTTTTTTCAACAGCATATCTGTGAGGTTGGATTTTCTGAATCATATACTTCAACCACAACAGTATATTGCAATTGACTGAATACAGAAACAGTATAAGAATCCAACTCTCTTCTACTCAGCCACACAGGAAAGAGATTTGCAAAAATGTCCAATAATATCATTCTTTTCCCTAAGTCTTCTTTGTTTGGAAAATATAGTTATTTTTCATAAAAGTGTATTAAGTTTAACATACAATGGATTTATTATTGCTATTTAAAAACAAATATATAGACAATCGTTTTAAATCTTTCTGTCTTGATATCAACTATAGTAGACAATAGCTATAACCCATACAATCAAAAGCTCTTTTAAGGTCTCAATAATTTTAAAGAGTGTCAATGATTTTGAGACCACAGAGTTTCAGTAAATATCTATTGGGTAATTGTTTAGAACATAGTATCTCCTCAGTTTAGGACTCTAGAAAATAGGATGAGGACTATAATTGTGTGCAGAAAATCAACTGGAATATAGCAACAATGTGATAATGGGAAATTTGTTATAAAAATCATTTGCTTTGAATTAAGGAGAAAGAAACAATTGGTTGTGACTAGAGGCATATACTAATTAATGAAATTTTTTTAGAGGCTAGTTATGATTTAGTTTCAGCTGGAGAATTGTGAAGTTATTGTTTACTGTCTTGTCAGCGTAAGGGTAGTTATCAGTGGAGATATCCACGGTGAAATTTAGGAATATACATGCATTTCAATATGTTTGAAATTAAAAAAAAAATATGTTTGAGATTATGTCTATGAAGCTAGCTTCATAAGAGTAATTTCTTAGATTTCCTTCTTCACTCTACAAACCAGAGTAGTTTCACTACAGTGTCTGTACTGAGGATATACAGACTTTTTTCTTGTTATTATTCCCTAAACAATACAACAACAATTTATATTGCATTTACATTGTATTAAGTATTACAGGTAATCTAGAGGTTACAAGAGGATATGTGTAGGTTATATGCAAACATGACACCATTTTATATCAGTGACTAGAGCATCTGCAGATTTTGGTATCTGTGGGAAGTCCCGAAACCGATCTCCTATGGATCAGTGAGGGATGACTGTATGTAGATATATAGGAAGAGATTTATTATGAGAATTGGTTCACATGATTATGGAGGCCAGGAAGTCACACAATATGCCATCTACAAGCTGGAGAACTAGGAAAGCCAGTAGTGCAATTCAGTCCAAGACCAAAGGGCTGAGTACCTGAGGGGCCTGTGGTATAACTTCCACTCCAAGACTCAAGGCCTGAGAGCTGAGGGACTGCTAGTGTAAGTTCCAGAGTCCAAAGGCCCTAGAACCTGGATCTCTGAGGTCCCAGGGTGGAAGAAAGTGGATGTCCCAGCTCTGGAAGAGAGAGCAAATTCACTCTTCCTCCACTTTTTTGTTCTATTTGGGCCCTTTATGGATTGGCTGATCCCTGCCCGCATAAGTGAGGGCAGATCTTCTTACTGGGTGCTTTGATTCAAATGCTAATCTTTCCCAGAAACACCCTACAGGCACACCCAGATATAATGTTTTATTACCTATGTGGGTATCATTTCACAAAGTCAAAATCATATAAAATTTATTATCATACTCCATAAGAGTGTTTATTACTGGCCAGGGGCAGTGGCTCAAGCCTGTATTCCCAGCACTTTGGGAGGCTGAGACAGTAGGATTACTTGAGCTCAAGAATTCAAGATGATCCTGGGCAACAAGCAAGATCCCCTCTCTCCAAAAAAAAAAAAAAAAAAACAAAAAGGAAGTTGGTCATAATGGCCCATGGTAGTCCCAGCTACTTGAAAGGTTGAGGTGGGCAGATCATTTGAGCTTAGGACTTCAAGCCTGGGTGACAGAGCGAGACCCAGTCTCAAAAAAAGTGTGTTATTTTATTATTATATTTATTATTACAACTTTTTTTTCATAGATTTGTGTGTGTGTGTGTGTGTGCACGCATGCGTGTGTATTTTTATGTCCTCAATTAGTTTATGAACTATTGGAAGGGAAGTGTTAAGTCATTCTTTATTTTGAATACTGCTGAGTAATTACTGTGTAATAGAGTTGAATAAGGCTTATTGGATGTAGAAGTGAATTTTCACAGAAAGAAAAATGAGGAGGGCTGTGGTAACCCATGAGTGATTTTTGCTTGTTTTGTTAAGGGAAAAACATACAGCATGGCGAGTTAGCAATGTGGAGACTAATGCTGCTCTAAGTGAGGGATTGTCTCACAGTGACGAAAACGTCTTGCTACTGAAATCTTTTAAACCACAATAATTTTTAAAAGATTCCAAGATAAATAATTCGTATGTCTTGAATTTAGAATGAGGCCAAAATTCTGCAGGGAAGGAATGAACCAAAAAAGAGAAGATGTAAGTATGAATCAACATGAAAAATGAAACTGTATTAGAAAATAAGTTTGGCTAAATTCTGGGAAGGTACCTTGCCTCTCTCACACACACACACACACAAAACCTTATTGAAGAGATTAAAGCCGAAGTCATCTACATAGTTCAGTTACTAACATTCAGTGATGTAATCTATATAAACTGTAATATTCAATCAACTGAAGGATTAGCAGTTTATAAAAAAAGATTCTGGTACTACATAGAAACCACAATGAGATTAATACATTGCCAGAATAAGAAATGCTATTAAATTTCCAATAATAAAATGCTGATGCAAATCAACATATACTATAATAAATTCTTATCCAATGAAAATGTACATGGTTAAAAATAGGCTGAAATAAGCTGGCAAGAAAAGAAGTATAGCGCCACACGTATGTACCTATGTGGGAAGAGAGAAATACAGTAAATAAGCCTGATAAACAGAGGACTCAAATGGGTATGATGAAATCTATGAGTGCACCCAAGAAGATGATGTCCTGCCTGTCTCCTTGTTATTGTTTTTCTCCAATCTTTACACCTGGACCTACTTGACCCTGTGTACAGTACTTGGCTTTGTTTCAGATGCTGGAACCAAATCAAGGAAATGTAATGAGCCCTAAGTTAAGAGTTCACTCATCCAACCTCAAGTAAAAGCTGTTACTAATTCCTCTCTGACTTTGAGCCTTACCTAATTCTCATCCTCTGCCTCTTAAATGATGGAAGTGAGTCAGTCCCTCCTTTGTTTTCTGATTCTTTTGTTCCTAAGACGTGGCTGCTTTAGCATCCTGCTCAGGAACATATCATTTTCACCCCTTTCCTTCTTTGCTACAACATACAATCAATTCTTCTAAGTCTAAACGTACAACCAATTCTTCCTTTTGCTTTGCTACCAAATATAGAAAAATAGATTATAAGGCTTTGAACCATGTAAATTGAAAAAGCACTTAAAATATTACAAATCAAATTTTCTTTCCATTGAGGAAAGAATGGACATTCTGCAAGAACAAGTGAAAGAAAGTTAAGAAGAATGTTGCACCCTTTACATCTCGGTACTGAAGCACAGGGTCCACAGCAAACCCATCTGCACCTGACCATTGAGCCAGCACTTCAGCATCACATTCCAGGCTACTGGTGGAGTGAAAGATCTACTGTGCTCCGCGATACCTTTGGAAACACAATTAATTTACTTAGGTCTTCAATAGAGTTTTGTTAAACCCTTGCAATATGCCAACCAATGTGTTAGCTATTAGAGAGTCGTAGATGAATGAGCTGTGATTTTTGCCTTCAAGGAGCTCACTGTCTTGGTTGAGGAGAAGAGAAGGAGTTATGCTAATACATAATTATTGAGGTGGCTTTTGCCTTCAAGGAGCCCACTGTCTTGGTTGAGGAGAATAAAAGGAGTTTCTTTACATAAGAAATACATGCTAATACATAATTATTGCAGTGAAGAGGTGACGAGCTTTGGGATTTGGTGAAATTCAGACACTCTGATTAGTCACAACAAAGCTGTATAATGTCAGTCATAATTGGAATACAGTTTTATTTGAAAGTGTTTACTTTTTATCTCTTGAGAAGAAATCATGAAACTGTGATGGAAGATAAATATAAGGATTAAAAAATAGTAATCTCTAATTTAAAACTCTTACAGTATAGCAAGGGAAAAGAAATATCTATGTTCGGTGACATTAAAAAATAAAATCAACACCGTAATAATTACAATTTGGTTCAGCTTGAATAAACTGATAAAGGGCCTAATGACAAGAAACTGTTCTTAGAAGGTGGTTAGAGAAAAATGTTGAGAATAGTGGAGTTTTAAACCAGAACCTTAAGGTAATAATGGAAATAAATTATACTCCTATAGCTAAGTCTAGGTAATAGTTTATGCTATTAGTAAATTTGGTTGAAGGATGACAATTAAATATTGTTAGCTAAAGTAAAAAGAGGGTCAAATTGCTGATCAATAAAATATGAGTTAAGAGTTGGGATGGAGAAGGTTGAATTTAGGCTCGTGTGGATGTAGGGACTTGTGTGACAACCAATGGGCAGGTCTTGAGATTTTAAAACTAAGAGTCTAGTGAAACAGAAATCTAGTGGCTATGAGAGTCTGAAAGGCAGAAATTTAGGAGTCAGCTGCCAGCGTAGAGGTAGTGATTCACTTCTTCATTCATTAGTCTAATGTTTATTGATCATTTATTATGTTCCAAGAAGTGTTCTAGGCACAAGAGGTGAGGCCCCAAACTGTATATAACTTATATCCTAGCAGAAGGAATGAGAAATAAACAGAGAACAAAGAAACAAATGAGAACATCACCATATAAAAATTGCAATGCAAAAAATGAAAGTGAATAATAATGGAAGGAAGAGACTGACTTGTTCTTTAAAATTTGGGGGTGAGGAAAGAAAGTGGGTAGGGAAATGCTCTTTGAAAAGGTGGCATTTAAACTGAGACCTGAAGTCATACACACAGGGGTGTGTGGTTGGGAAGATCCTACTCTGGTGGAAGTATTCCCAGAAGACAGGCTAAATTCAAAACCCTGGGAGGCCAGTGTGGTCAAGGAGAAGACAAGAAACAAAATGGGTAAGCAAGCAAGATGAATAAGGAACCCAAGAAGGAAGGACTTCGGGAACTTAAAACACAATTCTGAGGTATATAGAAGCTGAGAACTAGCTCAGAGAGGAGAGCACCAGGGACCAAGGTGTGGGCATAGTTGTAAGGACTCTGTCACAGATAAATTGGGGCAAAGTCAGAATTTAATACACAATTTGCTGTAAGTAAGGTAACCAGAAGTTAGCTTGGAACTGAGCAATGTTTTCTGATGTAGGCCTTTAATAATTAATAATGATAATAATGACTATTATAGTATTCTATTCATCTACTTGTGATAGCCTTCTGTTTTCTTTCTTTGCCTTCATAGCTTTTACTCATCTTTGCCCAATGATTGAAATTCTGTTCCATCTTCCTTGACCCAGCTCCCAAATCTTGGCAGTTTAGGAGTCTTTACTCACCAATCCTCTAATACACAGTGTATTGCTTTTCCTAGATACTCACATTGCTTTCTGTTTGTATTTTTATACGTTGTGCCTATGTGAAGTTTCTCAGGGTGAGGGCCTATGTCGTATTCTTCTTTGTATCCCAATTAACTAACATAGTGTCCAAAACGAAAAAAGTACTCAGTGTATGTTTATTGATTGCATAAATGAATGAAAGTATATGTAGTTAATAGTTTACTCAAATCCTTTGTGAAATTAGGCAGAGCAAATATATAAAATAGTAATAGTTAAAATGTACAATATATATAATATATGGCAGGTGCTTTACTTAAATTATGTCTTAATTTTCACAGTAAGTCAATGTAGTAGAAAATAAACACATATACCCTTTAGATATGAATAAACTTGAGCTCAGAATGGATAAAAGGTAGTAGCAAGGTCATACATCTGATGATAGGCAAGGATGGGAAACAATGTTGAGGTCTTCCCACTACCTACATATTCTATCCAATTTGCCAGTGCACAGAGCGGATGAGGTTGAACACATTAATGTGTGTGAAGAAAGGAAAATTTCCTGTTGGAGGGCAGACAGTTCTTGATTGCTATGAACTTTTTTTGATTTTGTAGGCAATGAAGAGCAATGTAAGCTTTTGAGTGGTAGGATAACTGTAATATATTATGATGAAAATGATTATTGAGATAGTTATTCTTACTACTCTGGCTACTTTCTACAGGCTGAATTACAGAGAGACCAGTGAGGAGTTTATGACATCCCCCAGTTGTGGAGTTGTGAAGAATAGAGTTGGGGCCCTGGAAATAGAAAAAAAAATAATTTAAGTGATACTGAGTGGGATAAAATAACGGAACTTAAAATCTCATTAGATGTGAAATTACAAGGAGAGAGTTCATTCAAATATAGCTTCAGGAATATGAATGGATTTCAAAAGCATTAGGGAATTTGGTGCAGCATCTAACTTGAGGAAGGGCTAAACCCTGCTTAACGTTCATTACAAATTTTAAACATTCTAATGTCCATTTAAAAATCGTGAAATGGGTGAATGCAGATCAGTGCACAATCCATGTCTCAGTTCCTCACCTTACCAGTAAACTGGTAAGAGTTTTCTTAGGTGATCTCAAGGATCATTGTCCTCTCTAAATTCATAAAATTCTTTGAATTAGAGCCACTTCTTTCCTCTATCTAACCCTCTCTTTCCTTTCATCTTCTTATTTCAAAATTAGCCCTGAAAGAGACCATTTCTGGATGCACAAATGTGTACATATATACATAAATGTATGTGTATATATACAAGTATATAATTAGAAAACTTTTCCAGATTTTGTACATACAAAGTGCATTTTTTTTTGTTTTCAAGGCCTGGAAATGTTTGTGACTTTGCTTTTTAGATTCAGTAAGCATTGCTCAACATAACCACCTGATATTTTTTAAACTGCTTAGGATGGGGCTGATCAGTTTTCTGTTGTGGTTTCCTCTATAGCAATCATTTGATAAAATTCAACGGTTTACCCTAATTTTAATGATTTCAGTGTGTCACACCCTTCATAAATGGCCAAGAAACCCTGCTGTCCTCAATCATCAAGTTCAAGTATGTTACAGAGTCTTCAAAGTTCATTCTTAAAATTGATATGATAAATAGCAGCATACGAGTTGATGTTAATTATGACCCAGAATTCAAGCATCATGCCTTATCTTAAAAAAAAGCTCAACCAGAATTAGGGAGCATGATTGGGTAACACAAAGGAGAAGCATTACAGGAAAGCACATTATCATATATTAAATACAGAATACAGCTTTGGAAATTGTGGTGTCAATTCATCACATTGCCTTTTGAATTAATTGAGATGAACTATTGAGTCTACTATCCAGAATTTTAAAACCACAAGAGGAAAAAAGGACTTACAATACTAAGTAGAGGGGATTCATTCATTTGAAAATATTTATTGAATATCAATTATTAACATGTGCAGGCATCATGTTGGGAATTGCTTATATGACAGAGCACAAAATAGTCCCTTCCCTCCCAAAGCTTATTGTCTAGTCTATAAAACTGGTAGGAAATGTAAGTGTTGCATAAGTGATGAGAAGTTTTAAGATGGAGAATTACAGGTGAAATGGAACAAAAGGACAGAAGCTAGACTTTGGGTAGAGGAAAGGGGGATGTTGACATGGTAAGACCTTTCAGGAGGAAGTGACTTTTAAATTGAAAATTGAAAGTCATGCAGGCACCAGCAAGGCAGAGATGGTGGCAAAGGAATGGGCTATGTGTGAAAGTAATTAGATAGGAAAGACTATGGGATGCTCTTGAAATTGAAAGAAGTACAGTATTGCCTTGGAGTAAGGAGAAACAGGTGAGGCTGACTTGAATCAGGATGGGACCAGATATTTTGAGACCATGTTAAAGGAATTGGCGAGCCATGGAAGGAAAGTGACAAGATATTTGTGTACTAAAGTGATGATGACCATATTGCCTACTGTTAGGAAAAGATATGGGGAAAATGAGGAAAAGAGGGGAGCCCGTGTGTGTGTGTGTGTGTGTGTGTGTGTGTTTGTGTGTGATGAAAAATATATTGGATTGCTCTAAATCTGGGCAGTAAGGGAATGCTATCTGGCAGATTGTATTAACTGAAGAGACAGCAAATGGAAGTTTGGGATAATGATTTATCACATTATTATGCAATCTAACGAAGTCTTCCTTCTTGATGATCACACTCCTTAAGAGGTTGAAAACATTTGTACTGCAAAAAGAGTTTTAAGAGGGTAAAAGTTTCCTAGCTGTTCTGAAAAAAAGGTTTTAAGCCACGAATCCCAGACTTTTGGATATCAGGGATCAGGAGATCTCTTCCCTCCTTCACCCAGTAATAAACAAAAACAAAGTAATTCATATACAAATTTGGAATGCTATTTTAACACCAATGTTTAAGTCCATAATCTCGCAGTAAATGGTAAACCTTAGAATTCCTCTGAAAGGACAGTTAATGTCATTATTGTATATAGGATTTTTCTCATTTTTCTAGTTTGTCCACAAACTTACAACATTTTATCACATAAATAATGTTACAGATACTAAATTTTGTAGACCCAGCTCTAACTATAGCAGAGATGGGATGAAAATTGGTACAGCCTTCACCTGTGAACCAAGCACCCCCAAAGTCACTTAAAGAGCTTGAAATATGCCTGAATTCCACAGCTGAGCTGTTTAGGATAGACTAGAAGGAGGCTTAATCTCCCTATTCATGAAGAAGCCATATTATTAGTAGTTGCTTATTCATTAAAAGAGGGCAGATGTTTCTCAGCGAGTATTCCTTTGCGTGATGGCTGTTAGCTTTGGAAATATATCCCAGCAGAATGCCTTGATGACCACTCTCATGAGTCATTATGTTTTCATAAAAAGATGCTGAACGTGGCCTCAGAATAGGAACAGAAACTGAAAACCTCCTATTTTAAGACTTCCCTGACTTGTAATTTTTCTAAAGAACATACACATAAAATAAAATGGCTGTGTATATATTCATTTAGATTGAAACTATTCAGAAAATAATGATCAAGTGAACATTTCTGAAAACATGTTTGTTTCATATAGTAGGCACTGTATTTTTGTCTTTACAAATAGAAGTAAAGAGAAGTAATAGGTTATAAGAAAAGTTGATGAGTAATGATTCCCTTTTAACTTTATTCCTCGTTCATTCCTCTGGTGGAAGAGAGGTTTGGTAATAGGAAAATGTAATGCCATCTCTGCATAAAGCAGGTTTAAGAAGGTTTGTGAGTTTAATATTAACCTGGTGAAGAGTAAGACAAGCACATCTCTTACTAATATAGCAAGAAGAGTTTTTTTCAGAAGCTTAAACTCCTTGCTTCCTTCATCATTCGTTACATATTTTAAAACTGCATGAACACTGTTATTATTGGTTTAAGTTCTGCTTATGCAAAATGGTGAAGGAAACAAGCAAACACACACCATGGGCTTTGAAATCAGGAATACTTGAGTTTAGATCTGTGTTTTAACACTTTGTAAATTAACTTAGGCAATTTGATCATTTTAGGCCTCATTTGTACAATGTAGGTAATAACTTGCTGCAGTGCAATTAAAAATTAAATGAGAATAAATATGTTTTCCAGACCATTAATAAATGCTTGCTATTCTCCTCTCATGTTCATTCTCCCTGTTCTTGCAGCCAATCCTCCCTTTCTACCCAGGTTCCTTTGGATGTCCAGAATCTTCTTCCATCTACGTGATCCAGGCTGCTTTTTACAAGGAGACGTAAAAATATTAATGTTCTAATGATTTCTCACATTGAAGCTTGCCTTTTATTTTTTTTCTTTCTTTCTTTTTTTTTTTTTTTTTTTTTTTTTTGATGGAGTCTCGCTCTGTCGCCCAGGCTGGAGTGCAGTGGCATGATCTTGGCTCACTGCAATCTCCGCCTCCCAGGTTCACGCCATTCTCCTGCCTCAGCCTCCTGAGTAGCTGGGATTACAGGTACACACCACCACGCCCAGCTAATTTTTGTATTTTTAGTAGAGACGGGGTTTCACCATGTTGATCAAGCTAGTCTTGAACTCCCAATCTTGTGATTCGCCCGTCTCGGCCTCCCAAAGTGCTGGGATTACAGGCGTGAGCCACCACGCCCTGCCTTGCCTTTTCACTTCATTGTGGACTTGAACTGAGATTGTTAAAAAATGTTTATCAAAGTTTTGTTTGCAAAAGTGAAAAGGTTGAAAACAGTATAACACCTTAAAATAAGTGATTCTTTAATAAATTATTGTGTGTCCACACACTGTAAAATTATACAACCATTAAAAATATTTTATGGTCTTGGAGATGTTTCCAACATACTGTGAATAGAGAAAAACAGAGATGACAGAATAGTGTATAATCCTATCAAAATTATATCTACCAGCATAAATTTAAAAAAAAATTATAGACAACAAAACGCTAACCATTGTTATATTAGGGTGGTGGGATATATGATTTTTAAAATTATCTTTCTCTTGTGTAACTAGATACAATGGGTATGACTTCTATTCTATAGCACTAGATTAAGAAATGCCACATTTCTTTTGATAAGTCAAAGTTAAACTGCTCCTAACCCCCAACTGGCTAGGAAGTTTAATTTCAGGCATTATTGAAACTTCTTTCCCCTTCAATTTCTCCAAGCTGTGCAAGTGTCCTATGGATCTTGTAAAGCCTCAAACCTTTGAATAGAATCTTCTGGTTTAGTAATACGCTAGTTACTAATGGTAGATCCATGCTCAAGCCATATCATGCCTTGAAATTTAAGAAATATTCTCCTACCTCTGCACCAAGCTTGAGTCTTGGGAACTCCTGCAAATATAGTCCAATGTTACCATGGACACCATGCATTTTGTTATCCAAAATCTCTTCATTTCTCCTCAAATAGTTCTTCAAATTTTCATGTGGTAAAATTGTTTCCCAGTAAGAATAAACTGACTTTCCTAGTAAGGCATTATTTTATAAGGTAAGTGGCAATTTGAAGATTAAATATTTATAAATCTTATTAAATACATATTTAATATGTATTGCTATGTTATATTTATGCATTACTATGTATTATGTATTACTATACATTATGTATTCCTATTTATTACATATTGCTATGTAATATTATGCATTACCATGTATAAAGCACTAAATTCCTAATTCTAAATCAAGTATCTGTTTCATCAATCTTATACAAATTATCTTCTACCATGTGGCCAGGTAGCCATTCCTCAGAAGTCTTGCTACCTGCTGTTAATGTGAGGAATGAGGGTTGCTGATACCGAGTCTAAATACATGAATCGTCTGAATCCTTCCTACCTTGCCTGAGTGTTTTGCTTCTTCTCATAATTCTCCATAAGAATTTGGGCTATGCAAACATAATTGGGAAGGATGATGGTGGGAAGTTGGAAGGAGAGTGTAATAATCTCCATGTTTTGTACAGGGTGCTGCAGTAGTTGTACAAACTAAAAAGATTCCTTGACAATGGAACATAAAGTCATGATTTGGAATGGAGAAAGAAAAAAATACACATAGACACAAGAATGAAACACAAAATTGGTACATTCATTTTCAAAACGTTTAACAATGAGTTTGTTACCTTTCTAATATAAATTTTAAAAAATCTTATCAGGAAACAAAACAAAGTACGGGTAGATAAAAACTCCTAGCTTTTATTTTCCATTTCCTATTTGCTTGGAAGCTTTGACTTCTAATGCTCAATTAATTTATTTGTGAGTAGGCAATGGGAAATGGCTATAGAAAGAGATAAGTAAATTGAAGTCAAAGGCTTGGTTTGTCCTCCTCTGATGTTTAATTTTGGATGAATCACCTACCTTCTTAGAGCCAATGGTTTCCTATTTTTTAGAGTGGAATGGTAACACTGCAGGCTGTGGCCATGCTGCCAGGACCTGATCTCTATAACCCTAGCTTATCCCAGAAGTCACACACAGTTCCAGTATATGTCACCCATATACTAGGAGGACTTCCCTAAGCACTCACATCTGACTCTTTGAGGACTTAGAAGCAGAGGACACATTACAAAATTCTAAAGGTTTTCCTATCACAGGGCTTTAAACATCACTGTGAATAAATGATCAAATAAATGAATCATTTATTGGGTGAATGGGTAATATTTATTAAGCAAATATCATATCCAAAGAGCATACTGTGTGAGAGTTGGTAGAACATTCCAAAATAAATGATCATACAGAACCTAAACCTTGCTACCCATGTTTAATACAAATATCAGAGTGGCTATTAAGGAAAATGGAACTATTTAGAGAGCAAAGTGAAAGGGAGTTTGTCATTTTAGACTGTGATTTAGAGGAAAAGAATCATAAACTCTTTTTAATATCTTAGTGATAAATCACAATATTATCTGACATTACAGTGCTTTCTTTAACTGTAGCAAGTTATAAGCAAAAATGGATAGGCAACTGTTTAGGATATTCATCTTTTGTCTTAAATTCAGTTCTTGGACTATCTTACTGTTTTCTGGGATGTAAAAATATCTCAATAGGTGTATTAGTCAGGGTTTTCTAGGGAATCATAACCAATAGAATATATATATTCATAACCAATAGAATATATATATACACACACATACACATACACACATTCTATCATAACCAATAGAATATATATGTATATATATACACACACACATATAAGAGGAGATTTATTATGGGAATCAAGCAGCAAAGAGCTTTTGAAGCTGCTCAGTCATTGGTTTTATAAATATAAGTATAGGAATAGTGCTATTATCTTAGCCCTAGACAGCCAAATGTTCTATAAAAGTTCTCTACTGACATCTTTCAGAGTTCAGCTACATGGGAGGCACTGGAAATTCACTTAGCAGTAATTCTTCCTACTCAGGATTACCTCAAAGCAAAGGACACAGGCTCTGCCTTTCTCACTGTCGTCAGTACATTTAAATTCCAAGAGCACAAGTATTTTTAAAACCCTGCAAAGTGCCTGCCAGTCAGTTTCTGAGGTGAGTAATTGAGTTCGTGCCCATTCCTACAGAATTACTAAAACTAGACATGCATTTGCTTTACCAAATTTAGAGGACTCTTAGAGAGCAGAAAACGATGTGTGAAATTATTGCCACAAGTAGGTAAAATGAATTAGGACAACTCAGTTTTATCAAAAGGTCCTGAACATGGTTTGTCTGTAGCCAAAATTTTCTAATGTGTGTTGTCATATTTATTGTTGACAGTATGACTATTTGTAATTTGTGATAAAATCTGAGAGTATTCTGATTTAATTTTTACTTCTACATCATCTGCAAAAGGAAAGAGGTATTTTTAAAGTGTAGTAATATAAATCAATAGGTAGTATAGAGAAGTGGATGGTATGGGTAGGGTAGTGAAATGACCTGAATTGTAGGAATGTCTATCTGTTAGTGAAGGCTAGGATGATTTTAAGACTGAAAAGGAGATGCAGGAGTAAAGATTGTATGGTAGTATATGTAAGTAATAGTAAAGCAAGAGTACAAGTTAATATTTTGATAGTAAAATGGACAGGAAAATGCAGATATAAAAATGTGAAGATAGAAACCAGAAGATAAATAAAGGAGTTGGGTGGGTTGAAGGAAGAAAAGGGGCAAGACTCTGACAATTGCTGATGTGGAAGAGAATAGTAGAAGGTTCCTAGCCTGGGTGCTTAGGATAATGGAGGCTTTAATTATCTATTAGTAACTCCACTACCACTGCTCCCTAACAGTCAGAGATTTGGTTGACTTGGGACAAAGCTGAAAATATGGCCAAACAAAACTTGCTATGAGAGAGTGTGATACACTAGAAAAATTGTGGGCTTTGGAGTTGGACCGACTTGATTAAAATCCCAGCCTCACTACAAATTTTATATGCTTACTGAATATCGAGATTCTAAATAAAGAAAATAATGTCTCATTTCATGAATATAATGGTTAGTGATACAACAAATGTAGTACTAACACAAGTACCTGGCCCATTATAGGCTCTATATAAAGAGTAACAGTCAATCTTAGTAGTACTTTATTTGTTATAGTTTTCCTAATGTATTTATTTAAAAAGGAGGGAAAAGTTTAATTAAGCAGTAATAATTTGTTTAATGAGTTCAATTCAAAGTAAGAGAAAAGTATTGCTTCCGTTGTTTAGGTCAAAAGATCTTTGCAAATGTAGGTGTAACTACTAGTAGATATTTAGCTATAAAATATAGGTCTTATTGTTCACAGATACACTCTCCTGAAAAATGTAGTTTCATCATAACATCTGATTTTTAAATTCATGGTAAATACATTTTAATTAGGGTCCATTTCATCCTTACTTCTTGTTAGTTTTATATTGTCAGTAATTTATCAGTGTGTGTGTGGATTGGAGGGTATTAAAAAAATAAAATGTCTATTCTTTAGTAATGATGGAGATGGCAGTGGCAGGTAGAGTGCTATTTAGGTGTCAGGTTTAAGATATCTTTGACCCTGATATCATGGAAAACAAATTCAACAAACATCCATTGAGCTCCCAATGTGTTATAAACTTCAGGTGAAAAGAGGGTTTATTAACATGAGAAAGACTTGCCTTGTGCCCTGATGGAATATAAAATATTTTTTTTCTTGTATAGCCAAGTATAATACATGATCAGTGCTCTAATGAGCATTCTCATACAAGTAGAATAATGAATTCTGCTGGACAGGGAAAAGGGTAGGGAAATTTTCCAGACAAGATAGTACTTGAGCTAAGCCTTGCAGGTTGAGTAGGATTATTCTAGTGGAATTTAGGGAAACGATGTGCAAGGAGAATAGTCTCTTAGTTTGAATGAAAGGTAGAGGTCAATTAGTGGGATGCCAGAAAACTTGACAAGGTGAGAAAATCATTTTCTGTGACTTGCTATTTTACTAACCTGATTGATTTTGTTAATACCTAAAAAGAGAAATGATTCATGTTAATTATATTCACAGATACAAATAAGTAGCAAAAATATCAACTTATTATTTTACTATAAATACAGTTGGACCAGAAGACTCAAGCATAGCCTGTGGAATAGAAGGATACATTATTATAAGTAAATTAGTTGATTGGTAGCCATTTTCTGATTTTACCTGCAATCTGGATTAGATTCCCTATTCAACTCTCTCTTAGTACCCTATGCTGGCTAATCATCTTCATTTTCTATCCAGATTTAATTCTCATATACTACCTCATTACCCTGCTCAAGTTTATCAGAAACAAAGCAGTTTCATATAGTTAGAGCAGAAGATAGGTGAATTGGAAATAGTAAAAAAGATAACAGAAAACAACTCCACATAAAGAAAGAAAAATCATTCAAAAGAAGACATTTATGCAGCCAACAGACACATGAAAAAATGCTCATCATCACTGGTCATCAGAGAAATGCAAATCAAAACCACAATGAGATACCATCTCACACCAGTTAGAATGGCGATCATTAAAAAGTCAGGAAACAACAGATGCTGGAGAGGATGTGGAGAAATAGGAACATTTTTACAGTGTTGGTGGGAATGTAAACTAGTTCAACCATTGTGGAAGACAGTGTGGCAATTCCTCAAGGACCTAGAACTAGAAATACCATTTGATTCAGCCATCCCATTACTGGGTATATACCCAAAGGATTATAAATTGTGCTACTATAAAGGCACATGCACATGTATGTTTATTGTGGCACTATTCACAATAGCAAAAACTTGGAACCAACCCAAATGTCCATCAATGATAGACTGGATTAAGAAAATGTGACACATATACCCCACGGAATACTATGCAGCCATAAAAATGATGAGTTCATGTCCTTTGCAGGGACATGGATGAACCTGGAAACCATCATTCTGAACAAACTATCACAAGCACAGAAAACCAAACACCCCATGTTCTCACTCATAGGTGGTAATTGAACAATGAGAACACTTGGACACAGGGCGGGGAACATCACACACGGGGGCCTGTCGTGGGATGAGGGGCAGGGGGAGGGATAGCATCAGGAGAAATACCTAATGTAAATGACGAGTTAATGGGTGCAGTAAACCAGCATGGCACATGTATACCTATGTAACAAACCTGCACGTTGTGCACATGTACCCTAGAACTTAAAGTAAAATTAAAAAAAAGAAAGAAAGAAAAATCAATCATACAAACATCAGGGTTCCCCCTCCCAACCCCCTGGGGTTTTTGAGCCATGGCTTTTGACAAGTAGGTGTTCTTTGTTAGTTAATTTGGCCAGTTTTGGGGTTGTTCCTTTTGATTACTTATCTAGTTCTTAGCTTATTATTCTCTTTCTAAAATTTTAAAGATGTGGAAAATTACTAGCAAACTGCATGAAACTTATTAGCTGGAAATAGTGCAAATGGTAGAATTGGATTCAAAGAAGCTGCTATGATATTTCTCAGTTTCAGATGGGTCCCAGATGACTAATCTTTGTTGATGGACAAACCAAGTGGAGAGGGGTCTTCAGACATAATTGATCCTATAGACTGAAGCACGCTATGGAAGTCAGGGCCTATCTTACCTAAGGTGGAAGCAGAGGTTTTTGAAGTCAGTAGGTCAATGCTGAAAATATTTTTGGAGGAAATTGGGCAAAGTGAAGACGGCAAATCTGAACTTGTACTATCCACCTAGGGGTCTATGTGAACAGTGAGATCACAAGTAGTGAGCCAAAATAGATGAGATAAGGAGGCCATAGAACCACAAAATGGGTAAATGGGATTTGGTCTGCACTGATTCCAGAGAGGAAAAGACATACCTGCAGCAGCCTTTATTCATTATAAAGGTGGAGATAAATCAGCTTCATTTAGTAAGGCGGGAAAGAGACAAACTTCTCCCCGTATATATTAACCCTAACCATGACATATAATGACATTTTCTTTAAAAGCGTTTAAATAAATTTTTTATCTTTAATGCATGACACACTATTGGATATCATCTGGAAATATTGAGAGCTATAACTTTTTGTTATCAAAAAAGCACTAGAGCACTTTTTTTGTGCTCTATAAGCAAGCACTGTGAAGCTGCTTTTCCAGGGAGTCTTTTTTATCAGAGTCTTAGAACGAACATGCCCTGCAGTATAGATTCTTTCTTTCACCAGTTGTGTCTGGGGGAAAGAGATGAAAACTACCAGTGTGCTCTCTGCTCCTCTAATTAACATACACCTCCTTTCTAGAAATTCAGGGATTTCTTTGGAAAGAGAAATTTTTTTTTTTTTTTTTTTTTTTTTTTTTTTTTTTTTTTTTTTTTTTTTTTGAGACGGAGTCTCGCTCTGTGGCCCAGGCGGGAGTGCAATGGCGCAATCTTGGCTCACTGCAAGCTCTGCCTCCCGGGTTCACGCCATTCTCCTGCCTCAGCCTCCCAAGTAGCTGGGACTACAGGCGCCCGCCACCACACCCGGCTAATTTTTTGTATTTTTAGTAGAGACGGGGGTTTCACCGTGTTAGCCAGGATAGTCTCGATCTCCTGACCTCGTGATCCGCCCGCCTTGGCCTCCCAAAGTGCTGGGATTACAGGCGTGAGCCACCGTGCCCAGCCCGAAAAATGTTTATTATAAATCTATCCTTCCTAAAAAAGACATTACTGGCTTTTTTTTTTTTCAAAGAGAGATTTATAATATGCCAGGTTGAATTTAGGGGAAAAAAATAAAAACAAATAAGAGTTGAATGTTGGGCTACAGAAAGCAGATATTCCAGAAGATTTAGTGAAATTATATTCTTTGAAAATATTGTAAGAGAGTTAGGAGAGTGAGTTCAGTATTTAATTAAAGGCAAAAACAAGATCCTGTGTTTGAAAAACAAGATATACTAAATGAACATGTCAATCTTTAAAGACATGAATTGATTCTCATGGAATTTGGGTACATTTAAACAATGCACCTTCTTCATTACAGTGCTATAAGGTATTTGGATTTACACTGCAAATTTGGAATTCAACCTGATTTCATTTTCTTCCCTAAATCTCAACATATATATTACATTATTTGGTATGCCTTTAATCTTAAATTTACAAAGAAATTATTATCAACACAGGTGTTCTGAGTCTGGAGTGGAAATATTTAAACAGATTTGATTTTTAAAGTGGTCTGATACTCATTTTTTAAAAATGTACATTTTTATATTTGGGGTTTGTTATAAACTTTGCCTTTTTAAATAATGCAAAAATGCTCTAGGTTATTCACTGTCTTTTCAATTTTGTTCTCCTTTGGAAAAAAGGAGGAAGTAGTTACTACTTAAGGACAAGTAGCAATTTCAGACGCGCGCACGCACACACACACACACACACACACACATCACACACACAGAAATCCACAACAGCACTCATGGAATTTAGGACTGATTAATTTACATATTATTTAAGCATATTTTCTGACTTCAAACTCCTGGTTCTAATAACTAAGCATTTACATTTACAATATTAGCTTCTATGAGAAGAGAGCGTTCTCCCTCTTCCCCTTTAATTCCACCTTAAAACATCTGCAAAAGCGCAAGGAGACCAGCCCACATTTTAGCCCCTCCTACTCAGGATAAGACTTTCTCTAAGTCCGGAGCTGAAAAAGGATCCTGACTGAAAGCTAGAGGCATTGAGGAGCCTGAAGATTCTCAGGTAACTCTGGGAACTGTAAGCAATATATTTATTCTTCCTCTGCTCCACTTCTCTCTCCCACCCTCCTTAGCTTTTACTTGGTAGTTTACTTGGAAGGAAGAAAGGACGGAGGGGAAACCTCGCTGCTTTAAAAAGTCAGCATGTCCTCTGCCTTTTGAAGTGAAACACAGATTAGGGACCTCAATTTTCTTCAAACCCACGCAGATTTGCCTTCCTGGATCTAAATGCACTGTGGAGTCAAAGATTAAGGTGTTTCTTTGGGTTGGAATCCCAGAAAGTTAGCATTCAAAACGGCGGTGAGGTGGCGCTTATTAGCGTTCCACGTGATGACACCCAATGGTTACTGATCCCCAAACTTGAGCAGCAGCATGCTGTGCTGTTTGACAGCCCTAGCGATCTTTAGCGAGAGACTTTGTTGACTCACTTAACTTTTAATTTCTAAAAATTGGTCATTTTTGTTACTTATGGGACGCTTTCCTGGCTAGTCAATATTTTGCAGAATTATGCGAAAGAAAGAGGATTATTGAAAAATTAACTGTAAACGGACTGGTGTTCTGATGATCCACCCTTCCCCTAAGTTACTTGGCTTGCCAAGAGAAAAAAAAAATCTCAAAACTAGATACTAGAAAAGATTTGATCAAATTACATAGTTAAATTTTGAGTGTGGATATTTCAGTAATTTTGTTTCCAAAAAAAACAGAAAAAAAAGGTATTTGATTTTAAAGTATCAGTGGATGAATGTATCTGTCTCCTACAATTTATAATCATTTTAGTCTTAAAAATAAATTCACCTCCAAAACCAGAACAAGAAATACTCCTCATATGGGTTGATGATGTCAGCATTTATTCAGCTAAGGCAGATGGAGAGTATTAGAGGCGTACTGTCTGAATGGGTGTCAATTCTAAAGTTATATTTGCCAATATAATTTGAGTTCAAAGAAGATTTGTATTTTTGTTTCTCTTTGTTGTTTAAATTTAGAATTGTGGCTCAAGGGATATTTGTAGAGGACTGTAGTGAAACAAGCTCTGTTAAGAATTTTAAAGTTACATTCTACAGGTTCCTACACCTTGCCAATCAAGTTAGAGGTTGGGATAAGAAACAGGTATTTACTTCTTTCATTAGCTCCGGAAGAGTTAAATTTTAAATTAAGCAATAATTGTGAAATGCATAGAGAAGTGTTTAATGTGCATTTGCTCAAAGGAGTTTTACAAACTTCCCTTAGGGGAAGCATATTTTTTGAGATAAGACATTGCATCTTTTTAACATATTTTTAAAAAGTAAGTTATTCTGGCTGGGCGCAGTGGCTCATGCCCGTAATACCAGCACTTTGGGAGGCCGAGGCGGGTGGATCACTTGAGGGCAGGAGTTCGAGACCAGCCTGGCCAACGTGGTGAAACCCCATCTCTACTAAAAATAGAAAAACTAGCCGGACGTGGTGGCAGGTGCCTGTAATCCCAGCTACTTGGGAGGCTGAGGCATGAGAATCGCTTGAACCCAGGAGGTGGAGGTTGCAGTGAGCCAAGATCGCGCCATTGCACTCCTGCCTGAGCGAAAACAGCGAAGCTCTGTCTCAAAAAAAAAAAAAAAAAAAAAAAAGTAAGTTATTCTGAAGTGTTTTGCATTTTTGCATTTACATTTAATTAGGAAAAGAAAAATTATTAAATAGATTTTTAGCAACTGAAAATGTTCATTCCATAGAGGTTATTTGGCTTATGTTTTTAACCCATTATCTTTTCTAGTGCTGGTACTTAGAAAGCAGTCATAAAATCGAATCATCTACATATTAAAATTATGTTCCAGGAATAAAAAAGAGGAAGACAGAATTAGTTGTGGTTCCCATTCATCTTGTTTGCTTTTATTTACCATCAGTTTTTTCCTCCTTCTTGCTCCAGATTGTATAGCTTGCTTGCTTGCTTGCTTGCTTTCTTTCTTTCTTTCTTTCTTTCTTTCTTTCTTTCTTTCTTTCTTTCTTTCTTTCTTTCTTTTTCTTTCTTTCTTACTTTTTCTTTCTTTTCTTTTTCTTTCTTTTGTTTTTGTTCCATCAAAGACACTTTTATAATCTTGTGACAGGTATGGACCCCTCCCTAGAATAATGCACATTATGCCATTCCAACACACACAAATTTAAAAACACCTTTAAGAAGTTCACAAATCCCCAAAGACAATTCATATTACATGAAAATGCAGTATTTCTTAAAACTTTGGAGTTTTCTGATAATATAAAATGATTAATTATAAAATCATTTTACTTATAAGTAAGGAACTAACAGTGGATATTGTAGCACCCACATAGTCATTTATTCATTGGTATTCTAGAACTCCAAGCAACTTGGTATAATGGAAAAAACTGCTTGCCTGAAACCAGGTGACCTAGGTTCTAGACTCAACCCCAATAATAATTAACTGTACAATATTACGCTTGACATTTTTCTGTAACATCTGTTGCTTTTATTGCCGAATGCAGTAAGTGAAACATAATAAGAAAATCAGATGCAAGTTATTTTTTATTGGATTGTGGGGTGTCTATATTTACTACTTTTATTCCAAAATTCCTAATGACATTTCCCAGAATGATTAGTTTTTATAACACTATTGTTTATTATAAAGATAAATCACACTCACTGCTTAAAATTTCATTAAATATAGAAAATTGCAAGGAAGAAAAAGAAAATATTACCTATTATTTCCCCCAAGGTACTTTTAAAATGTAATTCAATCATTAATTCAATCAACAAATATCTATTGAGTACCCAGTATGCATCAGCAAAGAGACAGACAAGAAGTTCATGTATATACATGTTTATATGTCTAGATATGTTTCTATACATACATGTAGTTTTACAAAATTGTGATCACACTGTTCATGCTGTTTTGTAACATGCTTCTCCCTCATTCATGAGATGCATTGTTAAAACATGTTTTTTTTAATAATCATGCATTACTTTGTATTCACATATTTAACAAATATTATTAAGTCCCTACTGTGTGTAATGCAAGTAATGGCAATCTATCCATGAGCAAAAGAGTATGGTTCTTACTATATGAAATTTTTCATCTGTATATAGGCTGTACTGGCCAATTATATCTTGTTGGATATTTAGATAGATTAGTTTTCCACTATTATAAATAATTGTTGGATATTTAGATTTATAATAGTTTTCCACTATTATAAATAATATTTCATCTAGGACCTTTTTTATATATGTTAGTATACATTTTTGTTTATTTCCTTATGGTAGATTCTTAAAGTTTATTTTCTAGGTTCTAAAAAAAATTTTATTACTTACAAGTTGTGAGATGATAATCCAATTACTTTATCTCCTTAAAATGTTGTCTTCTCAATTGTAAAATAGAAATAATAATAGTTGGGTATTTTGAGGATTCTTTAAAATATTTAGCGAAATCTCATGGAATGCTAGTGATTATTTTTGACATTTTGCTCTTGAGGAATATGGTATTCATTTATGAGCAATATAAAAGAGTAGAGTTTTCTATGTCAATACTGGGTGCCATCATCAAACAGAGCAAATGACAACAAATCCAACAACTTGGATAATTGATATACGAAAATAGTATCTTGTTTAAATTTACATTTCTTTGTTGAACAAAGTTGAGCAATTTTCATAGTGGCCACTTATATGTCTATGTTTGTGAATTGTCTCTTTCAATGTGATTTAAAAAATTTTTCTCTTTCAATTTCAAATATGATAGATATTAACGGATATAACTTACATAATCATAGCACTTTTGGGGTCCTCAGTAATTTTGAAGAATATTAAGAGTCTTAACAATATAGATGAAATTTTGAACTGGAAGTAGAAATTCTATAAACAATGTTTTTCTCATTTTTGGAGGGTTATTTTTAGTGTTTCCTGAAACCTTTCCCTTAAAAATGGGTGAGAATACATAGAAAAATGAGAGCAAATTATTTTTTATTCTCATAGACTAATAGTTTACAAATGATGGGAAACCTGGAGGGTTCAGAGATGATGGCCAAAACCCAGCACCAGAGACATCCTGGCCTGAATCATGTAAAGAAGATATTGTTAGGACTAAGGGTGGCGTGATGACTGTTCAAGTTTTGTAAGGCTGGGTGCAGTGGCTTACACCTGTAATCCCAACACTTTGGCAGGCTTGAGCCCAAGAGTTTGAGACCAGCCTGGTCAACATAGTGAGATTAATTAAAATCTTATTAAAAATTTTGAAAAAATCAGCTGGATATGGTGGCATGCACCTGTAATCCAGCAATTTGGGAGGCTGAGGCAGGGGGATCATTTGAACACAGGAGTTTGAGGCTGCAGTGAGCTTTGACCACACACCGCACTCATGCCTGGGTGATAGAGCAAGATTTTGTTTCTTATTAAAAAGAAAAGTTTTGTGAGGAAAATAATATTATTGGTTGTGAACAACCAATTTAGAGAAAATGAATTTCAGTTCTGGCCAACTCTTTGTCTTCTACCCCTTGACTATTAGGGCAATAAATAGTTGGGGGAACCAAAAGGTTGGTTCTGGAGTTCTTTCCAAAGAAGACAGTAAATAGAGCAGAGGTTATTCTGGTCCTCTGATACCATTACCTGCCTGTTAATAAAGGATGCATTACATGTATTTGCTACTTTTGCTATGTGATTCTAAGTTTTTTGATTCTTTTTGTGATTCTTAGTGCAAATCTTACAACACACCTTGAAAATACAGTTTACCTTTCCTTATACAAAAAATGAAATAAGCATAAACAACTCAATGCTCACCATAAGCAGATTTGTAAAGCTACCCTACCAGTCTAATCACTTATTAAATGAATTCAAATGAGCTTAGAGAAACTCAGCAGACACCTGACGCTGAAAGTTATCAGTGTCAGAGTTTAGCCATCACTCTCCATTAAAGATAATAGACCAAATTGGCTCTCATTTTTCTTCCCACTCCTTTTTTGGCACATGCAGTTGTGAATCAACTGCTTCCTTTTCCCCAATCTTCCTCTTCATTTGCTTGACTTCTGGAGTCTTCAGGAAAAAAATCGGTATTTTAGGTAACAGTGTGCTTTGAATTAGTAAACAAATGTCATTAATATGTATTCTTCTACAGTACAGAAAACTCATGTATTTATGATACTCAGCTTATACTTGCTTAGGTTTTTGTTTTGTTATTTAATTTACAAGCTGTTTTCTCACTATCTAGTTTGAAAAAAAAATCAGAGGCCCAGTATTTTTTTATTTTCACAGGCTTTGTGGTTGATAAAGGGATTGGTTATGAACTTTGTTTATTTCCACAAAACTGTGTAAGTTAGCAGTACAGGTATGACTATCCACATTTTACAGATGTGAAAAAGAGCTATTGAAAAGTCAAACGTTTTTTTCTTTTTTTTAATGTCTGCCTTATGATTCCATTTTGATGTATTTAAATGTTTAAATATATTGGTTTATATTTTTAGTTTTAATGTGTATTCTTTGAGGTTGTCACACTCTTTCTATTGGAGTTAACATCAGAAAAATTACTGGAGAAGGCCCAGGAAGTCCACTCTCCTGGTGCGTGTTTCCATAATAACTCAATCGTTCTGCCCTTATAACTTGATTACTGATTGACGTAATAGGGGAGGTTGTGCAATTTTGGAACTACATAGTACTTTGTACAGTAGTATGTATACTACTTTAAGAAAATAAAATATATTACATTTTATCTAAAAATACAAAATAAACACATTTCATGAGTTATGTAAAAAGTGCTGATTTTGCCAAATGTTTTGCTTTCAGGTTGGTCGTAGAGAATTTTCTTAGAATTTTCTAAGTATAACCTACAGAACCTATGGCTCTTTCTGGCTCTTATTAAACCTGGCAGTTGGCATAAAGCATTTGTATCAAAATGGTTACTCTGACCTTGGATTTATCATTTGGACAAAATAATTATTATTTTACCTTTCCAAATAATTCAGTAGCTTATGATAAAGCAGATACTCCTTCTCAGGGGTAAAACCCAACATTAGTTATACGCTTGACTTAGTATACATACTATGATGTGGTAATAAATAATGCATACTAGGTCAGGTTTTACTGCTGGATACAACTGTGCCACTAGAAACATTAGGTCAGCACATGGCTTCTGAATTTCAGTCAGTAAATTGACACACTTCTTATTTGCCCCATACTTTTATGCCCACAGTTTTGACAGGATAAGCAAGTTAAATGCAGTACACAGGCAGTAAACTGGGATGTTCACCCCTTATGGAAAAAAGTATTTTTGCAGAATTCTTGGATCTATAAGAAGAGACAGTGTCTGCCTAGGATAGTCTCGAGGCAGATAAATGGTGTTTTAAGTTTTGAAACAAAAAGGCAATTCATTTTGTGGACTTTTTAAAACATATATTTGATGCAATATTATGAAAGTATTGAAAAAAGTAATTTGGAGCAATTATGTAAGAATTTATTGAAAAGCAATCAGGGAAAAGTGTCTAAAGATGCACACAGTTATGGGATCATTCTGTATAGACTGCTGCGTCTATCATTATGATTTCTTAATATCCATTAGCCACTGTTGTGTCTACCACAAACCTCAAACAGGTTATCAACTTTCTTTTCATTCAACTGCCATGAAGAAGAGGTGGATGAATTTTAAATTTGCTGACGTCATGAACTTAGATCTCAAAGAGAGAACACTAGGAAATTTCTGTAGTTCACTTTCAATGATCAATGGTAATACATGTTCAGATAATAACTTTAAAATACTGTTATATCCCTGGTTCTTAGAAGACAATGCCACTAACCCATTTTAGAAAGATTTGTCACAGCAGCGATTCTAATTTAAAAGAGGCTTCTTGGTAAATTAAAGATTTAATTGCAAATCTGTTGGATGCTTACTTATAATCTATTACTTGGTACTTAATTTTTGAGCTGGTGACAACCAGAGATTTACATTTTATATATATAAAGCTTCACAATATTTACATGCATTTTTTCCCTCTCACCTTTATTACTTTCTGTAATGATGCCTTTGTTGTCAATGAAAAGCAATAAAAGAAAGAATCAAATTTGTGACACTCATTCACTGTTTGCAGAAATTGTTACAATCTGTTTAAAATATGTTTTAGGTTGACAAATTTGATTTGGTTGATCAATATATTATGTATTAATAAGTATTAATAAGCTATTTATATGAATTAATACCCCAGTATTAATATATAGCCTATGCATTAATATAATTAATAATCAATATGAATTAATTCAGGTAAATCATTAGTTATTCAATACACCATATATTACATATAATATACCTTAATAATAATATTGATTGTTATTATATATTAATATGTACATAAGATATTAATCAACCAAGCCAATTGTCAATCTAAGATGTAATTTAAACAGATAACAAGAATCTTCAAGCACTTTTTATCATCACAATGAAAAGGATGCTCTCATATAAATTTTAAGTTTCTGTGAAAAAATAATTTCTATATACCATTTTATTAATACATATAGTATACTTAGAAAAGTAGTAGGAGTAGGAAAATGCAATTTTTTAATACTTAGAAAAAGAACAGGTATTGTATGAAGCTATTTAGATAATATCTACTCTTCTTTTTCACTTACCAATTTTGCCTCCTATGTCAAGAAATGCAGATGTTAATGTCAATCAGGAATTGTTGGTCACTGAGCAGTATGCATTTATTCCTTCGCTAATTCAGTCAGTTTTAATTAATAACAGCTACATGCTAGGTACTGTGCTACATTTAGGGCATACCTGGGTGAATAAAGCAGGTATAGTTCATTCCGTCTTAGTGGAGACAGATAATAAGTATACAAACAAACAGATAATAAATTATAAAAGAAAGCAAATGGGCTTCAATGATAGAGAATAACATGCAAAGGCGGAGAATGGGAAGGGCTCTCTGAGGCATAGAATTGAAGCACAGATGTGACGGATAAAAAGCCATCTACGGGAGGCGGTAAGTAGAGTGAGAATGGCAAGGCTCACGCTAGAGTTCCAGGCAGAGAGTGGCATTCGTTAATGAGCCTGCAAAGAAGCAACTAAGAAACTAGATGGAAAACCAGGTATTAGGGTGATGTTGTGGGAGCAAAGGAGGGAAAGTGGTTCTAGAGGAAAGAGGTTGAATAAGATGACGACGGAAAAGTGATTACTACATTTGGAAATTTGGAGATCATGAATGATCTTGATTAGTGCAGGTTCAATGGAGTGGTGGGAGTAGACAGAAGAAGGAAGAAGGAATTTACAAATGGGATGGGAGGAATGCGTGATGAGGATAGCTGGCTCCTGGATACAGGGTAAGCAAATAACCCTTCAGAGAAGTCTGTCAGTGAAACACAGCAACCAAATGGAGACATAGCAGGGAAAAGGAATATGGAGTCGACAGACAGACTGTAACAAGTTTGCCAATTAGATTATCCAGTTGAAAGTAAAATTTGGGCCAGGCTCAGTGGCTCACTCCTGTAATCACAGCACTTTGGGAGGCCGAGGCAGGCGGATCACGAGGTCAGGAGATCAAGACCATCCTGGCTCACACGGTGAAACCCCATCTGTACTAAAAAAAAAAAAATACAAAAAATTAGCCGGGCGTGGTGGCGGGCGCCTGTAGTCCCAGCTACTTGGAAGGCTGAGGCAGGAGAATGGCGTGAACCCAGGAGGCGGAGCTTGCAGTGAGCCGAGATCGCGCCACTGCACTCCAGCCTGGGCGACAGAGAGAGACTCCGTCTCAAAAAAAAAAAAAAAAGAAAAAGAAAAGAAAAAAAGAAAATAAAGGAAAGTAAAATTTGATGATTCAGGAAAGAGAGACGTGACCATCAAAAATAAAGTCCTTGAGGAGAGGGATTTTGCATCCAGAGAGCCATGGTGGTGCCAGGTCTGTAACAGTAGGAGGAACATTGCCTCCTTTGTGGCAGGGAGAAGGGGAACCCAAGTGCACCTGCAGGGAAATACGCAGATTTGATGGTGGGAAGATGAGAAACTTCCCTCTGGTGCTTTCTGCTTTCTCAGTGAAGGAAGATGAGGTCGCCTGCTAAGAGTGGGAGTTGGGGTGGGGTGAGAAACTTGAGTGAGAGAAGGGAATAAAGTGACTTTTTCCGGTGGGAATACAAGTCCACCAAAGAAATTTAGAAAGATGTCTTGTAGTGTAGAGAACCTCTGTGGGTTTTGAGAATATGGACTTAAATTAAAACTAGCCTTCCAGGGTATGTTGTTTTTCTGCAACATGTTTAAATGCTAAGAGCAAAGAAGCTAGATGGTTTCTCTAGAGTGGGAGTTTTTAAAGACAGAAAGAAAAATTGTTTTTAAAGACAGAAAGAAAAATCCATAAAATGGATAACCAGTGCACTAAGCAAAACAAAATAAAAAACAACCCAAACCAAAACCAAATCTAAACAAAAATTCATAAAAATGAATGAGTCTGTAGAACAGAGTTCCTTTATCTAAGGTAATTAGTGACTACTAGGAAGTAGTCCAAAATTGGCTGATTTCCAGCTCTAGTAGGTGGGAATTTAGCCTTTGTTCTTTCCCAACTCTTGGATTCATTACCTAGCCAGTTGCTAGGCCTCTTTGTACACTTCAGTGAAGCCCAGTTACCTGTTCCAGGAGCCATCATTCTGGAACCTTTTTTTTCTTCATGTTCTAGTTGGTAGACTTGTTGCTGTTGTCCTTTGAAGTTCTGAATGATTAACTGTTTGCCTCCCTGCTTTTATTGGACTCCTAGCTAAGTACTTGTTTCTGAGTTGTAGCATACTCCTTGGTCTTTGTGCTCCCTAAGATAAGGGTTTATAGACTTCGAATCATTAGAATTCCACAATGTAAAGATGTGTAAAACATTTTGTGATAATAATAGACCATCCAAAAAAAGGATCTTTCACAGCCCTGCTCTCAGGATGTATTTCTTCACCCTGACATAAATCTTTCATTTTGCATCTAAAAGTCACTTCCTTTTCTTTTCCAATTCTTACAGTTTTAGAGAACAGCTGGTTACCATAATCAAAATATCTTTTCAACGACCAAAATAATATTATTGAACTATTGACTCATATTTCCTCAAAGTTAAAAAAACATTTTAAAATTTAAAAATCCATTAGCCATCTCTCATAAATCCTCTTCACATAAAAATGATTTAGTTTTACACAAATGAAGGCCAGGCTCCTCCATGGGTGGAAGCAGTGAGTCTGTGCGGGTCAAGTCAGGCAGCATGGTGAGAAGAGAGAGTGTTTTTTGTGGTCAGATGGATTTCAGTTTGTTTCTGGCTGTGCCCTTCATCTACTTCTCTGCCTGACACTAAGTAGCTGCTTCTTTTTCCTCCTTTTTTCCCTACCTCCCGGAGACATGTCCTGAAGTGGAAAGTCATTCTGCACTTTATTCCTGGTCCTGTCCATATTTGTCAGGCTATGGTTTAGCTGCAGTTGTCTAACTTCCTCCTGTCAAATTTCTCATTGGCAAAATGAAGGGGAGAGTATAACATTGTTTTTGTTAATTTCGTATTTTCCAAAGAACCCATTGAGGCATTATATCTCATCCGCAGAACCTCAACTGAAACCTGCTTATTGATTTTACTAATGTATTTTTGGCACAGTTCTCCAGCTTGCTACTCAAAGGTAGAGGCAATATAAATTTCATTTTGAAGCAAATGACAGCACTTTCAGTTCATTTCAACCTGAGTTTATTGTATGTAACCCCTAAATTTTCAGGATGTGCTACATGTTCATTATGGTGCTAGCAAAAGTAGGTAGTATAAAAAGAACTTAAGATTTTCTATCATCATCTTACTCTTTATAGTGATGTAATTTCCTCTCTCCTCAAAAATTTTACATGAAACTTTGGAACTATGTTGGAGTACCCCACAGAAGTAGAAGGGGAAAAATGTGCTGCAACACTCCAACGCACACATAAATATTATTTAAAGGGTCTGCAGACTGTCATGGCTACATGTATTTCAACATAATTGACTTCTTTTTTTTTTTTTTTTTTTTTTTTTTTTGAGATGGAGTCTCATTCTGTTGCCCAGGCTGAAGCACAGTGGTGCAATCTTGGCTCACTGCAACCTCTGCCTCCCAAGTTCAAGCAATTCTGCCTCTCCTGTAATCCCCTGAGTAGGTGGGATTACAGGTGCCCACCACCATGCCTGGGCAGTAATTAGCTTTCTTTATAAACTGATATTTTATTTCATATATTTTAAAATGTTATACTCTATAAAGGGGTCCCTAGCCTTCACTAGATTGCCAAAGGGGTCCATGGCACAAAAAAGATTAAGAACCCCCAAGTCTACTCCCTTCAAGTGCATACACTCCATTTACAGAGTTCTTAATCCTGCAAAAGACTAGGTTTCTTGTTCTTTTCAAAAGTGAATTGCCATCACAGTGTCTAAAATAAGATTTCTAAAACTTCTTATGATCTGAGAAGAAAATGGTAACCCTGAATTCCTATTACATGTTACCCAGTTCAGGAACTGTAGAATGCTGGTCTCGTATTTAGTGGCCGAACTTTACAGTAACACCTGGAAGCAGGTGTACACCCTTCTGTGCTTCCGCAATTCCTGATGATATAGTTTATCATCAATTTATTCCTCTTAAAGATCATAGTAATTCCATATTTTAAACTGTCAGATCAATCTCACCGGCTGCCTGAAATAGTCATTGCTTTCATTGAAAAGCAAAGCAAGCTATAAATGCTGATAATTTTATCCAGTAATAAAATGGCTCTCATTAAACATTTAAGCCAGTTTGATGGTTTTCCTGAGTGTTTTCCCTGAACTGTTTACCTTAGAAAAAAGATATGGCTTTCCATGCTGTGGAAAACTTGACTGACTCTGTCACTTAAAAAAGGCAGCAATGGCAGCAATTAAAGAGGGAGTGGAACCCTCAACAAAACACAAATACTACCTTGGGGAGCATATTTGCAAAATGTCCAGTCTAGAGAGAAAAGATGTAGAAGTAATGCTGTTGTCAAAACACACTTCTTTTCCTAGCATTTTGTGCCACCTTGTTGCATATATTTATAACCTGTTAACAGTAAGTACATCACCATTGTCAGTCTCTTTTAAGTAGAAGTCAGAACATTATTCTTCTATATTTTCTGAAAATGCACATCATATATTTAACACCTATCAATGTGATATTATTTCATAATGGTCTGTGTGGGAAGAGGAATTTTTTAAACAATCTAATATTTGAAAGTAAACAATTTATAACTATGATTCAAACCTAGAAAATTACAAAAGATGAAAGTGATTCTTTTTGAGCTTTATTGGACCAATCCCAAGGAGAAATTCAGTTATTTGTTTTCCTCAAATTCATATCTTGGATCTACTCTGTCCTTCCAAACAGTAACTTGGTAACTTAAGATTTTAGCCAAACTAAAATTATATATATGTTATTTTAATTTTGGCTATATTTCCTTTTTAGCCCCAGTGCATGTGGGGGGCAGGGTGGGGCAGGGAGGATGCCAGTAGGGTATAAAGAAAGAGTACCTGGTTGAAAGTGAAGAGGTATGTTCAGTTTCAGCTGTTCCCCTTACTGGGTAACTTGGTGAGGTTTATTTATATCTTAAAGCCTCAGCTTACAAATTTGTACAATGAAATACTTTCTAGGTGGTGATTATGAATATTTCCTCCTTCTCCAAAATTTCTTGACCTTAAAATATGGCCAGAATGGCCACTTGTTTTTGACCACCAAGAGGTGAAAGAATGGAAAATAACAGCAAACCAGAGTGGTCAAGGAATGAAAACTAGAACACTGGCTTGGGAGTGAGGAGACATTCTTGCTTTGTTTGTAATGCATTATGTGAAACTGGGCTGGCCAGTTTCCTGATCCTTAAGATGGACAGGTTTATCTGGATTAGTACTTCCCAAATGTGAAGTGGTTAGACGTTATCCTTGTGCTTCGTTTATGTAGAATGTGTGTATGTATATGTTGGTGAGGGGTTGCGGGGAGCTTTTTAAATAATCAGATGAGGGTAGCTGCTCCATCTTAAAGGAGCTATGCTCTCTCCTTTATAATCTTCACCATCCTAGTTGAGATGCATATCATATCTTTTTTTTTTTTTTTTTGAGATGGAGTCTCTCTCTGTTGCCCAAGCTGAAGGGCAGTGGCGTGATCTCGGCTCACTGCAACCTCCGCCTCCCGGTTTCAAGCAATTCTCCTGCCTCAGCCTCCTGAATAGCTGAGGTTACAGACACCCACCACCACACCTGGCTAATTTTTTGTATTTTAGTAGAGACAGGGTTTCACAGTGTTGCCCAGGCTGGTCTCAAATTCCTGAGCTCAGACAATTCACCTGCTTTGGCCTCCCAAAGGGCTAGGATTACAGGTGTGAGCCACTGCGCCCGGCTGCATATCATGTCTTATATCACATCTGGACTTCTCTGGCCGATTTTCTCCCTCCCTCCTACAGCACCACTTTTCTCCACTAACAATTGTATGCTGCTTTGTTTAACTGCTGTGTTTATGTCATTAAAACCTGTTACGGGCTGAAATATGCCCCCTCCAAATGCATACATTGGAACCTAAATCCCAGTACCTCAGAATGTAAAAGTATTTGGGGATAAGTCCTCATTAAATTGAAAGGAGGCTGGTAGGGCATGTCCTAATCCAATTTGACTAGTGTCCTTAAAAGAAGAGGGAATTTGAACACACACAGACACCAGGCACTCTGTGCACAGGGGAAAGAGCATGTGAGGACACAGCGAAAAGCAGCTATCTGCAAGCCCAGGAGAGAGGTCTCAGGAGAAACCAAAGCTGCCAAACTTTGATCTTGGACTTCCAACCTCCAGAACTGTAAGAAAATAAATTCCCATTGTTTAAGCCACTCGGTCTGTGATACTTTGTTATGGCAACCCTCGTAAACTAACACAAAGTGCCACTTTCATCATGCCACCTCCCTGCTAAGACTCGAATAACTCTATTGCTTATTGTATAATTTCTCAGAAACTCTGCCTGTGCTTCAGGGTCTTTTGTAGAGTGAAAAAATGACATAGAAAGGGGATTCTAGGGCCAGCTCAGCCCATGTTAACCCAGATGACCTGGGAACTTTTTTATTCTTCTTGAGACAGTTATTCTTTTGTAGAGATTGGTTGTGGGAGTCTACCTTAGTTTGTGTTGTCAGTTAAACAAATTACTTACCTTTCCAAATCTGTTTTTTTTAATCTCAAAAGTAGTGATAATAATCCCTATCTTGTTATAAAGATTAAATGAGATGGTATATATAAATCACTTAAAGTATCTTGTACTTGGGAAATGTTTAACAAGTGTGGATTTTCAAAATTAAGTGTTCATATTAGCAACTGCTAAGATATATTCCAGTTTCACATTCTAGATTCTATAAATGTAATCTACTTCCTTTTGATTGTTTCTTAAGACAAGAGCACATTTATGATCTAGACAGTTTTCTCCAGTACATCATGCAAATCCCCCAGTTTGCTTATTCATCCTTCAGTCAATAGTAATTGAATTATCACTCCGGGCCCAACAGGAATACAGGGAGAAGACAGAACTTCCTTTGTGCTGCTCACAGCTATGGAAGACTGACACGTGTATAATGGTAGTCTAGTATACAATATTGTGATAAGAGATTTCAAGGAAAGGTACAAGGGTCCTAATCTAGTAGATAAATTAAGAGATGACTGACTTTAGAGAGTGAATTTATGCAGAACCCTGAATGACAGGCGGACATGATCCTGCAGAGGTGTGGGTAAGGAAAGCACCAGTTGAGAGCCTGAGGAGGATGGAGTATCTCCAACGTCATGGCCTTTTCCTAGAGGAAATGTTTCCACTTCCTCTTACTATAGATCTAAGCTCTTTCACGTTTTCAAATGTCAGATCAGTTACCATTTTCTCTGAAGCCGTTTCTACTTTAAACCACTGGAATCTCTCTCTTCTCTGAAACTCTAGTAGGTATTTCATATATACTTGTCTATGTAATTATAATGAGATTTGAAGAATACAAATTTGATAGATTAAGAAGCTGTGACTTAGGAATACAAATGGAGAGGGAAATCTTAAAAGGAACAGTATGGATATCAGCCATATGGCACCACCTGTTACTACTGTGGGACTTAGTGGCAAGTTCCATACCATTGGGTTCCAGGCTCAAGAAACAGACATAGTTAATTATTCTGTGCCTTTGTGTCTGGAGGCATGCTGTTACATTTCCTTGGGAACAGGGAGGTGTTCCTGTCGTAAACTGAGAGTATGGTTTGAGAGACATTTTTAATATAAAGCATCTCATTTACCCATCTGAATTCCTATTGTTTCTTTATTCCTTTGTGCCGGTTGGCAATATCAAACTCTTTGTATAGCCTTAGTTTACAAAAAAAGCACCATCAAATTCACTTAAAAGCTTAAAACTTTAGTGATGTCTTAGTAACTATATATCATTATAAGAATGATGATGATGGAAACATAGTAATATAATGCTCTCTTTGCTTTTAGAATATGCTTCCATATCCAGTATAGTGGAGAAAGCTTTGAATTTGGCAGCGGACAAGTTAGTGTCCAAATGTGTTCTACTTTTAAAAATGTTAATGGATCAAAAAATCAGTGTTTCTATTAAAAATTTATTGTTATCCTTCAGGTATATACCCAGTAATGGGATGGCTGGGTCAAATGGTATTTCTAGTTCTAGATCCCTGTTGGGGGAGCAGGGAGGGATAGCATTAGGAGATATACCTAATGTTAAATGACGAGTTAATGGGTGCAGCACACCAACATGGCACATGTATACATATTTAACAAATCTGCACGTTGTGCACATGTACCCTAAAACTTAAAGTATAATAAAAAAAATTTATTGTTGTATATGAAAATGTACTTGGTGTTTATAAAAGGTGCTCAATAAATTTGCCTACTTGAATTTCTTAGAAATCTCTATAGAGGCCAGGTGCAGTGGCTCACACCTGTAATCCCCTCACTTTGGGAGGCCAAGGCCACACCTGATCACACTGTAATCCCCCAACTTTGGGAGGCCAAGGCAGGTGGATCACTTGAGGTCAGGAGTTTGAGATCAGCCTGGCCAACATGGTGAAAACCCATGTCTACTAAAAATACAAAAATTAGCTGAGCATGATGGTGGGTGCCTGTAGTCCATGCTAGTCGGGAGGCTGAGGCCCCAGAATTGCTTGAACCCAGGAGGCGGAGGTTGCAGTGAGCCAAGATTGCACTACACTCCATCCTGGGTGACAGAGTGAGACTCCATCAAAAAAACAAAACAAACAAACAAACAAAAACTCTCTATAGAATTAAATACTTGTGACTTGCATGAGTTGAGGCAGTTTGAGGGGGATCATCACCAGTTTCATAAACAATGATAATAATAATGATTATTTTGTACATTTATGGCCTTCTAGGTACTGTGCTTGGTGATTTACATATATTTTCTTATTTCATCCTCCCACTGTCTCTGTGAGGATTAGGGGCGATTTTCCCTACGTACAGACAAGGAAACTGAGGGTCAGGATCCCACAGATAGAGAAAGGAGGAGACAGGCTAGAACTTGGGTCATTCTGGCTGCAGTCAAGAAGTTGCTGCCACTTAAATGCTCAACCTTTTAATATCTCCACGCGTCTATACAATGAGTTGGAGGGAAAGAGAAAAGAATCTTTTGCATTCCTATCCCTCTTCCCGCCACATGCCACAACTCTAATAATATCCCCTCTTTTTCCCCTTGTCATATCACTGTACACAGAGAGAGAAGTGACAAAACACTCTAGTCTGGGTTTTTGTTTCTGTTCACTTTTCCTGAGAAGTCCATCTTGCCCTGACAACATGACTAAACGTTTTGGAAAGACCACATACTATTAAACTTTCATTGAATGCCAACAGTTACATTGCATCGGGAAGTATCTGTTGAAAAGTCTATCCAAATTTCCCTCTCATTCATGTTCTGAAAGTTTCTAATTACAGGGCAGGGAAAGGAAAAAAAGAAAGGAAGAAAAAAACCCTGTGAGTTTCACATCTCTTACTTCAGACTTAAGAGACTTTGTACACTCACTAAGACTGGTTATTTAGCTTAGTTATAAGAAACAAAGGAATAGAAACCCTGCTATTTTATGAGTATTCATGAGAGTGGTTGTGCCAACTAGTTGCAGTAAGGTTTCCAGAACTGAGCTAATTCTGGGACAAAAAATTCCTACTGTTTCATGTGGTTAGTTGGACAGAAATGCCTTAATTTTGCAGAAACCTAAAATATCTGCTGCTACTATTAACAGTTACAGAGAGAAAAAAGAAAGGACGGCTGCCTATTCCTAACTGGAATTGGACATGCAGCCACTGCCTGACAATAATGGCTAGTGATTTTTATCCTGAAGGAAGTGATTCTATTTCAGTAATTTCTTCATAGGAGGTCTTTGTTTCTTCCCTTGAACATAACTGTGGAATAAAATTTATAAATATAAATTAGATCTGTTCATATGTATTACATTTTTAAAATAAACTTTATTTTGAAATAATTTAAGATAAGAAATTACAAAAATATTACAGGGCTCTCATGTACCCTTCATTTAGCTTTCCCTAGTGTGACATCTGACAACCACAGTACATTATCAACACCAGGAAACTGACATTGGTACAGTGCTATTAATTAAACGACAAACCTTATTTGGATTCCATTAGTCTTTTATATACATTCAATTTTATCCGGTGTGACAACCTCTACTTTTTTATTAGAATGTTACATCGCTCACATTTAATGTTATTGGAAGCATGGTTGGATGTTCATCTTCCATTTTGCTGTTTTCCATGTCTCTTTTTTTAAATTCTTCTGTTCCTTATATTAAATAGCTATTTTGTCGTGGCCCATTTTAATTCCTTCATTGATATTTTAACTATATTTTTGAGTTATTTTCTTAGTGGTTGCTCTAGGAATTAAACTCTATGCCTTAATTTATTATAGTCCGCTTCATATCAATACTGTCTTAATTCCAGTAAAATACAAAAACTTTTCTGCAGTATAGTTCTAGTCCCTGACCGCTCCTCCTTTTTGCAATTATTGTTGTATACATTAGATAGGATTATAATTTATTGCTATGTAAATGCTATATCTTTTAAAGAATTTGAGAGAAGAAAAGGAAATGTTTATAGAATATTTTATATTAATCTACATATATATTTATATTTGAACAATATAATATTTATAGACTATTTTATATTAACCTACCTATTTACTGTTACAGTTAAATAGAAAAGGCTTCAGAGAAATGGTAAATAACTGGTCTGCTGTTTGAAAATGTGATAGAGCTTATTTACTGGTACCCTGTATTTCTTTCTGTAGGTTCAATTATGATCTGGTGTCATTTCCTTGGTCCAGTATACCTCCATTCCATCTCCTTTCTTTTGTGCTATTATTTCATACGTGTGTGTGTGTGTGTGTGTGTGTGTGTGTCTATAGTTGTTTGCAATAATTCTGCCCGGTTTTGTCAATGTGTTTGTTTTTCTGGGAGAGGATTTCCCACATTCCTCGTTCTGCCATTTTGTAAGCTGGTTCACCTATGTATTGGACTTTAAAGTAGAAGCTTTGGCCAAGACCTTAAGCCATAAGATTTAAGACATGCACTACTAAAATGGATAGTGAAACAGCCTACTCTTTGTGTTTTAAAGAAAGCAGATGGACAAGGACATTTATATAATATATAAAACTTACCCACTTCACAGTTATAAAAGCATTGAAATAGTAGAGATGTGGGAAGAGCTTCAGAAGAGTTTTGTTGTTGTTTTGGAGAGCACTGCTGTGAGTACAGCCCCTCTTCCCTTGGGGTGGAGATCTGGAGAGGAATATGCCTACTAATTCCCAATCAAGAGAGGGGCTTTAAAGAGACCACTGAGAACGCTCATCAGAGGGTTTAACATTTGTCTTCTGCAGTAGGCTGGTGTCTTGTCATACTTGGGAAATATAAAGGACACAAGTAGCAGAATAGTTTCATTTAGGAAGTAATTGCATTCTCAGGGTTTGTTGGAAGAAAGAAAACATGTATGAGTATTGTCCATGGACTAAAGAGAACCCTGGGAAGAATCTTAAATCCTATACAAGGCGTTTGCCTGGTAACATGAAAGAACCTCAGAAAACGAAAACTGGAAGTGGACCACAAGATGCACTGGGGCTGTGGAAAAAAACACAAGCCCCCAGCTGGAGTAGAGATGCGTTTGTGCATGTCAGGGAACACAAGGAAGAAATCTCAAAAACAGAGAATCTCAGAAGAATCCACAAAAAGCATCTATGAAAGAAAGACTCAGCTTTAACATGTACCAAGCCAAGAGATCACAAAACCAGCTTATAAAAGTACTGCTGAAGTAATATTTTTCTTGCCTCTATTCTCGCTCTCTCTGCATCCTTTTCCAACTATAAGGGTTTAAAAACCAGAGTTATCAAGCTTGGGAGGGTTTGACCATAGGCAGGGGAGGGGAGAAGTCAATGACTTCATCCCCTTTCTCCTGCAACAAGCTCTACCTTGAGCAGGAGAGAGACTTTAACTCAACGAACCCGGCATTTCAATGTCTGCAGTGACTGGGTTAATTCTTTTTCTCTTTTCCTTTTTCTTTTCTTCCTTTCACATCCAAGTTAACAGAAAAGTTCTGAGGCTGCCTGAGATTTCATCAGGGTAGAAGGAGAGTTAGCCCTGAATAGAATCAAAGAACAAGACAAAGTTGCTTTGAGATTAAATGCCATGAGTCATGTTTGTTTACTCTCTAGTTATCTTGTAGTTCTTAACCTAGTGATTTTACACACACACACACACACACACATACACACATACATACACACAGAAAGGGGGCAGAGAAGGGAGAGAGAGAAACTAGACTTGGACAGTTAGCTATCTTAAGCATATTTCTTGCTTTGGATTTAATATCAGGAGAGTCTCTATCCAAGTCTTGCTGTAAGATACAGTAGTGGATAATAGGTGGTGAACAGAGTGGTTATGAATGAAGTTGCTGGAAATGAGAAGAGGAAATAAAATTGCTGACATTAAACTTTGGATCCCAGCAACAGATTTCCTCTAAACATTTTGAGTACTAATTTCACCCCCTCTGGAATCTCACTTGTTCTGCTTTTTTTAAATAAATAGAGAGCTAATTTAACATCATTTGACATTAAGAATTGTTAGGAATAAGAAAGAGAGACATCAAAAGAGGGTGTGGCACTATTCTGTGGATTCTTTATGCATCAACCTGGCACTACTTTGAATATCCATCCATCCATTGGACAAATCTTTATTCTGAACCTACTATATTTGGGCCATTGTATTCGGCACTAGGGATGTCTCTATTAATAAGATAAATATGGCCACTGACTTAATGCCTCTTTTGTTCTCCCAGGAAAGACAGACATTGCGTCAGTGGAATGAAAGGCTTGAAGGAGGAGTCTAGAGAACACACAGAACCAGTAACAGGCAGACCAAATATACTTTGAAGGTCACGGAAGGGTTCTCTGTGGAAATGACGTTGAGACTGAATCCTGGAGAATGGGTCAGATTTAGCTAGGTAAACAGTAGTTGCCTAAGAGGTTCAACATGATCTGCCACTGCCTAAATTTCCAACCTCATCATAAGCCACTTTCACGTTTGCTCACCATTCGCCAGCCACTTGTCTTCTCTCAGTTCCTCATACTGCCTGCCTGGAACATTATAGTCTAAACCCACTCTCTCCTCACTCTGCATGGCTAGCTCCTTTTTAGTGCTCACCCTCAATTATTCTTTGTTTCTGCATTTTACTTGTTTCCATCATTTTATACAACTCTATTTCCAATTGTTTCTTTTATTTTTTGGATTCCTTGTTTTCTGATTGCTTTCTAGAGATGGAATCTCCAAGAGGGAAGGGAATGTATCTAGCTCCTCACTTTTGCCTCTCCAGTCCCTTGAACAATGTTTGACACATGGTAGTTATGCCTTAAATGTTTGTTGACTAAATGAATGAATAGAAGAGGTAAGTTACAGCCCTGAGTGGGAAAGAGCTTGACACATTTGAAGGAAAGAAAACCAGTATGGCTTTAGCATAGAAAGCAAAAGGGAAAGTAGTGGTATGGGGCTGAGGAAGTAGATAGAAATTCAATTTTGCAATCTTTTGCACTAGTATTCTTCAAATTGCTGTTAGTGAGTCATGAAATCAATTCAGTGGGCTGTTACCAGCATTTAAACAAAAGTAATAGACTGAAATCAGAGTACATTGTACTTAGCAAAAGTATCACATGAAACTTACTTCTATATTTTAAATATTTGTCTGTGTATATATTTATGTATTGTATTGTGATATGCAAAGGTTTCTTCGTTTTGGTTTGCAGTAAATAGATATAAAAGCCACCATTGTAGACCATGTTAAGGATTTCTGATTTTTCTACTAAGGGAATAGAAACTCATTGATGATATTTTCCCAGAAGAATAGGTTTTAAGATTTCCTTCCAATTGGAGACATTAATCATAATAAACAGTGTTACTACTTTTAGCAACATGCATGCATGAAAAATCAGGCTAGCCTGCATTTATTGCTACCCCTAGATTGCCTCATTTTGTTTCTACAAGGTAAGAAGTCTTATATACTATTGTTTCCCCAGTGCCTACTACAGACTAGGTAGATAGTAAAGATGTATTTGTTGAATGAACAAAGTATCTCCTATGAAGCTACTGTTCGTGAATTGAATGGCCATAAGTCCCAGAAGATGCTCTTCTGCTATGCCATTCTCATTATTACAGCTTTTAACACAGAAAACTTTGGTGAGAATAACTACCAGAATCTTGTTTACTTTTTGAGGTTCCACTTGGAGAGTGTCAAGTATAAAGTCAATAGGGCCACAAAGTTTCATGGTATACACCTGTCTGATTCACCATTTTTTTGCTCCCAAGCACCTTGCATAGCACAAGGCATATTGTAGATATTTATTTTTAAGTGGCAAATATATAAAAAAAACTTATTTTCTACTGTCACAACAATAATTACTACAGATAGTACATCTTTCAAGTAAATATATAATGTTATTAGTGATAAGTCTATGTAATGTTTATCTTAAAAGCAAATCATATGCATTGAATATTTATTATGGGCTAGGTACCTTTCACAGTACTGTTATTCACATTACAAGCAAGTAACCTGGGTCTTAGAATATGAAACTGGAACTTGAATTAAGGTCTTTCTAGATCCCATAACCAATGGTGTTTTCACCAAATTATGCTGCTTCAATAAAGAAAATAATTGGCTTTCCTTAATCCTTTGAATCCCTGATAGTACTGTCCTAGCATTGTCCTACATAGACATTTCAGCTTCTGGAGAGGGAGGACATAAGCTCTCAGGAATTACCACTGCTGCAGCAATCTAAAGGCTTCATGCTCTTGGGCCTAGGAGCTTTATGTGGACCATCATATGCATAGAACGCTTCATATTAAGAAATCACTTCTGAGGGGAAATGATATGAGGGAAATATGGATGGTAAAGATGAAAATGAGGCAGGTGATTTTATGTTATATCATCCATAAAAATATATTCCACCCACAGCTCTAGAGTATTAGCTGGATTCTGACTTGGGAACGGATGTAGTTCTCATACTTTGAATTTAGTTGGCACGAAAACATCAGCCATACTAGTAGAAAGTCATTGCTGATCACTTTAAAAATGTTGTAATAGAAATAGCACAGAAAATGCTGATAATGGGAAGTGCTGAATCGTAAGGATTATATCACTCAATATAGGTATATATTTCTTGTATTATAAATTTAACTATAAATACCAGAGTAAAAATTACTCTATTGTAGTTTTGCCTGTATTGTTTTATAATGTTATCCAATAAATATAAAATGTAGTTTCAAAAATACTTAGAGCCTAATCAAAGACACAATACAGTATAATAGTAAATGGATAATCATGTTTGTAAGATGTGTGTAATATGTAGTTAATTAGGGAAAAATAATAAGAGATAAAGGAGAAACTCATATCGATATTGATTAACAGTGTAAGACAGCATAGTAGAACAGAGGATGAGGGATGAGGGTAATACAACTTATGGATAAATAGAAAATGAACATCCCTTGACTTGAGCAAAATGCTTTAGTGTAACTGGGCTTGAAAATTATCCCTCTTACCTGTATATATATATCCTATCATTCATTCATTATTTAACAAATATGTATTAAGGGCCCACATGTGCCTACACAGGGACTGGAAATTTCACAATGAATGAAACACACAAAAAACCTGCCTTCATAGAATTTATATTCTAATGAAGAAGGGAGAAGAGATAGTAACACAACAAAAACTACATAAGTGGATGTTAGATGGTCATAAAGCAAGAAAGCAGCGGTTTTGCCAATTTTAAATAATACAGTCAGGGAAGACTCCACTGGAAAGATGATATTGGAATAAAATCCTGAAACTTACTAACAATAGCAGCCAGGTCCAATCAAAATAACAGAAATGTGAAAGCTGAGTGCCTTAGTCTGTTTCATGCTGCTATAACAGAATGTGACCCACTGGGTAATTAATAAAGTGAACAAATTTATTGGCTTACAGTTTTGGAAGCTGGGAAGTCCAAGGCCAAGGAGCCAGCAGTTTTGGTGCCTGGTGAGGCTATTCTTTTCTTTCAAGATAGCCATTGTCCAGAGGAGATGAAGGCTGTATCTAAAATATGGCAGAAGGCAAAAGGGCTAAGAGAGAGAGCCCATTCCATGAGCCCCTTTAAAAAGGTATTAAACCCACACATGAAGGTGAAACCCTCATCATCTAATCACCTCTCAAAGGCCCCACCTCCCAATACCATTACATTAGCAATGAAATTTCAACATGATTTTTGGAGGGAATAATAAAACTATAGCACTAAAGTAGTTTATAATTGGTTAATGTTATCAGGAAACTTTTCTATTAGGTTTAAAATAAGAAAACGCAAAACAAAGATTATAGTAATTTATCATGATAAATTAGACTCATAGTTTGGCCTCATCTTTATTTAAAAAGTTGATTTAAAATGCTGTATACATTTTGAGCCTGATTAATATGCATGATAAGATAAAAGTATTTGTACTTTAGGAGCTTAAGAAGTAAGTGATGAAAGTAAATAGACGTTTTACTTTAAAAACATTTTTTTTCTTGTTGGTACAAATAATGATGGTTGATGCACCAGAATGAAGAACGGGGGGAATCCTTATTTTTTATAATTCTTAAATAGAGAACTATGGGTGATTTTTACCATTCATATAATATTGCTTCATATTTTTTACAACCAAATATAGTGAAGAAAGTGAGTTTAAAAACTCAAGAGCGTATTAGAAGATCCCATTTTTTTAAAAAAAAATTTAAATCCTCTCTTTTCCTATTGCTTTAAGTATTAAGAAAAAGCAGTGAAAAGGCCTGGAAAGATACACATCATAATGAAAATGGTGATTACACTTTATTCTTTGTTCACTTCAGCAGTTTTTGTTTGTGACAATGAGCAGGAATCATTTTTATATTTTTTTAAAGTTGATGTTTAAAAAGAAAGATCACTAAAAATTTAAAACGAATTTGATTTATTTTGAAATAAAAACATTTTAGAATTTACATATTAAAGATAGATAATAAAGATATTTGAAAAGGTATTCCAAATTAGATGTAACTTATAAAATGCTGAAATACAAGTGTATGTTGTTTTATGAAATCTCAAGGACTTGGTATAATGGAATAGCAAAGATGTTCATTCATTAAATAGTTTTTTATTTGATTTTAAATAACAGAGTAAGTGTAGAAGAAAAAAGGAAAGTATAGAGAGTATTTTTCCATTAAAATATTTTTATTTAACTGCTTCCAAATTAAACTGGTGTCTTCAAATGAACAAACATTTCTTTAAAAATGTCATTACTAAAGTTCAAATTCAACATGAATGTACTTTTATAATTCCTAACGAATAGCTAAGGTGAAAATATCTTTCTTTTTTATTGTGAATTTGTATATTGCTGACCCTACTGAGAAAACAATGACATGTGGCTTAATTATGATATAAACAGTACAAAAATAATTTTAAGTTTCCGTAATTTCAACATATTTCTCATAAAATACTTGGCAAATGAAAAGCAACACAAGCCCTGTAGTTTCCTAATAATTATTCACAGTATAAATTTGAACAAGTAAATATGGAAAATAAACAGTATCATCCAAACATGTTTACCTTTTCTCTAAGTGATGTGTGATAACCCATTCGTATACACAGGGAACTCAACCTATCTAGTGTCCTTGGGTAGACTTTTTCTTCCTAAGACGCATACTCATAATTGTTTAAATCTTAGAACTGCATCCAAGAGGAAGCTTAACAATAGTGATTGTTTATTTTGTAGGTTTTAAAGACGCTAGAGTGCCAAAGAAGACTTTGAAGTGTGAAAACATTTCCTGTAATTGAAACCAAAATGTCATTTATAGATCCTTACCAGCACATTATAGTAAGTCATTCACTGTTTATGAATTCTTTCTTGGAGGGGGTCTGATATGTTTCTGTGAATATTGCGGGTGTTGCTAGTAAAGTCAAACTGTGACAACTTCTGCATTTGTTATTAAACTCATATGAACTTAATATAATACAAAGAGGCTATGGAACATAATAAAAATAATTTATCTCTTCATTTTATTACTGTAAGTTTCCAGAAAAGAGGAACTTGAAAGGAAAAAAATACCCAAACACCATAATAATAATGGAACAATAAAAAATGTTGTTATCACTTAGCAATCATCAGCCTGCATAGTTTACACCCTTCACATGAGTTGGTGGAAAGAAGAATAAAAGTAAAAGAATTTCTGAGTTTAGGGCTATGTTATGGTTTGCATTTTCAGGGCAATTAATTCTATAAACTTTCCCTTAGTTAGATATGTTTAAATAAATTCTTCTATGGGTGCTTAATTTTAGTGAAGAGTTAAGTAATTCAAATTTTAGTACATAATTTTCCGAACTCCAGTGGAAGTATACATGCTCTCTTCTGGTCAATAAACAGAAGGGAGATTTCCTTACTGAATTCAACATTTGAGACTCAGGTTTATAAGAAGTAGATAAAGGTTTTATGGATATTTAAGGAGTAATCCATAGCCTCATTTTTACTTGAAATAAAATGCTGTTTTCTTACTCTGCATCCATTTCTAGATATCATCCTCTTTCTTGCCCTCCTTGGATGAAAAGTTTAATATATTATAATTATTTGTAATGTCTTCTTCCTGTCCATTCACAACTTGAATCATTGACCTGGACTCAGCCCTTCCACTTCACAAAAAGGTCTAATTAATTGGCTTCTTTGGTGTTAAATCCAATAAACTCTTCAGTCCCCCCACTCCTTCTACCCAACTCTGCTGCTCATTACTGTTTTCTTGAAACTCTTCTCAGATTTTTCTGGTTTTGTTTCTTCTGTTTCCTTGCTGTTGGTTACTTCTCAGTTTTCTTATGCAAGCTCTTCTTTCTGTCTGACTCTCTTTTTTTAATAAATTGAGGTATAATATACATAAAGTGCATAAATCTTAATTGTTAAGCTTGATGGATTTTTACATATGTATTCCACCCACGAAACCATCACTCAGATTATAAGTACCCAGGAAGACTTGCTCATATACCTTCTAGTCAATAACTTGCCTCAAAGGTAGCCAATATTTTACCTCTATTATCATGGGTAAGTTCTGCTTATTTTTGACCTTCATATACATTTCTGCATTCAACGTTGTGTCTATGAGATTCATTCATGTTGTTGTGAGTAGCACACTTCCACACTTTTACATTGCCTTGTGGTTTTTCATCATTTGAATGTCACAAGCTATTTATTTAATCTACTGATAACCATCATATTCTTTTTGAATGGCAATGGTGATTTCCTATAAATCAGGCTACCATATATGTGTGGCTTCATTTCTTTTCCGTTTTATTAGTCAGATAGTCTGTGTTTGCCCCAATACCAATCTATCCTAATTTCTGTAGTTTGCGCCAATACTAATCTATCCTAATTTCTGTAGCTTTAAAATATGTCTTTATGTATGGCAATGTAAATCCTCCAATTTTTTCTTCTTCAAGAATATCCTGTCTAGTTATAGTTCTTTGCATTTCCATATAATTTTTGGATTCATTTTGCCAATTTACACACACAAACACACACACACACACTCATGCATGCATGTACACGCACATGCACACAAAATTGCTGGGATTTTGGTTGGGACTGTAATGATTCTACAGAGGAGAGATAATATGATAACAATATTGAGTCTTCCAATCCATTAACAAACCATGAATCTCATCCACAACTAAACGTTACTTAATTTTATCTTTAACTATCTCAGTAATGTATTATAGTTTTCTTTAAGAAATCTTGTGTGTATATATATATATACATATTTTATATGTATTTTTTGATATTTGATGTTTTAATGTAATTGTAAAAGTATTTGCAAACTTTATTTTCCAATTAGTTGTTGCTTTTTTTTTTTTTTGAGATGGAGTCTCACTCTGTTGCCCAAGCTGGAATGCTGTAGTGCTATCAGAGCTCACTGCAACTACCATCTCTCGGGTTCAAGCAATTCGCGTGACTTAGCCTCCCCTGTAGCTGGGATTATAGGCGTCCACTACCATGCCTGGCTAATTTTCTTGTATTTTTAATAGAGACGGAGTTTTGCCATGTTGGCCAGGCTGGTATTGAACTCCTGATTGTTTATGTTTAGCAGAAAAATATGAAAAAATTATTTATAATAACCATAAGATAATGTAAGCCTACAGTGTAAGGGCTCTGATAAGAGACAATGAAGATCACTCTGGAGTACATAACAGGAAGAATTAATAACAGGAATCCTTCTGGAAAGGATTTCTAGGGGAAGTAAGATGTCAGCATAGACCTGAAGGTTAGCAGAAATTTGTCAGTTAAAGAGAGAGAAAATGACTTTTCTGAATTGGAAAAAATAAGCATATGTGAAGTAGTCTGAAGGCGGGATATAATAGTACATGATTCAAGGAAATGAAAGAAGTTCAGTATGGTTGGAACACAAAACATTTCAAAAAATATGATTATTTTGAATGACTTTAACTCTTCTACTTGATCTGACCAGGCCTTATTACTGACTGCCATGCAGCCCCCACATGTGTCTGCCATGCAGCCCCCACATATATTATACATATATAATATATAATATAATTATATAATTATATAATATTCTATAATATATATTATATAATTATATAATTACATAATATAATATAATTATATAATATGTCTGCCATGTTAAAAGAAGAAACTGAATGGCCAGTTCACCAGATCATCTGGCAAGACACATGTGGGGGCTGCATGGCAGTCAGTAATAAGGCTGACTGCCTTATATTATATGTATATATTATATTTATATTATATGTAATATAATATAAATATAATATTATATATATTATAAATATAATATTATATTCATATGTATTATATAAATGTAATATAATATATAATATATATTATATAATGTATAATATATACTATATAAATATATAATATAATATATAATATATAACATGTATAATATATATACAATATATAACATAATATACTATATATAATATATAATATAATATAACTATAGAATATAATATGAATATATAATATAAATTATAATATTAATATAAATATAAAATATATTATATATATTTAGTTTTTACATTTTTTAAAATTAAACTTTAAGTTCTAGGGTACATGTGCACAACGTGTAGGCTACATAGGTATATATTTGCCATGGTGGTTTGCTGCACCTATTAACTCATCATTTACATTAGGTATTTCTGCTAATGCTATCCCTTCCCCAGCCCCCCACACCCCTGACAGGCGTTGGTGTGTGATGTTCCCCGCTCTGTGTCCAAGTGATCTCATTGTTCAGTTCCCACCTATGAGTGAGAACACTTGGTGTTTGGTTTTCTGTTCCTGTGTTAGTTTGCTGACAATGATGGTTTCCAGCTTCATCCATGTCCCTGCAAAGGACATGAACTCATCCTTTTTTGTGGCTGCATAGTATTCCATGGTGAATATGTGCCACAGTTTCTTAATCCAGTCTATCATTCATTGGTGAACATTTGAGTTGGTTCCAAGTCTTTCCTATTGTGAATAGTGCCACAATAAACATACATGTGCATGTGTCTTTATAGTAGCATGATTTATAATCCTTTGGGTTTATACTCAGTAATGGGATTGCTGGGCCAAATGGTAATTCTAGCTCTAGATCCCTGAGGAATCGCCACACTGTCTTCCACAATGGTTGAACTAGTTTACAGTCCCACCAACAGTGTAAAAGCATTCCTATTTCTCCACATCCTCTCCAGAATCTGTTGTTTCCTGAGTTTTTTATGATTGTCATTCTAACTGGCGTGAGATGGTTTCTCATTGTGGTTTTGATTTGTATTTCTCTGATGACCAGTGATGATGAGCATTTTTTCATGTGTCTGTTGGCTGCATAGATGTCTTCTTTTGAGAAGTGTCTGTTCATATCCTTTGCCCACTTTTTGATAGGGTTGTTTTTTTCTTGTAAATTTGTTTGAGTTCTTTGTAGATTCTGGATATTAGCCCTTTGTCAGATGGGTAGACTGCCAAAATTTTCTCCCATTCTGTAGGTTGCCTGTTCACTCTGATGGTAGTTTCTTTTGAATGGCAGAGTATATTTAAAAATCAAACTTCATCTGGACATCTAAGGTTCAGCACTGGGACCTTTTCTTGAAAATTTTGTTAACTATAGCAACATATTTAGGCTATAGTAATTACCTATGTGGTAATATTATATTATACCATATTACAAAACATGAATAAACCATATATTGGTATCATGTTTTTCGTTAGTTTCTCCAACATCAGGCTTAGACAGCAACTAGCATTCTAATTTATAGCCCTTTTAAATGAAGAGATCTGTGAGCTTTACAGTTTTCTTTATTCTTCTTATTCTCGCTATGTGTATATGGAAAAAAAACCAACTGTGGGTGTGTGCGTGTGTGTGTGTGTGTGTGTGTAAATTGTTTTAAAAAAAATTTCCTGCTCTGATTTTCACAGAAAGATATTTTTCAAAATATATAAATGAGCAAGCACACTCAACACTGAATGATATTAGTGAAAGGGAAAGTTGAGTGAATCAAGCCAGCTTACTATTAATAGTAATGAGCTCTTGGTGCCAAACAGGCTAACACAGCTTTGGTTGCCTCAAGGCCAGGAGACTGGGCTCATTTTCACCATTCCTGTGATGCAGGGACATGTTGGAGAATCCTGTGGGCTGATGCAGCAATTTGCAGCCAGCAAGCTCTCTTGCTTCCAATGGTGCTTGGATTTTAAGAAGCTGGTAGGAAAACAGAGTGACAAATACATGACAGAATTTAGTTTCCTTATGTTTAGAATCATTACGAGGTGCCTTCCAACCTCAAGGATTTTTGTGCCTTCAAAATTTATTGAAGTTTTTTATTTTTTTGACCAGGAGCCATGAATTTTACAAGAAGAAGTCAAGTATAAAATATTTATAACATTTTCCATCTTTTTACTCTGAAAATGTGAGTCATATCCCTGAAGTGAAAAAATTCACACCTCTTTCTGCCACCTATTAACAATGGAGGGGCACTGCTCCACATCCCACAGAAACTAAGGTTGTCTTCACATTAGGGACAGTAAACCATGTGGATATGGCAGCATGATTGCATAGTAAAATACAAGGGCTTTCAAAAATATAATTGTAGGATGACTGGAAATTTTACCAAAAATATAGAAAGCTATTATTCAGATTATTACAGTAACACAGGAAAGAAAACCACCACTGAATAAGTAATCAAAGAACTAGTGTTCTGGTAGGAGTTCTAGTCTTAACCAGTTACATGATCATGGACACGTAGACTCTGACTTTTACCTGCCTCATCTGGAAAATAGGGTATGAATAGGACCTGCTGTGTCTGCTTCACAGAGCTTTTATAAATAGTAAATTGTTATGTGCACAAAATTATTCCTTTGAAATAATGAAATAAGATATTTTTAGAAAAGTTAGATGATGAGATGTCGCTACTAGAAAATCATAAATATGAAAGTGGTAGAACTATTATTACAAAAGCACAGGACTGTAAATGAGTTAATAATGAGTTTTTTGGCAAATAGAATTTCTTTGAGCACTAAAAATCTAGAAAAATGAGGAAGAAGAAAGCTAGTGTATTAGGGTTCTCTAGAGGATCAGGACCAATAGGAGATATTAATTTATTAAGTATGTGGTATTAATTAATTTATTATGACAAACAGGAGATATTAATTTATTAATTTATTATGAGACATTAATTAATTGATAATTGATTAATGATTGGCTCACACAATTATGGAGGCTGAGCAGTCCTACGATCTGCCATCTCAAGCTGGAAATGCTGTAAAGTTGGGGTGTATTTTGGTCTTAGTCTGAAGGCCTGAGAACCAGGGGAGCTGATAACGTAAATCCCAATCTGAGGGCAGGACAAAATGCAAGGAGCTGTCTCGCTCAGTGAGGTGAGAATAAATGGGGGTGAATTCTTCCTTCTTCCACCTCTGTTCTGTTTGGGCTCTCAACAAATTGGGTGATGCCCAACTGCATCCAGGAGGGCAATCTACTTTACTGAGACCACTGATTCAAATGGTAATGTCGTTTAGAAATACCCTCACAGGCACACCTAAAAACAATGTTTAATCTGGACAACACATGGCCTACCGAAATTGATGTGTAAAATTAATCATCACAGCTAATGGTAAACTTCTAACTTTTCCTTGATATCAGCCATGCCCTGCCACAAGCCTCCCTTAGGAGGCAAAAGTGCACTAATTCAAAGTAATGTCCATGTTTCTGCTTCTTTACCACACAACATAGATCAGAAATTCCTAGAAAGTCACTGGGTTTATGTTTCCGTTCTCAAATTTCTTTTTGGTTCTTTTTAAAATCTTCTCAGCCATTTTTTATACTCCCAGTTCCATATAGTCATATTTCAATTTGACTTTCTTTTCCTTGAACATCGTAAGTATAGTATAGCTGATTAATGGATGGGTTTATTTCTGTGCCTGTTGATTAATTATGCTAGTTTGTAGTCTTGGTGACATGACTCGTTATATTCCCAGTTATCTTTGATTTTGTGTTGAACATTATGGTGAAAAATAGAAGTAATCCTTTAGAGATAACTTATTTGCTTCCGTCAGGCCCCTGGGGACACTAGCAGTTTGGGACAAATGTAATCCCAGTTCCAGATTGGTTTTCTGGGCAGCTTGTATTACATTAAAATGGGTTACCAGTACATGGAAAGGATGTTCATGCTTAGTCCTATGTCACAGTCTATGGAGATTTTACTTTGAAACAGGAGTGTGGTTTACCAGCGACCTTATCCTTAGAACGCCGAGGAATCTCTCAAGGCTGTGCAGTCTCTCCATTCTCTCCTCTTCCGGATCAGCAAATGCCCCTATGGCAAAACTGAGCTCACCTCTCTGGGTTTTTGTGCTCTTTTTCACCTTTGCTCTCTGCCTTGGTAGTTAATGCTTTCCTATCTAGTTAGTTCTTTCCTACTTTTAGGAAAATGTTTATTTTTAAAAAACATTGTCCAGTTTATAGTTACTTTTAGTGGGCAATGGTCACCCAGATTACTTAATCTGCTGTTATCATGAGTGGAATTCCCTCATTACTTCTTTCACAGTCAGTCAGTAGTGCCTCCAGACAATCCCAAAAAGTTGGATAATCATCCTATTTTATAGGAGTTCCACAGATGCTAAAGTCATCCCCCAAACTTGACATTCAACACTGCCCTATGTGAAATTCTAATGTTGGAGTCTGGATTTGTGCCAGGGAACCCTTGAGAAAATCCTGTGTTATTGGCCAGACTGTTGGTTCTTCACCATATGACAGTTATTTTCTACATCTAGAATGTGGATCTTCACTGCTCAGTAACATGAGATAAATAAAGGAAGGACTCCTCCCCATTGAAGGCTGTGTGCTCAGAGTAAGAAAACCTCATTTTACCCACGATATCATTTTATTTAGTGTATAATATTAAGTAAAATAATATATTTAATTTATATATAATTATATACCAATGTAATATATTATTATTAACATGAGTGTAGAAATAATAAAAATATTGAAAACTTTACTTTTCAATTTTCAGTTATTTTTATATATTGTCATTTAATTCTCAGAAAAATCATATGAAGTTGGTTTTCTGATTGCCTTTTTATATATGAAGAAACAAAAACAGAAAATATAAGAGACTTTATTGTAAATGCCTTTCTGACTTATGTCTGTCTCTTTTAGTTATGAACTTTTTTTTTGAGACAGGGTCTCACACTGTCACCCAGGCTGGAGTGCAGTGGTGAGATCTTGGCTCATTGCAGCCTCTGCCTCCCGGGTTCAAGCGATTCTCTTGCCTCAGTCTCCCAAGTAGCTGGGATTACAGGCGTGGGCTACCACGCTCAGCTACTTTTTTGTATTTTTAATAGCGATGGTCACCATGTTGGCCAGGCTGGTCTGAAACTCCTGACCTTAAGTAATCCACCTTCCTCAGTTTCCCAAAGTGCTGGGATTACAGGCCTGAGCCATCGCGCCTGGCCTGAACCTTTTATTTGTTGCTTAATGAAAAGAACAAGTAAAGCAGGGAGGTTTTTAAGAAGTTCCTCAAAATAGGGATAAAATATCTAAAATAGTATTTGTTAGCATATCCATATTTTCAAGTGTATTGGATCTATTAGCCTTAAGGTTCACATTTGAAAACCATCTGTGCAAAGACATCTTAGATCTTCATGAACATGACATATCATCTAGGGCAGTAATTCTAAACCAAATAAATATGACTTCCCCAAAGCGCCAAGGATGTGTGAGAAAAACTTTTCAAATGTACATGCTACTTCATGTGTTCTAATGAGCTCCTCTAGAAAGGTGAAGGTGCACCTGTTTTTCACAGTCCACTCAGTCACTGTTACTCCAGAAGAATGTAGATTTCCTCATAAGTATTGAGGTAGGAAAAGGCTGATGTTCACACTTTTTTTGTGTGATGCTATAGATATTTAGTTACCATTGGACTAGAATCTATATTACACTTAAAATTTAGGTGCTAGATATTTGGGCAGTTGTTTCATTTCAATGTTTTAAGGATATTATAGTCACTATAAACTCATGATGAATATATCATTAAGTAAATATTTTACCATTTTCTTTTTTAAAGACAGGGTCTGCTATATTGCCTAGGCTGGCCTCGAACTCCTGGGCTCAAGCGATCCTTCTGTCTGAGCCTCTCAGGTAGCTGTAACTACAGGTGTACACCATGGCACCCAGTTAAATTAGAACTTTAGAACCAAGCTATTAACATTAATATTTTCTTGTACTGGTTTTCACTGCTAGAGCAATCCCTGCAATCTTTTTCCTTTTTTGTTTGACACTTCACTTTTTAAAATTCTGTTTTTAATTGACACATAGTAATTATATATATTTATGGGGTACAGTATGATGTTCCATTGTATTATACATTGTGTAATAATTAAATCAAGATTTGTAGCATATTCATCATCTCATACATTTATCACATCTTTGTGGTGAGCACATTAAAAATCTTCTCTTCTATTTTGAAATATGCAGCATGTTACTATTAACCATAGTCATCCTGCTGTGCTATAGAACACCAGTACTTATTTCTCCTACCTAACTTTTTACCCGTTTACCATTCTCTCCCCCATTTTCTCCTTCCTCCTATCTTCCCTAGCCTCTGGTAACCACTATCTTACTCTCTACTTCTATGGCATCAACTTCTTTAGATTCCACATATGGGTAGATGTTGTGCTATTTGTTTTTCTGTGCAAATATATAATTTTTTTTTTTTTTTTGGGGACAGAGTCTCCCTCTTTTGCCCAGACTGGAGGGCAGTGGCATGATCTCAGCTCACTGTAACCTCCGCCTCCCGGGTTCAAGCCATTATCCTGTCTCAGCCTCCTGAGAAGCTGGGATTACAGGTGCCTGCCACCACGCCTGGCTAATTTTTTATATTTTTAGTAGAGATGGGGTTTCACCATATTGGCCGGGCTGGTCTTGAACTCCTGACCTCAGGTGATCCACCTTCCTCGGCCTCCCTCCCAAAGTGCTGGGATTAAGGCATGAGCCACCACTCCTGACCGCAAATATGTAACTATTTAGCATAATGTCCTCCAGGTTCATCCCTGTTGGAACAAATGACAGGATTTCCTTCTTTCTTATGGTTGAATAGTATTCCATTGTGTATATGTACCACTTTTATTTATCCATTCATCCATTGATGGGCACTTAGGTTGATTCCACATCTTGATTATTGTGAATGATGTTGCAATAAACATGGGAGTGCAGATTCATCCTTGACACTCTGCTTTCATTTCCTTTAGATATATGCCCAATAGTAGGATTGCTGGACCATATGGTAGTACCATTTTTAATTTTTTTGAAAAACCTCCATACTGTTTTACACAATGGCTATACAAATTTAGTTTTCCACCAACAGTGTATAAATGTTTCTCTTTCTCTACATCTATGCCAGCATTTGTCATTTTTGTGGTTTTTTTAATGGCAATTCTAGTTGGGATGAGGTAATATCTCATCGTGGTTTTGATTTGCATTTCCCTGAGGATAAGTGATGTTGAGCATTTTTTCATATACTTGTTGGCCATTTGAGTGTCTTCTTTTGAGAAATGTCTATTTAAGTCTTTTACTTGTTTTAAAAATCAGATTATTATTATTATTATTATTATTATTTTGTTATTGAGTTGAGTTCCTTATATATTCTGGATACCAGTCCCTATACTCGTGATTAAAAGAGGACTTAAAATCTTCTTACTGCAATAAGAATGCACTCTATATTTGCTTTTATTTTTAAAAATATATACAACTATAGGCCAGGTGTGGTGGCTCATGCCTGTAATCCCAGCACTTTGGGAGGCTGAGGTGGGCAGATTGCTTGAGCCTAGGAGTTTGACACTAGCCTGGCAAGCAAGGCAAAATCCCATCTCTACAAAAACAAAAACAAAAAACAAAAATTAGCTGGGTTTGGTGGTGTGTGCTTGTAATCCAAGCTACTTGGGAGGCTGAGGTCGGAAGATCATCTGATCCACTGAACTCTAGCCTGGGTGATAGAATGAGACTCTGTCTAAATAAAATAAAATAAAAATATATACATATATATATATATAAAATATAATATATTGCCAAACTTAATGTATATACTTGTGCAGGTGATAAATTTCTTGTTCAAGGGGAGAAGAATCTCAAGTCATATTTCTGATTTTGATTTTCTTTTAGTGATGTCTTCTAGAGCTAACAAATTATGTTCCAAATTAGGTGTTTTGAGCATTGAGATAATTTCTGCACATGGCCAACCCATGTCTGAGAATTTTTAAAAAAAGATTAGATAGTATTGTTAGACTAAAAATAGATAATGCTGATCATTCTTTAAAAAGTGTAGGTGAATAATAGCAAAATGACTGTGCTTCACAGTTATATTAGAATGAAACTCCACACCTGAAAGCGAAACTGAAAATAAGTATCTTACCAAAAAAACCTCAGGATTTATTAATGACATCAATGCAACTATTAAAAAAAATTTCTGAGAAGGTGCCTATTGCCAGTTGTGGTGATCATAATCTCTGGGTTCAGTAATCACACATCATAGTCTTTGTCATACTAACAGTTTTAGTTTTAAAAATTAGGCAAAGTTAGGTTGAATAGAGAAAAACAATATTTGCATTCAGAATCTACTTTATTTTCCATCAACTTTATTTTATGATTGTTTCTTTGGTTCTTGTCTTATAACAGTAGAGTTTTAAACAGATTAGGAAGATCATCAAATTGATTTGGTATAAATTGGTTCTTTTTTTCAATGCCAATCATAGTTACATATATCAATATACTTATCCAGAATGAATTTAATACAGTAGCTGTTTTCCTACTGAATAGAAAATTGTAATTTTGAAATGAAAAATTGTCTTGGTTTTTACTATAGAAATGATTTTAAATGCAGAAAGACACTCAAAGTAATCCAAAACCTGAAGGCAAAGCTTAATCTTTGTGACTAAGTCGGATTGAGCTTAGATTTGACATCTCAATTGAAATATGACATCTCTCTCTGCCAACTACCAGCCACCATTGTCCTGAGTCATTAGTTTCCCTTGGAGAATATTGGTTGTGAATTCAGTAATATAATTTCCTCTGGCACTATCCGTGAGATATAACCAAACATCTCCTATCCAAGTTGAAACCTAGTGCAGTCTGGACTAGTTTGAAATTGCATGTGATAGTGGCCCCAGGAAACATGGTAAGCGGTTCTCAAAAGACTATTTGGATAATCATCGATTGAAACTGAACATCTTTCTCCAAGAATATGTGCTTACTTTATTATAGTTACTCTCTTATTAATCCTTAAAGCTCTTATAAAGAGATGGGCACAGACACAGAACAGCAAGGCTGAATTCTAGTAAAAGTTCACCATTTACTATCTATGAGTAACTGGGAAATTACTGAGCCTCTCAGAGTCTCATTTTACTCATTTATAAATATAATCACACCTATTCTTTAGGGTTGTTTGGAATATTAAATGACAGTTGGTGTCTAGTAGAATGTATGACATATGGTTCACATTCAATGAGTCCTTATAATAAAAACAATCTTTTTGTACATGTTATTAATAACATTTAGAATATGAATATATTTGCAGCAACTTCAAAAATCAAATATTAAATAATGGATAAAAAATATTGCTCATAGTTTTTATGATACAAGGAAGGTTCCTAGGTATTTGAAAACCCATGTAATATTAGAAGTTCTTAGATATGCAAAAAAGCATAGATGATTTTGGGAGGGGAGCATCATTATGTATAATAATTATTATTGAGATGGTTCCTTTTGTGGAGAAAGCTAATTTTTAAGTTAGATTTTCAAGAGCATTTTCTCATTGTATTTCAGGCCCAGTTATCATCTGTGTAGATTCATTTTCTGCATGTGGATGTCCAGTTGTTCCAGCAACATTTGTTGAAAAGACTATCTTTGCTTCATTTTATTGTCTTTTCTCCTTTGTCAAAGATCAGTTGACTTTATTTATGTGCGTCTGTTTTCTGTTCCATTGATCTGGTTTGTTTGTTTATTTTTTTGTTTGTATTTTTTTTATTGCCAGTATCACACTGTCTTGATTACTGTAGCTTTATAGTAAGTCTTGAAGTTGCATAGGGTCAGTCCTCTAATTTTTTTCTTCTCCTTCAAATTTGTGTTTACTATTCTGGGTCTTTTGCCTCTTCATATGAATTTTAGAATCAGTTACTTGTTTTCACAGAATATTTTGTGATTTTTATTGGGTCTTTGTTGAATCTATAGATCACATTGGAAAGAAATGACATCTTTACATTATTGAGTCTTCCCATCCATGAATATGGAATATCTCTCCATTTATTTAGTTCTTCCTTGATTTATTTCATATGAATTTTGTATTCTTCCTCATATAGATCTTCTACATACATTGTTAGATTTATAACTATTTCATTTTGGGGAGTGCTAATATAAGTAGTATTGTGTTTTTAATTTCAAAGTCTACGTGTTCATTTCTGTATATAGAAAAGCAATTGACTTTTGTGTATTAATCTTATCTCCTGCAAACTTGTTATAGTCACATAATTAGTTCCAGGAGTTTTTTTTTAATTGATTATATTGGGTTTTCTACATAGACGTTCATGTTATCTGTAAACAAAGTTTTATTTCTTCATTCTCAATCTATATGCCTTTTATTTCCTTTTCTTATCTTATTGCATCAAATAGGACTTCCAGTACAATGTTGAAAAGGGTGATGACAGGGAAACTCCTTGCCTTGCTCCTGATCTTTTCGGGGAAGCTTCCATTTTGTCATCATTAAATATGACATTAATTATAGGTTTTTTGTAGATGTCCTTTATCAAGTTGATAAAGCTCCCTTCTATTTCTAGCTCACTGAAATTTTTTATTATTATGGATGGATGTTAAATTTTGTCAAATGCTTTTTATTCATCTGTTGATATGATCATGTAATTTTTCTTGTTTAGCTTGTTGATATATGGATTAAATTAATAGACTGTTGAATGCTGAACCAGCCTTGTGTATCTGACATAAACCCCGCTTGGTCACGGTGTATAATTCTTTTTTTTTTTTTTTTTTTTTTTGAGACAGAGTCCTGCTGGAGTCCCAGGCTGGAGTGCAATGGCGCTATCTTGCTTGCTGCAACCACTGCTGCCAGGGTTCAAGCAATTCTCTTGCTTCAGCCTCCCAAGTAGCTGGGATTACAGGCACACACCACCATGCCCGGCTAATTTTTTTTGTATTTTTAGTAGAGATGGGGTTTCACCATGTTAGCCAGGCTGGTCTCAAACTCCTGACCTCAGGTGATCCGCCCGCTTCCGCCTCCCAAAGTGCTGGGATTACAGGCGTGAGCCATTGGGCCCCGCCCGGTGTCTAATTCTTTTTCTATGTTGTTGGACTTGATTTGCTAATATTTTGATGAGAACTTTGGCAAGTATGTTCATGAGAAATATTGGCTTGTAGTTTTCTTTTCTTGTAATGACTTTGTCTGGTTTTGGAATTAGGGTAATGGTGGCCTCCAAGAAAGATTTAAGAAGCATTCCCTCTGCTTTTATCTTCTGGAAAGATTGTAGATAATCGATACAAGAATTGATATAGTTTCCTCTTAAACATGTGGTAGAATTTAACAGTGAAACCATGTGAACATGGTGCTTTCTGTTTTGTAAGGTTATTAATTGTTGATTCAATTTCTTTAATAGATATGCACCTATTTAGATTGTCTATTTCTTCTTATGTAAATTTTGGTAGATTCTATCTTTTAAGAAATCGATCCATTTCATCTAGGTTATCAAATTCGTGAGCATAGAGTTGTTTGTAGTATTTCTTCTGTTATCCTTTCAATGTCCACGCGATCTGTAATAATGTCCCTTATCATTTCTGATATTAGTAGTTTTGTTCTCTCTCTCTCATCCTTTTTTTTTTTTTTCTTAGCATGGCTAATGGCTCATTGATCTTATTGATTTTTTCAAAGAACCAAAGTTTGGTTGCATTGATTTTTTCTATTTCCTGTTTCCAATTTTATTGATTTCTGTTCTAATTTTTATTAGTTTTTGTTTACCTTGGATTTAATTTGCTCTTTTTTTTCCAGTACCCTAAGGTGGTAACTTAGATTATTGATTTTAGTTCTTTCTTCTTTTTTAATATATGCATTCAGTGCTATAAATTTCCCATTCAGTACTGCTTTCAAGGCATCATTCAAATTTTGACAAGGTGTACTGTCAATTTCATTTAGTTTCAAATATTCTTATGATTGATCATTTATGTATAATAAAACTTTGGCTACTCAACTCTTGGATGTTGAAGGTATTTCTTTTTTTAAATAAAGTTGAATAAGCATTATTTTGAAAGATTTTTATGCTTCCCTGCCTTTTTAAACAAGGTATGCTCATTATTCATGTCTTCACCTCTTTGATGCTGTACTATAAATTGAAATATTAATTACATTATTGATGGAGTGATTTCTACAGAAGCTATTGAGTGCTGTCTAATTTTTGTCCATATATTCTACTACTGCTGGTCCTTATCAATCTGTCTACACTTTTGACAATTTTTTTTGCCTCCTTGCATTTAGACTGTCACTGCTCACTTTTCAGTATTGTCAGTATCTGAGCCTCTTTTTAATCAATTATGAACTTTTCAACCAGTTAAGCAAGCCTACTAAAATTAAGGGAAGTGAACTCTCCTAAGATTAAAACAAGAAATGTTTGAGTTTTAGATAAAGACCTTGTAATCTTCTCAGTTGCTCCAAGAACTATGTGAGTTCCTGCTTCCTCATTCTGCTTTAGTGAGTAGAATTGTTTGATAACTGTTTCCCATTTAGGTGAAGTGTCTAATGAAGTCCTCTACCTGTTAATGTTTTATTATGTTTATGCAAGGTGTTAGGCTAATAGCAAATTTTAATATTCTTGCATATGATTTCTAACAAATGCATTACAATTAGTGCAATTTGTTTGCTGCTTATTGCCTTGGTTCCATAGGGTTTTGAAAGCTGTACTGGAAATGTCATGCAGAAAAGACTTTTGATTGACTGCTTCAGTGAACAGCAACAACAACAAACGAATCTAGAATGTCTTGCTCTGAGTTCACCTTTATAAGCCAGGGCTTCCTAGTCAACAAGTACAAAGCCTGATTGTGCTCCTAGAATACCTGCAGTCCTGATTTACATTTTTTACCAAGTGCTTGGTAAACTGGACTGCAAAGAAGTGCTCATAGTCAAGCTGTAGTGACATTTTAAGGCACAATCTAAACTCAATGATTCTGTGATGAGAGAGAAGAGAGTCAAAAAAGAAGCAGCCTTACATCAAAGAATGTTTCTGGTATGCATGCTACTTGTTTTTAAGTAGAATATTTTAAATTAATCTCAAGGAAAAAATGAGGTTCTATGTTGGAAGCTTATTTTAAATTTACTGTCATTTTATTTCCAGGTGGAGCACCAGTATTCCCACAAGTTTACGGTAGTGGTGTTACGTGCCACCAAAGTGACAAAGGGGGCCTTTGGTGACATGCGTAAGTGCCCTTTTTTTCTTTGCTGTTAAACATGTAATTATGGTTCAGCCTTTAATTGCTTGAGTTCCTTGACAAATCGGAGGTTCTGCCTTCTTCAAATGTGGTTATGTTTGTCTAGATCTTTGAATGATAACATTTCAAACAGTTCTCTGATGCTATCTGTCAGATTAGCATTTTACCTGGGCCTTAAATTAGCCAAAGTGACAAAGGGGGCCTTTGGTGACATGCGTAAGAGTGCCCTTATTTTCTTTGCTGTTAAACGTATAATTATGGTTCAGCCTTTAATTACTTGAGTTCCTTGACAAATCAGAGGTTCTGCCTTCTTCAAATGTGGTTATGTTTGTCTGGATCTTTGAACGATAACATTTCGAACAGTTCTCTGATGCTATCTGTCAGAACAGCATTTTACCTGGGCCTTAAATTAGCCGAGATCACTTGGAGTCAGACAAAATGATTTTCTTGTGACGTACACATCTTGGGAATTCAAAGAAATTTTGTTCAATTTTGCTTCTAAAAGAATACTGAGTAAAGACTTTAAACAAGCTGCCTCTGTGAGGTATTATGCACTTAGAATTGTTAAAATGTAGTTTTTCTCTAGTTCTTATGCCTTTGAGTGTGTTTATTTTGTATGGAATAGCCATAGAAACTGGTATAGGACAGCCTGAAATGATGCGATCCACAGCCTGAGGATAATGCTGAATTAACTTGTTGACAGTATCTTTCTCCATGTTTTTAAAAAAGGCAATTTTCCTTGTAGAATCTTATTATTTAAATCATTGGAATTCGTGCAAGTGGGAATACAAATAACAATGGATACAACAAAGTATTATGATGATGAATTTGATAACATCTTAGATTTAATAATGTCTTAGATTTAACATCTTAGATTGTTAATATGGGAATGGATAATTTAACTCTCAAAACAGGTTTTGGGAAAGAGAACAGAGATTGCAATGTATCGTCCAGGAAACAGGTAGGGTTCCCAGCCCAAATGACATTTAAACTGGTACCTAAAGGAGAAGTATCTTGGTCATGAGAGCAAGAAGTCCTAGGCAGAGAAAACAGCGTGTTCCAAAGCAAAAAGACCAGAATGCTTGTGAGGAGCTAGAACCGACCCAATATTACTAGAGAATAGATAACGGAGGTGGGGGCTGGAAGGGCAGATGAGACTAGGATGATAAGCCCTGGTAAGACAAAGACTTAGGACTGAGATTTTTTCATTAATGCAATGGAAAGAATTTGATGGCATTTAAGTAGTAAGTCACACAACTGAATTTTCATTTTTCAAAATGTTGTGACTGTAGTATGTTAAATATATTGGAGAGGAATGTGGAAAATAGGTTTTTCTTTTTTTTCAAAGAACAGGAGGGACTTCAGCCTGTTGAAATGGCAATGAAAATGCCAGTAAAGAGGGAGGAGTTAGATACTAAGAAAAGAAAGAATGTGAGCTTAAGGCTCATATCATCAGTGAATGAGGAGAGTCCAGGAAGTTGGTAAATGTCTGAAGCAAGGAGAGGATTGTTAGGTAGAATCTAACAGCAAGAGTTTTGGCTGAGCAGTGGTTTTCATGACAGGTGAGGAGAGCAATGGCAATTTCTTCAAAACTAGCTTCGATCAGATGTTTACATTTTAAATTTTATCTCAGACTTCAGTTTAACCCATCTAATCATCCCTTTATTAATATTTTTCTGAAGTTATTCTTATTTTGCTTTTTACAGTTCTTTTCATTTTCACCATTTTAAATGAGAATTTACTGAAAGAAAGGCCCCTGCGAAAGAGAAGCCTCATTAGAAGCTGTATTTAGACACTATTACCCACCATACTCTTAAGAAAAGGCGTGCGTTTTACAACCAAAGAGGCCACGCTGTGTGTTGGAAAAGCCATTCTTAATTCCACTAAATTCTGTGTCAGTAGCTTGTCAGGCATGCAAAAGACAGAGCTAATTTGACTTTCAAAAATACAGCTATTATCTGTTAGATAAAGCAGCAGCAATCCCCCCACCCCTTTTTTTTAATCAATGAAGCGTTCTGTTGTGTAGAGACAACGGCTGTTATTGTGCTTAAGATGAGTCCAACAGCAGTTCAAACTTTATACTCCATGAGTCTCTTTCAACTGGTGTGGATCTGATTTTCTAGCAACTTCATGGTAGGCCCAGGCACTTTGGCAATGGTTATTTATTATAATTAGAATAGGGAAAAAAGTAATGCTGAAAGTTTCATTTTAAATCTCTTTGAATTGATATTGATAATATTACTAGAAGAATGAACCTGAGATATTAATTAATCTCCTGGGACAGGGAACATTTAGGTTTTGGTTCCCCACAGTGTACATAACACAGATTAGACTCTTAATTTTAGAAGCTTCCTTTTTAAAGTGAAGGACCCATGGAAGGAATGGCCACTGAAGATTAATTGCTGTGGCAGAAAGGACAGTGTTATGGCATTCTGTTAGAATTTTTATTCAGCATTTGTAATTGGATTTTTTTTTGAATTGTTACTTTTGTGTGTGTGTGGGGAGGGAGTTGTTGTCGACCATTTATATCACCTTAATGAGTGCACAAGAGTCGGGAAGAGACAAAAAGAACATGAAGGAGTGTTAGAGAAATAAATATAGTGATAAAGTTACTAAGGAAAAGTGAATAGATGATATATAGTGCCAACCACTTTATTTTTGAAAAGTTGTGGGAGACTCTGGTGAGAAAAGGCACAGGTATTAGCCATCACTTTTCTGAGAGGAATTTTGATGATATTTCTTGGAGAGCTTGATCTATACAAATTACCAAATAGCTGAATTTGGGGTGTTTGTATATAGCAGTTCTTTAAACATAGACAAGAATAGAACTATAAGAACTATTTTTAAAAGTCCTAAGATCTGTGAAGACCAGGATCGCAGAATTCTACATCCTCTTCTGTTGTTGATAGTGTCTGCACTTATTTATAAAGGTAGAGTTCCATAAAATTCTACATCTTGGTAAAGAAGAATGATAGATTACTATTGGAGTTTTCTGCCTTGCTTGTGTGTCTGAGTGCTTTCTCAACGGTACCAAGACAAATAAAAAATCAACTAGTTAATTCTTGGTAAAATATTCATATCTCCTTTTAAAGAGGATAGTGCTAAGGTTATATCTATTTTTTATTTTGTCCTTTGATAAATCATGCTACCCTAACTACCTACATTTAGAAATATGCTTCTGCACTGTTAAAACCTCAGAATAAAATCAGCAACAACCAATAAACTGTCTTTTGAAGAGTCAGAGATGACATTTTAATTTATAGCATCTCTTTCATTCCTTGTTTTCACTTGAGGGCATTGACAAGCCAAGAATAAGACAGCTGCCAGTTCCTTCCCAGACATGGTTGCTAATTTCAGTGTTACTCAAATGCAGCATTTATACCCAGTGCTCTAGTGATGACTCCTTCTGCATTCTTATGTTTACAGTTCATAGGAAGAGGCAGTTTGAAGTTCACATTTACACCTGACTCAAAATCATCGCTCTATTTTTATCTTTGAAATAAGTAGCTTGCACTAATTTGGCAATATTAATGTAACTTTTACTTTTAAACCTACAGGAAGTTGTTGTAGATGTGATATGTAACAAGCTACATGTCAGCATCATGTTGGGTGCTAAATGTTGGGTTAATGTGTGTTAAACTCTATACTCTACATTGTCCCTTTCCTCTTTTAACAGAAGATATGTTTGCAGAATGGCTGCAGTGAGTGTAGTATTTCAATTGGTCATAGAATTTTCTTTGTGCCTGTAAGAAACAGAACACACAACTCTGGCCACAAACTTCATTTTATAACCAAATGAAATAGCTGACACAAATGCAATAGCTACCTTACTGAATTTCTGCTTCTTTTAGAAGTGTTGGGGAAAACACAGATCCTGAATGATAATGGAGGCTAGCCTTAAAATTCAGAACTATTAGAGCCATGTTTCACTCCCTGCTATGAGATTAGATAAGAAATGCCATAGTGTTTTTTAAGTGATTAAATACCACAGAATATTAGAGTTTTAGAACTATCCTAATTATGGATATATATACTGAGGATTCTTTCCTTGTCTGGCCCCTTTATTAGACACATAAACTCTTTTTCTTTACAGAATTAGCATCATAAACATTAGAGCTTCCAAGAACAGGTGTAGGATTGCAGGTGGATCTAACTTTACTTAAGTATTCAGATGACAACAGTGTTTAATGCTCACATTTATACTCTAATAAAAAATACATATGCTTGGGAAAATTTTGAACTCATTGTATTCAAGCCAATTTTATAAGATCGTATTAATATCTTAACATACTTCTTTAAGATTTTCTTAATAACCTCAAGCTCTTAATATTCAAAAAGTCTGTGCCTGTAGGTAAATGATATTCTGTTTCTGATAACTTCCTGGCAAGATTTGGATCAAGTTTCTAATTTTAAAGGGTTGTGCCATTTGCAGTTCTAAGGCTGGACCTAATCTTCCACAAACAGTGCTTCTTAAATTATAATGTCCATATGAGTCACTGGGGGTTTTTATTCAAAATGCAGATTTTGATTCTGTAGGTTTGGGGAGTAGATTCCGAATTTCTAACATACAGCTGATGTAGACATTGCTGACCCATGAACCACATTTTGAAAGACAAGGTCTAGGCAATTTCTTCTAGTTTATGTTTGCTTACCCTGAGATCTATAGGACTTGTGAGCAGAGCAAAGACTTTAAAAATCCATGATGGAACAAAGATTCTAAGACTTTTGTTTTTTGCTGATTTTACTTTTGTAAAATGAAATAATCATGAATACATTAATACTGTTTATTTTTGAAATTCTTATAAAAGGATGCTTAATTACATGACTCATTATATTATCAATGAGAATGATAGAAATAAACACAAATACCTTAATACCACAATTATAATGTTAAATTCTGAAATTATTTTATACTAAAATCATGAAAATACCAGATTACAAGCCATGAGAAAACAAGAACATATTTTTTATTGTTTCAAAAGTCACAGTGCTCACTTCATGTTAAATGATTAATGCATGAAATGTACTATACACACACACACACATTTACAAATATATTCTTTCCCTCATACATATAAAGATACCTTCCACAAATAGTTTAATATATAATTCTCTTTCAGCTTAATTGGTGATTGTGTGATATTTGACTGTGTGATATTTGATTGTGTGATATTTGTGATCCATCTAAGAACCCAGGCAGCGTCACTCTAGGTACCCTGCTTTTAACCACTGCAGCATGGTAAAATACTGTTTTATTCTCTCCTGCAAAGAGCTTTGGTTCCGATGTGGCATCCTCATGGTGTAATATGTTTCCACTGTATGAAGTTTAGGTAAATCCTTGCTGCTAGTGAAAATATGGCTGTTCTCCCAAAGGGAAGATTAAACTTTCACCTTTCACACATTGTCAGAGAATGTAAGCACAAAACCAGGGTGATTCCAAACGGAATGAAAAAGTTTTTTTGAATGTTTTAGACCACGTGCTTTCTTGTGGGGACTTGTGAAAACTTGAGTTTGTTCTGCCTTATGGCCTTGAGGAAAGAAGGAACCCACTGTGCCTTCACCTCTCCTTTAGTGGAGATGTGTTGTCTAGGATGAGTCAGCAACAGTTCTGATGTGGGCCTTGTAATGTGAGGGATGCATGTTGAACATTTATAAGATTCGCGAAATAACTATGAAAGTTTTTTTAACGGTTTATTTTGACAGTATGCTCATGCATAAAGTAGATATTCTAAATATGTGCAAATGTTCAGTTCTTTTTAAATCACGCTGTGTTGCTTTTTATGTCTTTGAAGTCCTGTGGAAAAATTTCTAAAAGTGAACACATCACCGTGTAAGGGTGTGGATAGTCTCTATATTCTTGCTTAGGGCCATGAAATCTCCCCTTATATGATTTTTCCAAATCACATTAATTTTGATTGTGAGCCCTATTCCCTAGAGAAGGTGGGGGAATTCAGTGATCTCCCTCACTCCAAGGTCCTACAGGAATTCTAGGCATTTATAATTGCCTATAAATTAGGAGTAGGGCTTGCATAATCTTTGCTGTTTGCCATCACTGGCATCAACCCGTCTGTTAAATGTTGTCTTCGTGGATTCTGGCCATCCACTTTTTGGCAGGCACTAAAATGCCTTTCAGAGCAGTCTTCCCCAGCGATCACGCAGCACACCAGGGAGATTTTACTGCTGTTCTCCGGGTGATGGTGTTTAGAGTTCAGACTCCATGGCCATCCTGTAGTCACCATGCAGTGTACAATGCACAAGAAGCATGGGCTTCTAAAACTTGTAGAAACTAAAGAAAACCCAAATGCATAACATTTTCCCGAAGGGTAACCCTCTTTCCTTCAGCTTTATCTCTCCAATGTTGCAGCCTCAGTCCTCTCACCTGTAGGGCGACCTGCTTAATCCTCTTCAGAGGTCCCACCTCTCAATACAAAGTGTTAATCATTCCCTTGGAAAAAGGAGCTTAGAACTCAATCTTCCTATTTGTAAATATTGGGGTGAGAAGCAGGGTGTTGGATATTTAGGGAAACATTATCTATTTAATCTTTTAAGAGTCTTCTTTAGCAATAAGAGCATGTAGGAATCAATATGAAAATAAATGATCTGTTTGGTAGCTATTCTTGAGTTTCACAGTGATCAGAAGCTCCAGGAAAGATGGAGAGGGCAGACTACTCGCGTGTCCTGTGTCCTTGGGCAGATTACTTCTCCTGTCTCTGCCTTCCACTATCTTGGGAGATATTGAGATATAGAACGAGTTGACGTATGCAAAGTACTTATATGCCTAACACACAGTAAGTGCTCAATAAATGTGACCCATTATTATCACAATTGTTTCGAACACAATTATGAAAAGACATCTATTTCTTCAACGTCATCTTTGTATGAACCAAGAATATTCTTTTGGGTAGTCTGTGCATTTGACTAATTTTCAATTTTTCACCTTAGAGACAAGAAATGTCCATTATGAATTTCTGTGTTGAGCAAATTATTGGACCCTTCTTTCTCAGCTTGAGAGAACAAAATGGAGAATGGTATCTCCATTGTTAAACACTTTTCCGAAAACACTTGGGTATATTTCACTCCCTGTGCTCCCTCAGCAGCTGTCTAGATTTCTTTGTAACACTTGTCACATGGGAGTATAATCATGCACTTTTAAGACTAAGGCCTGAGGCTTACTCACAAAAAAAAAAAAAAAAAAAAAAAAAAAAGAAGCTTAATTCTGATTCTGGCATAGCAGTAAGATCTCAGGGAATATTGGATGAATGAGTAAAATATATGAAAGTGTGTGATTATTACTTTTTTTTGATATTGCTTCCTTTTTTGCTTCAGTGAGACAGAATTTTAGAAAACAATTTTATACTTCACTTTTTAAAGATTATAAATGACTCTTATTTCTATCCACTACTAACTAGAATTTTTCTGAGGTTGCATGCACAGGAAATTTTACAACACCTTTGAGTGAATTTAATTAATCTTTTTTACATTAATTATGGAGTTTCAAATCTTATTTTTTATAAATGACATTGCTGTTGGTCTATACTTTGGCTAAAGTATATACTAAAATATATCTTTTCTGATATATTTTATATATATCTATATAAATATATCTTTTCTGATATATTTTATATATATCTATATAAATATATCTTTTCTGATATATTTTATATATATCTATATAAATATGTCTTTTCTGATATATTTTATATATATCTATATAAATATGTCTTTTCTGATATATTTTATATATATCTATATAAATATATCTTTTCTGATATTTTTATATATATCTATATAAATATATCTTTTCTGATATATTTTATATATATATATAAATATATCTTTTCTGATATAAATATTTCCTTAAATCAGTCTTCAGGTTATGACTGAACATGAGTTTTAGTTTATTAATGGTTTTGGAATGTTTTAGAGTATCCACCCAAGATTTTAAAAATTCTAAGTATAATGAAATTGTTTCCCAATGGTCTTTTCATGGAAGATAATTTCAAGATGAGTAAAGTGTTTCATAACGCATGTCTCTCTCACATCTCTTATCTTGTCTTTTCTGTGTAGTGGAGAAATATAATGTGTTAGTAAGGCACTGTTGTTCCTTCCTCATCTGCTTAGAATGTCAGGTAGTTTACGAAGTTGTTAAGTGGTTTTATGAATACAGTTAATCCTTTCCATCTCTGTACTTTATTAGATTTTTTTGTTTGTGTATGTGTGTATTCATGTGTTTTAGGTCGGATGAACACAGTGAATAATATTCTATGATATTTCAATAATGTCAATTGATCAAAAACCATATGCCACTTCTGTAGAGAAAGTATGTGATTAAAATCTAATGGAATTAAATTTAAACAGAGACTAAATGTTTCTTAAATTACCAAGGACAAGTATGTTCTTAAAGTGTTTATGTCTAAGAGAATACCTCTGCTGCTCTAAAAATTTAAACATTTATGTGAAAATGCTTACTATATGTTATTTTAGTATATCTTAATATTATAAAATCTTTCTTAAAAATAAAAATTAGGTAATGTAGAGACTGAAATGATGGATTAAACTTAGCTGAGCTGTGGTCTGAGGGTCTCTGTAAATTTTACTGGCTCCTTGGATGCACTTTTTCATTCTCACTCCTCACTTAATATATCAATATATTTTAATGAAATAATTTAGATAAAATTCCAGACAAAAATATTTTTAGTTGATGTATAAGAATAATGCAAATCTCCAGATGCAAAACAAAATGACAACGTTGAGATTTTAACTTCGAAATGAAATATTAAAGAAATATAACCCAGTGCGTATTCCAGCAAGGCCTGACTAATGTCCACATCAGTAATTGCTGAGTATGTGCTATGTAGTTAGTACTTATTTAGTACCTTGAAAATTACAAGAAAAATAATGATAATATCTACTGTGGGTAACTTTATGGAGTGTGTAATTTATAACAAAGAGGAAGCATTGTTTAGTGGTTTAAACAAGGACTCTGAAACTGTCTTGCTTGGGTTCAAATCTCCCTTCTGCTACTTATTAACCATGTGAACTTGGACAAGTTACTTGGCTGTTTTATGTCTCAGTTTCTTCAACTGTTAAATGGGAGTAATAATCCTACTATTATTTATGAAGCTTAAATGAAATTATGGCATAGTATGCACAATATAAGTGTTTCTTAAATAAACAAAAATCCTAAGCAAACTTCTTAGGACTTTACATTATACATACTTTATGTATTCATTTCAGTGATACTTTGAGATATGTACTGTCTTTATTTTAATTTTTTTATTTTAATTTTTGTTTATTTTTATTTATTTATATATATATTTTTTTATTATATTTTAAGTTCTAGGGTACTTGTGCACAACATGCAGGTTTGTTACATATGTATACATGTGCCATGTTGGTGTGCTGCACCCATTAACTCGTCATTTACATTAGGTATATCTCCTAATGCTATCCCTCCCTCCTCCTCCCACCCCACAACAGGCCCTGTGTAAGAACTTTGGTTAAAGTTTAGTTAACATAGTCCAGAATCACAGAGCTGTTATGTTTTGGGGCTGGAACTCAAACTTGCCTCACTTCAATGTTTACTTGTGCAGCAGCTTTGCCTGTGAGCAGTGTGTGGGGTAAGTGGGAAGATGAAATGGGCTTAAATAACCCTTTGGAAAAATGCTGCCAATAAGAGAAGACTTTACAGCTTGAATGTAGATTGAGATGGGCTTTATAACTTAGGTAGCCTTTTAATATATGGAATGGGTAGGGGTTGCATTTCAATTTTGGAAAAGAAAATCATAAGAACAATATTTAAAGTGAGATTGACATAATCTGTCCAATATATATTATTTAGGGAGCTTAGCTATTTTTTTATGATTTATGCTAGTGAATAAATATCAAGAATTATGTCTTGCTTTAGTGCAGTGGTTCTAAACTGGGAAACAATTTTGCCTCCTGGTGCACACTGGGCAATATTCTAGAGACATTTTTGTCAAAATCGGGTATTTCTATTGGCATCTAGCAGCTAGAAGTCAGGGACAACACCATAGAGCAAAGAGTTACCTGGCCCAAAATGTCAATAGCATTAAGGTTAAGAATCTCTTTTTAATGAAAAAGAATAATTTTTCTTGCCTACAGTAAGTGGAATTCATATATATTTAAATCCATATAGCTAAAATGAATAATATGAATAAATTAATATGTTTTATCACGGTATATAAGAATTTCTGGAGAATTACTCTTTCTATTCAATCTAGAAAGATTCCAAGAAACATCCGTACATTCTAAGCATTTAAAACATTCCAAGCATAGATACAGATTCCAAAGATATGTTTTTTCCCTCCAAGAAGATATCACAGAAGTTTAAGTAAAATGACACTGCAGGCAACAACGACACTTTCAATTCTGTTTTAGATCTACATTTAGTCTTCTTTGTGTTGTTTTGGCGTATATTTCTCCCCATTTTCCCATGAATATCAACATCTTTGCAATAAATCATTTTTATTGTATACCAACTCTCAGTTAGCTATTCATTAATGTACTAAATCAATTGCTAGTACGAAATGTACCAAGTTGATCATGAGTGGATACTATTGTGCTGTCTTGCTGACATCCATTTGACTGATGGCACTTTCTGATAGTGTCATGCTGCCTTACACTCCCTTACAAAAGGAAATGTGACTTTAGAAAGCACTATTATACATATTCAGCCTATGAGAAAAAAGGAAATGAAATGTACAGCTTAACTTGGAGACTGCCTAATAAAGGGATTTCAACATAGTGTTAATAAAACTGCATTGTAATTTCAAATGAGGGAAAGGCATTCCACATTTGAGTTCCTAGGCAATGCTCAAGTTGTTGTAAAATCTTTACTCCTTTCTCCCCACAGAATTACTGCCCAAGTTCTGTTTACTAAACCACATTGGATTCTTCACTAACTTTTCCAGCTTCTGCACTCCCAGCAATTCCCAGGAATTGTCTTTCAGCATCTATAGCCATAACGCTTATAATTTTGATCTCTTTCTGGAGGGAGCAGGGGCTGCTACATGTAAACAAGTCCTGTGGCACTCTGCCTATTCCTTGGAGTTATTATGAAGGGAGGTAAGCTGAGGTTCAGGTTTTTTTAATATAAAATTAATACTTACAAATAAAGGTTAATTACAAATATACTTGGAAGAAATGACTGACATTGATTTATATTACAATCCAAATAAACAGGTTGGGGACAAACACCAGGAGGGTTGAGACCTATTACCAAAGAGTAAAATGAAGTTTGAGTGGAGACTGTTGTGCCTATGATAAAGGTGACCTGTTCCACAGTATCGGTTAGGGTCAGTCCATCATCCTTTCTTTTAGTAATGTGTATCATGTTCCTATATCTCAGACTTCATGTGAGACTCTTGGACACAGGAGTGAATAGGAAGGCTGTGCTCACTGCTATCATGGAGTTTACAGTTTCATAGAGACAAAAAGAGGTAGAAGTTATTAGTACTGGAATATTTGACTGAGCAAGAACTCTGGTTTCAGAAAGACTGGGTTAAAACCCCAACTCTGAATGAACTTGCTCAGCTCACTAAATGCCTCTGAGTCTCAATTTCTTCACCTCTGATGGAAATAATAATACCTAATCAGCAGGTTGAAGCTTTATGTGGAATTATTTTTATTTTATGCAGATGTATCTAGATAAAACCTCTGGGGAACTTGATTTAAAGTTGCCAGTTTCACCCAATAGGAAAACAAAACAACTAGTTGACTAGGGAAGTGGGGACTAGATAAGGAAAGAATGGAGAGAACATCTCATTCCCCATATTTCTTAACTGTACCGTCTTTGGACTCTTATCTTGGATATTCTTGGGACAAGAACAACAACTTGAATAAACTTTAGCTATCAGCTAAAACGTCAAAAGAAAACATAACAACATGTACAACTAAAAGTACAGCAAAGATCTGTTAGAATGAATATTTCTGCCATCAATATGCCTGTGTGGAATGTTTGAAATGTGTAGATTCCAAAGATGCCTCTTTGCCGTAGAGTGATATTCCAGTGAATGGCTGAGAAGGGTCACTGACTAGAGGGAGAACCTTGGGTTTGATGGGGGGTTGGGAGGGAGCCTTTAAGTCTTTCTCACCATATTTAGGCCTGACTTGGTAGGCAGTGAAGGTCAAAAGTGTGTTTCAGAAGGATAGTTGTGGTTGCATTATAGAAGGTGCCTTGAGAATAAGCAACTAAGAGATTATGCTAATAGTCTATGTGAGAGGTGGTGCTTAGTTGAATCGGGGCAATTATTTTGAATGAAATGAAGGAGTCAGATGTTAACATCATTTTGCAAGTGAAAAGCTAAAACTTAGAGACAGATTGGATATTTGAATCGTGAAGAAAAGACAACTCTCGTGTTTCTAGGCCAGACGGTTAGAAAAGATGACATCATTAAATAAAATAGGAAAGAAAGTGAGGAAAAATAACAAGTTTTTATTTTAGTTTTTTTTTGTTTTGTATTAATTTTTGTCTTACATTTAGGAAAAGAATGATGAAAATAAGTTTGCTTTGTAAATATTGAGTTTGAGGTATCTTTAAGGTATTCAAGGTATTTTTGAGGCATTTGAGAGCAGATTTAAGATTTCAGAATGGAGGTAGGGCTCACAGATGTAGATTAGGGAGACACTGACATTTATGTGCAAGGCAGAACTAAAGGAGTGTTAAAGAAAATCCAGAACTGATTCAGAGTAACTAAACAGGATTGAACTATTTCAAAATATATTACTTAAGAATAGATTATATGTTAACATATAATCAAGAACCTCATATATGTCATGTTTATACTTCTTCCCCCTTGTAGCCTTGAGGATATGAAGGAATGCATTGTAGCTGCCATTTAAACCTTGAAGATAATCAACTTTAAAGGATCTGAGATTAACTAGACTACACAATTAATGCATGTCATGTGATATGAGGGGTGCATATTGAGTGTTTTCAAGACCATATAAATAACTGCGATCATTCCTTTGCAACTTGGTTTTGACTACATGAGCAATACAGTGTTCAAAGGCCTCGCTTCCTTTTGAAGAATTCTAATAAGAGATTTGTAAGGGACACAAGAAGAAAGTCCACAGTTTAGTGATGAGTTGAGGTGGAGAAAGCTGGTGAAAGATATAGAGGAACTATTTAGAGAGGTAGGTAGGAAATCACAAAATAATGATATATTAGACACAAAAGAAAGATAATTGCACCAAGGATGTTGCATATGTGTTAAGTAAAGTGAGAAAAAGCTCACTGAATTTGGCATTGAAGTTAGGTTCGAGAGAATGAACCGATTAGGGTAACAGAAGAAGGCAGAGGACAGTAGGTTGGAAACTTATGGAATAATGAGATTTAGAAGCAGTAAGTGTAGACTATATTTTTCCAAAATCTTTGATGTAGGAGAGAAAAGATCTGGAAGAATTGTAAGAATTAATGAAATTTTGTTCATTTTTTTAAGGATGCCCAATATTTGTTTATATTTATAAGTTGAGAGAAAGTAGCTAAGGCAAAACCAATATTTACAGATTAAATTTGAGGCTGGGGATTAAAAAATAAGAAATATCCGAGAGAAGCGGTATTGAGAGAAGAGTGTAAGGATACTTTTACTTCTAAGATAATAGAGGAAGAACTTAAATATGAATACATTATTAAATTATAAACATATTTTTTAAATTGTGAGATATAGGGAAGGAAAATTGAAGGACTACATCTAATCCTCCCCCTTTTTTTTTTTTTTTTAGTGAAGTGTGAGTCTGAATTGTGTCCTCAAAAGAGAAGTAGTAAGTAGGGTAGGTGGCTTGAAAAAAACAGTACATGTTTTAGCAGCCATGTGGAGAATGGTGGGTGGAGGGGAAGGATAGGGATGATTATAGTTTGGCCAAGTTAGGAACTAAATGGTCACTGAAGTATGCTAAAGTGACTAATAGCAGTGTATTTACTTTTCCTAAGAACAACTTAGGAAACACATATTAAATTAATTTTTTTAAATGTCTAGAGGAATGAAAAGCTGATGAGTAAACTGGGACTTGAGGGACTAAGATCTCAGAAGAGAAATAAGCCAGGCTTGGCGTGGTGGCTCATGCCTATAATCCCAGCATTTTGGGGAGCCAAGGCAGATGAATTGTTTGAGCCCAGGAGTTCGAGACCAGGCCTGGACAACATGGTAAAACCCCATCTCTACTAAAAACACAAAAAATTAGCTGAGCATGATGGTGTGAGCTTGTAGTCCCAGCTACTTGGGGAAGGGGGCTAAAGTGTGAGGATCACCTGAAACCAGGAGGTTGAGGCTACAGTGAGCTGAGATGGCACCATGGTGCCACTGCACTCCAGGCTGGTTGACAGAGTAAGATCCTGTCTTCAAAAAAAAAAAAAAAAGAAGGAATAAGCTCATATTCTGCAAGCCACGTTTTCCCTCAGTCTATTAGTTAGCTGCATCTAGGTAGGTTGGAGGGGAGTGATAGGGATATGGGAAGTAGCCAAGCAGTGAAGAGGCCAATAATCCAGCAGAGCTTTGTCAACCTCAAAGGACTTGGGGTATAAAGACTGGATTTTAGGACAAAATAAGTTGATTTTGAGAAGCCAAGTTCCTTGAGAGAAAGCCTAGAGAAGAAGTATGCCTGACAGCCAGCACCTTCATCACGAGGCACTAGCCAAATTCTTGATTCATGCAGGGCAACAGTCTGAGAAGCAAAAATAAAAACCTGAAAAACAGGACAAAGATATTGGCAGTCTCATAAGAGGAAACAAACAAACAAACAAACAAGGAGATCAGAGAGACCAAATTAAAAGGGGCCTAATAAATACCCTTGACTTTAAGTTGGGAGCCTTAGAGTGGGAGTGAACAAGAGGTAGACTAACCTTACAAAGAATGAAATCAATTCATTTGTTAAAATGCAATAGAGGCTATCAGTCCTACTTTCTCTGCCTGCCAGAGAATAAAGTGGGTCATCTGTGGAGGTAGATCTAGCTCTTCCATAATTTGTCATAAAAAAGTCTGGCATTCAGTCAAAGGTTGACTGAATTATAAATATTCAGCGGCTTATAGAATATGAGTGTAACAAAAATAAGATCAAGAAACAAACAGATCCACAAGTATTGGATATGGATCTTAAAATAACTAAGAGTAATATGTTCAAGAAAATAGATGCTAAGATGGAGGATTTTACCAGGAAACCAGATATATACAAAATAATCAAATGGAAAATTTTAAACTGAAAAACACAAGAAATTAAGAACTCAGTAGATGGTTTTACTGTAGTTTGAAAACAGTTAAAGAGAGAATTACTGAACTGAAAAATAAGTCTATAGAAAATATCCAGACTGAAACACAAAAGACAAATAAGGAAATAAAATATAGAATAAAAAGCTAAGGAATATCTGGGGTATGACAAAAAGCATTGGGAAGAGAGAGGGAATAGGGCAAAAGTAATATTTGAAAATATAATGGCTGGGTATTTTCTGTAGCCAATAAAATATATTGAAAAGCAAATGACCAAGAGTGGATTTCTCAACAAAACAGAGAGGAACCATAAGATATTAGTTGACATCTTTGAGGTGTGGAAATAAAGCAACTGCCAGTATAATCCTGAAGATATTGAACAAAGTTCCAGGACTTAGACTACCTGATATTACAATTAATATAAAAATATTATAATTAAGACAGTTTGGTATAGGCGTGGTATAGATGCAAGCTTAAATGATAGATTAATGGACTAATAGACAAACGAAGTCCAGAAACAGACTTACACTTTTATGTGACCACTTGATTAATGCAAAGTTTATACTGCAATGCAAGGGCTAAAGGCAGTATTCCCAATAAATAATGCTGGGTCTATTGGTTACACAGGGAAAAAGACTGAATCCTAACTCCTACCTCATACCTCAACCAGCTTAGTACATGGGTAGCGAAAAGGTTGACAATCGTAAAAGCTGCTCTAAGATCTCTGTGTGTAATTAGCAATGTTATTACATCATAAATATATCAAAGGAATGACCACATCTGAGAATAGTATTCAGAGGCATTTCGTTCAACAAATTTTCATTTAAGTTTTGGTCTTACTTCTTCTCGTTTAGTCATTTCTACTTTGTTGATAATTGAAGCATAACATTTGAAGAGCAGTCCATCACCTTAAACAGATTGCCAACTAACACACCCACACTTAATTTATTCTTGCATTTATTTTCTCGTGGCCATTTGAAAATGTATTTTATGTCTGGAGAGAAATAGAAGTAAATGACTGGACTGGGCTTAATCTAGTCTATGGGCAGAATAACTCCTTGACAGAAGAACAGTAACTTTGTTGCCTTCTCAATGTCAAAATGTTTGTAATTTTTCTGTGGGTGTTATTATACTCCTGTTCTTTAGTTCCTCGTAATATTATACCTTAAGCCCCTGTTCTTCAAATGTCTGAATAATAATCACCTGGTCAATTGTCAAAATGCAGATTTCCAGGCCCATGCTGGAGAATATGATTGAAGGTGCTAAGGTTCTGCATTTTTAACGGCACTGCAGATGAATCCGTGAAGGTCATGGTATTTCAATGGACTACATTTGGGGAAACACTGTTTTAAGCTCACTGTCATTGAACCATAGGTATTCAGAATGGGCCATATTTTGACTACACATTTGGGAGGACTTTCCCCTTTGGGATTTTTTTTTTCCTATTTATCACAAGAATTGTAACAAATTACTTGTAATCTGTTTTTCAAACAAGAGGTTTAAGTTGCTACTGATGAAGGGGAAATAGGCAAATAGAGAATATTTAAAATAGAGCTAGGAGTTTAGAAGCTGCCATGAGTTCATGAATCACATGATATATTACTTGGACAAAGCTGAAATGACAAATGGGTCTGTTATGACTTCAGGCAGGCGCTCCTTAAACTCCTGAAGTTTAGTAGTAAGTTTTACCACCCTGAAGCTATTTCTGGTGCATGTAGTTTCATGTCAACTTTATGGGAAGAAAAAAGATCTGTATTCCACACCCCCGACATTTTTTGTTTGTCAAGATTTAGATAAAAGGATGAGATGTAAAAGGGGTTTTTGCCCACATATTACATCTTTGCTTCACCACATGTTTGGCTGAAAATAATGAAGATGAGGCTGAGTTAGTGACTCAACACGCAATTGCCCTATAGGTGTTAATTGACAAAGCCATGAAATAAGTATAATGTACAGGAAAAAACAAATTCTACATTTAACTTTTTCTTTAATTCATTCCTTGAAACTTCTCTAAAGTATTGGGCTGTGTTTACTGTCAAAGTGGGCTGCCTTCCTTTTCAAATCTTCTAATTCTGTTTGCTACCATGCCAGTGATGGTTATAGATTATGCAAAGAAACTGAGCTATGTGATTATTGTAATCCAACTTTAAACTAGCCTCTTAAAACTTATTTTTATCCTATCTACCACTGTTATAGATATTTCTTAGCTTACAATGATTAGAGCTGATGCAGATTGCAAAATCAAAGTGTGCAGTTTTGGTAGTTTTCCACTGTCCAGCATCCTTTGACATCTTAACTCTGAAGTCTCTGGCTAAAGAATCAAGAGGAGAAATTAGAAACGCTGCCACTCTGGACATACATTTTAGAAAGCTGACTTACTTTCAAAGTAAAATTAAATAATGCAAATCCAACATGACAGCTATTAAACTGGATTCTGATTTTTTAAACAAAGTCTGTGGATGTTTTAATATATAAACATGGTGTGGGTATTGTTTTTATGGTATTTTCTTTATCATTTTGTCAGAATTAGAATTTGTTAAAAATATGACCCATTGAGAATCTAAAATGGCTGAGAAGATGGGTAGATAATGGTTTGACTCATGGTGCTTCTCAATTTGTCCTTTCCTTTTCCCATCTGGTGCCTTCCAAGGAACTTCACTTGCAGCTTGCTCCTTCTTGTTTGGGCCAAGTAGACCTCACCCTCCTCTTTCCCAAAGATTCAAGTAAAGATTAAGTCTGAAAAGGCAATTTCCCCACCTACGATTTGACCTTATTTGTGTGTAATAATCTGGGTGACTGAGTTACTAGTCACTGGGGTAGTGTAACTGCTTATCTTCAATTTACCTTGCCTCTAAAATTAGGCTATTAACATTTGACTCACTTCCATAATCCGAATTTTCAGTTTAGTGTTTGGCTCCCTATCAAGGCTGAACTGCTTGTGAATGAGCAATGCCTGGCATATAGTAGGCACTCATGTATTTGTTGAATGAATGAATGATGTTTGCCATTTGCATGCCTCCCCTTCCCACACACTCTTGTATTCCACGTTGGTTTTTGCTTGGCTTTGTTTTTTTTCTATTACTTCTTGGAAAATGGTTAAAAAAAAGAGCATTGGCCTTATGAGAAAAATCTGGCCCTATGAGATGATGTAGGGCTATGTTTTGTAACACATAATTTGAAGCATTAATTGAATACTTTCCTTAAAATTACATATTTTTCTTGATAATTTTCTACCAACTGCTATTCTAAATATGGAGTTTTACTTCTGATTTGCAATCCTGAGCACTGGTGATATGGTAGAAACATGGTTAAGGAAAAGAAGCAGTCACCTCCTGGTTGAAAATGTGATAATGTTACCCTATGACATGTTCTCTTCTTCTTTGGCCCATTTCACCTTATCATCCTTCCCACTCAATCTTTTTGTTCTCTAATTTGTATTCCATGGTCCTGTTGAGAGTTATAAGCACTGAGTTAGAAATGAGAATGACTGGCTTTCCCCTTTTGTCTAAAATAGGATATCAAAAGTGTGACCAGAAGATGATCCACATCAGTGTCAGCTAGACTATTTGTTAAAAATTGCAAGCCCTTAATTCCACTACAGATATGCAGACAATGGGTCTTCGGGGATGAAGGTCGGGGTCTATGTTTTTACAATAACCCTGGGCATTTGTGTTGCACTCTCACTTTTGCCCCACTGCTCTTTACCAATGATGTATAAGGTCCAAGCCGGAAAATTAAAGGCAGCCTCAAAGGCTGATACCTTGTTTGTAGATCCTCCCGTTTTATAATAACAACCACTAAACATACACATGCATCTAAAGAAGCTGATGACTACATAAAGAACTAGGAGCAATACTGAACAATTAAGTGAAAGACATTGATTACGTTTTTTGATGACCATAGCTGTTGTTGACAGACAACATCTATTTAAATTTTTTTGGGGGGGAAACCCAATCAATAGGTCAGAAACTATTATTTTTGCTTTTCCTTTATTTTCAACTGTTGGATCTTTTTGTTTAGACCTCTGTACTTCTTCTCTCCCCCCTCCCTCCCTCACTCTTGCACTCACCCTCTCTTTCTCTTCCTCTAATTCCAGCTCCTCTTTCCATAGAATCCATACCCTGTAATCTAATTTTTGTTACTGAGGAACATGATGTAATAAGAGAATGATTGTTGTAGTCAAATGACCCAGGTTCAAGAACTTGACCTGATACTTATTAGCTATGTGATATTGGACAGAATGCTTAATATTTCTCAGTTCCTGTTACTTTAACACTAAAATAAAGTACTTACATTATAGCGCGATTGTGAGATTTAAATGAGACTAATGTGTGTAAAGTACTTAACACAGATCCCTGTAGTCATTACTTAGTTATTTGTTGTTTTTGTTATTAATTATAATGGCCGCATGGAAAAGCACCTGTTAAACGGGAAAGTCAAGTCGATAGGTTAGGAAACCTTAAATATTGTAATTGTCGCTTTCTGTTGTTAGCTTCTGAAGATGTACAGCTGAGGAAGACAAGATCTTTGCCCTCAAGTTGTTTATAGTCTTGTAGGAAAAGACAGATAGATGTATAATTTCATCCATAAAGTATAGTGTGTCCAGTGCTGTAAGACATTAAAGGATTCGGTGGAATCCTAAAAAAGGAGTGATCAATACTTGCACAGTTTGGGTCACTCGCTTTGTTGCTAAGTGTATATGTAATGGGAGGAAATTAAAATAATTTCTTTATTTGCAATTGTTTTGTTCTATTTCAGTGGGCACACATATCATACCCTGATTCAAGTGGGTATTTATGTGAAATAGAAAAAACCGTTACTGGCCGGGCATGGTGGCTCATGCCTGTAATCCCAGCACTTCGGGAGTCTGAGGCGGGCAGATCAGGAGGTCAGGAGATCGAGACCATCCTGGCCAACATGGTGTAACCCTGTCTCTACTGAATATACAAAAATTAGCCGGGCATAGTGGCATGTGCCTGTAATCCCAGCTACTCTGGAGGCTGAGGCACGAAAATTGCTTGAACCAGGAGGCCGAGGTTGCAGTGAGCTGAGATTGTGCCACTGCACTCCAGCCTGGCAACAGAGCAAGACTCTGTCTCAAAAAAAAAAAAAAAGGAAAAGAAAAAAATTGTTGCTTCATAGAGACACCTCATTTCCATCTGAATATTGCCATAATAAATACATGTTGATTTTTAATATGAGTGCCACCCCTTAAAGTTGTTCAGTGTACAACCTGTACAACCATACAAGGCAACTCTATAACAATAAACAATATTCTTCTCACAATGACTTCCATTATTTTATCTGATAAAGTAAGCAGGATGATTTTTCTAACATTGACAAATATAATCTTTTTTTTAAAAAAAAGTATTTTTCAATTTTTTTTCTTTTTTACTTTTTACTTTTACTTTTTAATTTTTATGGGTACATAGTAGGTGTATATATTTATGGGGTAAGTGAAGTGTTTTGATATAGGTATGCAGTGTAAAGTAATCACATCATGGAGAATAGGGTATCCATCCTCTGAAGCATTTATGATTTGTTGCAAATAATCCAATTACACTCTTTTAGTTACTTTTAAGTGAACAATTAGGTTATTATTGACTATCGTCACCCTGTTGTGTTATCAAATAGCAAGTCTTATTCATTTTTCTGTTGTGTTTTTTTTGTATCCATTAACCATCCCCACCTCCCCTCCAGCCCCCTACTACCCTTCCCAGCCTCTGGTAATCATCCTTCTGCCCCCTCCATGGGTTCAACTGTTTTGATTCTTAGATCCCACAAATAAGTGAGAATATGTGCTGTTTGTCTTTCTGTGCCTGGCTTATTTCACTTAAGATAATGACTTCCAGTTCCATCCATGCAAATGGCGAGATCTCATTCTTCTTTATGGCTGAGTAACACTCCATTGTGTATATGTAACACATTTTATTTACCCATTCATCTGTTGATGGACACTTAGGTTGCTTCTAAATCTTAGCTATTGTAAATAGTGCTGCAATAAACACAGGAGTACAGATATCTCTTCAGTATACTGATTCCTTTTTTTTGAGTATATACTCAGCAGTGGGATTGCTTGGTCATATGGTAGCTCTATTTTTAGGTTTTTGAGGAACCTCCAAATTATTCTCCATAGTGGTTGTGCTAATTTACTTTCCCACCAACATTATACAAGAGATCCCTTTTCTCCACATCCTTGCCAGCATTTGTTATTGCCTGGATATAAGCCATTTTATCCAGGTGAGATGAGATCTCATTGTAATTTTGATTTGCGTTTCTCTTATGATTAATGATGTTCAGCACTTTTCATATGCTTGTTTCCCATTTGTATGTCTTCTTTTGAGAAATGTCTATTCAAATCATTTGCTCATTTTGTTGGTTACATTATTAGATGTTTTTCTACAGTTTTTTGAGCTCCTTATATATTCTGGTGATTAATTTCTTGTCAGATGGGTAGTTTGCAAATATTTTCTCCCATTCTGTGGGTTGTCTCTTCATTTTGTTGATTTTTTTTCCTTTGGTGTGCAAAAAAGCTTTTTAATTTGATGTGATCCCATTTGCCCATTTTTGCTTTGGTTGTCTGTGCCTGTGTGGTATTGCTCAAGAAATTTTTGCCCAGACTGTTCTCCTGGAGATTTTCCCCAATGTTTTCTTGTTGTAGTTTTATATTTTGAGATCTTAACATTTAAATTTTTAATCCATTTTTATTGATTATTGTATATGGCAAGAGATAGGAGTCTAGCTTCATTCTTCTGCATATGGAGATCCAGTTTTCCCAGCACCATTTATTGAAGAGACTGTTTTTTCCCCAGTGTATGTTCTTGGCACCTTTGTCAAAAATGAGTTCACAGTAGGTCTGTGCATTTGTCTCTAGCTTTAAGCCCATGATCTTGTCACTATCACAGTCCTGGGTGAAGGTCATGTTGGCGTTAGCTGGGTGACATTGTTATCATCCTGTAGTAGCTTGACTGAGATGTTGACTGCTTTGAACCTGTCCTCTCTAGATAGATGGAGGAATTCTGAATAAATCACTTAATAAACAATTCCCTCTCACAGGACTATTATGAAGGACAGCGACATATGTAAAAAGTATCTACCCTATGATGTTTTTCTATTATGTGTATATTATCTTGTCTCAGACATTTAAATACATCACTACAGATTCATTGAGAATAAACTGACAACATATATTAATAAAAAAATTAGGAACTATGAATCACATTTCTACCTCCTTCTTGTTTGTGTTTACTATCTGTAGTTGATACTCCAGATCCCTATGTGGAACTTTTTATCTCTACAACCCCTGACAGCAGGAAGAGAACAAGACATTTCAATAATGACATAAACCCTGTGTGGAATGAGACCTTTGAATTTATTTTGGATCCTAATCAGGAAAATGTTTTGGAGGTAAGTGAACCATTTGGATGCTGTTAGATGGTTGTGATTCATGTTGAGAGACATGCTTGAGTTTGTCCTTTTACTGCCTTTTTGTTCCTGTTAGCTATAGTTGGAGTTAGACTGGGCAGCTTGGTAGACTAGAATCTAAATGGTGTCTGTCAAGTAATATGAGTGTCTATCAGGACATACAGGAGTTAGGTAGGGTTGGGAAAACTGCTGTCCTCCCCACGTGCTTTGGAGAAAACATATTTTCTGCTATCAAGGAGAGAATCCCAGTATAACAGAATAAAAATATTTTAAATTGCCTTTTTAAAAAGTGAAAATTAATTTTTCCCAAAATATTTGTATCGATTTTCTGCATTAATATCTTTCTCATATTCCAAAGTAGAGAGGAGATAAAGTTTCGTTTTTGAAAACATGATAATTGAATAAATCAATCAGGAAAATGTGAAAAATTATTATCTTATAGCAAACACAGTACTCAGAAGGAAAAGATTGGCCGGGCACTGTGGCTCACCCCACAGCATTTTCAGAGCACCAAGGCAGGCAGATCACTTGAGGTCAGGAGCTCGAGACCAGCCTGGCCAACACGGTGAGACCCTGTCTCTATTAAAAATACAAAAATTTGCTGGATGTGGTGGCGCTTGCTTGTAATCCCAGCTACTCAGGAGGCTGAGGCAGGAGATTCGCTTGAATCTGGGAGGTGGAGGTTGCAGTGAGCCGAGATCCCGCCACTGCACTCCAGCCTGGTGAGTGAGACCCTGTCTCAAAAAAAAAAAAAAAAAGGAAAAGATAAAAGTATTGTTACTAATTAAATATTGAGATCTTCAAGGACTCTTAAATATCATTTGAGAGCTTCATTTTTTTAAATGTGGTGGAAATTATAGATGTCATTTCCAAAGATCCATGGGAAATTTTATTTTTGTGCTTTACATTTTACTCTGTAGATTACGTTAATGGATGCCAATTATGTCATGGATGAAACTCTAGGGACAGCAACATTTACTGTATCTTCTATGAAGGTGGGAGAAAAGAAAGAAGTTCCTTTTATTTTCAACCAAGTAAGTAACACTGCAGAATTATATTCCAACCTTATGTTAGATAAAGTCTATTGATTCTGGGAAGTTGGGTTTAACACTTGGAAAATTGTATTTATTTGTTCATAGAATGTTTGCTTTTTAAAGAGAAAATTTTGTTTTTCTTTTTACTTTTTGTCCTAATTTTAAAAATTATTCTGACATCTATAAACTTTGGTTGAGGTATTATACCAAACACTACTAAGGCTTTAATCTCCTTTGTTGCTCCAAATGATGACATTGGGATTCAGCAATGCCTTTGGACTCTAATGGCAAAATTTAATACAAAAAATTGGGGAGGATAAAAAGACATGCAAAATCTGAGAGCTGGGGGCAGAGAGAGAGAGAGAGAGAACAAGTAAACAAACTCAGTGGAAAATGTTAGGAAATTCAGACTATTCCAAAACCACATGTTTAGTAATAAATCTCTCTGGGGGAATATTTCTGTCTCAGAGAATCCTCAAGTAAATAGGGACAAAGCAGTGAAAGGCCAAAAGGATTGATGGGAGGTTATTGTTATCTTTGACTTTCTAGGTTTGCTACATTTCTGAAATTTTGATAGTTTATTTTGGAATAATGAAACCTTAGGTAAATAATTTTGTACAGAATAAACTCATTGGATTTTGAATTCTGTAAGAAACTAATTTAGTAGTTTGTAGTAAGAAATGTAAACAACTGGTGGGCCTGTATGTGTAAGGCTGGTTACCATACTAATTTCTTGTTGTTGGGAGAGACAATGTGTCTCTGCGCATCTTTAGAATGACTTTCCAAGTCCCTACATTCACCTCAACCTACCTCTCCCTTAACTCTCAGCTTCTCCATGTTGCCTTTCCTGTTACTGTCCCAAATGAGTCTTCCTCCTTTGAGTCTCCATGATAATTATCTATGGTATTCATTGGGACTACATTATTTATACTGTTCAATGTTTCATTTTCCTCTTGTAAACTAAAATCCTCTAAGTCAGGAAACTTGAAATACTGATTAAATGTGCCTACAGAATTAATTACATAGATGACATTTATGGAATGAATGTGTACCTATTTAGAAACCAACTTAGCCCAAATGAGCTTCTTGACTAGTCCATGCAATCAGAATGGCCCAGGTACCTTGAGGATGCTCTGGTCCATGCACTCCTTGGTGCTTCCACCTGCTGCAGAAAGCATTTCTTCTGTCTCATGCCAAGAGATGCACTCACCACAATTCTGTCGACCCCTTTTAAAGCTATTTCATTCATTCCTTTTACAAACATTTATTGAAGATCTGCTGTGTGCCAGCCATTGTGTTTTGTTCAAGGAATATAGAGAATAAGGTACAGGAAGTTCTTCCCTCAATTATCTCCCTCTGGGAAGGAGGTGAGTAAAGGTTGAAATGAGAAGTGGAAGTAGGGAGATACATACGTGTGATAAAAAGAAATCCCCAGACAGTGAGATAAGTACCAATGAGACATGTATAGAGTGCTATGGGAAGGCAGAATAAAGAACGATTGTGTTGTGAGAGGAGGCTAGGGATGCCTCCATAGCAGTAGCTGATTTTGAACAAGTTGAACAGTGAACTGTGGTTAACACTTTGGCATTGAAAGACAGGCTGTTTGGTGTTTAAATTCCAGTTCTGTTCCTTGCCATCTGTTTTATTCTGGGAAAATAACACTTAACTCTTCCGTTCCTCAGTTTAATCATCTGTAAAATGGAAATAATATTTTCTAAGGGAATCATTATGATTAAGCAAGTTAATTTTATTTATGTATATATAATACATGCATATGATAATATATAATATAATGTATATTACATATGAATACATTTAATTATAATTTGATATATTTTATGGTTCAGTATATACTGACATATTATTTAGTTTATATATTAAGCATATAATTCAATAAGTGATTGAAAGTGATTAAAAGTATGTTAATACTATAAAGTAATTAAAATAAGTGATTAAATATATCGATACTATACACATATAGATGTGCACATGTATACATACAGGGCTTAGAACAGTTTCTGGTACGTATTAGGCACTATATAAATGTTACTTGTCATTGTTGCTGTTATTACACCTTAAGAAAAGAGCAGGATTTCATCAGTAAAGTAGTTATGAGCATTCTGGGCAGAACAGATTGCTGAAGGCCAGAGTCTTGAAAGAAGAAAGCAAGCTGGGGCATAGCAAGATAAAGGGCTTGGCAGATCCATTTTGCTGAATCATAGGGAAGAGAGTGTAGAGGTGGTCAAAGGCTAAAATCTTCAGGCCTTAGTTATTGCATGTTTCTAGCATAGGCTCTCAGTAAATGTCTGTTGAGGGCTTTGGAAGCATGGATTGGACCTCCTGAAATCATTTTTCTTTTCTTTCTTCACTTTAGTTCATGATACAAAGACTGTTTTTGAGAGAAGATATTGTGGACAACATTCATTTCCTCTCCTCTGTCATTTCCTATGGCTAGATGTGTAATCCCTAGGGCTCTAAAAAGGCTTTCCACATTCCTGAATTTAAAGAAGATTATGTAACTATTTTTTTTAGTGTGCCTGAGAAAATAGTTGTCCAAGCAGGCTTTTCTTCATTACTCTGTTTTCAGACTTCTTTGTAGTTTTATCTGAATGATAATCCTTTGAGCTGCAGGGGTAGTTGGGAGAGAAGTAAGCATGATGGCTAAGGGGAGAGTCCCCTGCTTGTTCCTCAGATCATGTGGGAGTGCCCTGTGCCAGCCACCCAGCTATCCAGCCTCTGCCCTCAGCTTGGAATCCCAGTCTTCCTGATGATCTTTCTACAGTGTTTACAGAGGTTGTAAGAGAGAGAAGTTGGTGAGGGAGCAATGGGAGAGAAGAGATGTAAGCCTTGAAGATGGTTATGGCAACACAGTGGAGGAAAAACAGCACTTAGATTTGGTGAAGGGTAAACAAATTCTTCAAGGCAAAATAGTATTAGCAAAAACTCTTTCATAGTTTTGTCATCCAAACGTTAATACTGAGTCAACATAGAGTGATTTCTGTGTCTAGGAGACAGCTGGAGAAATAACAGGAGCTTCCAAATGGAGATGGGCAGATTCCCAGAGCCCTGCTTTATTCACTTGGAGTCGAAACTGGGAATTGAGAGAATGGACCCTCGTTTTGTCTCTGTCATTCATAGCTCTCCAGAATGTTTGAATTGTTATCCTTTCTTTCTGAGTCTTATTTTCTTCATCTGTAAAATGAAGGGTTGGATTAAATTTTTCTAAGCTCCTAATTTGTAAAATTCTATGACCTAGAAAGAATACTTCTCTTCTTTTAAAAATATTTTATTTTTATTTTTATTTATTTATTTTTTGAGACAGGGTCTCGCTCTGTTGCCCAGGCTGGAGTGCAGTGGCACAATCTTGCTTCACTGCAACTTCTGCCTCCCAAGTTCAAGCCATTCCCGTGTCTCAGCCTCCCAAGTAGCTGAGATTACAGGCACGTGCCATCATGCCTGGCCAATTTTTGTATTTTTAGTAGAGACGGGGTTTCACCATGTTGGCCAGGCTGGTCTCAAACTCCTAACCTCAAGTTATCCTCCTGCCTCAGCCTCCCAAAGTGCTGGGATTGCAGGCGTGAGCCACCACACCCAGCCTGTTTTATTTTTTATGTTAGGTTCAGGAGGTACATGTACAGGTTTGTTATATGGGTATGTTGCATGATACTAAGGTTTGGGCTTCTAATGGTCCTGTCATCCAAGTAGTGAACATGGTATCCAATAGGTAGTTTTTCAACTCTTGCTCCTCTCCTTCTCTCCTTACTTTTGGAGTCTCCAGTGTCTATTTTTCTCATCATTATGTTCCTGTGTACCCAATGTTTAGCTTGCACTTATAAGTACAATACCTTATTTTCATTTGGCCTTCTTCACCCAAAAGCTTCCAATTCCTCTCATTTTACAGATATGGAAGCTAAATGATAATAATGCAAGAATAAAAATCTATCATTTATATAGTATTATATAATTTAAAGATACTAACTTGTAAATAGATTGTGTTATTAATATGAGAAGAATATAAGCCTCTATTGTGCTCCTAAAATGTTGCTAAATATTAAAAAAACTGCACAAAAAGTACAATTTTCAAGGAACTAAGAATCTGTTTGGAAAGTATACTTTCATGTGTAAACAGACAGATAATAATAAGCAGTATCATGGGGTATCTATTCATTGATTTACTTGAGAAGTTTTTATTAAACAACTGTTATGTTCCAGACAGTATTCTAGGTGATAGACAGTATCCTGTGAACTCTCTAGGGAGCTTGCATTCTAATAGGGAAAGTAAACAGGCAATGATGAGCAAAAGAATGATCAACACGCCATCAGCTAATGAGAAATACTGTGAAGAAAATAAAGGTATGCAACAGAAAACAGTTGGTGGGCAACTGAAATTTGTATAGTCACAGGAGACCTCTCTAAAGCATTATTATTCTTTAAATTTTATTATAAAAATGTTTGACATAGAAAAAGTTGAAAGATTTATACAGTGAACATCATATAACTGCCACCTAGATTCTATAACTACCATTTTACCAAAAAAACTTACTTTTCTGATACATTTAAAAGCAGGTGGCCAACAACAGTATACTTTACCCCTACAAACTTCAGTGTATCATTATCTAGAGTTTAATATTTATGTATAATAAATGGACAGTGCAGGCAATGTGTGCAGTGAGTCATAAGAAGAAATTATTTATTCATTAATTCATTCATTTGACAAATAACTATTGAGCCCTCACTATGTGGTAGACACTCTTTAGGCACTGCCTATTTCAGCAGTGAACAAAATGAACAAGAATCCCTACCCTCAGGAAACTTACATTCTACTTAGCGAGACAGATGAAAAGCAAGGTAAATATGTAAAAGATACTCCTGCCAGATGATGATAATGACAAGTGCTAACTAAACTAGGGGCAGAGAATGGGGCAGTGTGTATATGTGTGTAAAGGGGTCACAAAGGCAGTTCCAAAAATTTAGTTAAGAAAGGTATCTTTGAGGATATCTGAGGACAGAAGGCACTCCAAGTAGAAAGGCTCTGAAGCAGAGTTGGCCTGGCAAGATGAGTAACAGCAAGTAGGAGAGTGTGGCTGGAGCACAAAGAAAGACTGGGAGGGAGACCGGGAGGAGATAAGGTCAGAGAGGTGAAGACAGGGCTGGGGGAGCAGGATCATTGCGGGTGACAGTGGACATCAATGTCTTAGGCATGTCCTTAAAGAAAGGGTGTGGTTGAGGTGGTTGGGTCTCTAAAGGGGCAGAAGGTAGTCCTGGTGAAGAGAACAGCCTATCTGAAGGCACTGGACTAGAAAGGACAGAGCATGTTTGGGAAACCGTGCCTAGACAAGTTTGATGGGAACAGATCATCCATTCATGAAGGAAGAAGAGGTACACTGGGATGAGACTATGGCAGAGCAGAAATGTGAGATGTAAGAGTTCTGATGTTATCTTACTTACAGTAGTGGGTTATGGAAGGTTCGTGACCAGGTAATGGGGAACTGAGAGGGAACTTCTGGCTTTTTCCTCAGAAGCATTAGCAAGCAATGTTAACAGGTAGAGATACCAAGAATGTTGATACTGAAAATGAAAAGGTGGGTGCAGCTTACCACAGACTGCTTCTGTGGAAAGTGACTAGAATGGCGAGTGCAGGGTGACTTGAGGAAAGTCACACTTGGCACAGCTTTAATGTGTCAAGTAGAGTTGAATGCAATGATTGCTTAGAAGCAGTGAGGATCCGCTGAAGGTGGAAAGCTGAATTACAGTGAATTCAGCTCTTTCTTAGACTTTGATTTTATCACTCAACTTTTATAACTTTGTTTTTTGGAGGAGAAAGACAATTTTAGGGCTGCCATTGATAAAATCTGGGTTAAACTGTATTTGTTGGAGTCAAAAATTTAGAACATCAGAGTTGTTGTTTGAGAGATGCTGGCACAACCTGCTGCTTTTGACTCAGACTCAGAGTCAGATGGCCACTTCCCAAGATGAAATCATGATTCTCCTACTTATTAACCATGTGATGGTGGACATGTTATCTTTTCTGCCTTTGCCGTGCATCCTCATCTGTAAAACAGGGTTACATGTAGTACCTACCTCTTAGGTTGTGGTTATAATTAAATAGGTTAATGCGTAAAACATATTAAGATACTTCCTGGCCCATTAAGCACTAAATAAATATTAAATATTCTCACTCTAATTATAATTGACCAGATTTAACTAAATGTGTATCATGTGCTTTATGAAGCTGATTTAACTGGATATCAAACATACTTATTTGTTTGAACTTACTGACCAAAATGAACTTGTTATTTAAATACTAAATGTAGAGCTTATCAATGCAGTGATCATTTGTTTCAGGATAGTTCAGAATGTGCCAGTCACTCATGACTGAATATGTCAAATGTGGTTTGGGGTTATAGTGGCCCATTTTAAAGTGGGAAGGTCTAGAATCTTCAGAATTTAGAGTGTTTTGTGTAAGGAAAGTAGCCCGCTTCAAAAGAATCATGGAAATGCCTAGGCTTAGAAGCAACACAGATAAGATTATGCTTCTTTATTTCTCTGGATGAAATTAGTTTGTTTTGGCCAATACTTTGAGGAAAGTTGTCTCTAAGTTGACCTTGTGTTTTAGTTTGCCATCTGTATTTAGAAGTTGGTGTTAAAAATAGCCATTCCTCATGGCTCCTGTGGCATCTATCTGATTTTGGCTGATTGCTTTCTTTGATTGTTGCTTATTCATGAGTGCAACTTGAAAATGAATAAGATAGTTCCACAGAAGAGATAGTGATAAAGCTGAAAAAAAGAAGGGAGTTTTTATGGCTGAATTCAGAATGTTGTTAGTCTCAGGATGATGTCATTGGAAAATCACGTATTGATGTTTGAAAACAAAGAGGGCAATTTACGTAAGTTATTGAGACAAAGTGGAGTTTGGAGGGAAAACAAGAGAACGATGTAATTTTGTGAGAAATTTGAGAGACCTTTCGCTAAGATGTTAAAACTGTTAGATATTGTTGCAGGACAGAGTTCAAATGTGGCTCAAGTAATTCCTGGCTTTAATAGAGAATGCATTTTTATTTTGGGTCACTAACAATTGAAACAAGTGAGACTTTTATGACTTTTATGACAATTTATAACTTTTAAATTTTAGGGTGTTTCAGAATGCTCTTGCATTCTTGGGATTCCTCTGTTGGATGGTAAGTTCTATCATGGAGTAGAACGTGACTAGCTTATTTACCATTGTGTACCCATCCTGGCACACATTAGGCACTTGGATCATTTTTGGATGAATGAATATATGAATGCACTTACAGGAGGTGCTATAAACCTGGGAAGTGCTTAGACAGGAGTAGTGAAAGTAATGAAGTTTAAAAGAGAAAAGTTAGACAGTCTGAGAAAAAAGAAGTAATAGAGTGGTTTGGTAGTAATGCTTTAGGAACTCTGGTTTCATTGTATGAAAGCTAATGGTTACCCAGATCTTCAGAATTTCCACTGATGTCCATGTAGGAAAAAGGACCTTAAATTAAGGAACATGAGATTATCATCAAATGTAAGGAGGAAACTATGAGAGTGTGGAATGTGGCCACAGGGAAGACAATGGTCTTTAAAAGTCTTTCAAGTCTGTTAAGAACAATTTTTTTGTGTGTGTGGGTTTGGGGGGTGGACACAATTATCCTGAAATCTTGGGTAATGGATTAGATGATTCATGGTAGGAAAAGCTAATTTGTTTTACTAAAAATATTATGTGTAGCTATATGTTGCTTAACAATGGGGATACATGCTGAGAAATGCATCCTTAGGTGACTTCATTATTGTGTGAACATCATAAAGTATGCTTACACAAACCTAGATGGTACAGCCTGCTATACACCTAGGCTATATGGTGTAGCCTATTGCTCCTAAGCTGCAAGCCTGTATAGCACGTTACTGCACTGAATACAATAGGCATTTGCAGCACAATGGTAAGTATTTGCATATCTAAACAAACATATCTAAACGTACAAAAGATACAATAAAAATATAGCATTATAATCTTATGGGGACCACTATTGCAAATATGTTTCATCATTAAAACATCACTATGCAGTACATGACTGTATATTGAAAAATGACTCTCAATTCATACAAAACCACATCCAGGCCATCATCAATCATTCTATACGACAAATGCTCCTTCTAACAACCCCACAATATCACCCCTTATCACAAAATCTTTCTTCAGTTTAATCTCTCCCACTCTAGTTCCATGCTGCCCCTAGTCCGGCTCGAAGCAGCCCTGAGAAACATCGCCCATTATCTCTCCATACCACCCCCCAAAATTTTTGCTGCCTCAACACTTCACCACTATTTTGTTTTGTTTTTCTTATTAATTGCACGTACACATCCAGGTAGCCTGAGGCAACTGAAGAACGACAAAAGAAGTGAAAATGGCCAGTTCCTGCCTTAACTGATGACCTTACCTTGTGACATTCCTTCTCCTGGACAATAAGTCTCCGGAGCTCCCCACTGAGCACCTTGTTACCCCCGCCCCTGCCCACAAGAGAACAATCCTCTTTAACTGTAATTTTCTACTACCTACCCAAATCCTATAAAACTGCCCCACCCCTATCTCCCCTATCTCCCCTTGCTGACTCCTTTTTCGGACTCAGTCCGCCTACACCCTAGTGATTAAAAAGCTTTATTGCTCAAAAAAAAAAAAAAGAAAAAAGAAAAGAAAAAGAAAAATGATTTTACCAGTGTCTTATTCAACTTTTAAACATGCAGAATTTATTAGATGTGAGTTTGCATGTATTGATAGGGTTGTAATTTCTGCTTTGCACTTGGATTGCCTCCTTGTCAGATCCACATCCTGTTCCTTCCTTACACGATTGAGGTACAATGTACGGAAACATGATTCTAAGTAAAATTGACCCTTTAAAAATGACTTTATTTATTATCCTGCACAGGTCAAGTAAATATGGATAAAGCAGAACATATTATGTAATTCTCTTGAAAGATGTGAATAATGATTGAATCAATATGATGATTAATTGCTGTTTGTTTCTACCTAGAAAAAAAAAAGAGTAAATTAGGGATCAGAATTCAAAATAATGTTTTATTGAAAGTAAATGTTGTAAATATTGGAGTACATAAGGGAAGTCATAGCATATTTGAAGAACCCTTTACTAATAGGATAGATTCTCAAGTTTGAAATTATTTTGCTATATGCATCTTTTTTGTAATAATCATTTTAAAGCAGGGGTCCCCAACCCCTGGTTCTGGTCTATGGCAAGTTAGGACCTAGGCTCCGCAGCAGGAGGTGAGAGTTGGACGAAGGAGCAAAGCTTCATCTGTATTTACAGTAGCTCCCCATCACTCGCATTGCTGCTCCGCCTCCTGTAAGATCAGCGGTGGCATTACATTCTCACAGGAGCATGAACCCTATTGTGAACTACAAGTGTGAAGGATCTAGGTTCATGCTGCTTATGAGAATATAATGCCTGAGGATCTGTCACTGTCCCCCTTCACCCCCACATGGAAGGCTTAGTTGCAGGAAACAAGCTCAGGGCTCCCACTGATTCTATGTTATGGTGAGTTGTATAATTATTTCATTATATATTACAATGTAATAATAATATAAATAAAGTGCACAATAAATGTAATGCACTTGAATCACAAAACCATCCCTGCTCCTACCCCGCCACCCTGGTCCATGTTAAAATTGTCTTCCACAAAACCGGTCCCTGGTGCCAAAAATGTTGGGGACTGCTGTTTTAAAGCACTTCCTTATTTTCAGGCACTATGCTTGTTGCTTTAAGCTTCACTATTTCAAAATGACTCTGGAGAGTTTTCAAGATAATTAGTGGGTTAGATCCTTTAAAAATTATTTGAAAGGCTGAAATGGCTTTTAGTTTTTATAGTTTATCTCCTCCAGTTCTCCACACTCTCCTTTAACTGAAAATCTCCAATTGTAAACATCTAAAATTGCTTTCCGCTGGGGAATTTAAAGATGACATTGCTGCTTTTCACAAGAATACATAATGGACACAACCAACTTCTTCCTAAAAAAGGTGGAGTTCTAATTAGTTCTAGCTCTAAGCTAAGTATTAGGGTGTTGGGGGAAGCCTGGAAGAGGTGATCATTCTTCTTTCTAATTGCCCTAATAATACAAGCAGCATGGAAGCCTGTAATGCAGAGATGCTTTATGCCATGTGTGGGAAGAAGTTTACAGTAATTGTTTAATGCCTCACAGGAAGTACGTTTTTATCTGAATGACATGTTCTAGGTAAAAGGTGCAGAGAGATTATAAATATCAAGCTTATCATGCATAGCATGTCTGAACATAGTGCACCAAGCAAGAGGATTTTAAATTTCCTCCTGGTTGTGGGTGACCCACTTGTGCAATGAGGAAGTGAGGATCCTAATCCGTGTGACAAGAACCTTGGCAGCACAGCCTGTAACATTCAAAATGGCAGAAAAATCCTGTGCCTTCTCTTCCGTTATCCTGCCTTTGTTTAAAGAGTCTTGTCACTCCATCCAGGATCATGAATGTCTTAGCCAAGAAATGTTGGTAGATACATAAAGTGTGTGCTAATGGAGAAGACAAATTTGACTATAAATGCAGCATTGTTGATTTTCCTTTTATTCAATGGAGCTGTCAGAACAAACAGGCAGGGATATATATATATTTTTTTTTTTGAGACAGAATTTTCACTCTTGTTGCCTAGGCTGGAGTACAGTGGCGCGATCTCAGCTCACTGCAACCTCCGCCTGCTGGGTTCAAGTGATTCTCCTACCTCAGCCTCCCGAGTAGCTGAGATTACAAGCATGGGCCACCATGCCTGGATAATTTTTGTATTTTTAGTAGAGATGGGATTTCGCCATGTTAGCCAGGCTGGTTTCGAACTCCTGACATCAGGTGATCCACCTGCCTTGGTCTCCCAAAGTGCTGGGATTACAGGTGTGAGCCACCACACCCAGCCAAACATTGGATATGTAATTAATAAATTGCTTGGAGACCTGCCAGCTGGGAAACCAGCATTTTCTTGAGCACTTTCTGTCATGAGACGGCACAATGAAAGAGGCCTTGAATCTTTCCATTTATTAGAAAACTCTACATAGAGTTGTAATTGTTAATGTTATTTCCATCCACTCACAATGGCTTTACACTCTGGTGATAAAAACATTAAATCTAGTATCATTTTAAGGGCAATTTTTATGTATTTCTTGAAAAAAAAAGACCATGCTTTACCCATATCTTGCTTTCTTCTAAATTGCATTGTCTGTTTGGTAGCCAATCACCCTTTGACGTTACATTCATCTGAGCATGCATTATTCCATGTGTCCTGGGATTCTCAATTAGTTTATTAACTTTAAAAATATGTATATGCTTCTTTGATGAAAGAATGCTCATAGAATTCTATATATAGGAACTGTTTTCTGGGTCAGACCATCCCATGATTTTGTCCCCAATAGTAATCAGCTATTTCTTGATGAGAAAAGATTGCCTGATGCACTCCTCCTCCTCACACACACACACACACACACACAAACGAACAGTAATTTGACAAATATGTGTTATCTGTTGTATGCCAAATACTATACAATGGACTAGTAATAGGAACCTATATAAGACAGAGCTTACAGTTTAGTGAGAGAGGCAAATTTTTGTATAGATGTTTTCAATACCTTTTGCTTACTCATAAAATTCAGCACTGAGAATCAATCATCTATGAACTTATTTTAACCTTTTTGGAAACCTCCTTCTAGTCTGTGTTTTTCCCTTCCTTGAAACTCAAGAGGGTAAATCTAATAATCTATAGCATTTTATGTTGATTCTAAAAATTTCCTCTGCACATTTCAAGAGGTATATCCTAGTTCTGTTCTACTTGAAGTTATTGAACAAGTTAGCTCTATCTATGTTCTTATGGTAACCTGATACAATAAAAATAATAACACATTTACAACTGTGTAGCAACTTTCAAAGCATTTTCTCATTTGGTTCTTATAACAATCTACAATTACATTTTTCATAGCTAACGCCAGGGATAATATTGAAAAGGCCTTTCTGTACAACAGATTTACAGTCTCTGGAAAGACAACTCTTAATATCTTAAGTGGATATTAATCATTTTCTTTCCTTTACACAAAAATTGTCTCTCTGGCAGGATGTCCTCCTTCAATATGTTTGATAGGCTCAAATAGTGTTGAAATAAATAAAAACCAGAGGCTCCAGATCTCATTAGTAGATGTTTCCCGAGTCAACTACAGTTGGCTGGATCCTAGGTCCTACTGCCTGCCATGAATGGGTGTTGTATTTTCAGCTTACTACAGCCTGCACTTGTCTCAATTATACATGTGTGAACTTTCACCCAGGTTGATTCTAACCTCTGGGCCATTACAGCTTCTGATTTTGTGGCCTGAGGCAGCTCCTAAATAATAGACACAACATCTCAGTAGTTTTTATATCTCAGGCACTTTTTATATTTTGTAAATAGTAGTTGTGGTGAGCTACTTTATTTTACTGAGGGAGGAAAACAACCAGGCAGAGATAATTCTTGTGTTTGCTAAAATGACGTACTAAGTAGACTTACAAAAAAAATACCAAAAAGTTGGTTTACTGAAATACGCCTGTAGTTTAGGGTCTTCATGGAGCTGTGTTACTTTTATTTTTAGGGTTTTGTTTTTTTGATTAAAAATAATCTGGCACTCAAAATTTATTTTGAGTTTGTTTCCATGATATAAACACATATCTACTTTATGACCTAATCTGATTAACATGTCTTTTTTTAGGTCACTGAAATGGTTCTAGAAATGTCTCTTGAAGTTTGGTAAGTGCATTTATTTAGTTGGATGAGAAATATTGTGAGTGATCCACTAATTTATTTTAATTGTTAAAGAATTTTTTTATATATAATTCTGCAGCTGTGAACATATAGAAGTGCATTATGTTTACTTTGCTTTTCTTTAGTTGTCTGTTAATACCTACAAAATCTTTACAAACATATTCTTATATTCATTATTCTTATATTTTAATATGCTTTGCTTATTTTTCCAATAGTTTCATGGTCATATAATAATGTCAGAATAAGTGCTTTATGAAAGAGTCCTCCCTCTAGTCGTACATCTATTCCCATAGAAATGAATGCAGTTATTTAAGCGCCTCTTCTATTGTTGATTCAGGTAGATATTCAAAAACATAGAAGTGAACTTAAACAGAAACTATATAATAATTTTTAAAATTGAGACTGATTTTATTCATACTGACCCAGCTGGACTACTGCTAATAATGTTCCATGAAGCATACTGCTCTTTCAAAATGGCCTCCAAAACTGAACGTTAGGGAATCATGTACTTATTTTCAAACGGCGAATTTTAGGGTAGGCAAGTCTGCCTTGATCTAACTGTTCTCTGATGTAATAATGAGTTCCCTTAACCTCTCTGCATCTCTTTGAACTTCCCTGTTGAACTTGATTTGACCAAAGTTATTAGTACATATTTTACACAAATGCCACGAAAACAAATTGAACATTTTCACATCTGGTGATTTGGCAAATGCATGATAATAGGTACATTGGGTTTAGGCATTTGTTTATTGTATTTTGATCCCTGGAACATGTGGATTTGACTTAGCAAGTGATTGGCATAAATGTCCACAACCTGTTAATATAAGTCAGCAAATATCAAAGGATAGTCCAAGTTATTGTGTTGCATTATTTTGTATTAAGTTCATTCTTGCTTAAAAGTGGTATATTTTGGCATGAGATTAGAAACACTTGTTATTTGACTGACTATGGAAGTAATGCTTTTGTTTAGCGGGGAATAGTCTTCACTGAGGTAATTAGGACATATTTTTATAATATTAAAAATTTCTTTTTTTGTATGTTAATTTATGTCAGCTCTAGAACAGAAATTGTTTTCAAAGAAAAATTCAATTTATTCAAAGAAAAATTTTCCATGTCATGCCTTCTATTAAAAATAACATAAAAGCAAGAAAGAATTAATTAGAAAGTTAAAAATAATGCATAAAAGTAAATTAACCATAATTCTACTACTGAATTTATAAAATTACTCAGAATTTTTTGAATTTTCATCCAGATTTTGAAAACTGATATCCTTAAAACATCTAGGTCATTATACTGTTCAAAAATTTTTTAAAAATCATGATTCTTTTTTAAAAATTATATATAACAGAACAGTATATTACAGAGAACATGACTTCCAGAATAATAAGACCTAGATTTAATTCTACTACTTTCTAATTATGTTAGTGATTGATAGATTTCTAATCACTTATTTACTCACTGGTAAAATAAGAAAAGAATACTTTCTAAGCATATCACTGTGATTAAATGAGGTGTTCTTTCTAAAGAGTACATATACAATAGGAAATTTTCATACACGTATACCACATGTTAATAATGGTGCTGCTTGTAATAGTTTACAAAACATTGGAAATTATTTCAATATTTATGGATAAATAGATTATAGTATACTAATATAATGAAATACTACATAATAGTAAAAGTGTTTGAATTACTTTTATTTATATAAGCACAGATGATTCTCAAAAAAAAGTGTTCACTGGAAAAAATAATTTGCACTAATTACTAAAAACCTGCAAAATGAAAACCTTATTTAGGGACATAAATATATATTGTAAAATTATAAACATATATGGAATGATGAAGATTAAATTTAAGTAGTGATTACCTTTAAGGAACAGAAAAGGAAATAAAGTTGAGGAGGTGTCATAGAGGCAACTGTACAGGTAAGATTTTAATTTCTTTTCTTTTCTTTTTTTTTTTTTTTTTTTTTTTGAGACGGAGTCTTGCCCTGTCACCCAGGCTGGAGTGCAGTGGCGCGATCTCGGCTCACTGCAAGCTCTGCCTCCCAGGTTCACGCCATTCTCCTGCCTCAGCCTCCCGAGTAGCTGGGACTACAGGCGCCAGCCACCACGCCCGGCTAATTTTTTTCTATTTTTAGTAGAGACGGGGTTTCACCGTGTTAGCTAGGATGGTCTCGATTTCCTGACCTCGTGATCCGCCTGCCTCGGCCTCCCAAAGTGCTGGGATTACAGGCATGAGCCACCGCGCCCGGCCTTTAATTTCTTATAGTGTTTAGAAGATACCTAACCTAATATGTCATTATAAAGAATAGTAATAGAAAAGAGTGTAGCCCAAGATTAGACTTAAAAGTGTTCATTTGGCTGGGCGTGGTGGCTCATGCCTGTAATCCCAGCACTTTGGGAGGCTGAAGTGGGTTGATTACCCGAGGTCAGGAGTTCCAGACCAGGTTGACCAACATGGAGAAACCCTGTCTCTACTAAAAATACAAAATTAGCCAGGTGTATTGGTGCGTGCCTGTAATCCCAGCTACTTGGGAGGCCGAGGCAGGAGAATCGCTGGAACCCAGGAGGCGGAGGTTGTGGTGAGCTGAGATTGTGCCATTGCACTCCAGCCTGGGCAACAGGAGCGAAACTCCGTCTCAAAAAAAAAAAAAAAAAAAAAGTTAACTCACTGTCTTACTCTTTTCCCCCGTTACATGATTTCCAAAATCATATTTAATAATTGTATAACCCAATACTTTTATATACAGTTCAACAACCGTTTCTTTAAATGATCTTTAAAAAGTTTTTGGTTACTTCCCTTAAGATAGGTTTCCAGAAGTAGAATTATTAGGCCAAAAGGAATCTATGTTCTAATTATTTTTGAACATTCCATATTGCTAATATGCCAAATTTGAATACTGCTTAATTGCTTTTTAACAAACTTATATTCCCAAAATGGATGCATGAGAATATTAGTGTTATTTTTCCTTTCTAGGACTAGAAAATAAGTATTTAAAATATTTTAATATCAATTATTTTAATAACAGTATCATTTAAATTCACTAGTGAAATTAAACTTTTTTGTTATTAATTCTGCTTTCTCTTTTGTGAGGTACCTATATTTGTCCTTTGGGAAGTAGTAATTAAACTATTATTTGTAATGGTCAAATATAGCCATAAAGAACATAGCTCAGAGGCTTGGTCTCTTTCTGTATTTTACAAGGAAAAAATATACTGAACTAACAGAAATGAGATTTAAAATTGATTTACAATTAAGGTAAGGATTTTTATGAATGGTAAAGAGACAAATATTTTATTGGTGATAATTCTTGACTTCTGCTTTTTGGATTTATTCACACTCCAACATAGGCTGACAGATTTTTAAAAAGTATTTTTAAATTCAGTAGTTGGTATTTAGACTTCAGTATTAAGATATGTCTTATATGTTGCATGGTGAAAGTACATCACATGTTTACTCTGTGATCCTAACCTCTCAGGGCATTAGTTTTCTAATTTATAAAGCTGCAATATATAATAATATATTGTATAATAATATGTAGTGATACTCCCATCGTTCTTGCAATGATTCATACGTAATACCTAATGTGACTTCTGGCATAGTGTAGAGAAATTGCTACTGCCTTCATTAGCAAGATAAAGTATATATAATTTAAGGGTTCTAAAGTCCTCTAGTGGTAAACTCATTTATGGTTATCTCAAGTTCTGTGATTAGAAGTTCCTTTCTTTGTTAGAGGGGGGCATCCATTAGACAAGGCAATTAATTAAGACAATATTTCTGCAAGTATGTTCCTCAGAATGCTGGCTCTTTGGGATGTTAGAAAGTAATTATGATGGTGGAATAGTGAAGGGTGGAGAGATAAGGGAAGGAATTCTTGGTCAAGTAAGTTTGGGATATCCTGTGCCAAACAAATATAAACAGGGTTCTTTACTGAAGCCCTTCCAAGTCTTTGTTATAATATTCAACTTATCAGAGGCTGTTTGTTTGCTCGTTTATTTTATCTAAAGCATTGGAAAGTCCTTTTTCTCTGAAAACATGCTGTGGAAAATGCTGCTTTAAGATAGCCATCATTTTATCCTCTTATTTTAGGTCCCTTCTTAGGAAATGGCTTGAGGGAAGCAGTCAGCATATATCAGTGTAGCTCCTAGGGACCTGGAAAAGCTACCTGGATGGAAAACCAGACCACTGGGAGCACTGGCTCATGACTTTATCTGTTTGGTATTACAGCTCATGCCCAGACCTACGATTTAGTATGGCTCTGTGTGATCAGGAGAAGACTTTCAGACAACAGAGAAAAGAACACATAAGGGAGAGCATGAAGAAACTCTTGGGTCCAAAGAATAGTGAAGGATTGCATTCTGCACGTGATGTGAGTTGGAAATTTTTCAAGTGTTACTATACTTTAATAATAATTTAGCTTGGACAATTTCCCCAATAATTTTACCCAAATATGGCAATATTGAGATTGAGCATTATTCCTTTAGTTTTTTAAGGTAAGGTAAGTGATTTGTAAATGAAAACTCTTTGAGGAAGGTCATCACAAATGGTGCCCTAGCTGGTAATATTTATCAGCTATAGTTTTTAGTTTTATTTTTACTTTATATTTTAGAGCAGTGTTAAGTTCACAATAAAATTGAGCCAAAAGCACAGAGAGTTCCAATATGCTTCTTCTCCCTGCACAACCTCCCAAGTTTAGTCAGGTTCTCCAGAGAAACAGAACCAAAAGATATACACAGTAGATATGAGGAGATTTATTATGAAGTTTGGCTCACATGATTATGGAGGCCAAGCAGTCCCACGATATGCTTTCTGCAAGCTGAAGAACCAGGAAAGCCCGTGGTGCAATTTAGTCCAAGACAAAGGTGCACCAGTGGAGTAACTCCCAGTCAGAGGCTGGGCAGTTGGAGGGGGAGGTGGGAGTCTTGAAGTCTGAAAGTAGGAGAACCCGGAGCAACAATGTCTAAAGGCAGGAGAAAAGGGATGTCTCAGTTCAAGGACAGAGAGACAATTGCCCACCTTCCACCTTTCTGTTCTCCTCAGGCCCTCCAAGGATGGAATGATGTGCGCACCCATTGGCAAGGGTGGGTCTTTACTCAGTGTGCTGATTCACTTGTTTTTCTTTGGAAAACACCCTCATTAGCACCCCCAGAAAGAATGTTTTTCTAGTGATCTGAGTATCCTTTAGTCTGGTCAGGCTAATAAAGAAAATTAACCATTATACTCCCTAACTATCAACATCCCACACCAGAGTGGTACATTTGTTACAATCAGTGAACCCACATTGACACATCATTATCATCCAAGTCCATAGTTTACGCTAGGCTCACTGTTGGTGGTCTACATTTTATGGGGTTTGGACAAATGTGTAATGACATGCATCCACCATTATAGTATCATACACAGTAGTTCACTGTCCTAGAAATCCTCTGTGCTCCACCTATCATCTCTCCTCCCTACCCCTGCACCACTGATACTTTTACTGTCTCCATAGCTTTGCCTTTTGTTAGTTTGCCTAATGTAGTATAGTTGGAATCATACAGTATGTAGCCTTTCCAGATAGGCTTCTTTCACTTAGTAATACGAATATAAGTTTCCTCCATGTCTTTTCATGGTTTGGATAGCACATTTCATTTTAGTACTAAATAATATTCCATTGTCTGGATGTACCACATTTTATTTACTTATTCATATATATGTATATTTATATATACATATATATACATATATATGTATATATATACATAAGTATATATATATGTATACTTATATATATATGTATATATATATATACATATATATGTATCTAATATAAGTGTATGTATGTATTTGTATATAATATATATATAAGGCATACTTACGCATAAAGGAGTGTTGATTTTATCAATAGGAAAAGTTTAGCCTCAAATATAAAAGGATTAAAATTACTTAATTTAAATGTAGGCTAAAATTAAACTGTGGAAATCATCATTATCGAACAAGAAGAAAATGCCATAAATCTTGTTAATGATAATGGAATTAATAAATGCAGGCAAATGTGATGGGGAGAAAAAAGAAAATATTCCAAATTCTTTATATTTTGTAGTAGAGTTAAACAATATTTAAAATTGACCAAATTGAAGGATCGTACTTTCAATATTTGTTTATAATATATTTGTATTCTATATTTCTCTATAATTAGGATTATAAAAATCATTAAGTTGAAGAAATGATTTATAATCCTAATTATGGAGAAATACTGGAATATAAATATAAACAAATATTGAAAGTAAAATCCTTCAATTATAGTTTTTTTCTTTCCTTAAATTCCAGTAAAATGTAATATCCTTTATTACTCAATCATATATCTTAAAATCTACTTTTTGGCTATCTATCCATTCATTTATTTCATCTATGTATCCATCAATCACCTATCTAATCTGCTTATCTATTTCTCTCTTTATATATCTGTCCATCTTTCTATCTGAAATCTACAAAGATTAATTGCCACAATGATGCTCATCAAATGATAATGAAGTTTCTTGTTAGTGACGTATCAGGTAATTATTTACTTATTTATTTAGTTGAGCTTTCTTGTTAATTGAATATGTCAAATGAATATAATTTATTTTCATAAAAATAATATTTTAAATACATAAGTAAACATATATGTGCATAGTCTTGTACACTCTTGAATTATTTCTCGTAGGAATTAATTTCATTAAGTTTTTCATAAAATAATTTCATAAATAAATTAATTTCTTGGAATTCATTCTTGTAGGAATTTGAGATTATTGCAAATTAAGGGCAGGATACAGTTGGAAATGAGACATAAATTCTGAGTAAGGGAGCCAAATGATCACCCCTGTCCCACATGTGGTTGCAGATTTGCAAATATGTTTTAGGTGGGGGTAGGGTTCAAAAGCCAACCTACTGATGCTATAGTGACTTGTGTTGTTATGGGAGCAGACTCTAAGATGAGATGCTGCTTAAGGGGAATTTTTGCTTAAAGGAAACTAAGGAAACCTTCATTAAAGTTTATTTTAAAAAGAGAGGCTTCTCTTCAATCCTGCATCTTTTGTTTTGTTTTGTTTTTTTGTGTTTTTTTTTTGAGACAGGGTTTTGCTTTGTTGCCCAGGCAGGAGTGCAGTAGCACAATCATAGCTCACTGCATCATCAAACTCCTGGGCTTAAGTGATCCTCTTGCCTCAGTCTCCTAAGTAGCCAGGACTATGCGTGCATGCCACTACACCCAGAAAATTTATATATATATGTTTTTTTCTTTCTAGAGATGGGGATCTTGCTATATTGCCCAGGTTGGTCTCAAACTCCTGAGCTCAAGCAACACTTCCACCTCTGCCTGCCAAAGTGCTAGTGTAGCAGGACAAGCCACAGACAAAAACCCCTCAGACACCGAGTTAAAGAAGGAAGGGGTTTGTTTGGCCGGGAGCATCGGCAAGACTCCTGTCTCAAGAGCCGAGCTCCCTGAGTGAGTAATTCCTATCCCTTTTAAGGGCTCACAACTCTAAGGGGGTCAGCTTGAGAGGGTCGTGATCATTTGAGCAAGCAGGGGGTACATGACTGGGGGCTGCATGCACCAGTAATTAGAACAGAACAGAATAGGACAGGGATTTTCACAGTGCTTTTCTATGCAATATCTGTAATCTATAGATAACATAACTGATTAGGTCAGGGGTTGATGTTTAACTACCAGGCCCAGGGTGTGGTGCTGGGCTGTCTGCTTGTGGATTTCATTTCTGCCTTTTAGTTTTTACTTCTTCTTTCTTTGGAGGTAGAAATTGGGCATAAGACAATATGAGGGGTGGTCTCCTCCCTTATATCCTCCCCATTTGAGACTCTCACTCAATAGTGGGAGTTCTCACTTTCATTTTTACTACCCATGTCTTCTTGCAAGACGGATCAATAGTGATTCATATAGTACACTTGTGCTGAAGCATTTTGGTGAACTAAAGTAGCGATGAAGCTTTTTATCATTTGAAGAAGTACAGGTAGCAAACAAGGGAGCAGTAAGCAGGTTCCTATTACTATTATAACTCTTATTATAAGAGTTTTAAATCCTCCTAGTGCTGGGAACCATTTTCCAAACATGGCCCCAGGATCAAATCCATGCCACACTTGCACGGGCATGTGTGCCAGTTTTGTCATATCTCTAACTATGTCTTCAACTACTTGCCCTTGATCATCTATGTGTAGACAGCAATTAGTAAGGTTAAATTTCCCACAGACCCCTCCTTCAGCTGCTAGCAAGTAGTCAAGGGCCAATCTATTTTGACAGATAGCATTTCTCATCTGAGTTTCTTGCCGGGCCAGAATAGTCAAGGCTCTGCCGGTTTTATTAGTGATTATTTCTAAGACAGCTTGTAACTGTATGATTCGGTTGATCATGTAAATGGGGGTCCAGTATCCCCACGAGCCAACTTGTGCCCAAGTAGCAGGCCCATAATATTGTATGATTCTCTCAGGGGGCCATTCATTATCTTTCTAATTTTTTATAGCTATGCTTCTCTTTTCACGGAAAGCATAGACAGGGAAGCCCAGGAATTTGCCTGTTTTTATGGGCAGTAGGAAGAAAGATGGTTTAATAGTTTCAATAACACAACTACCTGCCCACTGGTAGTTGTATTATTGGAAGCTGTATGCCCACATATCCAGTATAATGCCGTGGGGGCTGTCCAGTCCCAGTGGGACTCCGGGTGGGTCCACACGATTTGCAGCTTTGGAAATTTACTAAATGGATTCCTCTCTGTGTGATTTGAGCTCCACCAAGTGACTGTTTTTGTGGTACCATTATACAGTTTCTGTCCCAGACAACTAAGTCATCCTACGGGGTGAGTGAATTTTTTTCCTTCTCTAGCTATGCAATATTGTCCAGTAATTGAGGGTTTTAGGACCCAGAAATTATCAGGGTAATTCTTTTGAGCCAGGAATTCATCAGGAACTGGGTCTACAGGTACTAATTCTCGGGCTTTCCATGGCCATTGATATCCTGTTACGGTTCCTCCACAGACATAACATGAAGTGACATTGAGAGGCTGGGCTACACACTCGGCTAGTTGCAAAAACAAATTTCTTGTTTTTCCTGGAATTTCTGGTACTGGCACATTTAGTTCATCATAGAAAGTTTGAAACACTGGCTCAGGAGAGCGTTCGTAAACTTCTCCTCCTCGAACCAAGATATTTACTCGAGGATCCAGTCTGGCCCTGTCGATTCCTAAGGTCACACGCTCCCCTTTTTTCCAGTGAGGATTAAGGGGATTGGTTATCACTAGCTCTAAGGGGTTACATTGTCCCTTAGTACAGGAAGGGTCATTCTTTCCTTTCTGAAGGTGGACTGGATCCTTTTCATTTTTTTATCCAAGTGGCCCAAATGACACAAGACCAGTATCCACATTCATTTCCACACAGTCCTAATTCATGACAAATGTACTTATTTTTGGTCATATAGCCTTTTTCCCAACTAAAATGGCCACATCCCCTTCCTAGCTTATTGCTATTAATGATAGCACAGGCATCAAATTTCAAGATTATGCGTTTGGGCACCCCTTTTTCTTCTGTTCTGGCTAATACTTTACTTGTATCATTTATGAGTCCCCACCAGTCTTCAGTCCTTAATCTTATTTCAAAAACAGTGGACATGGGAGGCTCAGAGGGGTCATAACACACATCTGGTCTGTCGTTTCCTGGGCTACATACCTGTACTGAGTGTCATTATATAAACATGTTCCTTTTAAAGTTCCTAGGCATTCATAGTAACTATAGAACAGAATAATTGTTTTAACTTGTTGCCCTACCTCGGTAACCTGATGTATACACTGAGAGCAGTCCTCCATGCAGGGAAAATCAGTGGAAGTGTCTACTATACAAGTCCAAATTATAAGGAAAATGAATCCCATGATAATTTTCCTCATGCTTCGGCTGTGCATAGACCAGTCAGCTTCTGGGTGTGACTGGAGCAGGGCTTGTCGTCCTCCTCAGAGTCACTTTGCAGGGGTTGTCCGGGCTCGGTTTTGCCTTCCAGGTTTCAGCGGCTGCAGGTTTCACACGGCTGTGGTGGATCCAGGGTGGGATTCCTTCTACCTTTACAGCTGTGGGGGTGTTCAGGATGATGGTCTGAGGTCCTTTCCACCGTGGCCGCAAAGGGGCTACATTCCAGTCCTTGATTCATACGCGATCACCTGGAGAGAAAGGGTGAACTGGGGAGAATAAGCTGATGGGACACCTCTCATTTACCCAAGTTGAGATTGTTTGTGTAATTTTTCCTAAAGCCTGTAGCTGTCGCTGTAATTCAATTCACCTAACTCTTGGGAAGTGCCTGGAAGCTCTCCTAGTATAGGAGGAGGCCTATGATACAGTATTTCTTAAGGGGAGTATCCTGTTTTCTTAGAAGGAGTGCATCTAATTTTAAACAATACCATAGGAAGGGCCTGTATCCACTTTAATCCTGTTTCCTGACATACTTTCCCTAAACTATTTTTGATAGTCCGATTCATTCGCTCCACCTTTCCGGAACTCTGAGGTCAGTAGGCGGTATGTAGCTTCCAAGTGATTCCTAATGCCTTTGCTGTCTTCCGTACCAAGTGAGCCACAAATGCCGGCCCGTTATCTGAGCTGATTCATAAGGGCAGTCCAAACCTAGGAATAAGATCTTGGAGAAGCACATGGGTTACCTTGTAGGGCTTTTCAGTTCGTGTTGGATAAGCCTCCACCCACCCAGAGTAAGTACACGTAAGAACCAGCAAATACTTGTTACCTCCACATTTTGGCATTTCTGTGAAATCCACCTGAAGATCCTCAAAAGGAGCTGCTCCATAAGCTTGTATGTGGGGCGAAACAGTGGGGCTTTGCCTCGCATTGTGCTGTCGGCATGTAATGCACAGTTGTGCTACTGCTTTGGCAAAGGCTGGCAAGTGTGAGACGTAGAAGTACCGGCCTAACAATTCTTCAAGTGACTCTTGCCCTAGGTGAGTGGTTTCGTGCATGGCCAATACGACTGTGGCTCCCAGCAACTGCAGCACAGCTACCCTCCCATCTGGCAGTCTGATTCATCCTCCTTTTATTACTTGCCCCCTGTCTGGGTGGAAGAAGTCTTTTTCTTCCTTAGAATAGGTATGTACCAGGTCAGGTGTTTGAGGGAGTAAGGGGGCTGCTATCGATGCCCAGTAAGGGGTAGATGCTGCTTTTTGAGCTTCTGAATCAGGTCGAGAGTTTCTTAAGGCCACTGAGGTGGAGGCTCGCTGGTGTCCCCTGCAGTGCATGACTGCCACCTTCTGAGGTTTCCACACTGCCTCTAATAATTGTAGAATTTACTGTTGATATTTTATGTCCTTTCCCCCAGAGTTTAACAGGCCCTTTTCCTTATATAATGCTCCATGCACTTGGAGGGTTAGAGAGGCATATCCAGAGTCAGTGTAGATGTTTACAGTCTTACCTTCACTGAGTTCTACAGCCCGAGTTAAAGCAATGAGCTCAGCCTTCTGGGCTGAAGTGCCCTGTAGCCACAGTTTGGCTTTAATGACAGCATCCAAAGTTACCACCGCATATCCTGCACATCTTTCTCCTTGTGAGTTGATGAAGCTGCTCCCGTCCATGTATAACTCCCAGTCTACTGATGATGCCCATGGCTGGTCCCGAAGGTCAGGTCTGCTAGAATAGACTGAGTCCAACACCTCTACACAGTTATGCTCGCCCGGGCTCTCTGATACTGGGAGCAGGGTGGTGGGATTTAGGGTGTTACAGACTTCAATAGTTATGTGGGGATTTTCACATGGCAAGCTTTGGTACTTGGTTAATCTAGCATTTGTTAGCCAATGATGTCCTTCGGTAGTCATCAAAGTTACCACAGCATGGGGGGCCTTTATATTCAGGTTTTGCCCAAGGGTTAGTTTATCTGCTTCTTGTGCTAACAGGGCTGTTGCTGCCAGGGTCCTTAGACATAGTGGCCAGCCTTTGGAAACCCATCTAGTTGTTTTGAGAGATAGGCCACTGGCCTTGGCCAGGGCCCCACAGTCTGGGTTAAAACTCCAACTGCCATTTTTTCTCTTTCTGACACATAGAGTGTAAAGGGCTTTGTCAAATCTGGTAGTCCTAGGGCTGGGGCCGACATAAGTTTTTCCTTTAACTTACAAAAGGCTTGCTGTTGTAGAGGCCCCCATTCAAAAGGCTCCCAATCGCCCCTCTTTGTAACCCCGTACAAAGGTTTGGCTAAAACTGCAAAGTTTGGAATCCATAATCTGCAAAACCCCACAGCTCCTAGGAATTCCCCTACTTGCCTTCTGGTTCCAGGTTCCGGTAGGCTACAGATGACCTGCTTTCTTTCTGACCCCAGGCTGCGCTCCCCTTTCCGAATAGTGAATCCCAGGTAGCGTACCTGCTGTCTGCAGATATGAGCTTTCTTCTTGGACATCTTATACCTACAGTCCTCCAGGTGCTGAAGCAGGACATCCATCCCTTTTGCACACTCGACTGCCGTGGAGTGTCCCAGCAGAAGGTCGTCCACGTACAGGAGCAAGATGCAGCCTAGGTCTTTGGCAGGAAATTTTTGTAGGTCTCAAGCCACGGCCTCCCTGAACATAGTAGGGGAGTTCTTGAACCCTTGGGGAAGCCGGGTCCAAGTGTACTGAGTAGTGACACCTGACTGCGGATCTTCCCACTGAAAGGCAAACAGCTTCTGGCTCTCAGGAGCTAGTCTGATGCTAAAGAAGGCATCTTTTAAGTCCAGACAGGTAAACCAGCTGTCCTCAGCCAGCAGCAGCCCTAACAATGTGTAAGGGTTAGGAACTGTTGGGTGCAAAGTCACTGTAGCTTGGTTGACCAAGCGCAAGTCCTGTACTGGCTGGTAGTCCTTGGTCCCTGGCTTAGGGACAGGCAGGAGGGGGGGTGTTCCATGGAGACTGGCAAGGAACTATAATTCCATAGGCTTTCAAGCACCTGCGATGAACCTGGATTCCTTTGAGAGCTTCTCTGGGAACCGGATACTGCTTTTGTCTAATTGGTTGGGCCCCAGGCTTAACGTCTATGAGCACGGGGGCTTGGTTGACCGCCAGTCCCGGAGGATTATCATTTGCCCATACTTGGGCCATTGCTTAGCTAGAGCTGGTTTTATCTCTTGGCCTGGCTCGGTTAGAAAAAGTCCCCTTTCTTCTTCCCAGGGGACTGACCATAAGAGCCATGATAATTCCTGTTCCTGGTAACTTTAGCTGTAAAGAGCCCTGTTTTGTAAAGGAGATGGTGGCTCTCAGCTTGCTAAGCAAGTCTCTTCCCAGCAAGGGCAAGGGACAGTCAGAAATACACAAGAACTGGTGAACTATCTCATGTCCCCCCACCGAGCAGGTCCGTGGTAGGCAGAAAGCCTGCTTAGTGGAAACTCCTGTTGCTCTGATTATATCAAAGGGGGCGACTGGGGTGGTCACTACTGAATGTTCAGCACCAATATCGACCAAAAACTTAATGTCCTTGCCCCCAGTTGTAATCCTGACCGTGGGCTCCTTGGGGGCGCTTGAGCCCGGTCCCCTTCAGTCCAGTAGCCCTTCAGCCAGATTAAACAAAGCTCCCTCATCTTTATCTGAGGTCTTTTGTTCCGAATCACCTTGCTTTTCCTTCAGTTGGGGACACTTATCTTTCCAATGTCCTATTTCCTTACAGTAGGCGCATTGGTTAGGTTGCAAGCGTGGGTGATTAGACTGGGTATTCTTCCCAGAACCCCCCTTTTCCTCTCCTTTCAGGGGAATTCCCCTAAAGGCCGTGGCCAGTAAGTCGGCGTTTCGCCTAGCCTGGCATTCACCTTCTTTATGGCTTTCTCTGCGGCTTGTTGCATCTCTATTCACAAATACTTGATTGGCTATTTCCAGTAACTGTGAGGTATTCATATGCGCAAACCCAGCCTGTTTCTGCAATTTTCTCCTGATATCTTCCGCGCTTTGACTAACTAAGGCCATGTTAATCATGTGCTGATTTTCAGGGCTATTTGGATCAAAAGGAGTGTACATAGGGTAAGCCTCACACAGTCTTTCATAGAATTGTGCTGGACTCTCCTCTTTTCCTTGGGTGACCTCAGAGACCTTATTTACATTTGTAGTCTTTTGAGCCCCTTTCTTTAGACCTTCTATTAATGCCTCACGGTACCGTCTTAGCCTTTCCATGTCTGGTCTCTTGTTCAGGTCCCATTGGGGGTCTGTTCCTGGCAGCTGAATTCTTACATATTCTTGGGGGTTTTGGTAATCAGCTAGGACGTGCTCCTGTAGCCACTTAGTTGCCACCTGGAGCACCCTTTGCCTTTCATCTGTGTTTAAAAGTTACATGAGCAGCTAGTGGCAATCAGCACAAGTAGGATTATGAGTCTGTATAATAGTTTGGAGCAAGTCAATTAAAGCTTGAGGCTTTTCAGTGTAAGATGGAGTATTATTTTTCCAATTGAGGAGGTCAGCAGAGGTGAAAGGTTGATACACAAAGGCACGCCTTTCCACCATGTGTCTGTCCTCATCTACCCCAGTATATTGCTTCTCTCTCAGGGGCATTTGGATTCCAGTCTTGGGCCATAAGCAAGCTGTCAACGGAGAAGTTTCTCCTGTGGCTTCACTTCCTCTTCTGTCTACTCTGTGTGATCTAGGGGTGTGGTTATCTGGTGGAGGTGTAGGTGCTGTGGCCTCAGGAGTGGGGAGCCCTTCCTTTTGATAAGGAGGGGGTACTGCTGATACCAATTCCTGCCATGATTCTTCTGGAGTTGGGTCGGACAGGACTTTTGGTCCCGACTTCCCTCGGTGGGTGGAGGGAGAACCTTCCTTAACTAACTGTCCCTTTGCTACTAGTACTGCTGCTGCCTGTCCTCTTGACCACTGTGGGGGGTCCAAAACTAGCTGTAGCCAATAATTTACATATGGGAACTCATCTGGGTGCCCTGACTTACAGGTTACCCTGTGCCATACCTTTGACACAGGGACCTGTCCAGGCTTCCTTCTGATGGCCAACCCACCTCTAATGCTGGCCAGTCTATCTCACAGAAAGTTTTAAGTTTTCCTGTTGTTATAGTGACTCCATAGTCTCCTTTAAATCCCTTTTTGAAATTTTTCCACATAGTTCCTAGTGGGGTGGGCTTACTTTGTGCCTGACCTGTGTTTCCTCGAGACAAAAGACCATGCTCACACCACACACACATCACAAAACAAAGAACGGGTAAAAAGGGCACACACACACTTTTACAGTTTACACCAAACCAGAATCAAAACCAAAATCAGAGTATCAAGAAATCCAAGTCAGGTCAAAACCAGACCCAAAGTATCAAGCAATCCAAGTCAAGTTGAAAACAAAAACCAAAGTGCCGGTACAGGCATGCCGTGGGTGATCAGGCCATGCTTCCACTCAAATGGAGTGGGCAAGTTCCAAAGACTAGTCTTACCAAGTTTCAGTTGTCCAGACTCCAAGTGCCAGTTCCTTCCTGGTGTTCAGCCACTGTGTTGATCCTTCACGGGGGCCTGCCACGCGCTGCTCTGGTGAGGCATTCCACTGGGGCAGTTGCCTACCTAGGAGTGCTCTCAGGATCTGCTTTGCTCAAGCTGGCCAGAGTCCCCTGCAGGGATGCTCCACAGGGCAGGCCTAAGCCACCTAAGGAGCTGCCTCGACCGTCTGTTAATCACCTTGCTTCCCAGTCAGGGAACCAAGAAATGTAGCAGGACAAGCCTCAGACAAAACCCCTCAGACACCAAGTTAAAGAAGGAAGGGGTTTATTCAGCCTGGAGCATCGGCAAGACTCCTGTCTCAAGAGCTGAGCTCCCTGAGTGAGCAATTCCTGTCCCTTTTAAGGGCTCACAACTCTAAGGGGGTCCACTTGAGTGGGTTGTGATCGATTGAGCAAGCAGGGGTTACGTGACGGGGGGCTGCATGCACTGGTAATTAGAACAGAACAGAATAGGACAGGGATTTTCACAGTGCTTTTCTATACAATGTCTGTAATCTATAGATAACATAACCAATTATGTCAGTCGTCAATGTTTAACTACCAGGTCCAGGGTGTAGTGCCAGGCTGTCTGCTTGTGGATTTCATTTCTGCCTTTTAGTTTTTACTTCTTTCTTTGGAGGCAGAAATTGGGCATAAGACAATATGAGGAGTGGTCTCCTCCCTTACTGGGATTACAAGCACAAGCCACCATGCCTGGCCAAATCCTGTATCTTGCTTGTCAATATAATAGACTCTTGTTAGAACTTGTGGTTGTTTATCATGTCAGGCTAATTAGTTCTTGAAAAAACTGTCTTCTTCATATATTATTCAGAAATTTATAGCTTCTCTGAAGTTTTTAGTGTGTGTATGTGTGTTTCTTTTAATATAGAAAACTTTTCGGTAGCAATTCTACAACATTTTTCTTTTTGTCACCATCCTTGTATTGGTATACCCTCAAAACAGAAAAATGATATTACAAATTCTTTTCATTTCTAACATTTGTAATTTATTGAGATACTGTGCTAGGCACTAGAGAAGAATAAAGCTGAGATGGCTAGCCCTGAGGAGTTACCTTCCTTAGTGATTTTAAAGCCTTGTTTGGAAGAATGATATTTAAGCAAACAAAACCAATGATGTGTTAAGTTCTTAATAAAGAGGTGTGAACTGAGGGATGCAAGTGATTGCAAGAGGATGACTCACCCTCTGCAGTAGAGATGATAGAAATTTCTTTTAGAGTTGAAGACTGTTGGCCATGCCTTGAGGTATGAGCTTGCTAGAAGAAAAAGGAGGAAATTCATATTTCTTGTAAGTCATGACTGTCAACTTTATTTGGGAGAACGTGCCTTGCAATCTCAGAGTTTCCCTGCCTAATTGCTTTCTAGTTATTTGCAACAATTATTTTCTTTACTGCTAACGGCTGACTACTTCCTGTTCCCCTCATGACAGATAGACTTGTCTCCTAATGATAGAGAAATAAAAAGTTAGGAGATGACAAATCCTTCATTTCTTGCTATAAAATTGACATACTCCATAACTGATGCCTGTCTTTTGCAACCTCCCTCGTAGTTCAATAGAGAATATACTCCCTTTGCTTTCAAATGCAGATACCCATCAGATATGGATCCTAAGCTCCTCTTGAATACCCCAATATATCTATTATTCAGATTTTCCCAGATCACTCTCAACCTGTATTGTCAACGTCTACCTCCGTGTGGATATTTGCTATAAAAATATAAACATGTTCTAAACTCAGTTATAAAAAGAAAATAAAGAACAAAAAACATTTTCTGGATTCTGTATTCTCTCCTCCCTTCTGCTCTATTTCTCTCCTTACCTTCACAAACGTCTCCAACATTTTCTATACAAGCTCATTCTACCTCCTTTAGACACCAGTGCTAATAAATGCACAGGATCTTGTTCTTGCCCTATCTTACCTAACCTTGCAGATGCAAATGACAGATGTCTCCTTACATTTTGAAACATTGTCTACTCTTCACTTACTCCCTTTTCACGGTCTTTATCATGCCTCTTTGGTGTTCTTTACCAGCTCTTCTTCATCTGAGCGTTCCTTACATATAGTAATTCCTCAAGTCATAGTCCTAGGTCCTCTTTCTCCTCATTCTATTTCTTTCTTTCTTTTTTTGAGACAGGGTTTCACTTTGTCATCCAGGCTGCAGTGCAATGGCACCATCTTGGCTCATGGCAGCCTTGACTTCCTGGGTTCAAATGATCCTCCTGCCTCGACCTCCCAAAGTGCTGGGATTATGGGGTGCATGCCACCATGCCCCATGAGAAATACGTTTTTCTAGGCAATTGGGATTTAAATCCAGGATTCTCAGTCAGGGTGTGGTTGCTCTCACCTGTAATCCCAGCATTTTGGGAGGCCAAGGTGGGAGGATCAAGACTGGCCCAGCCAACATGGTGAAAACCCATGTCTGCAAAAAATACAAAAAAATTAGGTATGGTAGTGCGCACCTGTAGTCCTAGCTACTTGGGAGGCTGAGGCAGGAGGATCACTTGAACCCAGGAAGTAGAGGCTGCGGTGAGCCAAGATGGTGCCACTGCACTCCAGCCTGGGTGACAAAGTGAGATCTTGTCTCAAACAACAACAACAAAAAGAAATTTCTCTCTAGCCTATGATGTCACCCAACAACTGTGTGCTAAGGACTTTCACATGTGTATCAACAACTTAGAACCTCTCTTCTGAGCTTCAGACCTAAATATCTACAAACTTACTTGATTTCTTTACGTGTATTCCTGCCAGCATCTCAAACTTAGCCTATCTAAATCTGAACACAAAGTTTTGTCTCTTTCTGTGCCTTGTATAGAGAGGACTTACATATGTTTGTGTATTGAGAGGACTTGTACTTGTCTTCCCTCTTCCCACTTTCTTTTTACAATGAATTCAGAGTGAATGTTTCAAAACAGAAACCTATTTCTATCCATCCCAAGTTTAAAATCCTTCCACTGCTCTTAGACTCTTCTCCACAGCTTCTTTCTAGCTTCATTTTTGCCAGTTTATCCCAAATTTCTTTACTCCCTCCCAGTAAGCACCTCTTAGTTCTGTGTCTCTACAGAATCTTTCCCCGGTTGGAGGTCTCCTGTACAGCGCTCCCTCTTGCTGCAATAGGCTTCCCCTATACAATCCCTGTCTCCACTTCACCCCCTTTTTAACTAACACTCTCCCATCCTTTAATGAGCACACAGGTAATTTCTTCTGAGACTCTCCCAAGTCATCTCCTCCCTCTTTACCCCTAAGTCTAAGCTAGTTCTCTCAGTTATGCTCTCTTATGGCATATATGAACATTCTCTTCTCAGCATTTCCCATGGTTGTACTTAAAAAAATTCTTGTAAAAATATTTATTTGGTGACTGTGACTGTTTTCTCCATTAGAATTTAAGTTTTATGAGGGCCAGGACAACATCTGTGTTATTCATCTCTATATTTCAACCACCTAGCATAGTTCCTAGTATGGTAGATCCTTGGTGAATATTTTGTTGCATGCATGAGGGCACAGATTTAGGCATTGCATGCATGGAGTAAATTTGCTAGAGAGAGAGGTCATGGTTTTGAAACAGGAACACGAGTATCAGGTTGCTAGGGAAACACCGGTTAAGGAGAAGGTTTTGATGATATCTTGGCTTAGACTCTTGAGTTAGAAATTTATGTAGGACACATTGGTTGGCATTTTTTCTTAGGTTCTTCTTTTCAAAAAGTAAGTTTCTGCTGCCACCTCTAGTCACTCCTCCTTTTGTGGAAAGGATTAGTAAGTCTTCCTGGGAAAATATAACTTTGCTTCATGTTCATACGAATGACAGTAAAATAACTTTTCTGCAACAGATGGGGAATGAGGTAATCATGGTTTTTCTCTGGGCTATCCTTCAAAAAAATATTAAATTCATGTGTTTGGAAGTCATTTATTGAATTAAAACTTTTGTTGTTGCTTTTTTTGGTTTCAGCCCACACTGTTTTCTCTTGGCAGAAATAATCAGCTTAGAAGTTATCAGTACCACCCATTCCCATAACAAAAGTAACATTTTTCTATTTTTATGTTACTTCTTGGATCTCTTAACTTTCCACATCCTTTGTCCCCTATCAAAGTCTTCACTTTCTGTTCAGTGCTGGCCAGTTGGCCTCCTTAATGTATGGAAGAGTGGGCTGTTGTGGCAGTTTGTACAATGAACAAGAACAGTCCTATTCATCTCAATACAGACAGTATCCAGTTTAGACCTCAACGTTGAATTAAATGTTGAATGAATTTGGGTAGTATATATTTGGGAACATTGTTTTACCTTTGTGCGTCACTTGTAAAATGATGATAATGTCTCCTGTTGTGGCAAGGGGATAAGTACAAATGCTCATAAAGCGTCCAGCAAAATGTATAGGGGCACTTAATGTTACTCAGTAGAACAGTAATATTATACATATTCTTGGGTGCTGCCATTCTGTGGCATAACACTCGTGGTCAATAATTGTTAAATTTACCATGGCCTAATTTTTAAATTAGTTTTCCTGGCTGTATAATGAACTAGTCAAATAGTTAAGGTTTTTTAAAGCCTAAGCGTTTATTCTCTTAAGTACTAAGATTTTTGAAAAAAATTATTGATTTTGATTATGTAGATAGAAATCTTTCTGAAATGTGTAATTTCTTGCTCAGACTGAACCAATTTGGGCATTCTCAGGCCTGCTTCCTTTGCATTCAGCTGCGATTGTTCTGTGCCCTGTGTTGGCTGCTTGAAGTGATTTCTTCACACTGCCCTTTTCTCTTTCAACTTTGTTGCTCTGGAATTCAAATCTGATAAGCAAACTTGCTGTTAGAACAGTGTCTCTAATTAATATAATTTCTTTATGAGAAGAGGGCTGAGATCTTTTCTTTGAGCAAGATATATGACTTTGTGTATGGGGATTTTTGGTGTGTTTTGATAGTTCAGAAGCCACTTTTTAAACTTTTCTTGTTCTAAAATAGTTTCTGGTCAGATAAAATTTTCAGATTACAGTTGTGTCTGTGAAATGAAATGTTACTATCCAGTCTCTATGTCCCCTAAAAACTAGCCATACCATAACGCGGTTGGTTGGGGGAGTAAAATCTGGAATTAGAGTAGTAAAGAAATGAGAGAAGAAAAGATTCTTCTTGTCATCAGAGTGTAAAAGAGATAATGCTTTTTCTTAAGGAAGACAATAAGGACCATATTTCAGTTTAAACAAATAGACAGCTTTGGATGAAAATAGAAGTAAAATATGGACCTTAAGTAATTAATTCTCCGAGTGCCACTTGGTACTTGTCATATAAGTTAAGTGAAAGTCTAGAGAAAGACAGATCATCTAGTCATGGAGGGAGAGGCAGAGCAAGACAGTTTCTTCTGAAGGAGATAAGAGAAATCAACCTTGAGTTGTCAATAAGCATTTCCATTCCTATGTTTCTGTTGTTTCCTTCATCGAGAATATTTCCTCGCCTCTTTCCACCTTCATTCTGACAATGGCACTTTGTGCTATCAATCTTTATTCTTCTTTCAGTTGGTAAAGGTCGAAAGGCAGGCAGTGGAGGGCTCCCTTTAGTGGAGTATAGGAACATGAACTGAGCAGGCCTGGGCTTGCAAAGGTCAGGTTTCAGGAATCAAGAGGTGGAGCTGAATTTTTCTTATCTGAGGAAGTGGTGGGATATAAACAGCCAAGGAATAAAACAGAGCTGGAAACTGGCCTAACTGGTCTAGAGAGCAGGTTAGATATCCAAGGGACCCAGACTGCACTCAGCAAGGTGGTGCACTCTGAGGGGCCCAAAGCTCTTGACCGCTGAGAAATGTAAGCTGTGAGGGAAACAGGGTCAGGGAGAGGCAAGCAAATGTCCCATATCAGAAGCAATGGAGAAGCATATAAGACCAAGTGCTATATTGGCTGCCGGTGTTCTTGCTTACTTTGAATAAGCAGATTATCCTTACTATTATAATGTGGGTGGGCCTCATCCAATCTGTTCAAGGCCTGAATATGACAAAAAGACTTGCCTCACTGAGCAGGAGGGAATTCTCCAGCAGACTTCCCTTGGGCTTCATCTGCACCATAGGCTCTCCTGGGTATGAAGCTCGCCAGCCCATTTTGCAGATTTGGACTTGGCTGGTCTCCACAATGGTGTAAGACAATTCATTATAATAAATCTCTTTCTGTATATCTACTCATCCTGTTGGTTCTGTTTCTTTGAAAAACCCTGACTAATATGGGGGGCCAAGGAGAGAAATGTTTTTATGTAATTGTCTATGAAAAACAAAAATATTCTTGAATACTTCAGAATTTTCTTTTGAAAGGGAGGCAATTAATAATGTTAGTAAGCTTGCGTACCAGGATAATTAAATCAAAACGCAAGGTTTTTGGTAAATGAAAACTCATTTCCTGTAATCATATGAAGTATGAGAAATATTTATTGACATCATTTATATCTAAATACTGGTGATATTAGGTCCAAATATAACCCCAGACCTTCTCAGCAGCACTTACTTGATTCTCTTAGAATTAGAGCCATGACTAACAGCTGAACCTTATAACTTTCGTGTTATTTCTTTGAACATTATTTCAGAATGAGCAAGACTATTAAAACTCCAAACTTAGTCTTTGTTTATTACATAAAATTGTCCTGACATTATTTGAAGTGATACATAATTTGAAATATAGTTTGACCAAACATCAATGGTTTCTCTCCGTAAAGGTTACCCCTTTCTTTCTGAGCAATGATAAAGGAAAGAGCAAGGAATTTTGATGCCAGACATACCTCAGTTCAAATCTTGATTGTATTACTTATTAGCTATCTATCTATGGACAAGGTATTATCTGCACTCCTCACTTGAAAAATGAAACAAACAATGACTTCCTTTTGAGAGTTGGGAAGATTAAATGAAATAAATTGTGTGAAAGTGTCCATGAGAGAGTGCAAGGCACATACAATATGTTCTTGACACATCTAATTTCCCATTCTTTTTTATAGTTCATAGTTACAATTTTATAGTTTTATAATTCATGTTTCTGTAGGTGTTACAGAATCTAGAATGTTACTAGTTGCTAAAAGCTTCAGGATCAATATTTTTATATATCAATATATCAAGATCAATATTCTTATATATAAGTAAACTGAGCCCACAGAGTGTTTTCTTGGCCTTAGGACACAGCATTAGTTGGGGAAAAGCAGGGGCTATTTGTTTGGAGAGACAAAGTAGAGCATAGTGAAATAATAGCTTTGTTATGTGGCAGACCCAACTTTGACTCCAAATACCACTTTCTAGCTTTGTGACATTGGAAAAAAAATCTTCTTTATGTTTAAATTGCTTTATTTTTAAAAATGGGGTTATAGGCCCAGTGTGGTAGCCCATGCTTATAATCCCAGCAAGTTGGGAGGGCAAGGTGGGCAGATCCCTTGAGCCCAGGAATTTGAGACAAGCCTGGGCAACATGGTGAAACCTTGTCTTTACAAAAAATACAAAAATTAGCCAGGTGTGGTGCACCTTTAGTTCCAGCTACTTGGGAGGCCAAGGTGGGTGGATCCCTTGAGCCCAGGAGTTTAAGACCATCCTGGGCAACATGGCAAAACCCCGTCTCTATGCCAGTACACTCCAACCTGAGTGACAGAGACTCCAGCTTGGGTGAGAGAGAGAGAGACCCTATCTCAAAAACAAAACAAACAAACAAACAAACGGAGTAATAGTATGTACTGACAGGTTATGAAAATTAAATGTATAATGTAAATGCATGCTTAACAAATGAAGGTAATTATAATCTGCACAGCCAATTATTTGATTATTCAACTTTACGTACAAATATCTGAACATTTTCCTTCCCCTGATGACAACAGAAGTATCTGAATTAAAACCCTGACCTGAAAACCTCCTTCAGAATTCCTTCAAAGCAATAATGAGAACAGCAGGTTACCTAACATATGAATTCTAGTTTAATAGGAGGCTGTTTCCAGAAAATTCCAAGCAACATACCATAAGCATCTTCAGTATGTGTCGGGCTGTTGGCATTTGGAGAAGGACATCTGGGAAGTTGTTTTTTCAGGATTAGAGAAGCTCTTATGTTCATTTTTCCAGTTTCTCTTATTAAATCTCTTGCTGAATAACAGTGCAGGCTGTTTGCTGTGTGTTGAAATGAATTGTATAATCTGTTACTAAGAACTTTTTTTCTCTATTCTAAACTACGTGATTTGTATTGGGTTGGTTATTTTTAATAATACAATGCTACAATTAACCATACCTATAGACTCAAATGCCCCCATATAATTTTTGAATAAGAACAACCTATCTTTTACAGTATTAATCTTGAAATTGTTTTTCCTCAATGCCCTTCGTAATCCTATTTTCCCAACTCCCTAATATACACCTGCTACAATACTAAGACCCCAAGTATTTTGGTACCCAAATTGCATACCCTTTCCTGCTTATGCCTATCTTGGCCTGAACCTTAGGCCCAGAACTGAGCACATAGCAATGTTAAATGTTTGCTTTTATTGTTATCATTATTGTTATTATACTGCCTGTAAACTCAACCCCCTTTCAAGACTGAATTCAAATCCCTCCTCTTCATTCTAACTTTATATCTAGCTTCCTTACAACTACTGCTGCACCTAATACTTTATTGTATTCTACTCATCCTCTGTATAACCTACTTTAGTTTCCTACCTTAACTTTATTTCCCCCTCCAGACAAGCTTTTAAGGACTTACATATTTTACTTTATTTACAATTTTAAAATCTTTGTTTGAGAGCTTGGTATTTATACAAACCCATATACATCTATATAAAGATACATAAAGATACACACACATACACACACATGTACACATATATACACATACAGATTCAAAGCCATTTAGATCCTTCCATTGCACTGCACTTGTAGAGTGTGCTTTCGTTATGAGGTTTCAAGTTTGCATGTAGTTTGATGCCTAGTGTTTTTTGATTTAAGACCACTTGTTAGAGTACAGCTCTGGGTTAGGAATTTAGTCCTAGGTGTTCTACTGTTCACTTCTCTAACTCTAATAAGATCTGGCCTCTGCAGATTTATCTTTCCCAATTTAAAGCAAAAATGTTTGCTATTATTATTATTATTATTATTATTATTATTATTATTATTACACTGCCTATATACTCAACCCCCTTTCAAGGCTTAATTCAAATCCTTCCTCTTTGTTCTAAGTTCTTATCTGGCTTCCTTACAACTACTATATCTTATGACTATACAATCTTTTTGGTCCTTCTGGTTGTAAAATAATCATTCCATGAATATATGTATACATCATATTGGTAAGTGGCCACTCAGGGATCAGGTGCCAATACTGGAAACACAATGCATTCATGTTGTATATTCAGCATTTGTAAGACTGAGTGCACTGTTTCTTCCTTCACCTAAATTCATGCCTTGGGATCCTTGTTCTGGGTAATGATAGCATCATCTGCTTAAGAGCAAAGCTAGAAACCCTAAGTCTGACCACCCACCTTCCTCTCTTTTACTGCTAACATCAGATCGGTCACCAGATGTTAAAGATGCTCTCTGTAAATGTAACCTGAAGTCAAGGTGCTTACTCAACTATGAATTACCAGCTGGTAGATCTTACACAAGAAACATCATCATTATATAACTTTCATTTGCAAAACCAGCAAATACTTTCCTTCTGCTCACCTTACATGATTTCTGAGAGAGTTAAATAAGACAATGTCCCTGAAAGCAAGCCAAAAATTTGCAAAATGTTGAACAAATATAGAGTATTATTGTTATTATTAAATAGAGTAAGTTGGTCATTTTAATGATATCTTTTTTCTAATAGACATTGCTTTTTTTATTTTCTTATATGAAACATTCTTTTCTTTTTCTTTTTTTTTTTTTCTTTTTGAGATGGAGTCTTGCTCTGTTGCCCAGGCTGGAGAGCAATGGCACGATCTTGGCTCACTGCAACCTCTGCTTCCTGGGTTCAAGCAATTCTCCTGCTTCAGCCTCCAAAGTAGCTCGGATTACAGGCACCCGCCAGCACACCCAGCTACTTTTTATTTTGTGTTTTTTGTAGAGATGGGGTTTCACCATGTTGGTCAGGCTGGTCTCGAACTCCTGACTTCAGGTGATGCACCCGCCTCGGCCTCCCAAAGTGCTGGAATTACAGATGTGAGCCACTGCACCCGGCCTTATTTTCTTCTTTTAAAAAATTAGGCATTACTAAAGTATGAAGTTAACTTACACTTCTTTGTGACAAAATATGGGATGTATAACATAAAGATTGAGACTAAAGGGAACTGTATTTTATGATTTTTACTTTGTGTACAAATCTCTCTGTTGCATCGTTTCAGGTGCCTGTGGTAGCCATATTGGGTTCAGGTGGGGGTTTCCGAGCCATGGTGGGATTCTCTGGTGTGATGAAGGCATTATACGAATCAGGAATTCTGGATTGTGCTACCTACGTTGCTGGTCTTTCTGGCTCCACCTGGTTAGTATACATTTTTAATTTTAGTTTTATAACTTTAAATATTTAGGATTTATCTAACTCAAGCACTAGAAGAGAAAAGGGGATTTAGAAAATTGATCATTAATTTAAATTACTGAAACTTTCCAGTTTGATGCCACAATCTGCTTTAAAAGATTTTTTAAAGACAAATCCATACTTAATAATAACTTTTTGTTGCAAATTTACTTCTTTTAAGCCACTTTGTAACTTAAAATGTAGTTAAAACATGAAATAAAAAAGACTAATTGAAAATAGTTCTAGATAAAAATAGAAGTGGAACAACATACTCCACCCATAATTAATTTAATCTTCTTATAATTTGCTGATTTGTAGTCCTTCAGTGAACATGTCTAAGTCTACATGATTCACTACATATTCATTTTCTTCTTTAGGGCAAATAGAATAAGATGCAAGATACCATAGTATACAGAACAAAGAAAACAATTTTTTTGAATATAGAAATATAATATATTTCATTGATTTTCATCTAACTAAATATGAAATTTGTCTTTTAAATTTAGGTGGAGACTTAAAGCATCCATATGTATAATACTTGTACCCTGTAGGTTTTCACAAATATATTTATAAAACATTTTCCAAGAAGATATTACATACTTTTTGGTTTGCTTACCTCACATAAGCACATTGAAAATCAAATGAAAAGTCCTTGCTCACATGTCTCAAATAAGAGTATCATCTTATTACTAAAGATCTGCCTTGGACTTACAAGGCCTTTTTAGTCATTCAGCCATGGCAAACTCATCTATCAGAATATCGTATTATATATGTCTAGCATTTTAAAGTTTCTGTGTCATTTTATCTTGTGAGATGGGTATGAATTTATTCATTTTTATGCTGAAGAAAATTTGACTTAGAAGCCAAATGATTTGTCCAACATCACTAGTAGAGCTAGCATATAAACTCAGGCTTTTGATCTGTCATTCTGAGTTCTTTCTACTAAACCACACTCTTTTCTGGGACATCTATATATTTTACAGGGAATTTCACATTTAAATCATCCACAGTTTCTTAAATGTTTTGAATCAGATTTAGTCATGAAACAAAAACTTAGAGCCATCATTGCCATCTTCTCTATATGTACCCTCAAAATGATTTATTTCTTCTGAAGGAAGGGTGTAGCCCATCATTATTCTTTCCCTTGAAGGAAAGAGCAGGCATCTGCCTGTTTAATGAGTAATGTGTTAGAAAATCTTGGACCCTTACATTAGTTCACCTACTCAATCATTTTGTTATTATTCTTTGAGTGGTGTTCTTTCTTTGTACTCACTGTTTATTACATCCTGTTGTCCATCACTGACAACTGGAAGAAGCTTACTTTCTTAAACTCATCTAATAAAGCAAGACTAGACTTCGAGTGCTGATTTGGGGATATAATTGTGTATGTGTGTGCTTGATTAGAGATATAGTCATTGCTTTGGTTATAGATTTGGTGCAATATCTTCTCACATTCCCCTGTCAGTAAACAAGTCCTGTAAAATGTAATTAAAAGGATTTTAAATGTGCACATATATATATATATATATATACATACACAGAGAGAGTAATTAAAAGGATTTTAAATGTGCACATATATATATATACAGAGAGATTAATTAAAAGGATTTTAAATGTGCACACACACACATATATGTATACTTCTACTCTATCTT